>NC_000004.12:16822916-17447916 GCF_000001405.40 Homo sapiens | reverse complement strand
CAGAGGATTACATTTCCTAGGTCCTTTGCCAGTAGGTGGAGCTATGTGTCCAGTTTCACTTCAGAGCCCAAGCATAGAACATACAGATGTTGGTACTGCCACACACTCTCTTCAATCTTGTCTTGAGATGTTAGAGCCACAAGGCAAGGGACATGTAGTTTGCTGAGTTACTGCATTGACCTTAGTTGTCCTGGAGAGCTGCCCAGACATACAGTAGATGTAGCAAACATGAAGAGTAAACTATTATGGTATGAAGGCACTTAAATTTGAGGGCTATCTGTTACTGCCTCATAATCTGGTTTATTCTGACTAATTGAGCCTCGCGGGGAAGGTTTGAAATGGGGTAGAAAGTATTCTGTGCTACCAACAAAATATCCTAAAACTATGCCAAATAGTCTACTGGTAAATGATGGGGAATCAAGACTGGAGGTGGGAAATGAGGGGAAGGAAAGCAATGAATCTGGAGAAGCTGCAACAGAATTACTGTCTAAAATCATGATCAATTGCTTTTTCTGGGTTTTGAGTTAGCCTGTAACCTTCCTGCATTCCAGGATTCTCAAATAAATTCTATGCCTTTGCCTATCTCAAAGGAATCTCCTCGAAGACCATCGTTTTTGAAATGCCTTGAAGATTGCTTACAGCAGAAACCAGCTCAGCACCTGTCTGTTGCCAAGTTTCTTTGCAAGTAAGGAATGATAGTCGTATGACTTTAAACTATCATTCTTCCTTCACTTGAAGTGAGCAAATTTGAGTCAACAAATAACGATGGGAGCTTACATCAAGTGACTGTGCTTGGCTGTGGGGCTACCAAGATGAAGAAGGAATGCTCCTGCCCTCGAGGAGCTCACAGTCTAGTGGGAGGGAACAATGCGGACATAACTGGCTACGGAACAAGTTAGCCTGGGGAAGGGCTTCAGCAGAGGCATAAACAGAAAAAGTCAGGGTCCAGAGGGAGAGAGATCTGTTCTCTTTGTTGGGGAGGGGTCTGGGAAGGCTGTATTTTAAGTTAGTACTTGAAGGATGACAAAGACCTTGATGGTTTTCTGTGAGGTATGAAAAACTGCCAGTGTTGTATCTCTAGCTTTAGGAGTTTTATTCCTATGCTGCAGAAAAATCCAGCTCGGGAGATGTGTAATTTAAGCATTTTCAAAGCCCATATAACCAGAGATCTGGGCTAATGGGAAAATAGTCATAACATTGCCGCTAAATGCAATAACTTGTTGATATATTTTGCTCAATTACCCTTGTTAATGATTCATCAATCTTTTTTTGCTTCCTGCACTAAAAAAATCTTGCTGCAGAATTTTGCCCAAACATATACACACCCAGTTTTTGGCCCTTGGCAGCCTTCCTAAGTGGAGAGTATTTTCCACATGTGGTTGTTGACATGTAGATTTTGAAATTCAAAAACAATGGATACATACAAGAGGGAGAGGAGACTGAGAATGTATCCTCCATGACACACAAAGATCAGTGTTTTTTACAAGGTGGTCCCGGCTGGGTGTGGTGGCTCATGCCTATAATCCCAGCACTTTGGGAGGCTGAGCTGGGCGGATCACATGAGGCCAGGAGTTCCAGACCAGCCTGGCCAACACGGTGAAACCCTGTCTCTACTAAAAATACAAAAAAAAAAAGAAAAGAAAAGAAAAGAAAAAAAATTAGCCGGACGTAGTAGGGTGCGCTTGTAGTCCCACTTACTCGGGAGGCTGAGGCAGGAGAATCACTTGAACCCAGGAGGCAGAGGTTGCAGTGAGCCAAGATCATGTCACTGCACTCCAGCGTGGGTGACAGAGCAAGACTTCAACTGAAAAAAAAAAAAAAAGTGGTCCCTAGAACACTAATTTTGGATGAATTAATAAATGTGGTATAAAAAAGGATTATATGGTATGTTTTTTGTCAGTGTGGCAACTATCAATTTATTACCTCTCAGCTCCAAATTCACCCTTTTGTTACCAGCTCCACAGTGAAGCCTTAAGCATTGCTCTTTTGTAGCAAGCATGGTGTTAAGCTTTCTCAGTAGAGGAACACCGGAGAAACATTGCAGGAGGAGGGGGATCCTCTTCCTGCTGGCTGCAACCACACCTTTTCCAACAAGGTCTGAATCCCAGCCTTGGGGAGGCCCCAACTTCCAAGTTTGCTTCTCCTTGGATGCTCTTCCTTGGCCCTGGAGTATTCGTCAGTGTACTCTTCACATCTCTATAGTTACTCCCCTGTTGTTTTTATTTTATTTATTTTATTTTTTTTTGTTTGAGATGGAGTCTCGCTCTGTCACCCAGGCTGGAGTGCAGTGGTGTGATCTCGGCTCACTGCAACCTCTGCCTCCTGGGTTCAAGTGATTCTCCTGCCTCAGCCTCCTGAGTAGCTGGGATTACAGGCACCCACCACCATGCCCAGCTAATTTTTGTATTTTTAGTAGAGATGGGGTTTTGCCATGTTGGCTAGGCTGGTCTTGAACTTCTGACTTCAGGTGATCTGCCCACCTTGGCCTCCCAAAGTGCTGGCATTACAGGCGTGAGCCACCACACCTGGCCTCCTGTTATGTTTAATAAGGGTTTATATTAAACAAGTGAGTGAGTTCTCATGAGATCTGATGGTTTTATAAGAGGCTCCTCCCCCTTTATTCGGCAGTTTTCCTTCCTACTGCATTGTGAAGAAGGTGCCTTGCTTCTCAAGTTCTGCCATGATTGTAAGTTTCCTGAGGCCTTCCTGGCCATGCTGAACTGTGAGCCAATTAAACCTCTTTCCTTTATAAATTACCCAGTCTTGGGCAGTTCTTTATAGCCATATGAAAACAGACTAGTACAGTAAATTGGTACTGCAGAGAGTGGGGTACTGCTATAAAGATACCCCAAAATGTGGAAGCAACTTTGGAACTGGGTAATAGGCAGAGGTTGGGAAAGTTTAGAGGACTGAGAAGAAGAGAGGAAAATGTGGGAAGGTTTGGAACTCCCTAGAGACTTGTTGAATGGCTTTGACCAAAATGCTGATAGTGATATGGACAATCAGGCTGAGGTGGTTTCAGATGAAGATGAGGAACTTGTTGGGAACTGTAATAAAGGTGATTCTTGCTGTGCTTTAGCAAAGAGACTGGTGGCATTTTGCCCCTGCCCTACAGATCTGCAGAACTTTGAACTTAAGAGAGATGATTTAGCGTATCTGGGAGAAGAAATTTCTAAGCAGCAAAGTGTTCCAGAGGTGACTTGGATGCTTGTAAAAGCATTCGGTTTTATGCATTCACAAAGAGATGATTTGAAATTAGAACATCTGTTTAAAAGGGAAGCAGGGCATAAAAGTTTAGAAAAATTGCAGGCTAATTTCTAACGCAATGTGTTAGAAAATAAAAACCCATTTTCTGAAGAGAAATTCAAGCCAGCTGCAGAAATTTGCATAAGTAATGAGGAGCCAGATATTAATCGCCAAGACAATGGGGAAAATTTCTCCAGGGCATGTCAGAGGTCTTCATGGCAGCCCCTTCCATCACAGGCCCAGTGGCCTAGAAGGGAAAATGGTTTTGTGGGGTGGGCCCAGGGCCTTGCTGCTTTGTGCGGTCTCAGAACTTGGTGCCCTGCAACCCAGTTGTGGCTAAAAGGGGCCAATATACAGCTCAGGCTGTTGCTTCAGAGGGGAAAAGCCCCAAGTCTGGGAGGCTTACATGTGATGTTGAGCCTGCAGGTACATAGAAGTCAAGAATTGAGGTTTGGAAACTTGCATCTAGATTTCAGAGGATGTATGGAAATGCCTGGATGTCCAGGCAGAAATTTGCTGCAGGAGCAGAGCCCTCATGGAGAACCTCTCTTAGAGCAGTGTGGAAGAGAAATGTGGGGTTGGGGTCCCCACACAGAGTCCGCACTGGGGCACTGCCTAGTGGAGCTGTGAGAAGAAGGCCATCATCCTCCAGACCCCAGAATGGTAGTTCCACTGACAGCTTGCACAGTGTGCCTGGAAAAGCCACAAACACTCAATGCCAGCCCATGAAGGCAGCTGGGAGGGGGGCTGCGCCCTGCAAAGCAACAGGAGAAGAGCTGCCTAAGGCTGTGGGAGGCCACCTCTTGTATCAGTGTGACCTGGATGTGAGACATGGAGTCAAAGGAAATCATTTTGGAGATTTAAGATTTGACTGCCCCACTGGGTTTTGGATTTGCATGGGGCCTGTAGTCCTTCATTTGCGCCAATTTCTCCCACTTGGAATGGGTGTATTTACCCAATGCCTGTACCCCCATTGTATCTAGGAAGTAACTAACTTGCTTTTAATTTTGCAGGCTCATTGGTGGAAGGAACTTGCTTGTCTTGTCTCAGATGATACTTTGAACTTGGACTTTTGGGTTAATGCTAGAATGAGTTAAGACTTTGGGGGACTGTTGAAAAGGCATGATTGTGTTTTGAAATGTGAGGACATGAGATTTGGGAGGGACCAGGGATGAAATGATATGGTTAGGCTTTGTGTCCCCACCCAAATCTCATCTTGAATTGTAATCCCCATTATACCCACGTGTCAAGGGACAGAGCAGGTGGAAGTAATTGAATCATGAGGGCGGTTTCTCCCATGCCGTTCTCATGATACCGAGTGAGTTCTCATGAGATCTAATGGTTTTATAAGAGGCTCTTCCCCCGTTACTCATCACTTCTCCTTCTTGCCACCTTGTGAAGAAGGTGCCTTGCTTCCCCTTTGCCTTCTGCCATGATTGTAAGTTTCCTGAGGCTTTCCCAGCCATGCTGAACTGTGAGTCAATTAAACCTCTTCCTTTATAAGTTACTCAGTCTCAGGCAGTTCTTTATAGCAGTGTGAAAACTGACTAATATAGTCTATTATTCCATTTCTATTATGTCCATGAGTACCTGAAGTTTAGCTCCCACTTATGAGACTGTGTGGTATTTGGTTTTCTCTTCCTGTGTTAATTCACTTAGGATAATGGCCTCTAGCTGCATTCATGTTGCTGCAAAGGATATGATTTTATCCTTTTTTATGAGTGTGCCGTAGTCCAGTGTCTATGTACTACATTTTCTTTACCCAATTCACCATCGATGGGCACCTAAGTTGATCCCATATCTTTGCTATAGTGAACAGTGCTGCAATGAACATATAAGTGCATGTACCTTTTTTGTAGAACAGTTTATTTTCCTGTGGTTATATAATGAGATGTCTGGGTCAAATGGTAATTCTGTTTTAAGTCCTTTGAGAAATCTCCAAACTGCTTTCCAAGTGTCTGAACTAAGTTACATTACCACCAACAGTATGTAAGCATTTCCGTTTCTCTGCAGCTTTGCCAGCATCTGTTATTTTTTTGACTTTTTAATAATAGCCATTCTGACTGGTGTGAAATGGTATCCCATTGTGGTTTTGATTTGCATTTCTCTGATGATTAATGATGTTGAGCAATTTTTGTATGCTAGTTGGCTGCTTGTATGTCTTCTTTTGAGAAGAGTCTGTCATGTCCTTTGTCCGCTGTTTTTCTTTTTGACATAGGGTCTCACTCTGTCACCCAGGCTGCAATGCAGTGGTGTGATCAGGGCTCACTGCAGCTTCAGCCTCCTGGGCTGAAGCAATTCTCCCACCTCAGCCTCCTAAGTAGCTGAAAGTATAGGCACAGGCCACCACACCTGACTAATTTAAAAAAATTTCTTTCTTTCCTTTTTTTTTTTTTTTTTTGTAGAGATGAGTTCTCACTATATTGCCCAGGCTGATTTTGCCCACTTTTTAATGTGGCTATTTGTTTTTTTTCTGCTTGTTGAATTGTTTAAGTTCTTTACAGATCCTGGACATTAAACCTTTGTTGGGTACATAGTTTGCAAACATTTTCTCCCATTCTGTAGGTTGTCTGTTTACTCTGTTGATAGTTTCTCTTGCTGTGCAGAAGCTCTTTAGTCTAATTAAGTCCCACTTGTCAATTTTTGTTTTTGTTGCAGTTGCTCTTGAGGACTTAGCCGTAAATTCTTTGCCAAGGCTAATGTTGAGAAGAGTATTTCCCAGGTTTTTGTCTGGGATTTTTATAGTTTGAAGTCTTATATTTAAATTTTTAATTCTTCTTGAGTTAATCTTTTTGTATGTGGTGAAAGGTAGGGGTTCAATTTCATTTTTCTGAATATGGCTACCTAGTTTTATCTCAGCATCACTTATTGAACAGGGAGTCCTTTCCCCATTGTTTATTTTTGTTGACTTTGTAGAAGATCAGATGGTTGTAGGCATGTGGCTTTATTTCTGGGTTCTCTATTCTGCTCCATTGGTTTATGTGTCTGTTTTTATACACTGTAGTACCATGCTCTTTTGGTTACTGTAGTTGTATAGCATAGTTTGACAACAGGTAATGTGAGGCCTCCAGCTTTGTTTCTTTTTGTTTGGCTGTTTGGACTCTTTTCTGGTACTACATGAATTTTAGAATAGTTTTTTTTTTTCTAATTCTGTGAAAAATGATGTTGGTAGTTTGATAGGGATAGTGTTGAATCTATAGATTGCTTTGGGTAGTATTACCACTTTAATGATACTGAGTCTTCCAATGCATGAGTATGGAATGTTTTTCCATTTGTTTGTATCATCTATAATTTCTTTCAGCAGTGTTTTGTATTTCTCCTTGTGGAGATCTTTCATCTCCTTGGTTGGATGTATTCCTAGGTATTTTTTTTATTTTATTATTTTATTTGTGACTATTGTAAATGAGATTGTGTTCTTGTTTGGCTCTCAGCTTGAACATTATTGGTGTATAGAAATGCTACTGATTTTTGTACACTGATTTTGTATACTGAAACTTTACTGAAACCTCTTTTTCCATTCTAGGGGCCTTTTTGTAGAGCTCTTAGGTTTTCTGGGTATAGAATCATATTATTGGAGAAGAAAGATAATGTGACTGCTTCTTTTTCTATTTGGATGCTTTTTCTTTCCTTTTTTTGCCTGATTGCTCTTGCTAAGATTTTCAGTACTATGCTGAATAGGAGTGGTGAGAGTGGGCATTCTTGTCTTATTCCTATTCTTAAGGGGAATGCTTCCAGCTTTTGCCCATTCAGTATGATGTTGGCTGTCAGTTTGTCATAGATGGCTTTTATTATTTTGAGGTATGCTTCTTTGAAGCCTAATTTGTTGCGGCACATGTTCTTTTCTTTTCCATTTTTTTTTTTTTTGAGATGGAGTCTCGCTCTGTTGCCCAGGCTGGAGGCTGGAGTGCAGTGGCACAATCTTGGCTTAGTGCAACCTCTGCCTCCCAGGTTCAAGTGATTTCCCTACCTCAGCCTCCCTGTAGCTGGGATTACAGGTGTGTGCTACCACAGCAAGCTAATTTTTGTATTTTTAGTAGAGACAGGGTTTTGCCATGTTGGCCAGGCTGGTCTTGAACTCCTGACCTCAAGTGATCCATCCACCTCGGCCTCCCAAAGTTCTGGGATTACATGTGTGAGCCACCATGCTTGGCCCACATTTTCTTATATAATATGAAAAAATCCACGTTAATTCACATTACCACTGATCTCATTAGGAAAAAAATTTTAAGTATTAGCAGTTATCAAGCTCATGATGTCAGATAAAAGGTTTCCAAAATGCTAAGATTCACTTGAAATCTGAAGTTTATCATTGGCAAGAATATGTTTGCCAAATAATTAAGTCTGAATAACTGTAATTTGTCTGTCAGTCATCCTCATAAATATGAAATTTTTAAAAAATGGAAAAGTAGCTAATTCCGTTTGTAGCTCAAACAATCATAAGTATTTTTTCTCATGACAAACCACAGTATTTTGGTATGCAGTGAAAGAGCTTTATGTCTACATTATATTTCATCACAAACAATATTAAGATGTGTACTCAAAAGTGAGATTTAAAAAAAGTCTTTTTTTTCTGTTGCATTAAGTGATAAGGCAAAACTTATATTTTATTTATTTATTATTGATTTTATTTTTTAATTTTCGGAGACAAGGTTTTGCTCTGTCATCCAGGCTGGAGCACAGTGGCATAATCATGTTTCACTGCAGCCTCAACCTCCCAGGTTCAAGTGATCCACCTCAGTGTTCCAAGTAGCTGTGACTGCAGTCATGCACCACCATGCCTAATGTTTTATTTATTGAAGAGATAGGGTCTTGCTATGTTGCCCAGGCTGGTCTCAAACTCCTGGGCTCAAGCTATCTTTCTGCCGTGGCCTTCCAAAGTGCTGGGATTACAGGCATGAACCACAGTTCCTGGCAAGAATTTGCATTTAAAAAACTATGACTGCATGGGGTGAAAACTACAATGACTACTAAGTACAGTTTGGTATTCTACTGTGATTTGTGATAAGGACCAGCCATTTTACCCATTGCTATAGTTTGGATATTTGACCCTCCAACCCTCATAATGAAATTCAATCCCCAGTGTTGGAGGTGGGGTGCAGTCAAGGTGTCTGGGTCACAAGGGTGGATCCCTCGTGAATAAGTTAAGGCCTTCCTTGGGTGGGAGATGAATGAGTTCTCGCTCTGTTAGCTCCTGAGAGAGCTGGTTATTTATAAAAAGCTTGGCACCTCCCCTCTCTTTTGCTCCCTGGCCACGTGATCTCTGCACAAGCCAGCTCCCCTTCTCCTTCTACCATGAGTAGAAGCAGCCTGAGACCCTCACCAGAAGCAGATGCTGGTGTCATGCTTCTTGTACAGCCTGAAGAACCATAAGCCAAATATACCTTCTTTTCTTTGTAAATTACCCAGTGTCAGATATTCTTTTATAGTAACACAAATGGATGGAGACCCACCATTACTTTTACACCATTAATGTAAATGTCAACACGATGAAAAAAGCAAACGATGTCTCAGTATTATTGCAAAAATAGTTTTGGCTGGGCATAGTGGCTCATGCCTATAATCCCAGCACTTTGGGAGGCCGAGGTGGGTGGATCAACTGAGGTCAGTAGTTCAAGACCAGCCTGGTCAACATGGTGAAACTAAAATACAAAACTAAAGATACAAAAACTAAAAATACAAACATTAGCCGGGCGTGGTGGTGTGTACCTGTAATTCCAGTTACTTGGGAGGCTGAGGCAGGGGAATCACTTGAACCCAAGAGGCAGAGGTTGCAGTGAGCAGAGATTGCACCATTGCACTCCAGCCTAGGCCACAGAGTGAGACTCCATATCAAACAAAACAAAACAACAACCAGTTTTGACCTAATGGATACCATGAAAGGGTCTGAGGACCCACAAGAGTTTGAAGACTGCACTTTGAGAACTGCCAGGCTAGTTATGCTGTGATGACAAATGACTGTGGAACTTCAACGGCTTAACCTACAAGGACCTATTTCTTGTGCATACAACCTGTCCATGGTGCCATGACTGCAAGTTTGTTCTACATCGTCTTTACTCCAGGACTCTGTATGTGGACTAGGCTGCTTCCTCTGCCATGGCAGAGGAAAGAGAGAAGAGAAGACGTGAGCTGGCTAAAGCTTTGCCCAGACATGACAACAGGAAGTGATATGTATCACTTCTGCCCGTTTCACTTGAGTTCATCAGTGTAGAGATGTATATTCTTTCAGCGAGAGAAACCGGAAGCATGGCAAACAGTTTACGACCTAACGCAGTGGTCATAAAAGATTAGAAAACGGCCAGGCACAGTGGCTCACGCCTGTAATCCCAGCACTTTGGGAGGCCGAGGCGGGTGGATCATGAGGTCAGGAGTTTCAGACCAGCCTGACCAACATGGTGAAACCCTGTTTCTACTAAAAATACAAAAATTAGCCAGGTGCGGTGACGCACACCTGTAATCCCAGCTACTCAGGAGGCTGAGGCAGGAGAATCGCTTGAACCCGGGAGACGGAGGTTGCAGTGAGCCGAGATTGCGCCATTGCACTCCAGCCTGGGTGACAGAGCGAGACTCCGTCTCAAAAAAAAAAAAAAAAATTAGAAAACACTGCATAAAACACTCCTTTCCTAGAAATTCACAATACACAAAGGCATAAAAAGACATGGAGAAATCCCGCAGTAAGGAAACACTGTGCACTTGGTTTAATTGAGGGTAGGGCTACTGAGAGAAAATTTAGATTCAAGATTTAGATTTAGATTTAGATTAAGATCTGATGCTCATTGTCCTTTTCCTGTTTGACCCTTTGCTGGTCCTGGGCAGAGAAAAAGGCAGCCTTGACCAATCCTTTCCCATGTACTCAACAACAGGTTAAAGAACACTGGGATCATTACTTAGTACCTGGCCAATTGGGCTCAGTGACTGACCAAATGAGGCTCTCTTCAATACTTCCCTTATTATTACCCGCTCCTGTGCTGGTGAACAAGGACGCTGGATGGAACCGCTTGTGTACTCAGAGACTATTACTGATACAGAAGCGAGGAAGGGAAGTGCTGGGAAAGCAAGGGCGTGGTCCTGGCTAGGGCTTCACTCCTGGGCCTGTGCCCAAGGACCTAGATGACGACAGGCTTCTGTTTTCCTGCCCAAATGATGCATTTCCCAAGACCACCCCGGGCCGCCACACCCCCCATCCGGTGCCTATAAACCCCCCCCTAGACTCTAGCAGGCAGACACACATGTGGTTGGAAGTAAAGAGGAAAACATTGGCGGAAGAACACATTGGCGGAAGAACATACAGGTGGCTGGAGCTTGAGAAGGCGTTGAGGGGAGCACACCTAAGGAAGAGCACTCCGGCTGGCTATCCACCGGTGGAATGGCTCACAGTTTGGATGGGATGGTTGGAGGAAAGCCTGGGCCACTGAGCTGCCTGACTCCGGGAATAAAACCACTTTCCCACTCCATCAGCCTTATGGCTCCCCCATCTGCTGAGAGCTACTTCCACTCAATAAAACCTTGCACTCATTCTCTAAGTCCATGTGCCCTCCAGTTCTTCCAGTACACCAATGAGAGGTGACAGCACGCTGACAGCCCTCACAGCCCTCGCTCGCTCTTGGCGCCTCCCTGGCCTCGGCGTCCGCTCTGGCTATGCTCGGGGAGCCCTTCAGCCCGCCACTGCGCTTTGGGCGCCCCTCTCTGGGCTGGTTGAAGCCGGAGCCGGCTCACTCAGCTTGCCCGGAGGTGTGGAGGGAGAGACGTGGGCGGGAACCTGGGCTGCGCGCAGCGCTTAGGGGCCAGCTAGATAGAGTTCCGGATGAGGTGGGCTTGGCGGGCCCCGCACTCAGAGTGGACCCCGGCAGTGAGGGGCTTAGCACCCGGGCCAGCAGCTGCGGAGGGTGCGCCGGGTCCTCCAGCAGTGCCGGCCCACAGGCGCTGCACTCAATTTCTCGCCCGGCCTTAGCTGCCTCCCCGTGGGGCAGGGCTCAGGACCTGCAGCCCGCCATGCCTGAGCCTCTCTCCACCCCCGCGGAGGGCTCCTGCTTGGGCCGAGCCTCCCCCACGAGCACCTTCCCCTTCTCCACAGCGCCCAGTCCCATCGACCGCCCAAGGGCTGAGGAGTGCAGGCGCAAGGCACGAGACTGGCAGGCAGCTCCACCTGCGGCATGCCCCCCTGCGGATCCACTGGGTGAAGCCAGCTGGGTTCCTGAGTTTAGTGGGGACTTGGAGAACCTTTATGTCTAGCTAAGGGATTGTGAATGCACCAATCAGCACTCTGTGTCTAGCTCAGGGTTTGTAAATACACCAATCAGCCCTCTAGCTAATCTAGTGGGGACCTGGAGAACTTTTGTGTCTAGCTGAGGGACTGTAAAGGCACCCATCAGCACCCTGTCAAAACGGACCAATCAGCTCTCTGTGAAACAGACCAATCAGCTCTCTGTAAAATGGATCAATCAGCAGGATGTGGGTGGGGCCAGATAAGAGTATAAAAAAGCAGGCTGCTGGCGCTGGCAGTGGTAGCCTGCAGGAGTCCTCTTCCACGTTGTGGAGGGTTTGTTCTTTCGCTCTTTGCAATAAGTCTTGCTGCTGCTCACTCTTTGGGTCCACACTGCCTTTGTGAGCTGTAAGACTCATCGCGAAGATCTGCAGCTTCACTCCTGAAGCCAGCAAGACCGCAAACCCACCAGAAGGAAAAAACTGCGAACACATCCAAACATCAGGAGGAACAAACTCCGGACACCCCTCCTTTAAAAACTGTAGCAAGCACCGCGAAGGTCCGCGGCTTCATTCTTGAAGTAAGTGAGACCAAGAACCCACCAATTTCGGACACAGAGCTGTAACACTCAGCGCGAAGGTCTGCAGCTTCACTCTTGAAGTCAGCGAGACCACGAACCCACCAGAAGGAAGAAACTCCGAACACATCCGAACATCAGAAGGAGCATCAGAAGGAACAAACTCCGGACACGCCGCCTTTAAGAACTGTAACACTCACCTCGAGGGTCCGCGGCTTCATTCTTGAAGTCAGTGAGACCAAGAACCCGCCAATTCCGGACACACCAAGGCAAGAAATCCCGGGATACAGAAAGTCCTCTGTTCTTGTGATAAGGCAGGGGGTCTAATTGAGCTAACACAAGCCGCCTACAAATGGCTAAAAGACCACCCTGTAACACAGGCCCGTTGGGGCCCCAGGAGCTATAAACATTCACCTCTAGACACGGCTGTGGGGTCCCACAACCAAACCGTCTGCATGCTCCCCTTAGGGGTTAGAGCAGTGGGGCACCGAAGAAGTGAGCAACTCATCACATGCCCTACAAGGGGGATAAGGGAATTTTTCCCGTTTCAACACCAAAACACAGATTCGTCAGCATCACAGTTTGGGGAACGCCACTGGTGGGAGTGAATCTGAGCAGGAGGTGAGTATCAGACCTGTGTCAGAAGAGGTCCCAAGTTTCTGAAAGGGGCTCATGATGGGACATCACTGTCCCCTGACCTGTTAGAGGTCACCACCTGCTGTTACCTAGAAGTCATCATAATTATCTTCAATTGTTTGGGACTCTCTTGAGAGGCCTCAACACTCAGTCATTTTCTTTGTTGTTTAGACTCTGATCATAATAAATCTCGTTTATTGCCTGTAGCCCAATTAAATCTTACTTTCCCTCTAAATCTAAATTAAATTTCATTCCCATGCTGGCTATTTTTTTTCTCATAGCTCTCTGCACTTTTTTTTTTTTTTTTGCATTGCACTTACCACACTTTGTAATTATCTCCATATCTGTGTGACTATTTTCTGTATATCTCTAAAAGCTCCACGATGGCAGAGGCTATGTCTGCCTAGCTCAGTGCCTGGTGTGTGTAGATTATCAATAAATATTCATTGAATGGATAAGTGAGCAAATGAATGGAAGTCTGCTCGGGAAGTGAGAGTTCTCTTTTGTAGATTTCTATGGCGTTTATTGTCTATACCATTTCAGTGACATTTACACTTGATTGCTGTCATCCTAATAAGTGGGCAATATATTGTTAGAAAACAAAACCCTGACCTTTGCAGATGGTGAAGGGATATTTGATAGCACAACCCAGTAAGTAATAATAGATTTGGTTTTTTTTTTCCTTTCAAAATGTTGGGAAACTTTTAAGAACAGTTTGGAAATTGTTCTCTTTTTACTAAAACCCAATGTTGATGTAGTCCTTGACCTCACAGTTGAGAGAAAGAGGCTGCAGCAGCAGGAAATTTTACAGAGTATAATTGGAGAAATTTGAGCCTCCATAAGTTCCACCAAGGCACAGATCTATGAGGTATCAAATGAGGGGTAATGAAAACTACAGCTTAGAAATGTAGATGACAATGAAGCCTTTGAGCGGTGGCAGAGAAACAGATAACTCTCCTCAATTAGCCAGTGAAACATGGGGCAAGGTAGCCTGACATGTCAGTAAACAGGAGACTTCAAAAGAACATACACAACTGGATCAGGACTGGAACATTTCATTCCCTAAAGATCCAGTAGTTCTCTAATGAGGGAAACTGCAGTTAAAGCCAGAATCACACTGCTATGGTTTGACTGTGTCCCCCAAAAGTTCATGTGTTGGAAACAATCCCCAGTGCAACACTGTTGGGAGGTGGGGCCTAATCAGCAGTGATTGGGTCATGAGGGTGGAGCCCTCATGAATGTATTAATGTCCTTCTCGCAGAGGCGGGTTAGTTATCGCATGAGTGAGTTATTATAAAGCGAGTCGAGCCCCCATACTTTCTGTGTCTGTCTCATGCACTCACTTCTGCCTTTAAATTCCTTAAAAGCCAAAGATTTTTTATTCTTCTTTGTGGTTTTTTTTTTTTTTTTTTTTTTTTTGCATGGCATCCAGGAGAGTGGAGAATTATTTGGGCTCAATAAGTGCTATACACACACACACGATTCAAAATTCTGAATAGTTTATTTCTCCTCATTACCTCATTTATTTATATTTCAATAGCTTTTGGGTACAAGTGGTTTTTGGTTACATGGATGGATGATGTAGTGGCGAATTCTGAGATTTTAGTGCACCTATCACCCAAGTAGTGTACATTGTACCTAATATGTAGTTTTTTATTACTAGCCCCACTCCCACCTTCCCCCTTCTGAGTGCCTAACGTCCATTATGTCACTGTGTATGCCTTTTCATATTCATAGCTTAGCTTCTGCTTATAAGTGAGAACATACAGTTTTTGGTTTTCTACTCTGTTTTTTCACTTAGAACAATGTCTTCTAGCTCTAAGTTGCTGCATAAGACATTATTTCATTCTTTTTACTGGCTGAGTAGTATTCCATGGTGATCTATACCACATTTTCTTTATCCATTTAATAGTTGATGGCCACTTAGGTTGGTTCCACACCTGTGCAATTGTGAGTTGTGCTGCCATAAACGTGTGTGCAAGTGTCTTTTTCATATAATGACTTATTTTCCTCTGGGTAGATCCCCAGTAGCAGGATTGCTGGATCAAATGGTAGATCTACTTTTTGCTCTTTGAGGAATCTCGATACTGCTTTCCATAGAGGTTGTACTAATTTACAGTCCCACAAGCAGTGTATAAGCATTCCCTTTCTCCTGCATCCACGCCAACATCTGTTGTTTTCTGAATTTCTAATAGTGGCCATTCTTGCAGGAGTAAGGTAGTATCTCATTGTGGTTTTGATTTGCATTTCCCTGATGATTAGAGATGTTGAACATTTTTTCATTGTTTGCTGGGCATTTATATATCTTCTTTTGATAATTGTCTATTCATGTCCTTTGCCCACTTTTTAATGGGATTATTATTTTTTTTTCTTGCTGATTTGTTTGAGTTTCTTGTAGATTCTGGATACTAGTCCTTGGCTGGATGTGTACTTTGCAAATATTTTCTCTGTGGGTTGTCTGTTTACTCTGCTGGTTATTTCTTTTGCTGTGCAGACACTCTTTAGTTAGGTCCCCTTTATATATTTTTGGTTTTGTTGCATTTGCTTATGGGGGTCTTAGTCATGAATTCTTTGCCTAGCCTGATGTCTAGAAGAGTTTTTTCAATTTCATCTTCTAGAATTTTTATAGTTTGAGGCCTTATATTTATAAGTCTCTGATCCATCTTGAGTTGATTTTTATATAAGGTGAGAGATGAGGATCCAGTTTAATACTTGTGGCTTGTCAGTTTTTCCAGCACCATTTATTAAATAAGGTGTCAATTCCCCAATTTCTGTTTTTGTATGCATTGTCAAAGATCAGTTGGTTGGACATGTTTGGCTTTATATCTGGGTTCTCTATTCTGTTCCATTCATCTATGTACTCACTTTTATACCAGTACCATGCTATTTTGATAACGATAGCATTGTAGTATAATTTGAAGTTTGGTAATGTGATGCCTCCAGATTTGTTCTTTTTGCTTAGTATTGCCATGGCTATTTGGGTTCTTTTTTGATTCCATATAAATTTTAGAATTGTTTTTTCTAGTTCTGTGAAAAATGCTGTTGGTATTTTGATGGGAATTGCATTGAATCTGTAGACTGCTTTGGGCAATATGGTCATTTTCATAATATTGATTCTTCCAATCTATGAGCGCGGGATGCATTTCCATTTGTTTATGTCACCTATGATTTCTTTCAGCAGTGTTTTGTAGTTTTCCTTGGAGAGATCTTTCACTTCCTTGGCTAAGTATATTCCCAGGTATTTTACTTTACTTCTTTTTTGAGATGGAGTCTTGCTCTGTCACCAGGCTGGAATGTAGTAGCGAGATCTCAGCTCACTGCAACCTCTGCCTCCCAGGTTCAAGCGATTCTCCTGCCTCAGCCTCCCAAGTAGCTGGGACTACAGGTGCATGCCACCATGCCCAGCTAATTTTTCTATTTTTAGTAGAGACGGGGTTTCACCATGTTGGCCAGGATGGTCTTGATCTCTTGACCTCATGATCCACCCACCTTGGCCTCCCAAAGTGCTGGGATTACAGGTGTGAGCCACTGCACCAGGCCTACATTACTTTTTTATTTTATTTTTCAGCTGTTGTAAAAAGGGATTGAGCTCTTGATTTTTAATTCTCAGCTTGGTGGTTGTTGGTGTATAGCAGTGATACTGATTTGTATACATGATTTTGTGACCTGATCCTTTACTGAACTCATTCATCAAATCTAAGATTATTTGGGGGAGTCTTTAGGATTTTCTAGATATACAGTCATCTCATCTTCAAACAGTGATAGTTTGACTTCCTCTTTTCCAATTTGGATGCCCTTTATTTTTTTCTTGCCTAATTAACTCTGGCTAGAACTTCCAGAACTATGTTGAACAGGAGTGGTGAAAGTGGGAACACTTATCTTGCTCCTGTTCTCATGGGGAATGCTTTCAACTTTTCCCCATTCAGGATGATGTTGGCTGTGGGTTTGTTACATATGGTTTTTATAATATTTTGAGGTTGGTCCCTTCTATGTCTAGCTTGTTGAGAGTTTTTATCATAAAGGGATGCTGGATTTCAAATGCTTTCTCTGCATCTATTTAGATGATCACATGTTTATGTGATGTGTTATATTTATTGACTTGGGTATGTTAAACCATCCCTGCTATATAAATATTTGAGATTTGTTGACCAGCAGATCATCTCTTTGTCCTTTTCAACTGCTCAAGCCTTTAAAATGGGCTTGGAGTGATAGCTGCACTATGAAAAGCACTGTGTACATCCTAAGATGGCTTAACAAACGTTTCCATTTCTGTCTTGGGCCTTGCTCAGGCTGTAATCCCAGTTGAGTGTAATCCCAGCTACTTGGGAGGCTGAGGCAGGAGAATTGCATGAACCCGGGAGGTGGAGGTTGCAGTGAGCCGAGATCGTGCCATTGCACTCCAGCCTGAGCAACTGAGCTAGACTCCGTCTAAAAAAGAAAAAAAAAAAAGATTCCCAGCAGAAGATCTGGAGCTTGATTCTCATTGGTTTAAGAAGAGTCATGTGTGTTCAACTTGGAACCAATCATTGTGGCCAGGAGGCTGCAGAGCTTTGATAGGCCAGGCTAGGAGGTGCCTGTCTCTCTGATGACCATGTGCTCTGGTTTGTAGGAGAGGGTCTAAGTTTGTGCCTGTTATCTTTCCTGGGTAGTTTAGCATTTACCCTGATTTCTTTATTTTTAATAAAATGTTGTTAATAGTGACATTAAAAATACACGAAAATGTATTTTGGTAGACCTCTACTTTGTATTTCCACCTTTTGCCATAGACTCCTCTGGTCAAATGAGAGAAACATGTAGTGAAGACACTTGAGTTTAGTCCGTAGTTAAATCTAAAAGTCATCCAGCCATGATGACTCCCTTGTCTGGACCCTGGCATGAAATAACTTAATATCTGCCCTCAAGGGCAGTAAGCTGGATGCTTAGGGAAGAGCAGCTTGGGCTTGCAAATTCTTTTGGTCTTGGGTGGTAGTGGGGTAAGTATTTGATGCTGCTGCCCGGCTGGCCACAGAGGGTACCAGAAAGAGGGCTGTGGCTTGTGCCAAGGCCTGTGTGACTCCTGGAACTGCCAGCTCTCCAGCTGGCAGGATCACTTGGAAAAATGGAAACTAGTCAGGTGTATATGAGGCATGTGGAGGAAATGAGTGTACACTGTAATGTACACATTATATTCTCTATGCTGTGCATCATTTCCTCCATATCGCACACATTATAATAGAAAATAATCTGAATGTTCTTGCCACAGTGGTTTTGTCAATTACTATGCGGTGAAATCTGCAACTATTTGTTTCATTGTTTGGTAATATTTTTTCTATTTTGTAATGACTTTTAATATTATTTTAACATCAATGAGTTAAAAAATGTGCTTGTTTGTTGAAAAATTAGTGAATGAATGTTAATTTCTCGAGAAAGTTGATGATAGGCCGGGTGCGGTGGCTCATGCCTGTAATCCTAGCATTTTGGGAGGCCGAAACGGGTGGATCACTTGAGATCAAGAGTTCAAGATCATCTTGGCCAACGTGGTGAAACCCTGTCTCCACTAAAAATACAAAAATTAGATGGGCGTGGTGGTGCGTGCCTGTAAACCCAGCTACTCAGGAGGCTGAGGCACAGGAATTGCTTTAACCTGGAAGGCGGAGTTTGCAGTGAGCCGAGATCGCGCCACTGCACTCCAGCCTGGGGAACCGAGTGAAACTCAGTCTCAAAACAAACAAAGAAACAAACAAACAAACAAAAAAACCCACAAGAAAGTTGATGATAAAGGTTAACTTGTAGAAGATATTTATTGATTTTATCATAGATATGGGAGAGGGCATAATATTATCACTGACCACTTGAAAACCAGAAGGCACAAGTCTATGGGAGCATCAGGATCTACTTCCAGTGTTGGTAGTTATTTTAAGATTGTGACTTATAATGATAAATTAACATGTGCCGTGGCCTTAGGTGCTTTTGCCTACCCCTCTGTGAATCATGACTCTTTTTTTTTTGAGACAGAGTCTTGCTCTGTCGCCCAGGCTGGAGTGCAGTGGTGTGATCTC
Organism: Homo sapiens; assembly: GCF_000001405.40. Taxonomy (NCBI): domain Eukaryota; kingdom Metazoa; phylum Chordata; class Mammalia; order Primates; family Hominidae; genus Homo; species Homo sapiens. The sequence goes on along the minus strand of NC_000004.12, from coordinate 17,429,219 downwards.
GGCTCACTGCAAGCTCTGCCTCCCGGGTTCATGCCATTCTCCTGCCTCAGCCTCCCGAGTAGCTGAGACTACAGGCGCCTGCCACCACACCCGGCTAATTTTGTTTTTGTGTTTTTAGTAGAGGTGAGTTTCACCGTGTTAGCCAGGATGGTCTTGATCTCCTGACGTCGTGATCTGCCCGCCTCAGCTTCCCAAAGTGCTGGGATTACAGGTGTGAAGTGAGCCACTGCGCCCGGCCGAATCATAACTCTTCTTTTAGATCAAGTGACTGCTCTTCTAAATTCAGTTTGCTTATTTTTTATACCAAGTTTTCTTGTGCAATACAAAAAGTAATACGATAGCCGTTAGTGTGTTGTCTCCATTAAAAAGAAATTTGCAGACAGTTAAATGGGTGCCAGCTTTATATCCATGTTCTGAGATGGTTCAAATAGAAAAGTTAACTTCTAGAATTAGTTAATATCTATAAGGGTTTGCATTTTTCACCCAATTATTGAAAACAAACCAAATTTGGAAATTTGTTCTATTAATGGTGAAACATCTGACTAATGGATGTTGTAGATTAAGTTAGCAAGATCAACATTGAAGATAAAATTATTTAAGGTAATAAATACATTTACAATTTTTGGAACAACATGACGTCAAGGTAAAACAACTTTTTAAAACTAAATTTGAAACCTATCAAGGAAAATTGTACATGGAATTGGTTGTACTGTACACATAATTCAGAAATGCATCTGAATAGGCTGTGATATTCTATGAATCAAAATAGAGCTTTCCTGTCAATTTTATATAATTTTTAAACATTTGCAGTTTGAATGACAAAACTGCAAAATTTTTGTGATTAAGCTGATGTTGAATTTAAAGAAATCTCTTCAGGCTGCTGGAATTTGAGAAGCTTTTGTAATACTTGGGCCCCTTCTTAAGCCAGAGCTCAGAAAGGAGGCCACGTTCAGTTAGAGCGCCAAGATCGTGAAGCCCAGCTGCAGGAAGCTGAATATGTTCGAGTGTAGCTCTTCCAGGCACTTCTGAAGCTGGAGATGAACTTGGACCTCAGGCTCAGCTCAGGGAGCTGAGAATTATGGCAGCCAAGGAAATTGAAGTTGGTGGTGGTCAGAAAGCTATCATCATCTTTGTTCCTGTTCCTCAACTGAATCTTTCCAGAAAATCCACATCTGGCTAGTACATGAATTGGAGAAAAAGTTCAGTGGGGAAGAATGTTGTTTTCACTGTTCAGGGGAGAATTCTGCCTAAGGCAACTCAAGCCATACAAAAAATAAGCAAAAGTGTCCCAGGAGCCGTACTCTGACAGCCATGCATGGTGCCATCCTTGAGGACTTGGTTTTCCCAAGTGAAATTGTGCACAAGAGACTCTGCATGAAACTGGATGGCAGCCGGCTCATGAAGGTTCATTCAGACAAAGCACAGCAGAACAACGTGGAACACAGGGTTGAGACTTTTTCTGGTGTCTATAAGAAGCTCACTGGCAAGGATGTTAATTTTGAATTCCAAGGGTTTCAGTTGTAAACAAAAAAGACTAAAGTATATCCACAGTAAACAAACAACCAAAAAAAGCTCCTCTTCAGCCGGGCATACTTTTTTCCTTACTACTTATCAACAATTAGATATGGGAAAAGTTTGAATCTACAGACAAGAGAGTCAGTTGAAGCTTTCAACCAGTGTCATAGTGCATGCAGTTTTATGAAAATATTAAAAATGATCATTAATTCTTCAGAAAATACAAGTTTGTATTAGAGACAGATATGGTTAAGAAAATGATTGGGCCGGGCATGGTGGTTCACATCTGTAATCCCAGCACTTTGGGAGTCCGAGATGGGAGGATTGCTTTGAGTTGAGGAGTTCTAGACCAGCCTGGGAAATATAGTGAGATCCCATCTCTACATACACACGCAAAGCTAGCCAAGTGTGGTGGCATGCACCTGCAGTCTCAGCTGTTCAGGAGGCTGAGGTGGGAGGAATGCTTGAGACTGAGATTGAGGCTGCAGTGAGCCATGATCAGGCCCTTGCAGTCCAACCTGGGTGACAGAGTGAGATTCTGTATCCAAAAAAAAAAAAAAAAAATTTGATTGAAATACCTAATGATGTATGAAGAATAATTATTTTGCTTGTTATTTTTAATGTTCAGAAAATCAATATAAATAAAATTCGATGTCCCTCTTCCCCAACTCATATTTTGCTCTAATGGTTGTGCATATGTTTTATTTTTTTGAAAAAATGTATTTTTGAAAACAGTTTTTGAATAGGACTAGGACTATTTCATAGGCCCACCCATTTAATAAAATAAATTTGTTAGTCACTAAATACATAGTTCAAAAACTACATAATTACAATTTTTAAAACTTTTATTCTCACAATGCCATAATTTTGAAGATAAATTATGTGGTCATTCTAGGGATGAGAGTGATCAGTTCCACTGGATATCTGCAAGCTGATAGTGAGGGATGAGGAACTCTGCAAAGGGAAGGAAAGATGACGGAATGGATGCTGGGCAGGCAAGACCAACTGTGTCTACTGGTACCCAAGTACCAGATCAGAACTGGGGTTTTCTGACCTACCCGTCATGCTCCAATTCCAAATTTCATTTTCCATTCTCCCTGTTCTTTTCAGTTATAACATTCCTTCCCCGTGCCCCTTGGTTCACCAGCTCCTCCATGCAGCTCCGAACAGCGCAGCTTCCCAGCTTCCCTTAATCCCCTGATAGCAGCTGAGAGACGGTTCTTTTTTAAACATTTCTAAAAGCTGCAACATGCTCATGTCTCAGTTCCCTGCAAAACAAATTCAGAAGGCTGAAATCATTGTTCTCAGTAAATTGGGTGAAAACGGAGCAAAGGCAGAAGCTTTCAAACAAAGCCTCAGGAAAAATAAGAGACTGTAGAATACTGAATATGTAAGTAGAACTGTATATTTCACACACTTCTCCTAGTCTCCAACCCTGAAGCTTGTGTGTGTTTTTTTTTTCATAGTAAGTTGTAGTTGTCAAAGCAAAGCAATCACTCCATTAATTATAAAGTAAGGGAAAAATGGGTATTGATCTTTAACTAGTTCCCTTTTACTTGTTTAGTGTTAATTGAAAGTTATTCTTCTGAAGACACTTAATTTTTTGGAGGCACTGTAGAAAATAATGTTTAAAATATTCATTCAGAGTTAAGTGAACTCAGAGTCGAGCTCTTATAAACAGGATATTTTAAAATTGGAACTGGATTTTACGTAAGTGACAAAATGATTTCTGAGTTCTCTTTAGATCTCATGGTTCAATAACTCACTTGCTGATGTGCATGTCTGGGGTGGTCAGAGTATTTGCCCAATTGGTGCAAAGATAATGTGCTGCTCCCTTACCCAGAAATGCCCCTTGTAAAAGCAATCTCCATTCATTCACTTATTGATTGATTCAATCACTCTTGGGCACTGAGATCTTGACTGTAATACTGGTAGGGCACCAATTGAGATCTAAAAATTATCTGGGTATAAGAATAATTTTGGCTAATGCTCATATAGTGCTGACTGTATACAATATATTGTTTGGAATGCTTTATACACATTAACTCATTTAATACTCAACAGATTATTAGAGAGATATAATCATCATCATCTCCACTTTACAGAAGAGGAAACTGAGGTATAGACAAGATAAATAACTTGCCCAGGTCGCTCATCTGGTAAGCAGCACAAGATTTGGATCCAGGCAACCTAGCTTTAGAGTCTGTGCTCCTAACTGCTACTCCATAGTGCGGCTATTAAAAATATTTTTTTCTGTCTGCAGTAACATGTAAGGCATCCTTTGGTGACTATAAAATAGTTGAGTTGAGAATGTTTATACTCACACGTTGGAATAATAACTGGATACAGCTAGTATAAGCATACTTTCGTGCAAGAGATATGATACAGTGGGCCTTTGATATTTATCTACAATTTATTTTTAAAAGAATTGGTAAAAACCTTTATGTAGAAACAGCTAAATCTCTGTTCGGTTCAGTTCTGGATTGTGTTATTATTACTTTTACTTTTTTAGTGGGTTTCATGTATATTTAAAAGTAGGGAATACCAGGTTTGCTATCTAAGCTCCACCACTAAATTATAAAACCTACAAAGCAAAATTGTACTTGGAATTGTTTGTACAATGGGGATTATAGTAAAAGGTGGTAAAAAATCATCAGCAAAGTGGGGATATCTCTGTCAACTTTGCAGGGTTCTTGTGAGGGTTATAAGATACTGTAGTCTCTTCGGGGCATTCTACGACTTATTTCTTGATGTAATTTGTTGCCTAATGTAGTGTCTGTTACGTTACAGGAGTATAATGGATATCAATTGAATGTGAATGAAACTGCCTGGCACATACTAAATTTCACTGACTCTGAGAACACTTTCGTATTTTAACCTCGGGATATGTCTCACAGTCAATGGAATGTTACAATAGATGTCAGCCAAATGGCTGTTGAGATGTAGTTGTCATTGCTCATAAAGCAGTGGACTTGGTCTTTATTCCAAGGTCTTTCAAGGAATGAATATAAATCCAGGTTTGTGTTTGAAAACTTTCCACTGATACCTTTTGGTAAAGGTTGTTTCAGCACCAAGACTTGCAGGATGGGTGTCAGTGGTTCCAAAGAATACCTTCAGAGATGATAGAGCAGCACTCTTTCAAAAATTGCTGTATTATCACTGCATTTGATGGCACAGAGTATGATATTACATGAGAAAAGAAAAAATAGACATTACCCAGTCTGAGTCAAAAAGAGAGTTAGCAGAGTTTAACACTGATTTAAAGCGTTTTAATTAATACCGTAAATCATTTATTTTACGTATATATTACCTTTTATGCACAAGAATGATACATAAAAGTATGTAGATGAGTCTAAAAAGCTCTTTAAAATAAAATGATGAATGGTTAGTGTATTAGTTCGTTTTCACACTGCTATAAAGAACTGGCCGGTTGCGGTGGCTCACACCTGTAATCCTAGCACTTCGGGAGGCTGAGATGGGCGGATCACTTGAGGTCAGGAGTTCGAAACCAGCCTGGCCAACATGGTGAAACCCCATCTCTACTAAAAATACAAAAAAATTAGCTGGGCGCAGTGGCATGTGCCTGTAATCCCAGCTACTCAGGAGGCTGAGGCAGGAGAATTCCTTGAACCTGGGAGGTGGAGGTTGGTGTGAGCCAAGATTGCGCCACTGCACTCCAGTGTAGTGACAGAGCGAGACTCCGTCTCAAAATAAATAAATAAATAAATAAATAAACTACCGGAGACTGGGTAATTTATGAAGAAAAGAGCTGTAAATGACTTACAATTCTGCAGGCTGTACAGGAAGCATGGTTGGGAGGCCTCAGGAAACTTAACAATCATGGCAGAAAGTGAAGGGGAAGCAAGCACCTTCTTCACATGGTGGCAGGAGAGAGAGTGAAGGGGGAGGTGCTACACACTTTAAACAATCAGATCTCATGAGAATTCACTCACTATCATGAGAATAGCAAGGGGGAAATCTGCCCCAATGATCCAGTCACCTCCCACCAGGTCTCTTTCTCAACATTGGGAATTACAGTTGACATGAGATTTGGGAGGGGACAGAGAGCCAAACCATATCATTTTGCCCCTGGCCCTTTCCAAATCTCATGTCTTTCTCACATTTCAAAACACAGTCATGGCTTCTCAACAGTCCCACAAAGTCTTAACTCATTTAGCCTTATCTCAAAAGTCCAAGTCCAAAGTCTCATCTGAGACAAGTCAAGTCCCTTCTGCCTATGAGCCTGTAAAATAAAAAACAAGTTAATTACTTCTGAGATACAATGGGGTACAGATACTGGGTAAATAGACCCATTCCAAGAGGGGGAAATCAGTACTTAAATTTAATCCTTAATGTTGGAGGCGGGGCCTGGTGGGAGGTGACTGGATCATGGAGGCGGACTTCCCCCTTTTGTTCTCATGATTGTGAGTGAGTTCTCATGAGATCTGGTTGTTAAAAAGTGTGTAGCACTTCCCCCTTTGCTCTCTGTTCCTCCTGCTCTGGTCATGTGAGACATGCTGCCTTCCCCTTCACCTTCTGCCATGATTGTAAGTTTCCTGACCCCTCCCCAGCGATGCTTCCTGGACAGCCTGTGGAACTGAGTCAGTTAAACCTCTTTTCTTCATAGATTTCTCAGTCTCAGGTAGTTCTTTAAAGCAGTATGAAAATGAACTAATACAGAAAATTCATACCAGAGAAGTGGGGCATTGCTATAAATTCAGTTCCTCAGTGGCACTAGTCCCATTTCAAGAGCTCAGTAGCCACATGTGGGCTAGTGGCTACCACATTAATTGGCTCAGACACAGATCATTTCCATTATCACAGAAAGTTCTTTTGGACAGCCCTGGTCCAGGTTCTTATTGCTTCTCAGTGACAGGGACTTCTCCTAAGTGATCTCCAGGCCAGGCTCTTAGATATGCCTTCTTTGGTCATTCCGTAGATATTTACTGCACGTCTGCCACACGTTAGCCATTGGGAGATACGACAATGGGCAGAGCAGGCAGGGGCCACCCTCACCGTTCCTGCAGTCTCCAGCCTCAGCACCTCCCCTACAGGCCATAGTCTACTAGTTTCCTGAGGGATTTGTTTTAAAATACAAGTCTGACTGTGTTTCTCCAGGAGCACCTGGAGCACGGGAATCCTCCAGGAGCACCTTTGTCCCCTACAAAATATAGATGGTCCCCGACTTGTGATGGTTTAACTTAAATTTTTTTGTCTTTATGATGGTGTGAAAGCAATATGCATTCAGTAGAAACCATACTTGGAGTACCCATACAATCATTCTGTTTTTCCCTTTCAGTGTAGTATTTAGTCATTATATGAGATATTCAACAATTTATTATGAAAATGGGCTTTGTGTTTCATGATTTTGCCCAGCTGTAGGCTACTGTAAGTGTTCTAAACATGTTTTAGGTAGGCTAGGTTAAGCTATAATGTTGGGTATTTTCACTTGGTGATGAGTTTATTGAGATGTAATCCCACTGTAAGTTGAGGAGCATCGGTAACCTCATTGCTACTTAGCATACACCAACATTCCCTAAGATCTGGCTCCTACCTTCATCTCTAGTCTGAAGGCTCATGGAGTGTCTGCTGCCAGGGGCACCCCTAGGTGCTGTGACTACAGGCACCTGCATGTTGGAGGCCTCTTCTGCAGCTTTGCTCTCCCAGACACTGAGAGCTGGGACTCAGGACCTGTGGCAGCATTTTTCAGGGACCTCTCCAGCCATGCAGTTCCTCTTCTGTATCTGGGCTAATTCCAACTCATCCTTCAAGATTTGGCTTAGATGACACCTTCTCTAGCACTTTTGCATGACTCCTTGATATATACTAGGCTCTTTTTCTTCCATGCTCCTGTAGCACCTTGCACCAGCCTGTATTATGAGGCTTTAAATGCCAACTGTTCAACCAACATCAGTGTCTGCTGTGGGCCACATACCCTACTAAGCTCTGTGGATGCAAAACCAAATGAGACTGGTACCTGCCAGCTCCAAGCTCAGCATTTACAGAGGGAGACAGTCCACTCCACTAGATATAAAACAGAATGTGACCCAAATGTTATTAGAAGGAGCACAAAGCAGAGAGGTAATGCAGTCAAGAGAGGTGGTTTGGATTGGGTTAATGGGTCATGGAAGGCTTCTACCTAAGCATGGTGTCTGTCTTACATAGTTGTGGAATAAATGAATAATAACAATAACCAATAGGTATTGAGCACATATTATATGTCCAGCCCTGCCTGTGCTAAGTGGCTTCCCATGCATTCTATCACTTATTCCTCATAACTACATGTGACTCATGTATATTGATACCATTTTGTAGATGAGGAGACTGAGGCTTAAGTAACTTGGCCATAGTCACCTTAGATAGTAAGTTGAAGCAACATTTGAATCTAGGAGGACTGTCTGACCCTAAAGTGTGATATAACCCTGTCAAACTTCTGCCTTTTTTGCATGCAGTAGGATTTTGTAGAATGAATAGGAGTTTCTCATGTGGACAACAAGGGTGATGGACATTCAAGGTGGAGGTATTCTAAAGGTGATGCTCAGAGAGGTTACTTAATTTGCCCAGTCTCACACAGTGGGAATTGAGAGTTTGAGCATGTTTCAGAGCATTTATTAAATACCAAGGCTGGAGATGATGAAATGGAAGAAGTTTGTTTTTTTTTTTAAGCCCCTTTTTCTCTTCCACTTGCTATGTAAGAATGAAAAGACTATTGATTGGGAGGGCAGAATGTGCAGTTGGTAATGAGATTCCCTCTGAAAATCCTTTAAAGTCTCCGTAATTAATTTATTTGAGAGGTGAAACAAACTGTGCATGTGAAATGTGTTAAAATTATTAACAGTTTGCACTAGGTCCACTGCCTGAGGCTGCCCGGCCTGATGAAGGGCACCGGGATTCGTGTCCGCACATCATCCTTGCAATCAATTATTGATCACAGCTGGGGTTCGAGCAGTTGTCTCTTAGCCACTGCAGCTCAGCTGTGCTGCAGCTCAGCTATGCTGCAGCTTCTGAGTCCATTCTGGTCCTGCCTGGCTGAGCCACGAGCAAGGAAGTCTGGAGAAAATAGTGGGATCCCTTCTAGTCCCACTGATGTTGAATTGAAGAAGAGGCAAAATGAATGTGTGCTGATACAAGTCAGCATAGTGTTATCTGGGTGGGTGGAGTGTTCGCTGGGAATGGGAGTCTCTCCAGGGAACTTTCCAGAGAGATGGAAATGGTCTGTACCTTGATCTGAGTGGGCTTTCCTCCCAATGGTGCCAATACTGTGAACCGCATCTCTATGGCCTCCCTGAGGGAATGAGGACCTGCGGCACATCCCCAGTCCTGCTAAATCCTTGGGACTTTCATTTTTCCAAGTCAGAGTAAGCCTGTCACCAAAAGACTGGAATTAGGATTCTTTTCAATGCTGAGATATAAATTAAGAAAAATATTATATCTATGTGTCACAACAAAAGTCATATAAGTGACAATGGTTTTGCAAAATATTTTTACCTCTGTCATTATTTAACCTTGACAACAATCCTGTGAGTGAAGGATTAGCATTCTTATTCGACAGATCTAGAGCCAATGAAAACTTGAAGAGGTTAGTAGCTGAGATAATTCTGAAATACAGGAGACTTGACTCCAAATCTGTTGCTTGCTTTCCTAAATCTGGTGTCGAGGGCATCCTCTGAGGGGAAAAGAATTGCCCAAAGGTATCCCGTGGGAGATTATCTTCATACAATGCTAACTCCAAGACCAGCTATCATAAAGCTCATGTAACCGAAAGGCTCAAGGACCAAGTTAAGATGCTTGAATCACGTAGTTTAGCATATTAACTTAAAACACACAGTTTGAAGGCAGAAGAGTGAGGTGGGTAGTTAATGGACATAGGAGAGGGTGCAAACAGGGAAAAATGGCCACACTTCCTGAACCCTGGATTATGCAGAAGTCCATCTAATATTCTTGCCACCACAGCTTGGCTCAACCGGCCCAATCATTTCTTCCATCTTCATGTCAATAGCCGGTCCCTATTAGGCCCCTGTAGTGATCATCTCATCCAGTGGCCCTCAATCCTGCTTACGCATTAGAATCACCTGGAGAGCTTTTAAAATACATCAATGCCTCGTTCTTATCCCAGAACAATGAAATCAGAATCCATATGGGTAGAGTTCGACACCTGTATTTTGTAAAGGCTCTTCAATGATTCTGATTTGTAGCCAGAGGTGAGAACCAAAAATTTAGATTTTAGGATGGCAAGTAGATGTCATTTCAGATGCTAACTCGAATTAATTGATAGTAGTAAGAGAAGGACCATGAGCTGCCATGTGGGCTCAGAGAGAGAAAGTACAGTGGGCAATGCAGAGCCTCACCTCTCTTTGCTACATCAGCCTTCCCTGCTGATGGTTAGGTTACAAGATCAGAGTTGAGGTTGAACAAGGAACTTGGCAGATGAAAAGTGCCTGGGCCAACACAGTGAACTTGTTCTATTGGGAGATGCAGGGGCAGTCACACCTGGCCCATGGTGGTAACTCACCCTTTACCCTGCCAGCAGCCCTGGATTTCATTTGGCAGAGGACTTGTGGGGCTGGAATGGGTGTCAGCAATGGATGGCTGATTTCAGATCTCATAAATATTGAGTGCCCCATGTATATTGAATATATTATGACAATTTGGAAACTCCTTTGCCTCATGTATATTTGGTGACTCTCAAATATTTGCTACCTCTTGGTCTTTCGATCTCTTTCTAAGCTCAGCAGACACATGCTCTGTTTAATCTATGGTAACATGTCACCCTATATTACTACTTTATATACACTTAACCCATCTAATGAATTCTGCCTCATAAGCTTAATTCTGTCTCATAAGCTATTTGCTTCTACGCTTGCTTCATTTATTCTTCTTGTTATTTCTGATTTTCTCGAGCAGAATTGAATATCTTAAATAATACAACAAACACATTCCAAAAGGGGAACTCTGTCAGGGACTCTGTGCAAGAGTTGCTGGGTTGACCAGAGTGGTAGGAAACTTCTGGACTAATGGATACTCACTCAGAGACAGTCAGTATGTGAGGGGTGTGTGAGAGTTTGGAGTCAGTCCTGGGTTTGAACCCAGCTCCACTGCTGACATCTGGGGACAGGTTCCCAACCTCTCCGACCCTCAGTTTTCCCATCTAGAAAGGACATAACCACACCTACCCTCTATAACTGTTTGATGATTTAATAAGTACTGTCGTAAGCATTAGCACATGCTTAAGACATGCAGCAAGTGCTCTGTAATGTAGTCTTAGACCTGGATGAGAGACTCACCTCCTTTCTATCCTTTGTAAGCCCCATTTGTAACTGTCCTGCAGAGCATGGTTTCATCCAAGGCCACTTTTCCAACCAGAGAATCAGATAGAAAAGAATTTATATTTGTTGAAACCAAAGCGGCCGTCTTAGAGGCTGTAGGCTTATGTGCTGTGTCCTCATGGTGCCAGCAGGGTGGAAAGCACAGGTGGTATGGGAATGCAATTGACCTACCCTGGAGCAGAGAGGAGGCTCTGGAAGGGCTTCTTGAGTTGAAATTTGCATGGTGAGTAGGCATTAGCTAACGAGCCTATTACAATTAGGGGGAGGAAAGCAGGAAGTCCTGCTTTAGGCAGAGGGGTAGCAGAGATGAAGACCGCAGGCAAGAGAAATCCTAACACATCTGAGGACCTGCATGAGATTCAGCCTGGCTCCAGTGAGCGGGACCATTGATGGGTGACTTCTGGTTACACATGGACCTATCCTGAACTTTCTTATGGACCAAAGACAGAGGTAGAGTTGAAAAAGTACTATATGCCTTTATTCAAGTCTAAGCGGTAAAATATGCAGCGAAACTAGGAAATTGGATGAGGAGGAGGAGTGAGAAGTGTTTGAGCATGGGGATTTTATGTTTTTAATGTGTGAGATGGTTCTAACATCCAATTAATACTACTCAGTTTAAGTGGGTTTATCTTTATGCCAGGAAGATGGTGGGCACAGAGGATCTTCCAGGTGTCTTCCAGGATTCTTAGTTCATACGCATGAGGCTGAAATGACAGTGCACATATCAAACTTGGTCCTGGCAGAATTTAAAAGGCAGTTTTGTGTTTTTTTCTCCCTTGTGGGAAAGGGTAAAAGTAGGAGATTAAGCATCAGCCAAATTCATTCTGATTTCATTTCTTTCTGTTGGAATGCATCTCTACCTCCCTGGTCAATTGCAATAGAAAGCAGCCCTGAGGGTTGAGATGGAGGTTATTTTAATGTAAATAGAACTTTAAAATCATCCTTCCAGGAAACAGTGCTCAAACTCCCTGACAGGTCTGAGATTTTATTGTATTAAGTGGCTCTTCCTGGGAAAAATGCGAGTGAATCTGGCCACCTCTTACCCTGACACTGGCTTTTTCAGGAAGGGACACGTGAAACTTCATTAGGAAAAGCTGAAGCCCCATCGTGATCTACTTTAATGCAGTCTTTATTCTGTGGGCCATTTGCTAATTTAATAAAGACTGCATATTCCTGGTGGCTGAAAGAAATTTCAGAAGTCAGTGCCTGAAATGCTCGGCAGAGTAGTTTAGAAGAAAGCTAGAGATTTACTTGCCATTTTCTAGAAAGGGAGATGTGCCTGGCTTATGTTTCAAAGGAGAAGGCCATGTGGGCAAAGAGAGCAGTGAAGGACTTAGAGTCACTGGCCTGGGTTGGAGTTCAAGCTTTCACACTTTTGGGCTATGTGACCTCTCTTGAGGGGCTTCACCTCTCTAAGGCTTATTTTTCCTTATCTGCAAAAGGGGTATAATAATATTGACCTTCTAGAACTGTAAACAGTGACTGAGGGGAAGTATATAAAGTGCTTAGCCTAGTGCCTTTGACACAAAGTTTTTAACTTCAAGTAAATTGGAGCCAAGAGAGGGAAATGAGGGTGGCCTGGTATACAGGATGAAGGGCACTGTAGATAACTGTGGCCAGACAGCTGTAGCCATGAGCCCCATGCCTGATGCTGCAGAGGTAGGGGGGCTTGCTGTAGAGGCACTGGCAGAGTGGGAGGGGGCCACACCTGACTCTTCCACCTTCCTAGGTGTAGTTTTCAGGCAAGAAAGGAAGCACAAACAGGCATGCAGGAAAAACTCAGCACCCAAGAAGAGGTTCAAGAGAAGGTATAAATGCTCTCTTATGGCAGGGAGAAGATGGTGCCAGGAATTGGCTGTGAGACTCTTGTTCTACTGTAGGATCCAGAGAGGAGTAGCTGGGAGCTTCAGATATGTTGATTAAAGGTCATGGGAGTCCCAGGTGGGATCTGTACAGTGCTCAGTGGTGGAGTCATGGTAGAGGCCAGAAGCGGCTCTCCAGGAGTGTAGGGCAGGAATCCAAGCAGCAGGTGATCCTCTGGGCCAGGTGCATATGGGGAGAAAGCACTGTTTTGGGAAGGAAGCTAGGGCTGGGAAAGATAAGATTCTACAATGAAAATGGCATCACAAAGAAGTGTGATGAATCACACTTGCAAATGAACAATTACAAATGAATTCTGTATAAGAGAGATGCAAGAAATGTTAAGCTTTAGACTCTAATAACTGTAGGTAATACAATAACCTAAGGAAGATTTTCAAATAAGTGTATTTATAATATTCAAAGAGATAAGGAAAGAAATAGAAATCATTAGGTAAGAAGGGAAAGTTAAGGGAAAAGAAAAGGTGGACTTGACAAAGACCAAGTAGAAATTCAAGAAATAAAAAACCATGAAGTCATTGAAGTTAAAAAAAAAAAAAAAAGCAACTCATGAAATGGCAGACTAGAAATAGTTGAAGAGAGAATTAATAATGTGGAAACAAAGCTAAGTAAATGAACCATGAATATAAAAGAGAAATTATAAGAAAAGGAAGATAAAGAGGATTAAAAATATCTAATAAGAGCATCTGAAAATTAGCTTGGATATAATGGAGAAAAGGAACCACTTCAAGGTAAAATGGTGGAAAAGTTTTCATTTTTAAAGAAAGCTATAAGGTCTAATTAAAGGAGTGCATAGTTTAGAAAAAATTAATAAAAACAAATTAATTTGTAGCTGTAACAGAAAAATTGCAGAACATCAAAGAGGCAAAATAATATTAAATTATATAAAAGAAAAAAGACATAATCACTAATAATAATGCGTGCTTTTTATAGAAAATTTGAAAAATATAAAGAAAACTTGCACATAATTCAATTATAGTCAATGACTATATTTTGATGTATTTTTTTGGGGATGTATATGTCTTTTAAGAAAGTTTAGCTCCTCAGGTTTGCACAATTTTATGTCCTTTTAACATTTAATGTATAATGGGATGTCCTGTATTATTTTTAAAAATAATTTTTAATAGAAAAATTTCAAACTTACAGAAGTATTGCAAGTATGGTAAAAAGAATACGCTCACTGAGATATTTGACAAACTTGTCACTAATTCTCCATTGCTTCTAAATACTTCAGTGTTTATTTCCTACAAATAAGGGCATTTTCTCACACAACTACAACATAATAATGAAAGGCAGAAAGTCAATATTAATGTATTATGTTTAATCCACAGACCTGACAAGTTTTGACAGTCATTCCAATAATGTCCTTCATAGCAAATGGATCTAGTACAGAATCATGCATTGTATTTTGCTGCCATGTTTCCTTAGTCTCTTCCAGTCTGACAGTCCTCAGTCTTGTCTTTACTTTCATGACGTTTATACTTTTGAAGATTCGAGGCATGATATCCCTCCGGCTAGATTTTCCTGATATTTCATCCTCATTACATTCAAGTTATAATTTTTTGGCAGGAATATCACAAAAGTGATACGATGCTGTGATTGCACTCTAGCATTTCATTTTGTCTAATAACTGAGGTTGCTCACTTTGACCACTTCATTAATGTTGAGAGGTGACAACATGCTAGCAGCCCTTGCTCCCTGTCGGCGCCTCCTCAGCGTCCACTCTGGCTGCACTTGAGGAACCCTTCAGCCCGCTGCTGCACTGTGGGAGCCCCTCGCTGGGCTGGCCGAGACCGGAGCCGGCTCCCTATGCTTGCAGGAAGGTGTGGAGGGAGAGGCACAGGCAAGAACCCAAGCTGCGCGTGGCGCTTGCGGGCCAGCGCGAGTTCCAGGTGGGCTCGGGCTCCGCGGGCTCCGCACTCGGAGCGGCCTGCCGGCACCGCTGGCCCCGGGCAGTGAGGGGCTTAGCACCCGGGCCAGCAGCTGCAGAGGGTGCGCCGGGTCCCCCAGCACTGCCTGCCCGCCCGCGCCGCACTCGGATTCTCGCAGGGCCTCAGCCGCCTCCCCGCGGGCCAGGGCTCGGGACCTGCAGCCTGCCATGTCTGAGCCCTCCGCCCGCGCCCGAGCCTCCCTCACGGGCGCTGCCCCCTGCTCCGCAGCACCTGGTCCCATGGACTGCCCAAGGGCTGAGGAGTGCAGGCGCGCGGTGCCGGACTGGCGGGCAGCTCCCTTGGCGGCCCCTGTGCGGGATCCACTAGGCGAAGCCAGCTGGGCTCCTGAGTCAGGTAGGGACTTGGAGAACTTTTACCTCTAGCTAAAGGATTGTAAATGCACCAGTCAGCACTCTGTATCTAGCTCAGGGTTTGTAAACACACCAATCAGTGTTCTGTGTCTAGCTAATCTAGTGGGAACTTAGAGAACTTTTATGTCTAGCTGGAGGATTGTAAATGCACCAATCAGCACTCTGTATCTAGCCCAGGGTTTGTAAATGCACCAATCAGTACTCTGTGTCTAGCTACTAATCTATTGGGTACTTGGAGATCTTTTGTGCCTAGCTAAAGGATTGTAAATGCACCAATCAACACTCTGTGTCTAGCTCAAGGTTTGTAAATGCACCAATCAGCACCCTGTCAAAATGGACCAATCAGCTCTCTGTAAAATAGGCCAATCGGCTCTCTGTAAAATGGGCCAATCAGCTCTCTGTAAAATGGGCCAATCAGCAGGATGTGGGTGGGGTCAGATAAGGGAATAAAAGTAGGCTGGGGAGCTCTTGGCGGCAACCTGCTTGGCTTCCTTTCTGCAGCATGGAAGCTTTGTTCTTTTCCTCTTTGTAATAAATCTTGCTGCTGCACATTTTTTGGGTCTGCACTGCCCTTGAGAGCTGTAATGCTCACTGCAAAGGTGTGCGGCTTCACTCCTGATGCCAGAGAGACCATGAACCCACTGGGAGAGAGGGAAGAAACTCTGAACGTCTGAATAACTGAAGGAACAAGAAACTCCAGACGCTAGGCGTTTAAGAACTGTAACACTGACCGTGAGGGTCTGCAGCTTCATTCTTGAAGTCAGCGAGACCAAGAACCCACCAATTCTGGACACAGTGGTGTCTGCAGGGCTTCTCCACGATTACACTACTCATTTTCCTTTGCACTTAATAAGCATTTGATGGAGAAGTGCTTTGAATTCGTATAAGTTCATTCATCACCAAAGTTTTTCTTTAGAGCTTTGTTACCAAAACACCAGGGTTTCAGTCTACATCCTGTTGATTGCTGCACAGAAAGCCAATCGCTGAGATGACAGATACTGCTGAAGAAGACTTTAATCGGGTGCTGCATCTGAGAGGATGGGAACTCAGCCTCAAGTCCGTCTCCCTGTTCACTAAAACTAGGGGCTTAGATAGCAGGGAAGAAATGTAACAATGTGTAAGAAAGTAGGAACTAGGGAGGGGGCAATGAGGCATCAGGTGCTGTGATCTGGTGAGTTTCGGTTCTTCAGTACTATTTTTTGAGAGGCCTGAAAGTCCTTTCCTGAGGAAGGAACTAGGATAAAACAAATACAGGTTTCACGCTTTAACAGTAGAAGGGTCAATTTCTAGTCTATGTTTATCCAAAAACAAGCGTCTTTGGGACTATTCGGCCAGTTTTATATCTATTTATATCAGATGGACTCATGTTTTCCTATTTATTTAATGGCTATATTGTTACTATCATGTTTTTGGTGGTCAAATTTCCCCAAGTGACACCCCTTAAAGCTGCCCCCGTATCCTTTGACATGCCCCCATTATTGTTTGAGCATTTTCCCACTTTTTAGAACAAGACATTCCCAGCTCATCTTGTACTTTTCTTGTTTCAGTCCTGAAATCAGACACTTCTTCAAGGAATGTTGATTCCTTTAACTGGAAAATGACATTTAGAAACTAGATATGGATGGTAGCTGTTCTCATTGCTTTTGGGATAGTGCTGTTCTCAGGTACTCTTAGTGGAGAGAGCAAGGTGAAAGATGCATACACATACTCTGTCTCTCAGATAGTCATATTTGCATTCTATGTATGTGTGTATGTATGTATCCATCTGATATGGGAGGGGGGCAGGGAAATGCAGGGTAGAGAAGGGTAGGGTCCCTGGCAAGGGCTCAACCCTCAGGCCTGTGCCCATGGATCTAAGTGAGGACAGGCACTTCTGTTTTTGCACCCAAATATTGCGTTTTCCAAGACCACCGTGGCCTGCCATGTCCCCATCCTGTGCCTATAAAAATCCTAAGACACTAGCAGGCATATACACAAGCAGCTGGACATGGCGGCTAACACACCGGCAGAAGAGCACACCAGCAGAAGAACACACCAGAAGACACTGGCAGTCCATTGATGGTGGAACAATGTGGACGCCAAGGGCAATTTGGCTGAGGGTGGTTAGAGGAGAGTCTGGCTGCTGAGTGGCCCAACCACTCATCCATCTCCTGGCTCCCCATCCAGCGACATCACCACTCAATATGAAACCTTGCACTCATTCTCCAAGCTCATGTGTGATCTGATTTTTCAGGTACATACGGGCAAGAACCCCAGGATACAGAAAGCCCTCTGTTCTTGCAATAAGGCAGAGGGTCTAATTGAGCTGACTAACAAGCCACCTGTGGACGGCTAAGCTGAAAGAGCACACTGTGACACATGCCCACTGGGGCTTTGGGAACTGTAAACACTCAACTCTAGATGCTGCCATGGGGTTGGAGCCCACGCTCCCCATGACCTGCCTGTCTGCATGCTCCCCCTAAGGGTTTGGTTTGAGCTGTGGGGCACTGAAGAAGTGAGCTACACCCCCATTGCATGCCCTGCAACGGGGATGAGGGAAAACTCCTCCCGTTTCACATCTATCCCCTCCCCTGCCCTTCCCTCCTTCGCTCCCCTCCCCTCCCCTTCTCTCCTTCCCTCCCCTCCCATCCCCTCCTTCCCTCCCCTCCCCTCCCATCTCCTTCCTTTCTTTCTCTCTCTTTCTCTTTCCTTTCTTCATCTATCGTCTACTTACTTACCTATCGCAAGCCATGAGTTCACATTGATGCCTCCAGTTACAAGCTAACAACACAAAGTTCATTCTTGTTTCCTCTTTTCTAACATATTTAAGTTTCTTCTGTGGCAGTGAGAAACCTGCTGCTCATTATCTTTAGTATGTTTACTGATGGGATCAATCACCCAGTATGTAACCAACCTCCACTGCTGTAGCTGATCCTTCTGCTGTGCGGGTGCCTTCTTTGCTCTGCAGGAGCCCAGACACCTGCATCAGGCTGCTGCTGCTTCTGTCCCCACCCTGCATGGAAGCCTTCCTCAGTTATCCTGGGCTCAGACACCCACCTATGGCACCACCTGTGCTGATGACCCCACCTGTGAACACTGTCACTCCTGTGTAATTATTATTTTTTATTTGTATAGCTTTTTCATTGTTGTAAATATACATAAGGTAAAATTTACCATTTTAACCATTTTAAGTATATAATTCAGCCACCTTAAGTACATTCACTTTGTTATGCAACCGTCACCACCATCCATCTCCAGAAGTTTTAATCACCGTAAACTGAAACTCTGTACCCATTAAATGATAACTCCTCATTGTTTCCTCCCCACGACTCCTGGTATTCACCATTTTACTTTCTGCCTTTATGAATTTGATTAGTTACCTCATATAAGTATGCAATATTTTTCCTTTTATGTCTGGCTTATTTTATTTAGCATAACATTTTCAAGGTTCATCTGTGTTGTAGCATGTACCAGAAATTTATTCCTTTTTAAAGCTAAATATTAATATTTCATTGTATGTACATACCACATTTTGTTTTGGTTGCTTTACCTTTTGCCTGTTATGAGTAATGCTGCCTGAATATTGGCATAGAAATATCTGAGTCTCTATTTTTTGAGTCTATTGGCTTTATACCTAGAAGGGGAATTGCTAGATCATATGATAATTCTATTTTTAATATTTTGAGAAATTGTCTTGCAATTTTCCATAGTGTATGCATCAGTCTAAATTCCCGCCATTTATACACAAGGGTTCCAATTGTTCCTCATCATTGTTAACACTTGTTATTTATTTATTTTGGTAATAGCTATCCTAATCAGAGTAAAGTGGTATTTCATTTTTGTTTTTATTTGCATTTCCCAAATGATTAGTGATGTCAAGCAAATTTTCATGTGCTTATTGGCTATTTGTATATCTTCTGTGTGAAAATATCATACAAGTTTTGATCATTTTAAAAAATCAGGCTTTTTTTTGGTTATTGAGTTGTATTAGTTCTTTATATATTCTGTATATTAATCCCTTGTGATATTTATAATTTGCAAATATTTATTCCCATTCTGTGGGTTGTCTATTCACTTTGGTGGTAGTGTTCTCTGATGCATAAAAGTTTTTTAATTTTAATGAAGTCCAATTGCTCTACATTTACTTTTGCTCCCATATTCAAGAAATCATTCCCAAATTCAATGTCATGAAGCTTTTGCCCTACATTTTCTTCTAAGAGTTTTATAGTTTTAGTTCTTCTATTCATGTTTTTGATCCATTTTGGGTTAATTTTTGTATGAAGTGTATATTATTTTAATCTCAAAATTATTTTAAACACTTCATAGTTTTAAAGGAGGAGCCAAAGTTATCTTTAAAGTTGTTTAATTTTTGATCTCCAAGGTGCTTATCTATTTTTGGCTTTAAAATATTATTGTAAAAGTCCACCAACATTGCCTGAATTTTGGTGTTTTCTAACAGCTGAGCTTCTGGGGAGTCAATGTGGCTCAGGTGAGGAAAGCAGGAGGATCAGAGACCAGGAAGTTCCAATGGTGAGCAGAGGGATGGAGGGGGAAGGTGTTACGGGTTGGCTGCATGTCTCTAAGTCTCTTTGATATCATTTGGTGAGAGCCATGTCCCTTCCTATTCCTCAGCTTTCTCCTTTTGTTACTGCCCTTCCCTGATTTACTGGTGGTTTTGAAGTTTTAGTCTCTCATGATTATGTTATGGCCATAGTGCAGGCCATTGGTCATCTGAGTGGTGCCAGTGGTTTCGTTGGATCCCAGAGGACCAAGGCCACTCAATAATAGCCACTCCTTGAGCTGTCTAACAGGAAGATCAGCATTTCCAGAGAGGAAATGGCATTCATTATGTAACCCAGGATGGAAGGCAATGATTTTTCTTAAAGACATCTCCTTATTAGTGTTGTATAAGGAAGTTCAATTGTGACTGCTCACTATTCTCTGATTGATTTCAAAAATGAAAAAAATTGCTCGTAGCAGACTTCTGTAAAGGGATGTTAGTGGAGAAAATCATTGACTATTAGACTATTAGAGCTGGAAGCACCTTAGTGATATCATCTAGATTAGTGTTTTTCAGACTATTTTAGTAACTTGATTTTTTCCTCCAAGTGCAATTAATCATATGACCAATCCCAATAAGTAAAATAAAAAAAAATCTGCTTAAACTTCTTTCCTTCTACTGCTAAGAAACCCTCTATCTAGTCCAACATTCTAAAACTAAGGCCAAGAGAAAGGAACTGATGTATCGAGAGTCACCCAGCTTGTGCTAGGGTGGGGATGGGGCCAGAACTCACATTTTCCAGTTATTTGGTCAAGGTTCCTTAATCCAGACAAGACGTGGCCTCCTGTTCTGGGGCCTTTTGTTCTTCTAGAGCTCAGACAAGGAAAAAGAAGAAGGAGATTCATCTGGCACCTTGATGATTTCTTCCTAACTGAGCAGGGAGTGTGATTTAGTTAAGGGCCACATAGCAATCCCTGGTCAGTGTTGTGGGGAGGCAGCCTCCTGGCAGGGGCTGTTTTAAGGGTTCTTCCATAGTATAAATAGGACACCTCCAGGAACTGGGAATGGAAAAGCTAGGAAAACAATGAGAACTCATGTGAACTGGAGACACGTGCAAGCAGATGAAGCATTCCATTCTCCAGAAAGTCTCCAGTATAATTTTTTTTTTTTTTCAAAAGCAAGGGCTTCACAAGCTCCCTTCTGTGAGGAGCGAAAGTGAGTTGGGCAGTATTGAGTCACCGTTTCTCCTTGCTGGAAGAAGCAGCCCTCCAGCAAGCCCTCCAGTTTCTGCTTGCTGGGAGGCTGGTAGATAAGAGCAGGTGAAAACAGAAGGGCAGTGTGATGGGAGGAAGAGACAAGAAAAGTCTGGGAGCCTCTATGATGACTGGGAAACTCGGGCAAAAGAATATTAGCAGGGAGAGTTTGGGGAACATTTAAAGCTGGAGAGGAGATTTTTTAGGAGTCACTGTCAGAAAGTTTTTCTGGAGTCTACTGCTGGGTGAAGGAGAGAGATGGCATGGAGAGAGAGAATGGCAGTAATAAAACTGTCCCCAAAGGATATTTAAAATGTTTTACGGTGCATTGGGAATGCAGTGTCCTTTGCCATTTTTCTCAAGAATCTGAGTAAAGATTTAAATTGGCTTAGGACACTTTTTTGGGTTACTGAACTCTGATTCTTTGAAACATAGAAGTTACAATGTACACAGCCTGTAATTGTGTTTGAAATACTTTTGCATAGTGACCAAAAGAAGATAGGAAGGTACCTAGGGCGGGGACCTTGGCTACCACCCTACTGAAGGAATTAGCACATGTAACAAAGCAATGTGTTAGCTTGAAGTGGCAGTAATCAGAAAGCTATAAAAGTAGAGACAGAGAGGCCCGTGTCTGATTTACCCCCATATCCTCTGTTCTCACAACTGGCAGATGAATGAGTGATGTAAGTCTCTTTGGAGGCCTCTCAGTGTCAACCTATTGGGGTTCTCTCAATCCCCAAACCTGAGCTTGCTCTGCAATCTGAAGTCCTAGCTTTTCACCCACTCCACCTTGGGGCTTATATTCAAATGTAGAGGTGTTGATAGCTAGCCTCTGTTCTGACTGCTCTGTGCCCATGCAGGTCTCGTTGTTAAATATTTAGAATATCACCCCCAGTTTATCCTACTTTCCCCAAGCCTACAAGGAGCCCAAATCTGTCCTTATGGTCAACATATGAGGTGATGAGCATTCTGTTGCAAAAGCTGTTTTTATCTGCATAGTTGGGGATGCTGGGTGCATATATGAGGTGCAGTTGGGAGTTGGGGGCTCATTAGACCGGCAGGCAAGATTCAGAGGAAGGCAGCAGGCCATGTGTCTATGTCTAGCTAGGTTCTGTATTCTTGCCTAGCAGGTTTTGGTTGCAAGATCTAGCTTCCAAATGGAAATATGAGGATCTTAGAAGGCCCCCTAGGTGATATATATTCTTTTATAAATGAAGAAATTTCACATTCATCACATTTGTTTCTCATCTATTCTGTATTTAAAATTATACTATTGATAATGGAAGCTATAACTGCCCATAGTGGGTGCTCAGACAGGTTGGTCAGATTTGTGAATTGAATTTTCCTCAAAGGGCTTACCTTTTGAATTATTTGGGATTGTTATTTGCAAATGATGAAATTCTACTTAAAGTAGTTTAGGTAAAAGGGGAAATTAATTTTCTTGGGGAGGTGGGAAGAGAGGGTATGACTTGCGAAAACTGAAGCCAGGGACTTGTCTTCCTTGGGCTTGACTTTTTTCTGAATGTCAGCCTCAGTGTCCTTATGGTGTCTGGCCTTCTCTGGAGGAGAGACAGAAATGATTAGTAGCTTCCAGACTCACATCTTCCCAGAGTAGCCTGAGAAGAAAGGACTCTTACCCCAACTCCAATTTGAGAAAACCAGGATAAGAATTATAGTTGGCTAGGCATGGGTCATGTGGCTAGTTCTTGGGCCAATCACTATGCTCGATCAGGTTAAAGTACTAAGACCTGTTCAGAATGGATACAATACCCACCTCTGTGGCTGGGGGCTCAAGCTTCTATGATCCACTGACCAAAGGGGTTGGCATTGGGGGCAGTAACTGTTCACTGAAAGAAAAGTAGAATATTTCCCAGATGATAGAGAAATGTTGATGGGGAGAACCACTGCTCACTTTACACATTAAAAAATAAAAAAACACCCAATTGATTGAGTTGGGTGGTATTGACTCAGTGTATTCGTTATTTTCATTGGAGAGATCAAGCTAAATGAAATAGTCAAATTTTGAGAAGGTAAAACTTGAGCTGGTTGCAAAGGGGGATGAGATTTGGATGTAGAGAGGAGAAGAAATGGCTTTGGGCAAGGGAGAGAAATTGATAAAATTTAAGAGTGGAGTTTAGAGGAATAACAAAAACAAAAGAAACACTAACAGCTAGCATTTACTGACTGATACTATTGAAAGATTGTATCATCTCACAGGGTCCTCCCAAACACTCTCTGAGACAAAGGAAGATGGAAGATGCAAATTGGAGAGCCCAGGGAAACATATTTTGCATAGGAGCCGAGGCATGCTATTAATTAGTCATTGAGAAAAACCATCCTTAAAACTTTTTTTTTTTTTTTTTTGAGACGGAATCTTGCACTGTCACCCAGGCTGGTGTGTGGTGGCATGATCTTGGCTCACTGCAACCTCTGCCTCTCAGGTTCAAGCAATTCTCGTGCCTTAACCTCCCAAGTAGCTGGGATTACAAGCATGCACCACCACGCCTGATTAATTTTTGTATTTAGTAGGGATGGGGTTTCTCCATGTTGCCCAGGCTGGTCATGAACTCCTGACCTCAGGTGATCCACCTGCCTCGGCCTCCCCAAGTGCTGGGATTACAGGTGTGAGCCACCACACCTGGCACATTCTTACAATATTGAGCAAGTATTTATTGAGCCTATGATTAGATCTCAGCCACTGTGCAACTTTGCTTTATAAAATTTTAAATAATTCTCTTGTAAATTGGTTTTGGCAAGCTTTGCCTTTAATTTCCTATATGAATCAGGTTAACATGAGTGATGCTGCATTAATATAACACCCCCGAAATCTCAGTGGTGTAATTAACTAAAGTATATTTCCTGCTCATTGAATTCTGGGGGTTGAGATTCTGAGCACCTTTCCAGGACAAACTGTCAAAATCATGGCATGTCCATCTCATCACAAAGCCTCTGAGTTCCATGTGGTCATCTCAGCAGGGGAAGAGAACATGAAGGGTTTAAACCAAACTTGTCACATGATCCCACCTAATTACAAAGATAGTAAGGAAGAATAATCCTTCTGTAAGCTTGAACGAGAGGAAACTTGGGTATGAGTGCACACTACATTCTCCATCTTATTTCTGGAGTAAGATACTTGAGATATCTGGTTATCCTTCCTTCCTTCCTTCCTTCCTTTCCTTCCTTCCTCTTCCTCTTCCTCCTTCTCTCCCTCCCTTCCTTCATTTCTTCCTCCTTCTTTTTTTTCCCTGTCATTTGTCTTCAGGGTTGGCTCATGTTCAGCCTTGAACATGACTTCCAGAAACATCTGTGTGGCTGAACTTTGTTTTAGTTCCTTAGCTCTAAATTCGGAAAGTGTAACAACTAGGCCAGGCCGCATTAGCCTGGGGGACTGAGGATGATTAATGACCATGCTCATGTTTGACTATACAACATCGTACCATATTTTCAATCATAATGTATATTGCTTTATCACAATGTGCTTTAAGACTGATGAGGTGCACCTGCTCCTGGTGCAGTGAGGAGACATCTAGAACTGCTCCAGTCTGGGGCAGGGGCAGCTGCATGGCTGGGTCAGACTTCCCTAGCAATGGATGACTTAGTAACAGGGAGCTGGCTGGTTAAGGCCTGGGTTCTAGGACAAGGGCATCTTCCTGAAAAGTGTTGGTGATCTCTTTTTAGTGAGTACTGATGCAGCTGCCTTTCCTCTGTACCTTTAATTTTTAACATTATTGGTTGAGACGGGGTCTCACTCAGTTGCCCAGGCTGAGAGCAGTGGTGCAATCGTGGCTCACTTTAGCTTCAGCCTCCTGGGCTCAAGCCGTCCTCCCATCTCAGCCTCCCAAGTAGCTGGAACCACAGGCACATCCCACTATACCCTACTAGTAGTTTTTTTTTTTTTTTTTTTTGTGAAAATGGGGTCCTGCTATGTTGCCCAGGCTGGTCTCAAACTCCTGGACTCAAGCAATCCTCCTGCCTTGGCCTCCCAAAGTCCTGGAATTACAAGCCTGAATGACCACTCCCAACTCTGTACCTTTGAGATAAGAAATTTTATTTGGTTTACCCAAGTAGTGTCTGTGTGCATTTATTCTGCCACTCTGAACTTAAGATACACCTATTAATATAGTGGGTTTCTTTGTACTCTCTCCTCCTCCTTCTCTCCCTTTCTCCTTCTTCCTTCCCTTTTTAAAGCACTAAATTGTAGGCACCATGCTAGGTGAAGAGACTTTAAGATAAATGGGATATATTTACCTGCCTTAAACATGTTATGTGAGGTTAGGAGACCTCATATTGCTGCTGCTTTTCTGCAGACAGGTTTCTGGTACTCCAGATGCTTGCCCAGTGTTAAAACAAAACCTATTTTCTCATTGAATAATGGAGGCAAACCAAGGGTTGTATGAAAAGTCACAATGGCCAGAGGCCTAAGTTCACCTGCCCATGAACAAGAAGGAAAACTGAAATGGAATGGTAGTCTGATAAGGAAGATTGATTGAGAGTGGGAGAGCAATGGCTCTAGGAAATGACAATAACAGGCTTTCAGGATCTCACCCCAACAAGGGAGGTACCCAGTAATTGCATCGGGGTACAGTAGCCATTGTTCAATTTTGAAGTTCCAGTTGTGTGGAAAGTATCCCAGAAAACATTTTTTTTTTAATTATTATACTTTAAGTTCTGGGGTACATGTGCAGAACGTGCAGGTTTGTTACGTAGGTATACACATGCCATGGTGGTTTGCTGCACCCATCAACCCATCATCTACATTAGGTATTTCTCCTAATGCTATCCCTCCCCTAGACCCTCACCCCCTGACAGGCCACAGTGTGTGATGTTCCCCTCCCTGTGTCCATGTGTTCTCATTGTTCACCTCCCTCTTATGAGTGAGAACATGCAGTGTTTGGTTTTCTGTTCTTGTGTTTGCTGAGAAAGATGGTTTCCAGCTTCATCCATGTCCCTGTAAAGGACATGAACTCATCCTTTTTTATGGCTACATAGTATTAGTATTCCATGATGTATATATGCCACATTTTCTTTATCCAGTCTATCATTGATGGGCATTTGGGTTGGTTCCAAGTCTTTGTTATTGTGAATAGTGCCACCATAAACATACATCTGCATGTGTCTTTATAGTAGAATGATTTATAATCCTTTGGGTATATACCCAGTAATGGGATTGCTGGGTCAAATGGTATTTCTGGTTCTAGATCCTAGATCTTGTTCTAGAATAACCACACTGTCTTCCACAATGGTTGAACTAATTTACACTCCCACCAACAGTGTAAAAGCATTCCTATTTTTCTACATCCTCTCCAGCATCTGTTGTTTCCTGACTTTTTAATGATCACCATTCTAACTGGAGTGAGATGGTTTCTCATTGTGATTTTGATTTGCATTTTTCTAATGACCAGTGATGATGAGCTTTTTTTCATATGTTTGTTGGTTGCCTGTCTTCTTTTGAGAAGTGTCTGTTCATATCCTTCACCCACTTTTTGATGGGGTTGTTTGTTTTCTCTTGTAAATTTGCTGAAGTTCTTTGTAGAGTCTGGATATTAGCCCTTTGTCAGATGGATAGATTGCAAAAATTTTCTCCCATTCTTTAGGTTGCCTGTTCACTCTGATGATAGTTTCTTTTGCTGTGCAGAAGCTCTTCAGATGAGTCTCCCTCTGTCTTGCCCAGGCTGGAGTGCAGTGGCACGATCTTGGCTCACTGCAACCTCCACCTCCTGGGTTCAAGCCATTCTCCTGTCTCAGCTCTGGAGTAGCTGGGACTACGGTGTGTGCCACCACACCCAGCTAATTTTGTATTTTTAGTAGAGACGAGGTTTCACCATGTTGGCCAGGCTGGTCTCGAAGTCCTGACCTCAGGTGATCCATTTGCCTCGGCCTCCCAAAGTGCTGAGATTACAGGGTTGAGCCACCGCACCTGGCCAGAAAATAGAATTGTTTTTCCAGGACTTTTTGCATGGTTGGGGTCTCCTGTGTGTAAATCCCAATCAACTATGCATTTTGATGCTTTGAAATAATAATTTTCCAGAGTATCATGATGATTTCTTCATCCGATAGAAGAGGATTTCTGTATCACTCCTCAATTGCTTGAATTATTTCAAATCCCACTCCTGGATGGTCATCTGGGGTCACCAAAGGAAGCACAAAACCATGTTTTTCTAAACACCGTAAAGAGATTCACGTCCCTCATCACCCACCATTAGGTGGCACATACACGTGAAAATATGACATCTATTTTATTTTGATAGGAATGTATTGGCAGGATAACATAATGGTTAAAAAATTGGCTTCTCATATCAGGCCTAGGTTTGCATTATGGCTTGGCCATTTGCTGTCTGTGCAACATTGGGGACATAGCTCTTTGAGCCTGAGTTTTCTCATCTATAAAATGGGAGAAATGATGGTTCTGATTTCATAGAACTGTTGTGAGAATTGAATGAATTAGTGCATAGAAAACACTTAGCGTAGAATCTGGCATTTAATAAGTGCTCAATTCACACTGGCTTTTATTATTAGTTATTAATATAAGTTGTACGTATCTTGGCTTTTATTATTAATAAGCTCTATTTTATGCTATTCCTGGGGGAATAGATGCTAACCTATGCCTTTTAAAATAAAACTTTGGGAAATGAATTATTACTTAATAAATAGCATTTATTTATCCCTTTGAATCCATCAAAACCTGGGGTCTAAGTAGGAGAAATCACACTGGGGATCTTGGTGGCGAAAAAAGAAATTACCTTCTTGTACCATAATGTAGAGATTTTAAACTGTAAACGTGGCCTCCAGAGGAGTTTTGTTTGACTTGAACAGTATTTATTTTGTTTTCAACTTGATTTAGTTGCTGACGTTTAAGAACCAGCTGATTTCACATAAAAATTAGCATTTCCTTCTGGGCTTGGGTCTGGCCTGTTTTATTCTTTTATGTTTCCTGTCTGTGGTAGGCAGAATAATGATCCCCTGAAGATGTCCATGTCCTAATTCCCGAAAGGTGTGAATCTCTTAGGTTATATGACAGAGGGAAATTAAAGTTGTAGATGGAATTAAGGTTGCTATTCATCTGACCTTAAAATAGATTATTCTGGATTTTCTGGGTGGGCCCAATGTAATCACAAAGGTCTTTATCAGTAGAAGAGGGGGGAAGAAGAAGAGAGTCAGAGGGAAATTGCTTAGGGAAGAATGATGAGAGAGATGCAACATTGCTGGCTTCAAAGATGGAGGAAGGGGCCATAAACCAAAACATGCTTGTATCCTCTGGAAGCTGGAAAAGGCAAAGAAATGGACTCTCCCCTTTACCCCCTAGTGGAGATGCAACCCTGCCAACATCTTGATTTTAGTTCAGTGGGACCTGTGTTGGACTTCTAACCTACAGAACTGTTAACGTCAAACATTTGTTGTTTAAATCATGAAATTTGTGGTAACTTGTTATAGCAGCAATAAAAACTATTACACTTCTTTATTACTATAGGATAAGAGAGTATTTTTGCTGTTATTAATCTTCATGTTTTTAATGTAATTCTATTGATGCACTTAGTCATCTTGGCAAACACGCAAAGCCCAGCAGAGTTGCAGAAGCTCCCTGGCTTCCCTACTGGAAAATGCAGACCAATAAGAACGCTTGCTGTCTCTGATGGGAAGCACATGTGTTGGTATTTTTAAACGACTTTCAGCTACACAAGCAAATGACCCTTTTGATCCTAAAAAAGTATTAAGGGATAATAATTCCTGTAGAATACTTGCATTCCCTGCTTATGGGATTTTAGCACCATGTTTTTGTATGATTGGAGTAGTTGAACATTTTTCTCAAAGACAAATTGCCTGGTCTAGATGGGTAATTTTACATAGGAAGGGGAAGATCTTGTTTGAGAAGGTGTAGTCTCATTTGTCTGTGCACAAATGACCACAGGAACCCTTGGAAGAAACTAGGATCAAGAGAGGCGGAAGACATAGAATTCTTCCAAAGAAACACTGGAGTAAAGGACAAAGGCCTTTGGGAATAGAGATGATTGGTCTGAGATGTGCGTTAGAAACATGGAAGGACATGAGTTCTGTGGGCAGGGCCACAGCCAGGGCACCTTTGGGTCAGGTGCATGGAGGGAAGGAACATGGGTGGTTTTATAGTCTCTCCACTTCTGGCCCCAGGGAGCCTTTGGGTAGGGCCCAACATGCAGAATTAGACATGTCGGCTCTGTCTCTTGGGGGTTCAGAAAGTCATAAATAACACTCTTCTCCAGTCCTGAGATAAGGATCGTTTGAGAGATGAATGGAGGAGTCAGAAAGATAGAGCTAGAAATTCCACTTCTGAGTATTCACCCCAAAGAATTGAAAACAGGGACTCAAGAAGATATTTGCACACAGCAGCATTATTCATAGTAGCCAAAAGGTGGAGGCTATTTGAGTGTCCATTGACAGATGAGTAAATAAACAAAATGTGGTCTATACGTATAATGGAATATTATTCAGTCTTGAAGGAAATTTCGACATGTGCTACAACATGGATGAACCTTGTGGACATTATGCTAAATGAAATAAGCCAGTCACAAACGGACACACAAAAGGACACATATGTCCGCTTATAGGAGGCATCTAGAGTAGTTAAATTTATAGAGACAAAGTAGGATGGTGGCTACCAGAGGGTGGGAGAGGGCAGAATGGGGAGTGATTGTTTGATGGGTATGAATTTCAGCTGGCAAGATGAGAAGCTCTGGAGATGGATGGTAGTGACAGCTGCACAATAATGCGAAGACACTTAATGCCACTGAACTCTACAGTTAGAAGTGGTTGAAATAGCAAATTTTATTTTATGTATATTTTACCACAATTACATAGAATAAGGAAAGAAAAGGAAAGCTAGCAAACAAACATTTCTGCTTTATTTCAGTATAAGTTAGATTAGGTAATGATACCTAGATGTGTGGCCACAAAGAACTTTGCACCACTCCTTCTTTTTTTTCTTTTGAGACAGGGTCTCACTCTGTCACCCAGGGTGGAGTGCAGTGGCATGATCATGGCTCACTGCAGCCTCAACCTTCCCTGGGCCCAGGTGATTCTCCTACCTCAGCTTCCCGAGTAGCTGGGTCTACAGGTATGTGCCACCATGCCTGGCTAATTTTTGTATTTTTTGTAGAAATGGGGTTTCACCATGTTGCCCAGGCTGGTCTCAAACTCCTGGGCTCAGGTGATTGGCTGGCCTCAGCCTCCCAAAGTGTTGAGATTGCAGGCATGAGTCACCATGCCTGGCCTCAGTACTCTTTCTTGGACTGAATGTCCTGTCTGCAGTCTGCTCAACATCTGGCCTCCTGCTTGCAGGAGAAGAGCGGGTCTCAGAAGCTCACCCTCATTGGATGAGCAGAGAATGTGAGAGTTCTCCTGTATCTTAGGCACAGCCCCTTCACAGAGGCCCTGCTGGACATACTCAGTCCTCCCTCTGTCTCCAAACTCTCCAATCGGATAAGTCATTTCTCCTTATCTTCTGGACCAGATGGTGAGGGAGGAGAAAGAAGGTCACAATAACCCTCTTGCAATTTCCACATTGGATAGGAACAGTGGAAGTTCTCTCCCCTCTATGGAGACATAAGGGGTGGAGATTAAATGTACCTCCCTCACATGTATGTTAAGTACACGTGTGTACTTATGGAGATAGATCCCTCTATAACATGCTTTATGTTTATTTTTGATCTCAATTTTGTGGGAGTTGTGATATTACCACCACTTCAGAATAAATGGAATTGGACATTGACATAGTTTGCATGTCTGCTCCAAATCTCATGTTGAGATGCAATCCCCAGTATTGGAGGTGGGGCCTGGTGAGAGGGGTCTGGGTCATGGGGCAGATCCTTTATGGATTGGTGCTGTCCTTGTGTTAGTGAGTGAGTTCTCATGAGATCTGTGACATCTCCCCTTGCTCCTGCTTTTACCATGTGACTTGCCCACTCCTACTTTGCTTTTTGCCATGAGTAAAAGTTCCCTGAGGCCTCCCCAGAATAAATTATCCAGTCTCAGGTATTCCTTTATGGCCAGAAAAGAATGGCCTAACCCGGACCTGTTTCACAATTTACTCATCTTGATTCACTTATTCTAGTCTGTGTTCCCTCAAGTTTATGAATGTTTTCATACCTTTTTGGGATGTTGGTGAGTTGTACCAGGTCTTTGAGAGGGGCAGATCCTCAAGTGGGGAGGGATGGGCCTGCCCCCACTTCCCCATCCCAGGCCTCTCTTCTGTCTGGGCTCTCCACTGCTCTTCCCCCTACCAGCCCCTGCCTGCCCAGTTACCGGCTTTCAGCTTGGAAAGGCAGATGGTAGTAATTATCAGAGCATTCCTCTGAGCAGAGAAGGTCCCTGTTAATAATTTTTTTTTTTTAGTTGTTAAGGCTTAAGACTTGCAAACACTGAGACCCTTCAAATATAGAATCTTATATTCTAATGCTTTGATTGATACCAGATCCAGACGTTCAAAATTCACTCCAAAGTGTAAAATTTGCCACTAAAAGGAATGTTTCTCATTTGCCTTTGTATTTGGAAAGCATGTGGCTTTAAAAGTCCTTCATATCTCTCCAGCATTTGCACCCTAAAACTGAGCTTTGTCCTGACACATCCAATCCCTTCCTTCAGTGTGATGAATTTTGAATGTATTTTTCTAGAGACACATATATACCAGCATGATCTCCTGATGAAGTCTTAAATCCAGCTTGACTGAGGACGGCAGCTTAGTCACTTGGAAACTGCTTGAGCAGTGGTTTTCAGAGGTTTATTATGTAAGCTCAGGTTCAAGTCTGACTCGTCTGGGAGGGAGCTGGGAGAAATCCCCCATACAATGGCCAAGTGAAGCAGAGGGACTCTGACCCAAGCGCTCATCTGCCCTCCTCCTTCCTGTGACTGGTAATTCACCAGGTAGAAATGAAAAGATTATGGGACTTCGCACTGCCTAAACAAAAGATAAAGAAAGAAAAAGTCTAATAGTAGTTACTCTTTGCAAAGGCAGAATTTACCTTAGGTCTCTAGGCAGAAATAGGGGACTTCAGCTCCCAGGAAGGAACTGCCAGAATAAGATTTGGAAAGCAAATCCACAAGCAGGGCTTAATACATCAGATTTATACATGCTGTCGGCTTCTGAGTAATATAATTATTGTCATTTTTCTGCCCTGAGCTGCTGCCTCTGGTTCCTAGAAATAGGGCTAGAATATTTCCCACTTGGTGACATTTATTACCACCATGCCTCATAGAAAAGCTCACCCCGTCTTCAGTCTCCCATCCCCTATTAAATCTCATGTTTAAAAAGAGCCCCAGTCTTGTTTCCAGTTGTTAACATGAAAATGATCAGGTGACAAAGATTCATTTTTACGATACTGTATTGTGTCAGTTTTCCATGTCTCAGGCTTGTGAGAAATCACAGACAATATCAGGTCCCAGTAAGCACCTGGGCTAAAGCAAGATGGGAGCCCAAGTCTGTAATGCCACCTCTGTGGTGTAGACAGGTCTGTGGCGTGAACCCACGATAGACGCTTTGATTGATGAATGCATCATACTGGGGAGTTATTGCCCTGAGAAGATGGATTTATTGGAGGTGGGGTTCTCATGTATGTGTGCGTGTATACGTGTGTGTCAAATCTCTACCTTTGAACCTTTGTTCTTTCCTGTCTCTGGCCTAGAATTGGTGGATGTTTGGCACTCAGGTGTTGTTTTTTAACTCTATGGGCTGAGGATGATCTGCAGAGTAGGAGTCTACAGATGAGTAATAGCTGATCAGTGCTCAACACTCAAAGATGGAAATCAGTAGCTTGTGGAGACGCAACGTTGGCCTTGATCCTCTTCCATCAACATCACCATCCTCATCTTCATCTTCATCATCACCACCTTCATCATCATTGTCATCGTCGATGACCATCATTCCTAACATTAATCAAGAGTCTTCTCTGTCCAGTGCTGTACACCTCAGAAGTACTATTTATTTGACTCTTATAACAACACTGCAAATTAGATATTACTATTCCCATCTGGTAGCAAGGCACCTGTGGCTCAGAGTGACTAAGCATCTTACACCAGGTTACAAAATGGGTGACAGGCCACAAGATGTGCATATAGAGCGGTTTGATTTTAAAGTGTATGTCCTCAATACCATATGATGCTGCCTCTCATAAAGATTTAGCTAACCATTTTTCTAAATAGAGGTTTTGTCGTGCCCCAAATCAGTAGAATTGGTAAAGCTGGATTAAATAAAAACTTTCTTAAAACTGAATGCTAAAATGAAACAATAGATTCCTTTCCCTAAGCTCATTACAGATATGAAGTATTTAGCAATTTAATTAGGGCACACATTAGCCTTCATTGCAGTCAGTGGAATACAAATATTTTAGAACTTGACCTTACTCTTTGGTTTTGTGTGGCTTTGACCCTTGCAGGTCCACCTGCAAGCCCCTTCAAATGATATGTTTGCACTGAGTTTTCCTTCTTCATAATGGAGTATTCCCATGCATGACTGTTTTTCATTAATTTTCTTGACTTCAAGAAAGGGAGGGGTTGGGGAGATTTTTGGCTCCTAAGACTTCACAAGAATCAGTGACCAGGAAAGTAAAACAAAACAAGGCAAAATAACCCAAATCAAAACACACCAAGAACCTCAAGAAAGTGCTCACGGTTTCTTTAACTGTTCTGCTGGATTACTGAGCGTCAGGGGTTCTGTGAGAAATAAAGGTGCCTGGGGGTGGGCTGGAATCCTGGAGGATTGTGAAGGGAGGCAGATTCCATTGTAGGATGAAATGTAACATTTGCAGCTCATAAAACTTTTCTATGGGCCATTTTCCACTGAGTTCTCATTGCTTCTTGACATGTTCAGGAGCTTGGCCTGTTCACATTCATTGGCTTTATAACAGAAACATTCGATTAAGGTATAAGGAAAGTGTCATTCTGTCACAGGCTGAAAAGAGAAGGGGAGATTCAATCAGAAAAATGTTTGAGGGGAACATATAAACTGGTGTTTGCTCTGGTTTTAGTTCTTATTTTTTAAAAAACATTACATTAAAATAAAATACTTCTCTGATTAGGGAGGAAATAATTATTTAAAATTGGGATAGAAATCTTAGCCTGTAAGTGTCTCTTGATTCTAATGAAGTCTAGGCAATATGTTTTCTAAGTTGAGAGAGCTCTTAGATTCTCATATATACTCTAAGTCCTTTTGGTGATCTCAGCTCTTTTGGATGGGTACAAGGCGGTAGGAATTTAACAAATGCAGAAAGCTACTGACTCAAGCCAATTTTTTTTTTTTTTTTTTTTTTTTTTTTTTTTTTTTTTTTTTTTAGTGAGACAGAGTTTTGCTCTTGTTGCCCAGGCTGGAGAGCAATGGCACAATCTCAGCTCACCGCAACCTCTGCCTCCCAGGTTCAAGAGATTCTCCTGCCTCAGCCTCCTGAGTAGCTGGGATTACAGGCATGTGCCACCATGCCCGGCTAATTTTGTACTTTTAGTAGAGACGGGATTTCTCCATGTTGGTCAGGCTGGTCTTGAACTCTCGACCTCAGGTGATCCACCCGCCTCGGCCTCCCAAAGTGCTGGGATTACAGGCATGAGCCATCGTGCCCAGCCCCGCAAGCCAATGTTTTGAACAGTCCAAGGGGTCAGGCGCTCTCCTGTCTCTGGCTCCAGGGTTTTCTGTCTTGCAGTAGAGTAAAATAGATAAAGCACGTAGGGTTTGCAGACATTTGCGTTATTTACATGGACCTCAAACAGTTTATGGATGAGACACTGCAGAACCAAGAAATTCTCAAGCTCCTGGGTTTAGATACAGTCCTTATGTATGATCCAGGATGGTCTCCTCATGATCCCGTCTTTTGCCCCTGCACATTTTCTCCATAGTTTTTTCCAAGACCCTTTCCTAAGATGGAGCTAATTAAGCTAAATGTTGCTTTCTTGTCCAATTGCCTTCATTTTTCTGTGGCTTTTTAAAAATGATCGTATCATAGGCTGAGGAAGGGCTTCTTTACTAAGGCAACTGGATTTGTGGCCTGTGTTCTTTCAGTGTCCACTGGATCTCTGCTCAATTTGCTTGATCCTTCGTGGGGCGTTGTTTCTGTGCTATGTGACCCTTTTTAAGCTTTAAATGAGCCAGAACATGACAGATCTTTTCATTATTTCCAGGATGATCAGTCACTGCAAGCCCAAGGACAAGGGGGTCCAAAGAAACAGATTTGAGCAAGGGCAACTTCCCTTTGTCTCTCACGGCCTGGAGAAAATGCACCTGACCTCAGGCATCATGTTGCCTGTATCAAGTATCTTGTCTCTATCCCAGCAGCATGAGATTCTTTATGCAACCATATCTTTCCTCAGCTGGCTTCCCGCTCTTGCCCCTGGGTCCCAGAGGTTTTACATCCTCCGTTTACTCCTTTTGGACTATTGCTGTCAGTTCATTGAGGTCATGGGGCTGCATTTTACTCATGCTTGTTACCTAGCACCTAGCCCAGGGACCTGGCATATTGCAGCAGTTGGTTAATAGTCAACTGGCGAATAATCTATTCTTCCCTTTACCATCCTGAGACCTAAGCAACAAATCCATCAATCAGCAGATATTATCAGACACCTACTGTTTTTTGGGACCTGTGCTAGTCTCTGAAAGTCTTTCAAAATTCTTCACAACTAGATGGCATGGATAGTGATCATGCAGGACTGACCTGGACCAATTGGAAAGGATGCCTGTTGTCAATAATTGGCGTATATGTGTGTGTGTGTGTGTGTGTGTGTGTGCATACTGGCTTCATCTTGACCCCCGACACAGGATTTTTTGGTCCCAGGCCTCGTGGAATTTGTTGTTCAGTGAGAGACCTAACAATGAATTCTAAGTGTGTTGGTGTTGGAAGGATTGAGTTAGGTTGCTATGGAGGTATAATGGGAGGCTTAACCCAGTGAGTATTTGTGAGGGTCAGCGTAGGGAGCCATTCTCTGAGAAAATGCTTCTACTCCTGGCCAAAGTTGTCATCCCCAAGGCCTCCTATATTGACACAGGTATTATCTCCCCTCCTCTCTGGAAGGAAGGGATTGCAACTTTGGTTTCTACTTTCCCATAGTGACCTAAAGACTCTTAAGCTTTATATTAGTTCCCTTCCCCTTCCCCTTCCCCTCCCCCCCCCCCTTTTTTTTTTTTTGAGGTAAAGTCTTGCTCTGTCACCAGCCTGGAGTGCAATGGTGTGATCTTAACTCACTGCAACCTCCGACTCCCTGGTTCAAGCGATTCTCCTGCCTTAGCCTCCCAAGTAGCTGGGATTACAGGCACGTGCCACCACATCCAGCTAATTTTTGTATTTTTAGTAGAGACAGGGTTTCATGATGTTGGCTAGGATGGTCTGGATCTCCTGACTTCATGGTCCGCTTGCCTCAGCCTCCCAAAGTGCTCGGATTACAGGCGTGAGCCACCGAGCCTGGCCTTCTTTTCTTCCTTTCTTTCCCTTCCTCCCTCCCTCCCTTCCTTTTCTTCCCTTTCTTCCTCTCTCTCTTTCTTTCCTTCCCTCCCTTCCTTTCCTCCCTTTCTTCTGTTTTTCCTGTTTTTTTCTTTCTCTTTCTTTTTTCCTTCCACCCTCTCCTTCCACCCTCTCCTTCCTTCTGTTCCCTTTCCTTCCTTCCTTTCCTTCCTTCCTTCATTTTCTTTCTTTCTTTCTTTCTTTCTTTCTTTCTTTCTTTCTTTCTTTCTTTCTTTCTTTCTTTCTTTCTTTTCTTTCTTTCCTTCTTTCTTTCTTTCTTTTGGCAGAGTTTCCCTCTTGTTGCCCAAGCTGGAGTGCAATGGCGCGATCTGGGCTCACTGCAACCTCTGCCTCCTGGGTTCAAGTGATTCTCCTGCCTCAGTCTCCTGAGTAGCTGAGATTACAGGCGTTTTTGTATTTTTAGTACAGATGGGGTTTCACCATGTTAGCCAGGATGGTCTCGATCTCCTGACCTCATGATCTGCCCACCTCGGCCTCCCAAAGTGTTGAGATTACAGGCATGAGCCACCACAACCGGCTCTTTTTCTTTCTTTTTCTTTCTTTCTCTCTCTCTCTTTCTCTTTTTCTTTATCTCTTTCTTTCCCTCCTTCCCTCCCACCCTTCCTTCCTTCCTTCCTTCCCTTTGTCTGTCTGTCTGTCTGTCTCACTGTCTTACTGTCTCACTCTGCCACCCAGGCTGGAGTGCAGTGGCATGATCATAGCTCTCTACGCCTCAGACTCCTGGGTTCCAGCAATCCTCCCGCCTTAGCCTCCTGAGTAGCTGGGACTACAGATGTGTGCCATCACACCTAGCTAATTTAAAAAAACTTGGGTAGAGACATGGTCTTAGTTTGTTTCTCAGGCTGATCTCAAACTCCTGGTTTCAAGCAGTCCTCCCACCTTGAGCTTCCAAAGGGTTAGTGAGCCACTGCACTCAGCTCTTGTATGCATTTTCTAGGGCTGCCATAGCAAAATACTACAGACTTGGAGGCTTCACAACAGAAGTTTATTTTGCACCGTTCTGGAAGTCCAAGATCAAGGTGCCAGCAGGTTTGGTTTCTTCTGAGGCCTCTCTCCTTGGCTTGCAGATGGCTTCCTACTCGTAGTATCTTCATGTGGCCTTTCTTCTATGTGCAGACATCCCCGGTGTCTCTCCTTGTGTCCTAATCTCCTCTTCTTATAATAACGACAGTAAAGTTAGATTAGAGTCCACCCTACTGAGCTCACTTTAACCTAATCATCTCTTTAAAGGCCCTATCTGCAAACACACTTACATTCTGAGCTGCTGGGTGTTAGAGCTTCAGC
Organism: Homo sapiens; assembly: GCF_000001405.40. Lineage (NCBI taxonomy): Eukaryota > Metazoa > Chordata > Mammalia > Primates > Hominidae > Homo > Homo sapiens. Next base: position 17,391,717 of record NC_000004.12, on the reverse strand, counting down.
AAATGAATTTTACCATTCAGCCCATGAAACCTTTTCGATCTTTCAGCTGAAGAATGACAGATATTACCTGGGAAGATTGAATTTGGGGATTCTCTTATGTTTTGTGGAATACGTGCGATATTAACAAATAAGCAAATGGTGGGTATAGCAAGGTGGAATAAGACAAGGCAATAAGAATGACGGGACCGTGGGGAAAGGATTCCCTATTTAATAAATGGTGCTGAGAGAACTGGCTGAAAATTGAAACTGGACCCTCTCCTTACACCATATATAAAAATTAACTCAAGATGGATTAAAGACTTAAATATAAAACCCAAAAGCATAAAAACCCTGGAAGCAAATCTAGGCAATACCATTTAAGACATAGGCATGGGCAAAGATTTAATGATGAAAACACCAAAAGCAACTGGAACAAAAGTATGCATTGACAAATGCAATCTAATTAAACCAAAGAGCTTTTGCCCAGCAAAAGAAACTATCCTCAGAGTGAACAGATAGCCTACAGAATGGGGGGAAATTTTTGCAATCTATCCATCTGACAAAGGTCTAATATTCAGAGTCTACAAGGAACTTCAGCAAATTCACAAGGAAAAAAGAAGAAACCCCCATTAAAAAGTGGACAAGGGACATGAACAGACACTTCTCAGAAGACATACATGCAGCCAACAAACATATGTAAAAAAGCTCAACATCACTGATCATTAGAGAAATGCAAATCAAAACCACAATGAAATAGCATCTCACACTAGTCAGACTGGCTATTATTAAAAAGTAAAAAAAAAAAAAACAACAGATACTGGCAAGGTTGTGGAGAAAAAGGAATGCTTTTACACCCTTGCTGGGAGTGTAAATTAGTTCAACCATTGTGGAAGACAGTGTGGCAATTCCTCAAAGACCGAGAGGCAGAGATACCATTTGACCCAGCAATCCCATTACTGCATATATACCCAAAGGAATAAAAATCATTCTATTATAAAGATATATGCATGCGTATGTTCATTGCAGCACTATTTACCATAGCAAATACATGGAATCAACCCAAATGCCCATCAATGATAGACTGGATAAAGAAAATGTGGTACATATACACCATGGAATACTATGAAGCCATAAAAAGGAATGAGATCATGTTCTTTGCAGGGACATGGATGGAGTTGGAAGCCATTATCCTCAGCAAACTAGTGCAGAAACAGAAAACCAAACAACGCGTGTTCTCACTTATAAGTGGGAGTTGAATGATGAGAACACATGGACACATTGGGGGGCGAGGGGAACAACACACACTGGGGCTGGTCTGAGGGGATTGAGGAGGAGGGAGAGAGCATCAGGAAGAATAGCTAATGGATGCTGGGCTTAATACCTAGGTGATGGGATAATCTGTGCAGTAAACCACTATGGCACACGTGTACCTGTGTAACAAACCTGCACATCCTGTACATGCACCCCTGAACTTAAAAGCTGAAGAAGAGAAAAAAATGACAGAACCAAAGTCATGAGGGTACATAGATACCTTCTATTTGGAAGTATCAGGGAAGTCTTATCGATCATAACAGTAGCTAACGTTTATTGAGCATCTTCTCTTCATTCAACCAATATTTATTAAGGACATATTGTGTGCTGGAAACTATTCTAGACGTTGAGAATAGACATCAAATAGCAGGGAAGGTGGTCACTTTTATGGTTTTTAAAGTCTAACAAAACTACTTTTGCACATTATAGTGGCTACTGCCTTGCCCCACCTAGATCCCCATTTAGGAAGCAGGCACTTATTCCTCTTTCTGTTGGCCTTGGCCAGCCTTGGTGACTGGGCGACTGGTGTCTGAGGAACCATTCCTGACTGAATGGTTCATTATGTACAGTGCTTTTTTACTGCATGAAACATTTTAGCAGAAAAAAGAATTTGTAGGCTGATACTGAGAAGATGGTGGGAGAAGGAGATTTTTTGTTTTTGTTTTTGGTTTTTTTTTTTTTTTTTTTTTTGAGACAAAGTCTCACGCTATTGCCCAGGCTGGAGTGCAGTGGTGTGATCTTGGATTACTGCAACCTCTGCCTCCTGGGTTCAAGCAATTCTCCTGCCTCAGCCTCCCGAGTAGCTGGGACTACAGACATGCGCCACCATGCCCAGCTATTTTTTTTTTTTTTTTTGTATTTTTAGTAGAGATGGTGTTTCACCATGTTGGCCAGGCTGGTCTTGAACTCCTGACCTCAGGTGATCCACCCGTCTCGGCCTCCCAAAGTGCTGAGATTTTAGGCATGAGTCACTGTGTCTGGCAAAGATTCTTAAATGCTGATGCTCCTATAGGTTATAGGAGATAAACAGCCCTGAAAAGTAAGGAAACATTTCCTAGTTGAAGGCTTTATTACATACCACGTTCTTTCACTGCATGGAAGATTTTGCTGCCTACAAACTCCTTTTTCTGAGTTCCTCTTGTGGCTGTATTCACAAGTGCCCCTTAGTCCTTCTTGTGACTGTATCATGTTGCAACATATACCCCTGCCCAATCCTGTGTCTCTCCCTATGCCAAAAGTGGCCATTTTGAATCATACTCTGCAAGAAACTTTCTGGGTACAATCTTTATCTCAGAGCCTATTTCCTGGTAACCTGACTGTCTTTGTTTTGTGCTGCTAGAACAGAATTTCTGAGACTGGGTACTTTATAAGGAACAGAAATTTGTTGGCTCATGGTTGCTGGATGCTGAGAAGTCTAAGGGCAAGGGGATGCCTTGGCAAAAGCCTTCTTAGTGTGTTATTTCATGGAGGAAGGTGAAAGGGCGAGAAAGAGAGAGAAGGCCAAACTTGTCTGTTTTTGAGGAATCTACTCCAGCAATAATGAACTCACTTCCATGATAATGACATCAATTTATTAATGAAGGGAGAGACTTTATGGCCTAATCACCTTTCCTTAGGCCCCATCTCCCAATCCTACTGCACTGGGGATGAAATTTCCAACATATGCTTTTTTGGGGAACATATTCAAACCATAGCACTGACATAAGACATGATGAGGCTGACTAACTTGTGAGCTAGTAAACAATGAAACTGGGACATGAACTCATTTCTAACTGACTTTAAAGCATGTTATCTTAAATATTACCCTATGCTATGCTACTCAGAGGTGGTAAGTATGCTGGGCCTTGAAGGCTGACCAAGTCTTGGGCAAACCTGGGTTTTGAGGATGATGTCTGTCATTTCTTATTAATCTGGATGTGTTCATTGCCTGGGGAAGAATCAAGTCATTTACTATTGATCCTAAAAAAGCCACTGTTCTTTTTTCCTAAAGTGTCTCTGTAAGTGCAGATATTGATTCCAGAAAGATAATATAAGTCAATTTTTTAACACTATGAAAATATAGATTTTGTTAAAAACTAAAATCCATAAAGTCATTTTGATTTCTCATGATTGTATTCTAACTGCTGAATCCCATTGAACACCAAATGTTAACTAAGTTTAGGAAGGGGTGATATTATTGAAATACTTTATCTACATGAGGTTGAATTCTCTTACTAAAAGCACTGAAGTTTTTAAAAATGAAGTTTGTTTAAATGCCATCTTCTATATATGTATTTAATAGCCAACAACATTGATATGGTTTGCCTGTGTCCCCACCCAAATCTCAGCTTGGATTTTTGCTCCCATAATCCCCACTGTCATGGGAGGGACCTGGTGGGAGGTAATTGAATCATGAGGGTATTTTTTTCCCATGCTGTTCTCATGATAGTGAGTAAGTCTCATGAGAACTGATGGTTTTATAAAGGGCAGTTCCCCTGCACATGCTCTCTTGCCTACTGCCATGTAAGACGTGCCTTTGCCCCTCCTTCACCTTCTGCCATGATTGTGAGGCCTCCTTAGACACATGGAACTGTGAGTCCATTAAACCTCTTTTTCTTTATAAATTACCCAGTCTCAGATATGTCTTTATTAGCAGTGTGAGAAGGGATTAATACAACCATATTTTTCTATTTATTATCTCACTTGAGAGTCACCCAAAACTGGCAGGTGGGTTTTAGTATTCCTATTTTGTAGACAAGGAAACCGGGACTCAGAAAAATTAAAGTGCCCCTCCACAGCTAGAGAAGAGTCCACACTCAAAAACTAATCCTTTGTCTCCCACCTCCTAACTGCTGGGAGGTGATGTAGTCAACTGAATATTCTTTATGAGCCATCCTGTACCATGTTCACTCAAGCTATTGTTGCTGATCAACAAAAGCATCTTCATCTAGAACTTAGCAGCATGTCCAAAACCAGATCTGATGTTCATTGTGTTTCCCTCATGTGAGTTAATTATGCAGATGTTCATTCAATTATCTAAGCTGGAAACCCCAAACGTTCTTGAATCTTTTACCTTTCTGCTGGCATCCTTAATTCCTCCTCCCTCTATTTATTTATTTATTTAGTTTTTGGAGACAAAGTCTTGCTCCGTTGCTCAGGCTGGAGTGTAGTGGTGTGATCACGGCTCACTGAAACCTCTGCCTCCTGGGTTCAAGCTGGGACTACAGGCAGATACCACCATGCCCGGCCAATTTTTTTTTTTTCTACTTTCAGTAGAGATGAGATTTCACCATGTTAGTCAGGCTGGTCTCGAACTCCTGACCTAAGGTGATCCACCTGCCTCAGCCTCCCGAAGTGCTGGGATTACAGGTGTGAGCCACCATGCCCAGCCCCTCCTCCCTCTATTTGAAACTTCATTTTTTTCTTGTACCAAAATACTTATCAAGCCTTATTGTTACTCTGTCCAGATGATCATCATGTGTCATATAGACTAATATTAATTCAGTAGTTCTCTCACCTGTACAGAGTTAGGTGTCCTTGGTCTGTATTCTCTTTCAATACAAAGGAGTAATGTCAAGTTGTAGAGTCTAAGACAGACTGCTTGTATTTATGTCATGTTTTTACCGGTAACTGACTAGACTCTCTAGACAAATTTCTGTGGACAGACTCCCTTGCCTTAAGGTCTTCCTCTGTTAAATGAGGGAAAATAATAGTAACAACCTTCTTGGATTATTGTAAACATTAAAGGAAATAATATGTGTAATGCACTTAGAACAATGTTAAGGATGCAGTAAGCACTCAGTAAGTGCTAGCTTTTATTATCATTCATCTTCCTTTGGACATTGGAGCAGTCTTTCTCAAACATAAATCCAATCTGATTGCTTTCCTGTTTAAAAACCTTCAGTAGCTCCCGGAACCTATAGAATATCATTACAGACATTTTTTAAAAAGTTCAAAAATAAGTAGTCACTGTTTATTACATTTGATATGGTTTGGCTCTGTGTCCCTACCTAAATCTCATGTCAAATTGTAATCCTCAATGTTGGAGGAGGAGGCCTCGTGGGAGGTGATTGGATCATGGGAGCGGACTTCCCCCTTGCTGGTCCTGTGATAGTGAGTGAGTTCTCGTGAGATCTGGTTGTTTAAAAGTGTGTAGCACCTCCACCTTTGCTCTCTCTTCCTCCTTCTCTGGCCATGTGAGATGTGCCTCCTTCCCCTTCCCCTTCTGCCATGATTTTCAGTTTCCTGAGGGCTCCCCAGCCCTGCTTCCTGTACAGCTTGTGGAACTGTGAGTCAATTAAACCTCTATTCTTCATAAATTACACAGTCTCAGGTAGTTCCTTACAGCAGTGCGATAACTGACTAATACAGCATTCTACTCTGTGTTCCAGGCACTTCAGTTATTATGTTTAATCCTTTAATAGATAAACATGTATTCTTACACAACTTACATTATTATTATTTTTTGCTTCAACAATTTGACTTGGGAAACTTTTTATGTCAATGTATAAATTGACCTCATCCTATTTAAAAACTGCATACTATTCTATTTTATAGATGCCAAAATTCAACTATTCCCTTAAGTTTATCATTTTTGTACTGGTGAGTATTTAGGTAATATGGTAGATTGAAAAAATGGCCATAATTCTTTACTTGACCCTATGTGCATGTACCCTTGCAATGTGATATTGTAGCTTCTTGAATCAAGAGGCTGAGATTATTTCTTTAAACCTTGAATCAGGAGTGGCCTTGTGACTTGCTTTGACCAACAGACTGTGGCAGAAGCCATGTGTACCAGTTTAAGCATTGACCTCTTGAGGCCTAGCTTTCACTTTCGTTTTTGGGAGGCTGCTGTCAAGTGTGTGAACAAACCCCAGTGTTCCTTGTAGAATAGGAAAGACCGTGTTGAGCAGAAGCAAGCCTCCACATGTGCTAGCACCCAGTTGACCTAGCAGCTGACCACATTTATATGAACACAGTGAAGGCCAGAACTGTTCAGTTTAACCCAGTCAAAATTCCTAACATGTGGAATTATAAACTAATTAAGTAGCTGTTGTTTTCAGTCATTAAATTTTGGGCTTATTTGATATGCAGCAAATAACAGATACAAGTATTTCCCATCAGAATTACACTTCAGGGGACATCACTGTTCATATATCTTTGTGTAAATATGTGAGCATTTTTTGGTTATTTTTAATGGACAAAAAGTATGCATTTATCATATACACTGTATGGTTTGGAAATATGTATACATTGTGGAATGGCTAAATCAAGCTAATGAACATGTGCAATATCTCACATACTTATCATTTTTTTGTGGTGAAAACACCTAAAATCTATTTTCCTCTCAATTTTCAAGAATACAATACACTGTTATTAACTATAGTCACTATGTTGTACAATAGTGCTCTTTAACTCATTCCTTCTCTCTGTCAATACTTAAATTTAACCAAAATTTTATATCCTTGTGTGAGCATTTCTGTAGATAAATTTTGTAGTGGAATTTTTGGGTCCAAGGGTATGTACTTTAATAAAGAGAAGAGTTTTGAGGCCAGGTGCGGTGGCTCAAGCCTGTAATCCCAGCACTTTGGGAGGGTGAGGTGGGAGGATTGCTTAAGCCCAGGAGTTTGAGACCAGCCTTGGCAACATAGTGAGACCTTGTCTCTACAAGAAAATAAATAAAATCAACTGGGCATAGTGGAGTGCACATGTGGTCCCAGCTACTCAGGAGGCTGAGGTGGGGCAATCACTTGAGCCCTGGAAGTTGAGGCTGCAGTGAGCCGTGATCACACTACTGCACTCCAGACTGGGTGTCAGAGTGAGATCTCATCCCTCACACCCCCCAAAAATAAAAAAATAAAAAACCCCAAGAAAAGAGTTGTATTTGGCTCCTGATTCTAGTGGCTAGGAGGTTCAAATTAGGCAGCTACATCTGGTGAGAGCCTCATGCTACTTCAACTTATGGCAGAAGGCAGAAAGGGAGCAGGCAGGTGCAGAGAGGTCATACAGCAAAAGAGGAAGCAAGAGAGAAACCAAAGAAGTCAGATTTTTTTTTTTTTTTGAACGGAGTCCTGCTCTGTCGCCCAGGCTGGAGTGCAGTGGTGCAGTCTCAGCTCACTGCAAGCTCCGCTTCCTGGGTTCACGCCATTCTCCTGCCTCAGCCTCCTGAGTCACTGGGACTGCAGGCGTCCGTCACCACGCCCGGCTAATTTTTTTGTATTTTTAGTAGAGTCGGGGTTTCACCGTGTTAGCCAGGATGGTCTTGATCTCCTGACCTAGTGATCCGCCGGCCTCAGTCTCCCAAAGTGCTGGGATTACAGACGTGAGCCACCGCGCCTGGCCTTAAGCCAGATTATTATTGACCACTCCCTCTTACAGAATTTAAGCCATTACTGCAAGAGTGAGAACTCACTCATCCCCACAGGAGGGCATCAATCTATTCATGAGGGATCTGCCCCCATGACCCAACACCTTCCAGTAGGGTCAACGTTGCCACACTGAAGATCAGACTTCAACATGAATTTTGGTGGGTACAAATCACATTCAAACCATAGCATTCCATCCCTGAACCCCTAAGACTCATGTCTTTCTCACATGCAAAATGCAATCATTCCATCTCATTAGTCCCAAAGTTTTAACTTGTTCCAGCACCAATTTAAAAGTCCAAAGTCAAGCTATTAGCCTGTAAAATAAGACACAAGTTATTTACTTCCAAGATACAATGGTGGGACAGACGTAGGGTAGACATTTCCATTCCTAAAGGGAGAAATAGGCCCCAACAGTAGAGGAATATGATTCTGGAGAATAGTTCTTGGAAGTGCAGCCTAGGCAAGGCCTGTTTCTCCAGCCGTTCCAATAATTTTGTAATACATGGGAAAAAAATTCCTTGCTATGGAAACCGTCTAGAGAGATTTCTGTTGTCTGCAATGGAGTCCTAAATGTGATGGTATCCTTTTTGACTATTCATTGGTTATTGTTGGTGTTTAGAAAGCTATTGTGTTTTCCATGTTGATCTTATGTCTGCTCATGTTACTGAATTTTCCTATTAGTTCCAGTAGTTGGGAAAATCGGTTTTCTTAGAATTTCTAAGTGGGTTATAGTATTACCTATCAATGTGGAATGTTTTGTCCCTTGCTTTTCAAAAAATGTTATTTCTTACAAATCAAAACCACAATGAGATACCATCTCACACCAGTTAGAATGGCAATCATTACAAAGTCAGGGAACAACAGGTGCTGGAGAGGATGTGGAGAAATAGGAACAGTTTTACACTGTTGGTGGGACTGTAAACTAGTTCAACCATTGTGGAAGTCAGTGTGGCGATTCCTGAGGGATCTAGAACTGGAAATACCATTTGACCCAGCCATCCCATTACTGGGTATATATCCAAAGAATTATAAATCATGCTGCTATAAAGACACATGCACACGTATGTTTATTGCGGCACTATTCACAATAGCAAAGACTTATAACCAAGCCAAATGTCCAACAATGATAGACTGGATTAAGAAAATGTGTCACATATGTGCCATGGAATACTATGCAGCCATAAAAAATGATGAGTTCATGTCCTTTGTAGGGACATGGATGAAGCTGGAAACCATCATTCTCAGCAAACTATCGCAAGGATAAAAAACCAAACACCGCATGTTCTCACTCATAGGTGGGAATTGAACAATGAGAACACATGGACACAGGAAGGGGAACATCACACACTGGGGCCTGTTGTGGGGTGGGGGGAGGGGGCAGGGATAGCATTAGGAGATATACCTAATGTAAATGACGAGGTAATGGGTGCAGCACACCAACATGGCGCATGTATACATATGTAACAAACCTGCACGTTGTGCACGTGTACCCTAGAACTTAAAGTATAATAAAAAACAAAAAACGTTATTTCTTTTTTGTCTCCTATTATTGAGATTATTAGAATCTTTAGCATAATACTGATTTGTAGGAAGATTGCAGATTTTCCTGTGTTGTTCCTGATGACTGGGGATCTTTCTAGTGTTTCACCATTAAGTTTGATGTTTACTGTCATAGATACTCTCTGTTAACTTAAGATTTGTGTTTGTTGGTTTGTTTGTTTTTTAATTAAGCTGAGTGTGGAATTTAAAAGTACTTTTTAGCATCTATCAATGTAATTAAATGTATATTTATATATTTTTTCTTAACCTATTACAATAACAAATTTCATTAATGTATTTTCCCTAATGTTAACCCATTCCTAAGATTGTTTTCCTAATGTTAAAAAAAAAGACATTGTGGCCAGACATGGTTGGCTCACTCCTGTAATCCCAGCAGTTTGGGAGGCCAAGGCGGGTGGATCACCTGAGGTCAGGCGTTCGAGACCAGCCGGGCCCACATGGTGAAACCCTATCTCTACTAAAAAAAAAAAAAAGACATTGCAAGATTTGATTTACTAAGATTGTATTTAGGATTTTTCTGTTTATCTTCATAAGTAAACTCAGCCAAAGGGTGTGTGTTTCTGTGTATGTGCATGCTATATTGTTTCATGTGATTTTAATATCAGGATTATGCTAGCCCAAGAGAATGAATTAAACATTTTATCAAGCTTTTCCATGCTCTGAAATATTTAGTTGACATAAAACTTAGTATTCTTCTTATAAAACAATTTTATAAAGTAGGCCCAATGCCTTTTTAGTTCTAAATTTTTCACCATCTTTTCTAATTTCTTCCTTAAGTATTAACCTACTCAGTTTTAAAGTTCTTCTTGAGTCAATTTTTTCATTTACATGTTTTTAGGAAATCATATATTCATGTAGATGAAAGTTGAAATTGTACTCATAATAATAGCTGAAATGTATACTTTGCTTACTACGGTGTCAGGAATAGTGTTAAGTACTTTCTTATATAAAGTAGTTAATCCTCCTCGAGATGGGTACTATTATTAAACTCATTTTATAGATGTGGAAATTGAGGCACAGAAGAGTGGTTTAGTAGCTTTTCCAGCAAGAGGTGGAGCTGGGATTTAAACCCGTGTAATCTGGCTGCAGAAACTACTACCATTATTTCAGCCCCTCTGTATCTGTAGTTATGCCTGTCTTCCTTTTCTTTCCCCCTTTTTCCCTTTTTTGTCTTACTTTCCTTGACTTAATATATTATCATTATTATTTTAATTTTTGAGATGGAGTTTCACTCTTGTTGCCCAGGATGGAGTGCAGTGGCACGATCTTGGCTCACTGCAACCTCCGCCTCCCGGGTTAAGCGATTCTCCTGCCTCAGCCTCCCTAGTGCCTGGGATTACAGGTGCCCAACACCACGCCTGGCTAATTTTTTGTATTTTTAGTAGACACAGGATTTCACCATGTTGGCCAGGCTGGTCTCAAACTCCTGACCTCAGGTGATCCACCTGCTTCAGTTTCCCGAAGTGCTGAGATTACAGGTGTGAGCCACCGTACCTGGCCTCTTGAGTTAATTTTTGTTCTCTTTTCCTCATAGCCAAACTTACTAAAGAATTGTCAGTCTTATTATTGCTGTTGTTATTTCTGCATCTGAATGACTGGTTGTCATTTTATTGATCAAGATTATTTAAAAATTTTATATTTACTGTTTATTTTACACTTAATTAACTTATTTTATGTATTAGTGCCTTTCTTTTCCTTTTCTTTATATTTGTTTTTTACTTTGTAATTCTTGAATTGGATAGTTAGATAATTAACCTAATAAATGTATCAAAGATCTCTGAATGCCACTGAGGCTGAATCTTAAAGTTTTTGTTATATAATGCCGTCATTAGCATTAATTTTGACAGATTCTGTAATTTTGCTTTTAATTTCAGCTTTTACTTAGAAGTTATTTAAAATAGCTCTTTAAAATTCCCAAATAGTTATTTTGGGATAGGATGATGCTGGTTATCTTTTGTTGTAAATTTCTAATGCCTTTGGATTGTGCAATAATTTCTACTTTTGGAGCTTCCTGAAATTTTATTTTTAAATCTTTCATGAATATTTAAAAATGTATTTTTTGGCTATTATTAAAAAGTCAAAAAACAGCAGACTCTGGCAGGGCTGTGGAGAAATGGGAACGCTTATGCACTGTTGGTGGGAACATAAATTAATTCAGCCACTGTGGAAAGCCATTTGGAGATTTCCCAAAGAACTTAAAACAGAATTATCATTTGACCCGGCAATTCTATTACTGGGTATATATATCCAACAGGAAATACACCATTCTACTAAAAGATACACACACTCGTATGTTCAATGCAGTACTATTCACAAGAGCAAAGACATGGCATCAACCTGGTACCCATCAAAGGTGGATGGCCTGATCCTGAATTGGGGACTAGCTTTGGGGCATAAGGAAAATGTGGTACATACATTCTATGGACTACTACACAGCTATAAAAAAGAACAAAATTATGTCCTTTGCAGCAACATGAATGCAGCTAGACGCCATTTTCCTAAGCAAATTAATGCAGGAACAGAAAACCAAATACTGCATGTTCTCATTTATAAGTGGGAGCTAAACACTGAGTACTCATGGATATAAAGAGGGCAACAATAGAAACTGGGGACCGCTAGAGGGAGAGGGAGTCTGGGGAGGCAAAGGTTGAAAAACTGAATATTATGCTTACTACCTTGGTGATGGATCAATTGTACCTCAAACCTCAGCATCATGCACCATACCCATGTAACAAATCAGCACATGTGCCCCCCGAATCTAAAATAAAAGTTGAAATGACACAAAAAAGTATGTTTTCTGTTGTGTACAATTTCTTTATATAGCTGTGATTAAGCTTGTCAACAATGAAATTCAAGTTCTTATTTCCATATAGAAATACAATCATTTTTTCAGGTGTCTATTAATTCATCCCACTATTTCTGTGGATATTAGTGAGTTTCTGTTTGCTTTCTAACAATTTTTGTCTTGTATATTTTGAAACTATGCTGTTAACTGCTATGTTGTTAACTGCTGTTGTAGGTTTTTGGTAGGTTTTACATTTTGTCAACGTAAAAATTTCTTGCATCTCATTTAATGTTCCACTCCTTTGAATTTTATTTCATTTGAAATTAATATTGAGTCACTGTTTTCTTTGAGGAGGACAGATTGGGGAATAGTAGCTAACATTTGTCTGATTTATCTTCCACTGTCACCTTATTTAAATTTCTTATTTTAATGTGATTCCTATGAACATCATGCAGACAGTTTTTATTTGTTTGATTTGGTTTGGTTTTCATGACCAATCTGGGAGTTTCTGTGTGGAAAATATAACCCAGATGTATTTGTCATGATTAATGGTATGTTTGGACTTATTCTTGCCATCTTATTTATTTCATGTTTTATTTGTGTTTTTCTATTTTGATCTTTGTTGAATTTATTAGGCTTTTTTGTTACATTTTTTTCCCTCTAGTAGTTTGAAACACTTGCATACTATTTATGGTCTTGTAGTGCTTTCTTTTAAATTATTGATGTACATTTAAACACATTTAATAATCAACATCTAGAATTATTTCCATGGTGCTTAATCTGGTGCCTTATTCAATTATGCAAATTTCTTCCCATAGGACTGTGGTTCCCAGTCTCTTTCATTTTATGAGCAGTAATATTTCCAAAAAATAAATTGTGGATCTATATAAGATTGTCAATTTTAATTTTGTCAAAAAACAATGTATAAAAATAACTCTGTATGACATCTGTCATATGCCATTGCCACCATTTCATAACAGATACTGTATTTTATTTTTAAAACAAGTTTTAAATTTTTAATTTTTGTGGGTACATAGTAGGTGTACAGATAGGAAATTTTATTGCTAACAAATTACAGAGGATGTGGTCTCATAATAAAAGGTCATTTGAAACAATTATATAAATATCTTACGTATTTAGCTTTGTGGAAAATGCCATGCTGGTTTTTCTCATTTCACTGTGGATTTATGAAAATTCCATCATGGCCTGATACTGAATTGAGGCCAGGCTTTTGGGCATTATTGGTTTGCAACCAATGTTTTTTAGCTTCATTCCCTGCTCCTCCACTTCCTACTGTTTCTTGACTATTTTAAACCCTCTTCCTTCCTTTCTTCCTTTCTGTTTTCCTTTCCTTTCTCCTTCCCTCCTTCTTTCTTTCTTTCTTGCTTCTATGTGTTTATGAATGATACTTAGCTTTTTCTGAAATGCCTTTCCCCTGCACTCATGGACAGAGATTACAGTTTATGTGAAGGATAGATTTTTAAAGAATTTACATAATTCAAAGCTAACATAATTGAAGATGAATTTTCTCACAGACCCAATAAAAGTATTTCTGATGGTGGGTTTCTGTTTACCGGCTCAAGTGGTAGTAACATGAACACTGCTTACAATTCACTTTGCATAACAGCACTGAAAATAATAGTTGCTGATGAACTAAACAATGTTTTGGAAATTGCCTAATTTTGAATTTTGTGCATAGATGGGGACTTCATTAATATTTTTATACCATATACTTTCACATTAATTCAATGTTGCATAATATGTAATTGCCCTTCATTATACTACCTCCTCTGATTTCTCATTAGTGCTTGATTATATTTGTCATAATAATTGCAATAGTTGCAGCAGAAACCTTCACTCATTTTCTCTAAGAATGGAGTTGCTGTTCTAATTGGGTAGAGCCTAAGTGCTCAATTGGGCAAAGTTAATGTCTGACTGGTAAGAGTATAGTGCCTGAAAGGAAGGGGGACTGTGTCCACTCTCCGAGGGCAGCTCTGATTGATCCATTGTCTACCATGAGGCCGCTGATATGGTTTGGCTGTGTCCCCACTCAAATCTCACCTTGAATTGTAATAATCCTCACATGTCAAGGGTGGGGCCATGGGAGATAGCTGAATCATGGGGACAGTTTCACCCATACTGTTCTCATGAATAAGTCTTATGAGATCTGACGGTTATATAAATGGGAGTTCCCTGGCACAAGCTCTCTTGCCTGCTGCCATGTAAGATGTCCCTTTGCTTTTCCTTCATTTTCTACCATGATTGTAAGGCCTCCCTAGCCATATGGAACTGTGAGTCCATTAAACCTCTTTCCTTTATAAATTACCCAGTCTTGTGTACGTCTTTATTAGCAGTGTGAGAACATAATACAGTCACCCTTGGCCAGGACTCATTGGCAGCAGCATCCCATGGTGGAATTGCTCTCTTTGTGCATCTGGCTTCCAGGTGGCAAGAGTACCTAGGCAGGCCTGCCTCTTTTTTGATTCTGCTTTGGTTCCCACACCAAAGTGTCTAACTTAGACGCTAACTTAGATGCTAACTTAGACGCTTAGCATCTAACTTAGACGCTAAGTTAGAGGGATGCTATGCCCCACAGATCCTGCTATACGAGGTTCAGGGCAACTGACTTCTTTAGACTTTGGGTCTTTCCATATATTAAATCCAGCATTTACTTGAGCATGTGGTATGTGTTTCCAGGTGCTTTTTCTTCTCTTTGTAATTTGGCCCTTGGCTTCCTCTTTGCAGCTTGTGTGGACAGCTTCCTCTGTAGGGAAGGGAGGGAGGAGTGAGTGCCAAATTGCTGAAACCTCTCTCTAACAAGCATATCCCAGGTTTGGTGGTTGGTTGGGAAGCGTGGAGTTGTCCTTGTCTCATTTTTCCAGGTGAAGCTGACGAAGCCCAGGGTTTCTGCTTTGTTTATCTTTTAAGATCCAGTCCTGGCAGCTCCTGATGTTCAACATTTCTGCTTTATTAAATAAAACTCCTTCCCTGTTAAATCATTGCCTGTGAATAGACAAGTCTCCCTTCTGGCTGAATGAAACACTTTTCCTTACTGTACGTTGAGTGTCATTTTCTCCTCCAGGTGCTTGAAGACTCTGGCAAATGCCACTTATTGTGCTTCTTCTGGAACCTGAAGGCAGATATTGTTACCCTCAAATTCTGTTTCTCTGGATTAAAAAGCCACAACACATTCAATATTTCGCCACTGTGATTCTGTGATTCAACAATTGAAATCACTCTGTTCTTTGGACCTTTTCCAATTCCTTCTCATTCCTCTTTAGATGTGGAGGCCAAAAATGCAAGCCAAGTCTAGAGAAAAAAAGGATTTTTCATTGGCAGTTTTATATCCTTATCTCTCAGCTTAGTCCCCCTTGTCTTAATTCTAGACAAGCTCTTGACTCGTTCTACTTGTTGTCCATTGTGGTTCCCATGGGCTTTTATTCTCTTTTTATTTCTTAGCAGGTCATTGACCCTCTTGTATCTGTGGGTTTTGTCTGTTTTGGTTACAGTCTAATAGCTTATACTTAAAGCCTGTTAAATTGCACCCTTTGATTCTGTGGTTTGTTGAATTCAAAGTCAACTTGACACATTATATTGTGTATTTTTAGCAAGTTTGCCCAAGTCTTCATAAGCTATATTGATTACTACTAGTAACTTATTGTCATAGATTTGCTTGGCACTTTGTTCTAGAACTGTACTATCCAATGCAGTAGCCACTAGCCACATGTGAATATTTAAAACTAAACTAAACTAAAAAACTCAGTTTTTTTCAGTCACACTAGCCACATTTCAAGTGCTCAATGGTCACATGTGGCTAGGGGCTACTATATTGCACGGTCTGCAAGATAGTTGGAAAGCTTTGGTCTTATTCAACTATATTATTTTTTATTTTTGTTTACTGAGTTGTAAGGCAAATTTCAATGGGCTAGCACAGACATGGAATATTTTCATCATTGAAGAAAGTTATTCTGGGCTGTGCCAGTCTAGAAAGTTTTCCAGTTTGAAGAGTAGCTTTGGAGAAGGTCACACTGGTGACCTCAAATCATAGAGTCAGAGATACCCTTCTTTAGTAATTCCTAGTATTTTCATTTCTGAGAACTTGTTTGTATTTTTCCTGTTAAAAAAGGTTCTGCCTTGCAAAGTTTTTATTAAATAATGGATGTCTTCTCCCACTTGTTCATTGCAGGCATGAACAATTGCAATGCCATCTATTAGGAAGTAGATATGATGTCATTGAGCTGACATGATAGTAGCCAAAATTTTTAAAAAATTTTATTATTTTTCAGTTTGGGTGGCCTTATCACATGTAAAGGTGTATTTTCCATTATAAGTCTTGATCCTTACTGCCTTTCCTCTTTCTAGTTCTTCAACACAGGCTGATCATGCACTGTGACCCAAAAGGTGAACTCCCACTGTTGCTTGCAGACATCTCTTTGGCTGGTTCCCTTCTTGCTGTGTCACATCTTTTCTTGCTCTGATCTGATTTCTGTATCAGTCCTCTCCAAAATGGAGTGCTTTTTACTCTAGGAGTTATGCAGTATTAGAAGCTTTGTATTTATTTCTCTTTTTGGTTAACATGTCCTTCTTTTGTGCAAATTGCATGATGTGTATCATTTACAAACATAGTTCTATACATATGCAATTTGCAGACCATGCAGTTATATATTGCACTAAAGGCATTGTAATGGGGTGCACAATCAAATAACATTGGGAGCCTGCTGCTCATAGTTTTGTCTTGGTACAGGAACCCTGGCTTCTATTCTGCCTCTGCTCTTCTGGTCTTAGCACTTGCATTTTTGCCTTTTCCTAAGCAATGCTAACTCTTTGCCCTACCTGTAGCCCTGTGGACTCCAGTTCTAGGCAACAGCCTCTTGACCATCATCTTGAGAAAACAGCTGTAACAGTCCCACTTCTTTTATTTAACAGAGGAGTCTTGGACACCCTTTATGACTTGTGCAAGCCTTGGCAGCCCAAGGATTCTAGGCTGGAAAGCTTTGGTCTTATTCAACTATATTATTTTTTATTTCTGTTTACTGAGTTGTAAGGCAAATTTCAAAGTTTATTAAAAGATGTAAAGAGCCAACTGAATATTGCAGAAAAGGTAACCCATAATTTTAATCTTTGTCCAGTCTGTCACGGATTCCTTTGTCTAGTCTACTCTTAACTTCCAGAATGTTGCACACTATGTACAAAGGATGCCATTTTGCCAAGTCTCTGTTCTTGGTCTCACTCTTGAACCACTCACCAGGAGCTATTCCTGGGACCTCCTGGCTTCGTTTTCGTTTCTTTTTCTTGCCTATTTGCTTTTGCAAGGTCTTGTCTTTCTGAGTCTGAATTGGGTTTCTCTTGACAAGGATGTGGTTCTGCTGCTGGGCCCACTGAGTTAAGCTGCTTGGGAATGTCTTTTTTTTGGGAATGAATTATCCAGATCTTCATATGCCTTTACCTAGTGGCCATTATTCTCACCACATTTATTCAATTCCTTCAGGTGCTGTCCAATATTTTCTTTAGCCTCTTACCTTCATTTTCATTAGATTTTTTCAGGATCAGTTAATTTCTGAGCTGGAAGAGACCTCAGAACTCATCTAGCCCAACGCTTTCATTTTCTAAAAGCATGAACTAAAGGGAGATGACTTACTCTGTGTTGTACAGTTAATTAAAACAGAGCTAACCTTGGGCTCTAGCTTTCCTGATTTGTCTCTGGTTGTCTTTTCATTTAACAAACTTCTCAAAATGTCATTGCTCACAAAAGGATTTCCTGGCCAAATACATTTAGGCAACAATGAGTTAACCAAATTTAAATAGGTTTCTATATTGCAAGAGTTCTTTGAGCCTTTAAGATAAGAGATTCATAATATGAAACTCTAAGGTGGGTGGAGGTATACTGTATTGAAACTTACTTGAATATAAAGTTGTATACTCACCCAGAGTTATGTACATGTAACGCTGTCATTTTTTCAAAGCAGAGGTCCTCGAATATTTTCATGGGTAATTAAATACTCTTAACTATATTTTTTCCTTTACTCACCAAGAATTCTTTTTAATAACAAGCTACTTGATTCTTAGGTCATCTTTACTCAATGAGGTCAAAGTACAAGGTGTTAAAAGAAGAGGCTCTCATTCATCTTCAACTTTTTTTCCCCTTAGGGCAATACATATAGGATTTTTGGCATTTTGCTTTGTGTTTAAGTTGGGTTCCTATTTATTAAACCTTTTGATTAGGTTTATAAATGTCAAGGTTAAATGAAGGGGAAATCAAACAGTGCTAGGAAAGCCAAGAGGCAAATGCTCATAGTTAATCCATGTCTATTCTTGGGCATTTAGCTTTTCTCAGCCATTAGCATTCAGACCCTGTTATTAGCAGATAGACACCCAATCACCCCATGTGCATTATCCAAATTAGATGTATTGATTAAAGATACGAATTATGTGATATGTGTTGATATATCAAAATAAGATGATTTTAGCTTGACAGGAGAGTATTACTTTGCTCTCTCTCTGTGTGTGTGTCTATGTGTGTGTGTGTGAGAGGGAGAGAGAGAGACAGAGAGAGGGAGGCAAAAGTGGTGTGGTAAGTTAATATCTGTTTTGCAATTTTGAAAAAAGCACTCTGACAAAAATCTATTTTCCCCTATGTGTTATGGTATGACTTAGGAAATTAAAAAAATTAATGTGACTATAGTGTGAAATTCTTGTGAGTGTGAAATCAGTTAAGAAATCAAATAAATTAAACAATAGCCATGTGAGATGTAGTGTGCTGGTGAGTATTACACCTCCTCAATTTCTGTGTCACTTGTAATAAAAAGTATGATTCTAGCAGGAACTACGTCACTTGAATGAACAATCTCATTTAGTGAATAGTTGTCTTTAATGATAAACTGTTTATCACTACACACACACACACTCATATGAGTGGTCACTGGGCAGAGGAAGGAGTTAGTTATAAGGGGCTTTTTAAGATAGCCAAATTAGTTTTAATTTTTTATAAAAGTCATAAAACAGAATAGAAGAAGTGCAAGATTATCTTCTTTTAGAAGAACATTAAAGTGATAGTGAATAATTATACTAAATGTTTGAATGTAGCTATTGCATCCTTCCCCCTTAATCTCTTAGACTATATCCTCCAGGCTTCTAAGCTAAGGCTGAATAATAATAGCTCAGACATTATTGGATATTCACCTTGTGCATTAAGAAGCAAGAGTTACCTTCTAGGATCCTTGCAACCTTTTATTTTTAATTACATGCCACAGAAGAGATTAGCAAAGTCCTCAGACAACTAGCCCTTACATTTGCTGTTATTTCCTCTACAGAAAAATATGCATATGTAATAATTCAGGTTTTTTTTAAATCTTTTGACCTTATTTCATCGAACCTAGAACACCATGGATTATAAGATACACCATTGTTTATGTACTACTAAGAAAGAAAGATGTTTCTGCTTAAACTATGACATGCCATTATTCATAAGATTGAGATGTTAAAATTTGAAGAAATGTGTTGTAATCAGTGAAATACAGATATATAATTTTGAGCCCATGTAAAAGGTTGTGTTTTCCCTAGTAAATGCTATTTACTAGTTGTCTTGGCACCCTGACATCATGGCTGGTGATATGTGCAAGAAGGTTTAATATTTTTGGTGATTATCTGTGTATTTGGATCTTTTATAATTATTTAACTTCTCATCTATTTAAGATTATCTCCTAATTGGGTTGTAAGATACTTTTTATCAGGCCTTCCAATTTAGCCCATAGTAGTGACCCTTGCAAACAGCAGATATCAACAGGCCTTCCAGTTACACATTTGTTCATTCATTCAGCAAATGAATGTGCATATTGAACACCTACTATGTTCCAGGCAGAGGGAAGCTGGAAAACATGGCACAGGCTCTCCTTTCGGGGATCTCACTTGACAATGGGAGAGGGAAAAAAGTCATTGCAACACAGAATGAGAAGTGACAAGACAGTGATTCTGGGGTGCGTGGGAACACATAGAAGCCTGCTTAACTGAGACTTGGGTCACGGAAAACTTTCTGGGGGCTGTGAGGTGTGCAATTATGGAAGGGGATATGAATTAGAGATGTAAGAGGGAAACAGACCATGAAGACCTTAGTTTTTTAGTTTAATAATTTACTCAGTCATTTATCTTATTAATTAGTCAATCAGCAAGCATTTATCCTTTTTTACATAGGAGAAAAATAATCATGGTAGTACATGCTCTTGTAGGGTCACACTGTTCCAAGTGCTTTGGATAAATCAAGCCATTTTAATATTTACAGTAACCCATCAGGTGAGGATTATCATCCCATCTTTCAGATAGGAGAACTGAGGCAGAGTGGTTAGTAAGTTGCCTGAAATCCTACAGCTGCTAAGTGGGATTGAAACCCACACATTCTGTCTCTACAACCATCCCACTTAATATCACTCTGCAATTCTTTCCCATGATAAGTGACAGCTCCAACACTTACCATAGCTGTGCCTCTTGTTACTTTCTGGGTGTGATGAGATGGCTAGGATTCTCTCTTCTTACTGCAATGGGAATGCTCACAAGAGATGAAGGCTTATGGAAGCTGCTTGAAAATGAAAGTAGCCTGCTTTTCAATAAAGACATGGAGATACTCATACTAGCCCACGAGCTGCCCCCAACACTGGCCTTTGTGGCTAAAGGGCTGTATATATCTTGGAGCCGCCTGCTTTTTGATCTTGACTTCAATAAAATGAACTTTCATTGACCCTAGCATGTTCCAATAGGTTTGAATAGGAAATGGACTTGAGAGGGGAGGATCCTGTATCTAATTTACAAAGGCACATGATTTTCCCTGGTGACATTTTCCTCTGTGAGGTATTATTTGATCTTTCCTTTTTACTAAGGAAGGGTGCCAGCCATCCACTCTTTTCTTCATTCCTGTTTTTAGACTTCCTATCTACTGAAAAACGTTTGGAAAAATGCTAATCTCTTAGGTTAGCTGAGATATTCATGACTTTCAAATACCTTGGCATCATTATTGAAAATAAATATGAAAAATAACAATATGGGTTAATTTTTAGTTTTGTAGGTATAAGAAATATATTTCCTTTTTCTATCATTATTTGATCTTTTCTTTTTACTAAGGAAGGGTGCTAGCCATCCAGTCTTTTCTTCATTCCTGTTTTTTAGACTTTCTATCTACTGAAAAACGTTTGGAAGAAAGCTAATCTCTTTTAGGTTAGCTGAGATATTCATGACTTTCAAATACCTTGGCATCATTATTGAACATAAATATGAAAAATAACAATATAGGTGAATTTTTAGCTTTATAGGTGAAAAAAATATATTTCCTTTTTTATCATTTCAACATTATGACAAAGATAAGGAAAGGCACCTGAATCTTGTCCAGCAGCCCTCAGGGGTGATCTCAGGTAGATTTGGAAGGTGGAGACCTTTACATAGGATTTGTCACATTAGAAAATGAGTGTTGAGTGCAAATTAAAAAAAAAATTTTAAATTGACCTCATTAAAATTTGTTTTCATCTTCCTTTGCTAACTTTATTTTGTATATGTTTTCAACTTCATTGACTTTGCTGCCTTTCCTTCTCAGAGGCTGAGCTGGTAGTGAGTACTATATATTCTCGGTGTGTCCTAAGATTCTCTGATATAATATAAACTGCACTTCTAAGAGAATTTTTTTTTTTTTTTTTTGAGATGGAGTTTCGCTCTTGTTGCCCAGGCTGGAGTGCAGTGGCACGATCTTGGTCTAAGAGAAATGATTTTTGACACACCAGAGTGCAGAGGTTCCTTTTAAAAAATTGACTAAACATGCATTCATTTTAAAAGTGACTATCTTTTTCTTTGGAGGTAAAATATAACTTACATTTCTCAATGTGTTTTATGGATAAGATTGCTGATTGGACTTCATCTTAGGTTCCTGAAGTCCTGATTACCGACACAGAGCTCAGGGATAAGGAAGAGAAGCACAGAAACCGTGTAATCTAGCCAGTTTGCTGCTGAGGTTTGAGAGCTAGTTCTTAAAGTTTGGGCATCTTTGCTGCCATTAGCAAAAGGAGATTGGCTGCTCCAATCCCATTCCAGGAGTGCCTATTAACCCTGGTAAAACACATTTAATTGAGAAGCCATTAGGCTGAGGCACCTCTAGTGCTTCTGGTTTCTGGGTAAGCAAACCCAAAGCCCAGTGTTAGCAGTAAAACTAAATTTAAGCTTAACCAGTTAGAAACCACTAACTAAACTCTAGCTAGAGTCTTCAACAATGAGAAAATGCCAACTAATCTCTATGTAGGGACTTTCCACTTTAACTGATCAAATATATTTTCTTTGTCAGGCTTCCTTGAACACCTTCTAAAAGTTTCTCTCTCACTCTTCCCCTCTCCTTCGGAGCACTGAACCACTTGGGGTCTGGAGCTGCCCAATTTATGAATTGCTGAATGCTCAAATAAACTCATTAAAAATTTTTTTTTTTTGAGACGGAGTTTTGCTCTTGTTGCCCAGGCTGGGGTGCAATGGTGCAATCTCGGCTCACTGCAACCTCCACCTCCTGGGTTCAAACAATTCCCCTGCCTCAGCTTCCCATGTAGCTGGGATTACAGGCATGTGCCACCATGCCTGGCTAACTTTTTTTTTTTTTTTAGTAGAGACGGGGTTTCTCCATGTTGGTCAGGCTGATCTTGAACTCCCAACCTCAGGTGATCCGCCTGCCTTGGCCTCCCAAAGTGCTGGGATTATAGGCGTGAGCCACCGCACCTGGCCAAACTGATTAAAATTTTATTGTGCCTAAGTTTATCTTTTATTTTTTTTTAACTTTTATCTTAGGTTCAGGGGTACACATGCAGGTTTGTTATAGAGGTAAATTGCATGTCATGGGGGTTTGGTGTACAGATTATTTTGTCACTCAGGTAATAAGCATAGTACCCAATAGATAGTGTTTTGGCCCTCTCTCTAAGTTTATCTTTTAAGGTTTCTGAGCACATGGAATGAATGGAGCCTGAAAATTACATTCAGAACTCCATAGCTAGAGGTCTTAGTTCAGCCTGCCACTGACTGTGTGACCTTGGATATGTCACACAACCTTGCTCAGCATCAGTTTTCTCATCTAAAACATGAGGTTGGCAGTGGTGGCTGACACACCTTAAAGTGACTCCCAGTGAGTCACAAACCTGCATAATTCCCTCTGCTTAAATGTGGAAGGAGCCTGTGAATTGCTTCTAACCAACAGAATCTGGCAAAGATGACTGTAGAGGTTACAGTGTAGAAGACTGTTTCTTAGCAGCTTGAAAAGAGATGGCTGTCCTTACTGGCTTTGAAGAAGTAAACTGCTGTGTTATGAGAGTCCTGTGGAGAGGGCCACATGGCAAGGACCTGAGGGCAGGCCCTAGGAGCTGAGAGCAGCCCATCCAACAGCTGTCAGGAAAACAGAGGCCACACTCGTAGAGCCCCAGGTAAATGAATTCTGCCAACAACCTGAATGAACTTGGAGGCGGATTCTTCCCCGGCTGAGCCTCCAGATGAAAAGGTAGCTTGACTTCCACCTCAATTTCAGTCTTATGAGACTCTGAACTAAACTAGGCCTGGAATCCTGACCCATGGAAGCTATGAGATGGTAAATGTGTGGGTTTTTGGTAATTAAATTAAAAAATTAATTGTGGTTGTATTAGTCTGTTCTCAAGCTGCTAATAAAGACATACCTGAGACTGGGTAATTTATAAAGAAGAGAGGTTTAATTGACTCACAGTTCCACATGACTGGGGAGGCTTCACAAGCATGGTGGAAGGTGAATGAGGAGCAAAGTCACATCTAACATGGTGGCAGGCAAGAAAAGTGTGTGCAGGATAACTCCCCTTTATAAAACCATCAGATCTCCTGAGACTTATCACTATCACGAGAACAGCATGGGAAAGGCCCACCCCCATGACTCAATTACCTCCCACTGGGTCCCTCCCACATGTGGGAATTGTGGGAATTACAATTCAAGATGAGATTTGGGTGGGGACACAGCCAAACCATATCAGTGGTAAACACACATAATTTTAAAATTACTATCTTAATTATTTTTAAGTGTACTGTTCAATAGTGTTAAATATTGCACATTTCTGGGCAACCAATCTCTGGAACATTTTTATCTTTCCAAACTGAAGCTTTGTACCCATTAAACAACTTCCCATTGTCCCTCCCCATCACTGCTGGCCACCACCATCCTGCTTTCTGTTCCTATGAACTTGACTAACTTGAGGTGCTTCATAAAAGTGGAATCATAAGGTATTTGTCTGTGACTGGCTTATTTCACTGAGCATAATGTCTTCAAGATTCATCCAAGCTGTAGCATGCGTCATAATTTCTTTCCTTTTTAGGACTGAATAACATTCCATTGACTGTATATAGACCACATTTGGTTTGCCCATTCATCCATCTTTGGACATTTGGGTTGCTTCCATCTCTTGGCTCTTTTGAGTAAATGTGTCTTTTTAAGCCTCTAAGTTTTGTGGTAATTTGCTATTTATCAATAGAAAACTAATACAACAATAATACCACACAGGGATATGGTAAACATTAAGAAACAAGCTTTACGAACTCTAGAGTATAATTTTATAGTAAAGTCACATCATCTACACATTTAACTCAATAAAATGTAACCCTAGGGGTCAAGAAAAAAATAAAAAAATAAAAAAGTGTGAGCAATCATGCCAGTCATTCCATGCAATGAACTGACACCCTGGAGAAAGCCTGAAAAAGGAGTTGTGAATCTGTGTCCTCAGGTGCCCCAGCACTTCTAGTTGAGTTAGGTTCTAGTGTTTCTGAAAGTATTGGTTTTTCAGGCTGCATGACAAATTATCACACATTTAGCAGATGAAAACATAATTTTTATCTCCCAGTATCTATGGGTCAGGAACCCAGGCGGGACTGAGCTGGGTTCTCTAATCCAGGGTCTCATGAAACTGCAATTGAGATGTCAGCTGGGCTACATTCTCTTCCAGTGGCTGAGCCAGAGAGGAATCTTCCAAATTCACTCATGTTGTTGGCAGTGCTCATTTCTTTGTGGTTGCAGGACTGGGAACTCCAGCTTTTTGCTGGCTGTTGGCTGGAGGCTGCTGTCAGCATCTAGAGTCTCCCACAGTTCACAGCTTGGGAGCTGTTTCTCCCAGGCTGGCAGGAGAGTGAATTTGTAGAGCAAGTCTGCCTGCAAGATGGGGTCTCATATGATATGACAATCATATTATGTTTACCATATTGTACCCTTTGGAAGCAAGTCACAGGTCCCACCTACCTCCAAGGGGAGATTACACAAGGACTCCACCACCAGGAGCTAGGGATCACTGGGGTCACCTACAGTCTGTTTGCTGCACTAGGTTAAGTTCAGGTGGGGCCTTAAAGCGGCTCAGTGCTTCTTCAGCTTTCCTTATACACAAAAATTACCTGCGGATTTTTTTTTTTTTTTTAAAGACAGATCTTGAGTCTGCTCCAAACCCTCAGAATAATTCCTCCTGGAAGGTGGAGTCCAGGCAGCTGTAGTTTAAAAAGAAAATTCCATGGTGATTTGGATGTATAGCCATGATTGAAAACTACTGATCTAGTCCAAATCCCGTCTTAAAGACAGGGTCTCACTCTGTTGCCCAGGCTGTTGTGTAGTGGTCCAATCATGGCTCACTGCAGTCTTGACCTCCTGGGCTCAAGCAGTCCTTGCATATCAGCCTCTTGACTAGTTGGGACTTCAGGTCTACACCACTACCTGGAGAATATTTTGTTTTTTAGTGGAGATGGGGGCTATATTGCCCAGGCTGGTCTCCAATTCCTGGTCTTAAGCAAGCCTCCTGCTTTGGCGTCCCAAAGCACTGGGATTACAGGCATGAGCCACTGCATCCAGCCAAATCTCTCCTTTTAGACATGAGACACTTGGGCTTGGAGTGGGAAAAATGACTAACCCAAGATCATATTAGAGGCAGAGCTAAGACTAGAACTCAAGGATTCCTAAACTTCATTTTGTGCTTTTTCTGTTGCACTATGCTTTCTTCCTAATTTGGAATTTGCTGACAAAGTTTTACTTCTTTGCAAGCTTGTACGAAGGGCACTTCAATAGTAAAAAACTTTTCTCAGTGGTGTGCTGGAGCTGACTTGCACTGGCTCCTGAGAGCTGACTGTGGGCAACACTTCCCATCGCCTCATTTTAGTGACTTCACACTGGGAGCTCAAAACTGGCCATGGTGGAAATATTTACACCATGGAAATTGGCAAATGCTATATATCAGGCCTTCCATGGATAATCCTTCCTGGAGAGCTGGTAAACCTTCACCAGCACATCACTGTTTATTTTAATTTGAAATATGCAGGGATGTATTCTTACAATAAATATCATAAAATTGTGTTTACTCTTGGCCACATAGCAAATAGAGATAAGTAAGTTAAAAGTGTGAGCAATAATAGAGTGTGATGTCTTCCTTCTTATCTTGACACAATATTAATGCTTAATGAATGTTTGGTGGGTGACAGAGTGAACCATTTGGAGTTCATTCTCCAGGTTTTCTTGTTTCCAAAGTTAGTGTGGACTGGTTGTGTTCACCATGCAGGTTGTTAATTTATCCTCAGAATAGAGCTCGCCTTCCATTTTCTTTCCTTTTTCAGTCAGGGTTTCTTGCCCTGGGGGTCTCTATTGCTGCTGGATCCGTAAGATATGACGTTGATTGAATTCTCTGTGCATTCCCACATGCCAGATTGCCAAAAGAGGCTTGTGGGATCCTTTACCTGATTATCTGGGCAGATTCTTTGGGATATCAGGCGGGAGAAACCAGAATGGTGTTTACAGAAAACAAAATCTTCTGTTGTGTTCACAGAGTGAATTTTTCTACCTGCTTCTGCCCTGAGGGGACCTTGAGGAAGTGTTTCTGCCAGTTCTGTTTCATGGCTATGAGGTGTCACTTTGAGCTTTGATTTCATGGGAATCTCAGGGGCTGGAATCCCCACGATTTCACGAGAATCTCAGAGGCTGGAATCCCCACGATGGAGTAGAAAGCTAGGCTGTCCCTGAAAACAGTTCTGAAGAATTTCCCCTTGATGTGAGGCGCCTGCTTATTCTGTAGCCTGCTAGCGCTTTTGACTCCAAATTGTGAACCACGAACTTCGAACTTCGTATGGATCCTTCTCCTTCCCTCCTCCTACTTATTGATCTTCAACTACTGAGCCATTCTTTCTTTGTCTTTGAGGGAAGTCAGTATGAAGAAAGTGGCAGCATGGTTTAACAGAAAAAAAGACAAAAATACCCACGGATTTGAGGTTGGAGGGACCCGCATGGCTCCACCACTCACAAGCTGTGTGACCCCAGGGCCAGTTGCTCTCTGAGCCTTGGTCTTGTAAAATGGAGCCAATAATACTGTTCTTCAAGGTTGTTTTTGTTGGGAGGATTAAGTGAAAATTACAATAAAATGATGGCCAAATGCCTGGCACACAGCAAGTACTCAACAAATGATAGTTCTCTCTAGTGAGTGTTCCCTGTAATAGCACTACTAAATATTTATAGGATATTTCCAATTTTATGAATATTCACTGTATTCAGCATTTTACATGCATTTACTTCATTTTATCTTCATGGCAACCTTCTGTGTTTAGGAGACCAAATTTCATTTCCTCAATGACATTTTTCTTGAAATTTTTTTCTAAGATTATCCCACTAAATGCCCTAGTATATTTTCTTTGGAGCACTTACCATTGTCTGGAGTTATATTATGTAACTACTACATATTCATTTTCTGTCTCTATCTGTTAAAATATTAGTTCAAATGAGGAAATAAACTTTTTTGTTTGTTTGTTTTGAGATGGGGTCTTGCTTTATTGCCTAGGCTGCAGTGCAGTGGCGCAATCTCAGCTCACTGCAACCTCCGCATCCCAGGTTCAAGTGATCCTCCTGCCTCAGCCTCAGCTGGGACTACAGGTGTGTGCCACCATGCCCAGCTAATTTTTGTATTTTTAGTAGAGCTGGGGTTTCATCATGTTGGCCAGGCTGGTCTTGAACTCCTGACCTCAGGTGATCCGCCTGCCTCTGGCTCCCAAAGTGCTGGGATTACAGGCGTGAGCCACCAGGCCCGGCCGAAGAAACTTTTGATCTCGATTGCACCTCAGATGCTAAAATCACTGCTTGGCATGTAATAGATAATCAATAAATTATTTTGAATAAATGAAGTAAATATTATTACTTTATTCATTTTTCCCCATGAGGAAACACAAGCTTAGATATATTAAGTGAGTGATTATAGAGCTAGTAAGAGGTGGAAAAAGGCTGGATTGGAATTTAGGTTGTGGAACTCTGCAATCCATGTGTTTAATTACCATCCTACCCAGGCTTCTCTTCCATGAGTGAAGTTTTTACAGAGAGTCACTGTATTTCTCAAAGTCTATGTTAAGCTACATTATGGGGTCAGCACTGTATTGAAGGATATGAGATTTAGGAAAGAAGTTTAAAACAAAAATCTTCATTTTAAAGGATCTTACCCTCTAACTGGGAAAATTAGGTGTACATCATGAAACAGAGAGTAACAGAAAAATTCTCTTGGTTAACAGTGCTCAAAAGTTGAAAAGGAAAGTATATGGTTGTAATTTTTCAGAGATGTGGCAATAATAGACACCAAAGCTAGAGTTTTTTTTTGTTTGTTTCCAAGTCCTCTTCAATTGATTTGTTTACCTATCCAACAGACATTAAATGTCTACTAATTGGCAGGCACTACACTTGTTATGCAGTTTGCATATACAGAGGAATACCTGAGGGTCCTCCACACTCAAGGAGCTCATGGTTCATGGGAAAAGCAGATATATACAGAATTAATTATGCTGCAATATGTTAGACATAATCATAAAGAGTTTTATAGGGCATCAGGCACACCACAGGTAGAGGGGGGAGAAGGTGTGGGACTAGTAGCCAGGGACCAGCTGATGAAGGGCCATTTTGGCTACATTACAGAGCTTGGTCTTTGTTTTCTAGGTTGGTGATGCTCAAGAGGTGGTGATTTTGACCCCCCTAGGGAACATCTGGCAATGTCTGGAGACATTTTTGATTGTCACAACTTAGGGAGTATTACTGGCATCTAGTGGGTGGAGGCCAGGGGTGTGGCTAAACATCTTACAAGGCAAAAATAGCCACAACAAAGAATTTTCTGCCTCCAAATGTCATAGTATTGAGGTTGAGAAATTCCGCTCTCAGGAAGGGAGCTGGGTTATTGCAGGGCTGTAAGCAAGTGAGTGGTATAGAAGGATAGACTTCTGCAGTAGCACAAAGTGAGAACTGATGAGTATCTAGGCTAGAACCTTTGTAGTGGGATGGAGGATAATTGCTGGAGCTGAGGACTTAGTGACTATTTGGATGTGAGTGGGAAAAGAGAGGGAGTGGTCAAGTTTCTGCCTTGTATGATGGGGCATCTGGTGCAGCCATTACCTGAGGTCCACCCAAGAGGAATAAGAGATATTGGCAGAAATAGATGAGATCAAGTCAAGCAAGCTGGTTTGAGCTGGCCATGGGTTATTCAGGTAGAGACATTCAGTAGGCATTTGTCTAAGTGTCTCTGAAGCTTAGAGAAACATAATTTTAGAGTCATCAGTTAGAGTAGTGGATGAAAACTAGAAGAGAATATTAGTTTATCCAGGGAGAATGGAAATAGCAGTGAATTTAGAATTTTGCCCTCAGAAATACAGAGACAGGGCAGATGGAGAGAGAACTGTTGAAAGATACCAAGGAGTAATACTCTGAGAAGTAAGAGGTTAGGAAGAAAGTGGTGTCAGGGAAGCCAAGAAAAGAGAGGGTTGCATGAAGAAATAAATCCTCAGCTGATTGGAATCCTCAATCCAATGTTGCTGCAGTCCCTAAGAGAAGGATTGAAAGCACACATTTCAGTGGGTTGAGGAGTGAATAGAAAAGGCAAAAGTGCAGATAAGAGAGTGTAGATTATTATTTCTAAAAGTTTGACTGAGGCGGGGAGAAGAGGGAGGGAAGTGGGGCTAAAGGGTGTTGCAGAAAACTCACAGGAATTTGGTCATGCCCAACTCCCTGGTCCTTTTTAATTAATAACAGTAACCAACAAAATATTGGGGGTGTTTGAGGGTGACAACTGTTCTCTTATAATCTCATTGCCAGGTTATAATGAAAACAAGTCTCAGGCCAAATTCTGACACACATACGTACATGTATTCACGTATACATTATTTAGCGGGCAAACAATACATTCAAATGTTCCAAAAGCATCACAAATTCCCAACTTTCTGACCTTTCTGGGGATCTGATCTTCACTTTGATGGCACGTTCATTTGAGGCTGACTCAGTAAGTATTCTAGAGATACATTGCCATCTCATTGTTACCAGGCAACCAAATGGCCGGACACTGTTAGAAATCAGATCTCGTGTACCATTTCTAAAATTTGGGTTTTATTTTTTTAAATAATCTTATACGCTCTTCAAGCATGGACAGTGTACTGGGTTGAATAGTGTCTCCTCCTCCTAACACCTCACCAAAATTCACATCTACCCAGAACCTCAGAATGTGACCTTATTTGGAAATAGGTTTTGCAGAAGTAATTATATAAGATAAGGTTATATTTGATTAGGGTGAGACATAAACACAATGACTGGTATCCTTATAAGAAGACCGCATAAAGACAGACACGAGAGAAGGCATGTAAAGACAGAGGTGGAGATTGGGATGATTCAGCTATATGCCAACGAACACGAATTGCCAGGAACTACCAGACACTAGGAAGAAGTTAGGGAGTCTTATCAATTGCCTTCAGAGGGAGCATAGCTCTGTCAACACCTTGATTTCAGGCTTCTAGCCTCCAGAACCGTGAAAGAGTAAGTTTCTGCTGGTTTAAGCCACCCAAAGTACCAATTTGTGATATTTTGTTATGGCAACCCTAGGAAACTAAGATGGCTGAAAAGTGTAAGGCAACTCACGTCTTCTTGAATACCATAAATTTCACTGGTGAGAGACCATTTCTAATATCCATGATGCTAATTAAACCACTATTTTTTACCAGTTAAAGCTCATTTCTGACCCTTATTATGTTAATTATCAAAGCTTCTGGTGTTATCTGAGTGCTTTGGTTTGAATGCATGTATCCTTCCTAAATTTACATGTTGGCACTTACACCCCAAGTTGATGGTATTAAGAGGTGTGGGGTCTTTAGCAGGTGATTAGATCATGATGGCTGTGCCCTCGTGAATGGGATTAGTTCCACTAAAAAGGAGATTGAAGGGTGCTAGCTAGCTCCTTGTTTGCCCTTCCACTATGCTGTTCATGACATTTATCCCTTCTGCCATGTGAGGATGCGATGTAGCAACAAGGTACCATATTGGAAGCACAGAGCAGGCCCTCACCAGACATCCAACCTGCTGGCACCTTGGTTTTGGACTTCCCAGCCTCCAGAACTGTGAGAAATAAATTTCTATTGTTTAACAATTACTCAGTCTCAGGTGTTTTGTTACGGCAGCACAAATGGACTGATATGTTGAGATAGGAATAACAGAAGGGCTTGTAGTAACTTCCCCAGAAGTGTGAGCCCTAGAGTGCAACTTAGCTGAACACATGCGTGTGTTACACTTTTTATGCTGGAGTATTTTAAATTACAGACACCACTGGTAAGGGAGATTCATATTTTAGAATGGGAAAGACGTAGACTTAGGGAGAAAATTCAGGGGAGAGGAATGCTTGGAAAGTACAGAAGAAACAGGCAGCAGTAACTGATATTCATTGATAAACCTTTTCAATCAGTGTAGTGGTCAGGAGCATCTTAATGTGTCTTTCTGTTTTTACTTTTTCTAGAAAATCATTTTTCTTTTTCCTTTTTAGTAGACTATGGCTTTTAAAAAAAAAAAACTGTAGCTACAATTAATATAATATATAGGGTTGCCTACTTATCCCAGTGTGCCTGGATCTTTTCTGGCTTTGGCAGTAAAAGTTCGGTATTCCTGGAAGCCCCCTAGTCCTGGGAAAACCAGGACAGTTGATCACTGTTTCTATAATTGCTCAAACAGAATTTCGTGCTCCTTTTTCTTTCCTACTAAACATATTTTTCAACTAATTAGTAAGATCTTGTTAGTTCCTGTCTCCTGTGCCAGGGCAGTTCAGCTGTGCTGGGCCTCAGGGAAGAGTGGGGAGAAAGTGAGAGGGTCACCACCTGTGGACACTCTGGCAACTGGACAGCCATGATTTTTGGCCTGTGGGTTTCTTCTGCTTGTGTAACTGCTGAGCTTTTGGAAATGCCATAGAGCACCAGCAGGAAGGGGCCATTTATTGGTTTCTTCAATTTGCTGAATTTCTCAAACTTAGGTTTAAGTTATAGAACATTGATTAGAAATTCTTACAATATATGTAATGTAGATAAATTGATCTGTAAACCTATATGTACAGAGTGAATATGAATACTTTTTGTGATAGAGTTTTGTTTTTTTCTTGGCATGCATCTCTATTGCCCCTAAGTATTTCAAGATCAGAGCGGTAACTCCTAACTTCTGTTGAACTCGGCTACCTGGAATGCAATTGACATCTAGGCAGTAGAACAGTTTCTGAGCAGTCAAAAGAGGGGGCATCAATTGTATACAGTAAATTTGTATAGTTTAAGTAATTAAAGAATGCTTTAGACCCTCACTCTTTGCCTACAGATTGTTGTTTTACACATAATTTAAAGACCTATGTTATCTTTTTTTTTCTTAAAGCTCTTCATAATTTAGAAATGGGCAGTGTGGATTCTACTGGAAGGCAGTCAAGAGAAGGGAGAGATGCCCACACACTCCAATTACATTAAAGAGAGAAAAAACAATGTCAGATGCAGTCACAGAATATACTATGGTTTGGGGTCATTTTGTGTAGGGGCCCTCAATGCCACACCCCCTGTTAAAGTCTTAGAGTACCATGGTGATAATAACGATGACACTTAGGATGATATAGTCACAAAGCTCTAATGAGGTGGAGATTCTAGACTTGAGAAGCTGAGGGCCAGATTCTGACAAGTTCACCTTGTGAGAGCTCTTGGAGGCAGCTAGCTGATCTTCCCCAGATGTTGTTTTTTTTTTTTTTTGCAAACTTCAGTGACACCTGCAATAGAACTGACTTGAGTATTGGAAGAGATAGAAGCAGAGCAGAAGCATGAGGTGAAACTAAATCTTTTCAGTAACTCAGCAGCGAGTATGATCTGCAGCAACTAAGCTGTAGAGAAGCCCCCCGCCTCCAAAAAAAAAAAAATCCTCAAAAAACCAAAAACAACCAAACGCAGCAGTGCAATACATTTGTGGGTTTTATGGCATTTGGAAATGGAATGCAGCATCATTATCAAACTCATTTAGGCAGGAGCAGCACATGTGACATGATTTGGCCAAGAATCCTAGGCAAACCACAAGAACAGTTTAGAAATATGGATTAAATTGCAGATCTTATTATGTGCAATAATTTTCCCAAAGCTTCAGTCCGATCCAATGCCACTCAATCAGGGGGTCAGAAGTTTTATGGGGTTGTAAAATGATGGGCAGAATTCCCACCTTTTGGGCATTTCTACCACTTTCTGATGACTGAGGCCTTACATATCTCCATGATTTTTCCACTTTCAATTTCTCCCTTGTAGCCGGGCACAGTGGCTCACACTTGTAATCCCAGGACTTTGTGAGGCCGAGGCAGGTGGATCACGAAGTCAGGAGATTGAGACCATCCTGGCCAACATGGTGGAACCTCATCTCTACTAAAATACAAAAAATTAGCCAGGTGTGGTGGCGTGCCTGTAGTCCCAACTACTTGGGAAGCTGAGGCAGGGAATCACTTGAACCCGGGAGGTGGAGGTTGCAGTGAGCCGAGATCGCACCACTGCACTCCAGCCTGGCAACAGAGCAAGACTCCCTCTCAAAAAAAAAAAAAAAAAAAAAAATTTCCCTTGCGATCTCTTGTCTTCTCTTTCCATCTGGGAAACACCTACTCAACAGTAGAACTTAGCTTCCATGCCTCTTCTTCTGAGCTTTTTCCCAGGCTGGCTTGTAATTTATCTGTTGATATATCTGTCCTTTCTCTTAGACCAGAGGCCAGTGTATTTTTTTTTTTTCTAAAAAGGGTCAGATAGTGAATATCTTAGGCTTTGTCATCCATATAGCCTCTGTCACACCTACAGAATTGTGCAGTTATAGCACATAAGCAGCCACAGACAATACATAAATATATGGATGTAGCTGTTTTTTAATAAAACTTTATGGACACTGGTTTGGATTTCACATAATTTTCATCTGTTACAAAACATTCTTTTGATTTATTTTTTGCCACTTAAAAATGTAAAAATCATTATTTGCTTGTAGGCTATACGGAAATAGGTAGCAGGCCAGATTTGGCTTGTGAGCTATCGTTGGCTAACTATATTAATTTTCTATTGCTGCAAAACAAAAATTACCACAAATGTAGCAGCCAAAAACAAAAGCATATATTTATTATCTCACAGTGTCTGTGGGTTAGGAGTGCAGGTATGGCTTCACTGGGTCCTCTGCTCAGAGTCTTGAAAGGCTATAATTTAGGTATTGGCCAGGCTTGTTTTAATCTGGGGACTTGATGAGGGAAGAATCTAATTCTAAGCTCATTTACATTTTTGGCAAACTCATTTCCTTATGTCTGTATAACTTCACGTCCTGACTTTTGGCTGACTACCAGCTGGAGGCTGCCTGCAGTTCCTTGCCATGTGGGCTTCCTCAGCATGGCATCTTACTTCATCAAGCCAACAAGATATCTTAAGCAACGTAACCCAATCCCAGAGAGTGATATCCCATCACCTTTGCCGTAAGGTATTGATTAGGAGCAGCTCACATTTCCTGCCTGCACTCAAGGAGAGGAAATTATACAAAGGCATGAATACCAGAAGGTGGAATCATGAAGAGTCACCTTAGGGTCTATCTATTACACCAAACTCTGAACTATATCAGATGATGAATTCTGGAGACAGGAACAATTGAAGAAGCATCTAGGAGCCATTTTGGTATCTTCAGCATTTACCAAAGGATCTGGTACAGAATGAGTTCTTAGTAAATGTTGTTTGAAAGACTAGGTGGATGGTTGCTTGTACCCACTCAAACAAAGCATAAAGTTATTGTAATTCTCCAGTAAAGTTGTCATCATATTGCTGATATTAATAGTTCTGATTCAAGGCTATTGATAACACTAAGACATATTTGTGGGAATACAACTTTAGGATAGATGGCAATAGATGGCAATTTCTCATGTGATATATAAGACATATTTGTGGGAATAGGATTTTAAGCAGAAGCCTAAATTTGACCTAAATTCTTTCTTGGATTTGGATTCATGGCTAGATCGAATTCATCAGGTATCAAGAGTGCTTTCCATGTGGGGGATAATGAATGACTTGAAATATGCTCCAGTCAATCAGCATAAAAACAAAATTGAAACAGGAGAATCCATTTTAAAGCTCTAACCAGGGTACCAGTATAGTGAAACATTTCCGGAAGCAATTTTCAAAGATGCGCAAATGTTGCTTTTTGGGTGTTTATTTCCCTGAATGAATATAGCCAAAAACAAGGTGAATTTTTATTTATATGAAGGGTACCAACTTTTAAGCAGTAATGGGAAGGAAGAGATAGCTAGAATGTGAATTCAGAAGGGCAAAATTAATGATACTGAAGTAGGTGTCTATGGAGTGAATATGACTGTGGGCAAAGTCGTCCGAACTGCCAGACTCCCCAAAGCCTCAGCTCCTGAGCATCTTCTGATTGAAACACATGGAGCCACAGTCATAACACCTGTTCCATCTGCCAATCTCCATCAAACACCTACATCTATTGCCATCGATTGCAATTTCTGTTGTGTTATCTATCTAATTACCTATCTATCTCTTCAACTTCTGCTTTATGGTTCACCTGATTATTTCCTTTCCCATTCAGAGATGGGATTGGGGTGAGAGTTCTCTTTTATGTGGTTTGTTTTGCATCCTGATTGCAACAGATGGTTTCTCTAAATGCACATCTGGTTATGGACTATAAAAGAACTCAAATTGGGCTCTGCTGATGTAAAGTGAGACTTTGTTTTCCTTTTTTGTTTGGGAAGTATCCTCTTTTATTGGGATTAAGAATAATATTCTTTCAATAACAGGTCATAAAAGCCAGAACCTGAATTTTTAGATTCAAATAGATCAATGGCCTTTTGTCAGCTTTGGGCTGCTGCCATCTTGCCAACTCCATCCTCAACATTATCTTCCCAACTCATGAAGGCAGAGTGTACAGCGTCCAGGAGAACAGGTCGGACATTTGAATTATAGCTTGGATTCTGACCTTGAACACTCAATTTCAATCAGCTTGTTTCCACATCTGTTCTTTAAGATAATCGAACTAGATCCTTTTCAAAGGCTCTTCAAACTCAAACACTAGCATTCAAGGATTATCAGAATTTATTAAAACAAATTGGTAAGTTCAGGGGATGTTTGGATTTGTTTTTGTTCATTTTGATAAATTATTTTTTCCTTAATAAAAAGCATGCACAACTAAAATTCTTTATTCATGAAATTCATACAGGAAAAATAACCTTTGCTATTATGTATATCTAGTTCTCCTTCTAGCCAAACACACCAAAGTGAATGTACTTTAAATGTGATTTTTGATAAAATGGTATTGCTTTGGAATCTCATTATTATACATAGTAGATCAGATTGTCCCACGTTAGACATTGGGGGTACAAAGATGAATAGGATGTGGACTCTGCCTCCTGAAGTCAATCTTCCACACTGTTGTCATGGATGTAGATGAAGCATGCGAGATGTTTCTTGTCACTCTCCTATTTGAACTTCAGTGTTGTCCTTGGTTTCATCCATTCAGTCAACAGATGTTTATTGAACATTTACTATATGCCAGATTTTGGGCTTAATTGGGGCTACACAGTGAATGAGGCAGATGAGGTACCTGCCTCCTTGGTTGGTGCTTACTTTTTTGGCAGGAGAATTCAGGTAATAAACAGTTAAACAACAATCAAACGATCTTTTCAGATTGTGATAAGTACTTGAAAGAAGCAGAGTGATATGTGAGGTAGTTAATCTTGGATGGTCTTATTTTGCAAATGTGATTAGGACATTCTCTCTGGGAGCTGACATTTGAACTGGCACATGAATGATGAGAGGTGGAGAAAGAGGGTACAATAGGAACATTGGGATGAAGGGCCTGAGGAGGGAAATATCCAGATATGTTCAAAAGGAAAACAAAAATAAAGCAATGGAAACCAGTTCCCAAAAGTTGTTAAGCAAGGAGGAGAGTAACATGAAGAAAGTCAGACAGGTGGGCAGGGGCTAGATCACGTAAGGGCTTATTGACTAAGGTAATTTTTTCCAATATTCAGAGGGAAGCCATTGTAAAGGTTTACATGGTTTCATGATATGACATGTCATGACTTATGTTCTAAGAGAATCATTCTTGCAGCTCTGAGGATAATCATTGTGTATATGTGCTGGTGGAGTCGGGACAGGGGAGGGGGTCAGGAAGAGCAATAAGGAGATGACTGAGGCAGAGCAGGTGACAGATTTTGATGACATGGATTTGGGTGGTGGAGGTGGACTGGCATGGATAGATTTGAGACATATTTTGCAAATGGAGATGGTAAGACTTGTTGATGGACTGGATGAGGGAGCTGAAGGAAAGGAAAAATAAGGAAAATTCTAAGTTGTTGGCTGGTGGAATGAGATCCTGGTGTTATTTATTGAGATGTGGAAGACTCAGGGTGAAGAATATTTAGAAGAGGAGGCAGAGTCAAATAATTCTGGGGGACATGATACTTTCGAGATGTGTTTAGCCAATTCGAATGAAGATGGGAAGTAGGATGTTGGATATATGGGGGGAGAAGACACATTTGGGACTTAGAGAACATGAATGGTAATTTTATTCATGGACTAGGTGATGATAATCTAAGAAGAACAAAGAAGATAAATAACAGAAGTGGGGAGTCTTGGATAGAGCTGAGGACACACCAGCATTTTTGGTAGCAAGTGACAGAAGCCAAGTCAAAGCAATTTAAGCACATAGGGAAGAAAGAAAATTTACTAGAAGGATTCTGGGGTATTTTTCTTTTCTTTTCTTTCTTTTTTTATTTTTTTGAGACGGAGTCTCACTCTGTTACCAGGCTGGAGTGCAGTGGCATGATCTCAGCTTACTGCAAACTCTGCCTCCAGGGTTCAGGATTCTCCTGCCTCAGTTTCCTAAGTAGCCGGGACTACAAGCGCATGCCACCACACCCAGCTAATTTTTTTGTATTTTTAGTAGAGACAGGGTTTCAACATGTTGGCCAGGATGGTCTCGATCTCCTGACCTTGTGATCCGCCTGCCTCGGCCTCCCAAAGTGCTGGGATTACAGGCGTGAGCCACCGCACCCGGCCCGATTCTGGGGTATTTCAAGCAACTTACGCAAGAACTGGAAAGAAATTCCCATGAACTCTAGGCATCCCTGTCTTCTTTCCAGCTGCTGCTTTGCTGGGTTCATTTGCTTTATTCTTCACATCCTGAGAGCAGCTTTTTCTTGCTTCTCTCTGTGCATGACATCACGTAGTTTTTACTTTTTCATCTCTATTCAGGAGGACAGCCTAGTCTGATTAGTATGTTCTCATACCAATTCCAGATTCACCAGAGAGGATCTGTTTGGTCCAGCGTGGGTCACGTGGGCACCATGGTCTGATAAACTATGCTCAGGAGAGTCATGGGATAGAAATATGGCTGCTGGGAGCTTAATCCTGCAGGTGAATCCTGCTTCTCAGAAAATGTGAGCTGGGCATTTACTGCCATCATCACATGGGCCACACCTTCTTGCCTGTCTCAGCTTTGCACACTTGTCAAATGCAGTTCTGATATCTCGGTCATACTCTGTGCTGATCCATGTTTCCATGCCTTTCCTTCGGTGGTTTCCTCTGCCAGAGATGCTGGGTCCATCTTTCTTTGCTTATATGTTTTAGTCTGTCCGGGCTGCCATAACAAAATGCCACAGACTGGGTGGCTTGAATAACAGACATCTATTTCTCACATTTCTGAATCCTGGAATTTCAAGATCAGGGAAGTAGCATAGTTAGTTTCTGGTAAGGGCCCTCTTTCCGGCTTGCAGATGGCCACCTTTCTGCTGTGGCCTCACATGGTAAAAGGAGACACAGAAAGCAAGCTCTCTCATATCTGTTTTTATAATGACACTAATCTTATCATGAGGGCCCTACCCTCATGACGTCATCTAAACCTGATTACTTCCCAAAGGCCCCATTTCCAAATACCATCACATTGTCAATTAGGGATTCAACATACGGATCTGGGGAAACACAATTCAGTCCATAACACCATCCAACTTTCCCATCCTTCGGGGTTCACTCCTTTCTGTTGTTTTCTCCAGGAAGTCTTTCCAGATTCTCCAGGGGCCTAAGCGCTCAGCTAGTGCCCTTTCACATTGAGAGCCACTGGGATACACATGGATGGGAGCATTTACCACGTTAGTTCAAACTACTTGTTTACAGCCTGCCTCTCCTCCAGGGCAGGGTCTGTGTTAAATTCGTTGCTGTATTCCTAGCTTCATGCAGTATGCTCTCAAAATATGCTGGATGAGCTCAAGTAACTACTGGTCAAGATGACAATACCTGTGAATAGACTGTAATACAGTCTGATTAGTGCAATGATAGAAGCAAGTTCAAGTTGCAGAGAGAAGTGATTATTAATTCCATCACCTAGGGAGAGGAAAGATACTTCCCCGGGGACTGAGGCTTCTGAGCTGAGTTTTGGAGGGTGTTTAGAAACTGGTTCATCAGACTGTGTGTGTGTGTGTGTGTGTGTGTGTGTAGGCATGTGTGTGGGGAAGGAAGAGGAGGTAAGGATGGGGTAACTATTCTAGCTTTTTGTATGGTATTGGGAACATAAAGAGGGATATGTCACAAGCTCTGCCTTTTGGAGGTGGATTTTATTTTATTTTTTATTTTTTTATTTGATTTATGTTTTTGAGATGGAGTCTCACTCTGTCGCCCAGGCTGGAGTACAATGGCGCAATCTCGGCTTACTGCAACCTCCATCTCCCAGGTTCAAGCCATTCTTCTGCCTCAGCCTCCTGAGTAGCTGGGATTACAGGCGCACACCATCATGCCCAGCTAATTTTTGTATTTTTAGTAGACACAGGGTTTCACCATGTTGGCCAGACTGGTCTCAAATTCCTGACCTCAGGTGATCCACCCGTCTCGGCCTCTTGAAGTGCTGAAATTAAGGTGTGAGCCACTGTGCCTGGCCTGGGAGATGCATTTTAATTGGGTGTAGACAGGAGTGAGCTGAATGAGAAAGCAGGACTGCCCAAGCTAAGTACAGAATTATTTGCTATTGGCTGATAAGAGAGTCAGTCAGTAATGTGACAGTGGTTTGTAACAGAGAAATAAATGTATCTGCACAATGATTAGTAGGAGGGATTATACAACTGCTTCCCCTATCTGCATAAAGAAGCCTAGAAAGGCCTAGCCAGAGAAAGGCATGGGCCAGCCAGAGAAGACTGAAAGAAACAGAATCTATGGACAGGAAGTGTCCATTCTTAGAACACATACTACATTTTGCCATTGGGTGCCATTCAGTCCTAGTACTTTATTTGTAAAATACTGGTGGTAATAACATCCTCACCATCCATCATTGTAATCAGGCTTATTATTTGCATCATAGATGATGTAAAGCACATTACAAATATTTTCTTACTTAATCCTCAAAGCAACTATATGCAGGAAATACCTAGGGAAAATTCTCATTTTCTATTTGAGGAAATTGAGGCTCCACTAAGGTTCAAAGACTTGGAATTCTCTTTCCTCACATTCCTGGTGGGCACCTGCTCGTCACTCAGGACTCTGCTTAAATGTGATTCCTCAGAGAAGCCTGTGCTCACCACTTAGTCTCAAGCAGTCCCCCTCTGGGATCTCTCATAGCAGCCTGTTCTTGGGCTTCATATTAGTTATGTATTATAATGTAACAAATTGCCCCCAAACTTGCTTAAAGCAACACATATTTGTTATTTCATAGTTTCTGTGGGTTAGGAGGTTGAACATGGCTTTTTGTGGTCCTCTACTCAGTCTCTCACAAGGTTATAATCAAGGTGTTGGCTGGGGTAAAGTCTTATCTGAAGGCTTGATAGGGGAAGGATCTGCTTCTGAGCTCTCATGCTTATTGGTGGGCTTCAGTTAATTGTGGGTTGTTGGACTAAGAACCTCAGTTCCTTGCTAGATGTTGGCCAGAGACTGCCCTCAATTTCTTGTCATGTGGATCTCTCCAACATGGCAGCTTGATTCATCAAAGATTGCAAGGCAGAATCTTCCGGCAAGGTACAATCACAATCTTAGGTAACCTAATCATGGAAATAACACGCCATAACCTTTGCCATATTCTGTTGGTAGAAGCAAGTAGCTAGGTTCAGCTCACACTTAAGCAGAGAAGATTACACAAAAGTGTGAATACCAAGAGTCAGGGTTGTTGGGGCTATCTTAGAGTCTGTTGGCCACATGCTCACAGTATTTAATCCAAATTCCATTAGGTTTGCTTGACTCTTGTCTGGCCCGTTACATAGACAGCTCTGAGGACAGGGTTTGAGTACAGTTCTAGCCACAGGATGGAACATGGAGCCTAGTACTTAGTAGGTGCTCAGTAACCTTGTGTTGAATAAATCAATGACTTGTTCAGGATCACACTGTGCCTAAGGCCTTGGGAGCCCACCCCTTGCATCAGTGTGGCCTAGATGTGAGACATGGAGTCAAAGGAGATTAATTTGGAGCTTTAAGATTTAATGACTGCCCTGCTGGGTTTTGGACTTGCATGGGGCCTGTAATCCTTTGTTTTGGCTGATTTCTCCCTTTTGAAATGGATGTATTTACCCAATGCCTGTATTCCCATTGTATCTTGGAAGTAATTAACTTGCTTTTGGGACTTGCCTGTCTCAGATGAGACTTTGGACTATGGACTTTTTTAGTTAATGCTGAAATGAATTAAGACTTAGGGGACTACTAGAAGGGACGATTGTATTTTGCAACGTGAGAAGGACATGAGATTTGGGAGGGGCTAGGGGCAGAGTGATACGGTTTGGATTTGTGTCCCTGCCCAAATCTCATGTCAAATTGTAATCCCCAGTGTTGGAGGAGGGGCGTGGTGGGAGGTGATTGGATCACGGGGGTGGATTTTCCCCTTGCTGTTCCCATGATAGTGAGGGTGTTCTCACAAGATCTGATCATTTAAAAGTGTGTAGCATCTCTTTCGTCACTCTCTCTTCCTCCTTCTCTGGCCATGTAAGATGTGCTGGCTTCCCCTTCGCCTTCTGCCATGATTGTAAGTTTCCTGAAGCCACCCCAGCCATGCTTCACGTACAGCTTGTGGAATTGTGAGTTGATTAAGCCTCTTTTCTTTATAAATTACTCAGTCCCAAGTAGTTCTTGATAGCAGTGTGAGAATGGACTATAATACACACAGCATGGCACCAGCAGCACTGTGGTAAGTCAGGTCTGTCGGTCAGCAAAACTCTGATCTTTTTACCTGAGTCACTCCCTCCCATGAGCATAAGAGGGAAATGGGTAAAGTATCGTTTTGGAAGAAACCATTATGCTGCCTGATAAATGCCATTGGAGGCCCTGTTCTTTCCAAGATTGTTAAGTTACAATGTGAGTTACTTGGTAGAACTTCACTTCCTGGATCATGGAAAATTGACTTTGATGTCCACTAATTGATGTAATAAATTTTCCTTAGTTTTATTTTCTATTTATTATGATAATAATTGAAAGGGCTCAAACATCTCCTAGAATTTGAAAAAAGCATAGGGAAAATTCTATTGTTTTTAACCTTTCATAACTTTTTAGCCTTGGAAGATACAAAGTCCAGTTAGGATTTAATAAGGAAAATACCTATCATGGTATA
Organism: Homo sapiens; assembly: GCF_000001405.40. NCBI lineage: Eukaryota > Metazoa > Chordata > Mammalia > Primates > Hominidae > Homo > Homo sapiens. The sequence goes on along the minus strand of NC_000004.12, from coordinate 17,348,876 downwards.
GTGGAAAATGTCAGATGGAATAAGTTTGAACCCTAGTTTCAACTGTAGCTTTGTGACCCATAGAAAATTTCTTAACCTCTCTGGACCACAATCCCCATATAAAAATGCTTTTTACACTTCAGTGTTGTGGAGACTTTCAAGATACAAAGTCCAGTTAGGATTTAATAAGGAAAATACCTATCATGGTATAGTGGATAATATCAGAGGGAATATGTTTGAATCCTAGTTCCAACTGTAGCTTTGTGACCTGTAGGAAATTTCTTAACCTCTCTGGACCATAATCCCCATTTAAAAATGCTTTTTACACCTCAGCGTTGTGGAGACTTTTAAGAGAGATTATGGGTGTGGAGCTGCTGATGTTTACTAGGCTTTCAAAAAATGGCAGTTTCTTCATGCCTCATCAGAGACCATAGAAGGTAAAATAACTTTAAAATAATGAGAAAATAAAATGTGCAAGAAGGCAGGATTTTTTACTACCACTTCCTAGTCCAGGATTAAGGAGAAATATACACTAGCGCTCTAATTTAAGAAGGAAGACAGATTCCCATAAGGATCAAACTATCTGGAAAACAACTTCCAAACACTGGGGAGTGGAGGTCGACCATTGTTTCAGTGCTGTGACTGAAGCAGTCCTCAGTTTAGCTGAGTTTTCATTCTTTTTTTTTTTTTTTTTTTTTGAGACAGAGTCTTGCTCTGTTGCTCAGGCTGGAGTGCAGTGCTGTGATCTCAGTTCACTGCAACCTCTGCCTCCAGGTTCAAGTGAGTATCCTGCCTCAGCCTCCCGGGTAGCTGGAATTACAGGTGCCCACCACCACACCTGGCTAATTTTTATATTTTTAGTAGGGTTTTACCGTGTTGGCCAGGCTGGTCCCTAACTCCTGACCTCAAGTGATTGGCCTGCCTCAGCCTCCCAAAGTGCTGGGATTATAGGCATGAGCCACTGCACCCGGCCTTCATTTTACTATTTTTTGAGGAATCCCAGAAACAAATGGGGAGAGTGCTCTTTTTCAGAAACCATCAGATCACCAGAGATGGAAAGAAGATGCCACATTTTCACTATTTCTGTTCTATGTGGCAGGATAAAGTTTGAAACATGACTTGTGTTTCGTTCTCCTTGTTTTTCCTATTTCAAGAAGGTTATTGGGACTTCAGCTTCTATTGCTTCTAGGGAAATGTGTTTCAAAGTTGATCAAAGGCAGGCTGTTATTTTGGCTTTTGTCTTGGGTAGCCTGCCCCCTAGTGTGAAACTGGAGCAAGAAATGAACACCTGTGGGAGCAGGGAGGTCAAAGCTCTAGCGGGGAGGAGAAACAAATCCAGGACTAGAAAGGGACAGGGGCTGGTGATTTTGTAAGTAGCAGGACCCATGTCCTCTCCTTCACAGTGCCTGAGACAGGAGGTGGCAGGACCTTAGAGTGGGGAGGATGTGCAAGGCATAAGAGTTAGGTTTCAGGCTTCCTACTTGAGGCCCGGCCAAGGCTTGCATATCCAAGCCTGGTATGAAGTGGATTCTATGGGTGTTCTGTCTACATCTCTAGATCCCACTCCTTCTGTGTGTTTCTGTGGACTTCCAACTGCCAGTAGGTGCATCTCGGTGCCTTAGGTGTCTCTCTAAAGCTTTGGAAGGCTGCTCTGCTCTTTTTTAGAGTAGGCCAATAGAGCCACAGAATTAACACTCCTGGGAGCAACCCTTTACCAGTGACTCCAGGGAGCTGGAGTATAAAGGCCCCAGTTCCCTTGCCCTTTAGTTGGTGTACTTCCAAAGAGGGGGCTTTGCAATGTTTCCCATAATTTTCCTATGAGATTAAGTTCTGGTTACTCAATCCTTTAATTACTGTCTTTCCATTTCTGCCTCACTTTCTCCCTCCCCTACCAGTGTTGCCTTCACCTTCTAAATAAACTACCTCTCTGCTCTCAAATCCTTATCTCAGGGTCTGCTTCTGGGAACCTAAAATAAAGCATCAGGAAAGCAACAGAGGACCTCTCCTTCCATAGAACCATGGCAAGGACATGGAACAATTAGCAGTAACCAGTGTAGAACAATAACTGGAGGACCCTTCCTGAATTTTTGTTGTGACATAGATCTCTGTGCCTTCATGTACCTCAGGAGTGTGCAGAGTGTAGCAGAGGGCATAAGGGGTCCATCTAAGTGACTGTCAGAAACAACTGAGAAAGACCAAAGTGGACAAAGAAAAGATAATGAAGTGTTCTATCTAAACACACCTTTTCTGCTTATCTCTGCCTTTTACTGTCTTTGAGCTATAGAAAACTGATGCTAGTGAAAAGGATTTTCATCTATAGAAATGCAAATTAGCTATGTCAGGTGGGAGGTGATTGATTATTTGCCCTATGGACAGGCCAATTTGGCATCTATTTGCAAATTGACTTTGCATTTCTTACCTGCATAAATAGGTGTGGTTCTTTGAACTCCTCTTCAGACTGGTTCCAACTAGTCTGAACTCGAACCTTATTAGTTCCCTCATTATTTAATGAGTTAAATACAATTTTGGGCCCATGTTCATTTTATATTTGTGTGAAAGTCATGATTACACGTTTTAAAAATGTGTATCCTTTAACATGACTAAGATTAAATTCTCTCTAGCTTGGTGCAATGGGCACAGAGTTAGATTTAAGGAGCCCTCTGGAGGGATACACAGCAATTTGATAACTTTGATTGTTGCTTTCAGGAAGGGAAACTGGGTGGCTGGGGACAGAGGTGGAAGGGGCAATTTTTTTTTTTTTTTTTTTTTTGAGACAAACTCTCACTCTGTCTCCCAGGCTGGAGTGCAGTGGCGCGATCTCAGCTCACTGCAACCTCTGCCTCCCGGGTTCAGGCGATTCTCCTACCTCAGCCTCCCGAGTAGCTGGGATTACAGATGTGCGTGCCACCACACCTGCCTAATTTTTGTATTTTTAGTAGAGACGGGGTTTTACCATGTTGGTCAGGCTGGTCTCGAACCCCTAACCTTGTGATCCGCCTGCCTCGGCCTCCCAAAGAAGGGGAAATTTTTATGTGTATTCTTTTTCTCTTGAATTTGGAATCATTACCCAACCAAATTATTAAAATTATCAAACAAAAATTAAATAAATTAAAATTAATTTAAAAGAAAATTAATAAAGAAAAATATTACTTTAAAAATGTAGTAAAACATTTTAGTATCTTTAGTAACCCTTTTGCCATGAATTTGGAGTGGAGGGAGGGTAAACAAATTTTTACTTAGACTATTAGGATTTTTTGGTGGAAACCTTTTGGAAGTATTACACACAGATTTGGAAGATTGAGAGAGATTAATACACATATTTTGGACAAGGATAATCTTTGCAGCTATACATACGTGTAGCAAATATGAATTCTCCACAAATTCAGATGTGCAAAACATAGTTGTTAGTTTCTCCAAATCATTTTTTCCATCTTAACAGCTTTTAAAAAGTTAATTTGTTCTAAAAGGTAATACATTAAAATGGTGCAAAATTCAAAAGGCATACAAATATAAAGTGGATAGGAAGGCATTTAAGTAGATGACAGCTTTTTGTTTCAAAATTTTGTGCTATTTTATGTTATAGCGTAACTATGCTTGTTTTAGAATAAACATGTTTATCTTCATTGTTAGAAAAATTGATGCTCTAGGGGGTCAGTTGTATCTGTCTCATCTGCTCATACCACCCAGCACAGAGCCAGGCAATTCAGGAGTCTCTGCACCTCTGTTTGACGAGGCATGGCCACCTCTTCATTGAGTGTTTATTATTTTACCTTTGTTAGACACTAAGTGAATTAGTGAAAGTCATGCAGGCCATGTTAGTTGATTGGAAGGGGAAAAAAGTTGTTTAATTTTATTGCAGGGAGTTTAAGCAATTAACAATAAATCTTTTTGGTCAAGGTTTAATAGTTGAATAACTTATTCAGTACTAGGTTTTCTTCTGTATTGTGACAATAAAAACAAATCTAATTCCAGGTTCCACTAATTACTTGTTGAGTGCTTTAAAAATGTAATGTGTTTATATAAACGCTTAACAACTATTATGTGCTGTTGTTTGGTTTTGTTTTCTTATGGGTAGGAATTCCAATTTCCCTTTTGACTAACTGGGTAAAATAAAGTAATAACTTTGATTTTTATTATAGGTTGCTATCTACCTGACAAAAAGCTTGATACTTAAACTAAAATAGTATATATAGGTTGAAATTTTCCCCAATTGTTATTGATGTGTAAAGGCAATTAAAGTGTTTAACAGATTCTGGGGCTGAGTTTTAATCTAGAATACCAATAATTCACCTTCATTTCAAATTTTTATCCAAATAGCTTCATCTTAAGTCACATAGGTCTCTTTAATTGCATCTTATAGTTTTTTCCTCTAGATAATAACGTTAGTTTTAAGTGTGTTTGAAAAAGGATTTATTCATCAACACAGGTAGCTAAGGTTTTATACTTCTAGCTAGAGCGAGCTGCACACATATGCATATATGTATTTAATTTAAGTTTGTATAAGTACTCACATATTCATAAATCCTAACAAACTTCAAAGTTTCTAAATACAGTTTATCTGTAAAATTGAGGTATCAGTGATGACCTCATAGATTTGTTGAAAGAATTGAATGACATATCTATGTAACATGCTTAGAATACTTCCTGACACAAAGGAGTGCTACATATATGTGTTTATTACTATTATTAGTAGTAGTATAATTTGCGTTGTATTGGTGAAGGATCATGATAATAGAAGACTTTCAGAAGGAGGTGATATTTAAGCGGAATTTTGAAGTTTGGAGAAAGAAGAGAAAGGATTAGTGAAGTGGAGAAAGACACAGAGAGTGAGCACAGCCTAAGGCACCAACAGTATATGCAGGGAAGTTCTGGGGTGAGAGGGAGACTAAAGTGGGCTATGCTAATTCATTTGGAATTTATTCTAAATATCAAGCAGGAGCCATTAAAGACCTCTCCATTATAAATGAGATAATCAAATACTTGTTTATCCTAAATACACATTTATCCTAAAGAAGTAGCTAAGCAGGTGCCCAAAGATGTATGTATGTTCAAGAATGCTCATAAAATATTGTCTCTAGTATCAAAAATTTGGAAACAACCTAAATATTCAGCCGTAGAAAATTCATTAGTTTATACTGAAGTCATTATGATGTTTACATGCTCTTATGTATTGACATGAAAAGTTGTGCAAGATTTCCTGTTGAGTGAAAAAAACACAACAGCCAGGTTTAAAAATAGTTATAGTATTGTTTTGCAAATATATGTACATGTTTATATGAGTTGGTATGCTAGGAAAATTCTGGAATGTTTACATTAAGGAGTTAGCAGTAGTTATTTTTTGGTTGTGGAATTCAGAGTGATTTTAATTTAATAATTTTTATTTTTGTTATCTATGTTTACCAGTCATTTTATAATAAATATGAATTAGTGATTTGATTAACATAACAAAATGAAAGTAGTTATATTCTGCGGCATTAATGTTCATCAATGAAGGGGAAAAACTCTTCTGTGCTAGAGGGAACAATCTTAGTAGAATGTGTGTGGAGCCATGGGTGGAGGTAGGATTTCGAGAAGGTGGGTGGGAGGAGGGCTTATAAGCCTAACTCCTACTGCATTTACCCCTCCTGAAACCCCATTTATCTTCTCCCTTTCTTGGCATATCTTCCTATTGAGACAGAGATTCTCAGCTGGCTTGCTGCTAACATCTTGTCAACCTTCTCAGATACTCTGCTAAATTTTGATCGAAGTGTAAAAATGCATTTTTGCTAGAACCGCATATACCATGGCAAGGTCTATAGTGTTGTGAGGGACATGACGTTCTATCTAAGTCAATCCCAGTTCCATGTTACTTCTGAAATTTTTATACTTATGTAACAGTATTACACACACTAGCCTTGAATGATGGAGAGATGGGTTCTATTTGTATCATTTATTACTCTTGTTACAATTTTGGGCAACTCGTCGAACTGGTAGAAATGTCAGTTTCACAAACTTTAAAATGAGTGAGTATAAGTAAAAAATGCCTATTGCGAAGGATAGTTTGAGGTTTAACAACCATATAATGTGTGTGAAGATGCTTAGGAAACCCCAACTGTAACAGATGTTTATGGAGTGCCTAGTATGTGTTGGGTAGTGTTAGGTAATGTGCGAGGTGCTAAAATTGAAGTGACCCACAGATGCAATGATCCTACACAGTCCTCTGGGTACCTGGTAATAGTCCCAACTGGTGTCTCCCCATGTCACATTAGATGATAACCTTGTGCACTGTGGCTTGTGTCTATTTGTGTGTTTTGAAGTTGAAGTCATTGACTTGTTGAGATAGGTCACATTTATAGATTGATTAGACATTGAGTCCCAGGAACTGATTCAGTGAGGGTTTGGGGGTGAATTTCACAGTGATTTTTCAGAAATTGTGAGAGTTGTTATCATGAACGTATGTTTGTTTTTTTTTTTTTTATGACCTGGACTTTTGTTTGTCTGCCTCCAAGAGGGAACAGTAGAGAAGGATGATCTGCGAATTGGTTGTGATGGTTGAAGGGTTTATGTTCAAAAAGTGCTTCGTATGCTTGAAAATATTGTTCAGTTATTGCACGTGGTTCCAATAATCATCACTATCCTCAGTGTATTAGTCCATTCTCACACTGCTATGAAGAACTCCCTGAGACTGGGTGATTTATGAAGAAAAGAGGTTTAATTGACTCACAGTTCCACAGGCTTAACAGGAAGCATGACTGGGAGGCTTCAGAAAACTTAACAATCATGGTGGAAGGTGAAGGGGATGCAAGCACCTTCTCATGGCAGCGGGAGAAAGAGAGAGAGAAGGGGGAAGTGCCACACATTTCTAAACCATCAGATCTCATGAGAACTCACTCACTCACTATCATGAGAACAGCAAGGGGCAAATCTGCCTTCAAGATCCAATCACCTCCCACCAGGCCCCTCCACCAATTCCATGTGAGATTTGGGCAGGGACACAAATCCAAACCATATCATTCAGGAAATGACCATCTTCTCTAGTTGAATTAAAGTTGATGCTTTGGGATGGCAGAAAGCAGGATGGGACCGTACAGGACTTCAACAACATTCCTTTAAGTTTCAGGAAATATAGATGCTGCAGTTCTGACTTGGTGATTGGGCAGGGAATATTTCAAAGTAGTCAAAAGCAAGCTTCCAGGCCCTTATTGTTTGAAAATTCACAGAAAGCTTTTGGGTAAGGCTCATTCCACAGAGGTATCTTAGAGTGACAGTTCTGGCTTTTAAAATGCTTTCCCATAATGATGGCTACCACTTATATGAGCACTAACTCCTAACACATAATGGCAAACACTTTTAAATGCTTTGCACATATTAGCCCACTGAATCCTCACAACAACCTTATGACATAGGATCTTCGCTTTTCCCTGCTTTACAAATAAGGAATCTGAAGCACAGATAAGTTAAATGAGTGAATGCATTGCTTGCCCAAGGTTATACAGCTAGTAGGTATTGGAGATGGGATTTGAACCCAGGCTGTCTAACTCTGGATCTGACCTCTTAACCATGAGGCTGATCTGCCTCCCAAATTTAATCTCCACAGTGGCTCTTGAAAGAGTCAGGATAGATGTTATTATTGTCATGTTTTTGGATAGAAATTCGAGTCTTGGTGAACTTAAATGACTCAACTCAGCTAAGACCAGTGTTCCAGGGCCTGCCAAACCTAGTGCAAATCTTTCTTCTCTGCATTAGATCTTAATTATTTCGATGGCCATGGGACAGAGGCTGATCAAAGGGTTTTATGCAGACAACATTGGACAATATCTAGTTACTACCTCCTGCTTGAGGTGGGATATCATCTTCCCATCTCAATTGATCTGGAGCCTTAGTTTTGTTCCATAGTGTAGGGTTGGGGAGGGGGGCATCAGTGGGATCTTGACTAAAACTTACAGTCAGGACCTTGAAGGGTCCTACAAAGGGAAGGGGTGTCTGTCCTACAAAGGAAGGGGATGTACAGCTGCCTTTCAAAAATTTCCCTAGGATCATAAATTGTGAACCATGACCGCTGATTGGAACTTAAAATTTGCCTTTCTGAGGATATATGTAAGCAAGCTGAATTTCCAAACAAAGGGGATTTTTAGGCAGGAAATTTGCAGATGTTATTTATTTTTCTCTCTCACCACAGATGTGTAGCCTGTCTTTTAGGAAGGGACACAGGGACACTGGCATTCTTTGCTTTCTGTTTGTTTTTTTTTTTTTTTTGAGACAGGGTTTCACTCTTGTTACACAGCGTGGAGTGCAGTGGCACGATCTTGGCTCACTGCCACCTCCGCCTCCTGGGTTCAAGTGATTCTTGTGCCTCAGCCTCCCAAGTAGCTGTGATTATAGGTGCATGCCACACCACCTGGCTCATTATTTTTTTTGTTTTGTTTTTTTTTAAAGTAGACACAGGGTTTGATTTTATTGGTCAGACTGGTCTCCAACTCCTGACCTCAAATGATCTGCCCACCTTGGCCTCCCAAAGTGCTGGGATTACAGGCATGAGCCACCACACCTGGCCTATTCTTTGCTTTCAAGATCAGTGGTAACTGTCTAGCAAACCCATCTATTCCAAAGAGGAAGAAAACCATACAATCTCATATGCTGTTTGGGCCTGTGGAGGGCACCCCACGACAATCACAAAACTAGGAATTGATGGAGCCTGGACAGGAGCCCAGGCTTTGGACTTCTCATCTATTGCTATTTTCATGACTTCACAGTATCTCTTAGGAACTTTTGAAAATGAGTTCACATGTAGTTGCTAAAAGTTTTCCCTTTGCAGTGGAGCTGCCTCAGCCGTTTCTCCAGCATGTAGCTTTTCAGTGTTTGGCTTTGCCACTTTTGACTTCCTTTCCCCCTAAGTTTCCCCTGTAAATTAAAACCTATTTCATGGGGTTTCTCCTAAGATTAAAGATTTACCACATATAAAGCACAGAGTAAGGGCTCAGTAAATACCAGCACTTACTATTGTTAGAATAGGAAAGGAACTGGCATTGTGATGGTTAATTGTGCCAACTTGACTGGGCCAAGGGATACCCAGATAGCTGATTAAACTTTATTCTGGGTGTGTCAGGTTGAGGTGTTTCTCGAAGAGATTACCATCTAAATTCACGGACTCAGTAAAGTAAATTGCCCTCCCCAGTGTGAGTGGGCAAGATCCAATCCATTGAGAGCCTGAATAGAACAAAAAGGTAGAGGAAGGTTAAATTTTTTCTCTGCCTGACTAGTCAAGTTTGGACATTGATTTTCTTCTGCCCTTGGTTCTCCTGGTTCTCAGGCCTTTGGACCTGGACTGTAATCTGCACCACGGACTCTCTGGCTCTCAGGTCTTTGAATGACATCATCAGCTTTCCTGAGTTTTCAGCTTGCCAGTGGCAGGTTGTAAGACTTCTCAGCCTCCATAATCATGTGGGATAATAGCATCTAACACATCTCTTTCTTTTTCTCTTCTTCTGTCTGATTGATTCTGTTTCTCTGAAGAACCCTGACTAATACAGTTATCTTTCCAGCATCTATTGCTACATGCAGTAGATACTGTATTTATTACATTGTTTACTACTTAAGGCAGTCTTCTGAGTTTGGCACAATTGCTGTTATTTAATTAGAGCTGAAGGATCTCAAGTTTAGAGAGATGCTGGGTATTTAGAAAGGTCACATAGTCTCTGGTCTTTCCATTCCTCCATGCCATCCTTCAAGGTACTGGGTGGAGGTAGCAAGAAGAAGGGTTTAGTCTAATGCAGGTACAGAAAACCAAACACTGCATGTTCTCACTTATAAGTAGGAGCTGAACAATGAGAGCACATGGACACAGGGAGGGGAACAACACACACTGGGGCCTGTCAGGTGTGGGGAGTGGGGGAAGGGAGAGCATCAGAATAAATAGCTAATGCATGCGGGGCTTAATATAACCTAAGGTGATGGGTTGATAGGTGCCGCAAACCACCATGACACACGTTTATCTGTTACAAACCTGCACGTCCTACACATGTATCCTGGAACTTAAAATAAAATTAAAAAATAAAAAAAGAAAGGCTTAGTAGGAATCTAGATGATGACCCAGTTCCAAAAACCCTTGCATTTAAAAAAATAGTGTAAGAGTTTGGAGTCAGATAATAATTCTGAAGAGATGGGAGATGATATACACATTAATATGCTGTATAATAAAAAAAGATACTCTGGAATTTAGAAATGCTTTGTAAAGGCCAATTTAGGATTGAAAGTGTTCTGAATTATGATGTGTTGAGGTTCAACAACCAAGAAAGGATGTCATTAAAGGGCATAATAGGTGCAATAGGTGTAAAGATGGCGTGAAACAAAGTAGTTGAGTGGACGGTCCAAGGTGAGATGGCTATAAAATGCCCTCCCTTGGGCTTCACCAGATTGTCACACCTTCTTGCATTTCAGGGCTGCAAACATTCTTGGCCACAAAAGCTCTGTTCTTTGTCATGGATCTGCCGTAACCTGTGGATGAAACTTTGCGTGAGCCCCTGCAAATCTAGTGGATCCACAGAAAAGAAAAGACTAGAAGCCAGCTCCTCAAGGGATGCTTAATGAATTGCCTGGGATGGATTAGGCTGAAACCAGCACATCTGGACAAGTAAGACTGAGGCTGGTCCCATGGCTGGGGCGGCCAGGCATTTTCCTCAGCTAGCAGCATCAGTACACCCCCCACCAAAGAAAGACCATTTCCCCAGTCTCTGTTTTCTGGGATAGTTCTCTGGAAAAACTCATTTAGTTGCTACACCCCATTTCTCTTACTTGCAGAGCCCTGAATTCTCAGGCTCTCTAAGTGTGAGCTTTTGTGGGCCCAGTTTCAATTCATATTGCCTCATTTTCTCAAGTACCCTAGTGGATAAAAGAAGGCTGGGCATGGTAGCTCACGCCTGTAATTCCAGCACTTTGGGAGGCCAAGGCAGGAGGATCACCTGAGGTCAGGAGTTTGAGACCACCTGGCCAACATGGCAAAACGCTGTCTCTGCTAAAAATACAAAAATTAGCCAGGCATGGTGGCATGCGCCTGTAATCCCAGCTAGTTGGGAGGCTGAGGCACGAGAATCACTTGAACCCAGGAGGTGGAGGTTGCAGTGAGCCAAGATCGCACCACTGCACTCCAGCCTGGACAAAAGAGTAAGACTGTGTTTCAAAAAAATATATGTCATTCTGTATAAAATAGATGGCATGGTTTTACTCATTTCCTCACTGATTTCCTCTAGGATGACATATTTGAACACGTTTTGTATGCCTGGCCCTATCCTAGGCACTAGGAGCTCTCAAATTGCTCACGGGAAGCTGACAGCAACCCAAAATGCAATATTAACATTGTAGGAATGAAGAGTATGGACGATAGAATATTACTGTAAAGGAGGGAGAGATTAGATTGGCCTGCAAAGAGCAAGTGAAAGATCATGGAGGTATTTGGACTGGGGCCTTAGATTTACCAAGGGATTCAGGCAGAGGGAGTGGAATAAGGAGGCAAGGGTGCTAAAAGTCATTGCTTCCCAAAGGCTGGCTCATGTAGGATCAAATTGTTGAATGATGAATTTACTTAAAATTCAATTCACTTTCCCCATTCCCCCCAACTTTTTATTTTGAAAAATTTCCACATTGTCTCACTCTCTCACACTCAGTTTTTCTTTTAGCTGAACATTTGTAAACTGCAGACATGATGACACCTCAGCCCAAAATTCCAGCAAAGGTCTCCTATGAATAAGGACAATCTACCCCATAACCACAATACCATCAGTACACCTTTGTGTGTGTGTGTTTTTGCACACTTTTCAGGGGCTTATTATTGTTTAGTCTTTTCAGGATTTTAAAAACAATAAAACAAATTAAACAAGTAGGTTACATTATAACAAAATGCAAAGGCAAAGTGACCGAAGTGTTCAAGAGTAAATAAAACAGAGGGCTATAGGCATAATGAACAACAAGAAAACCCCTTCATTTATGAAATGCTGCAAATTGGCTCTGAGTGAAATGAGCTGGAAACACAAATTACTTTGATGTGGTTTGAGTTCAGGTGTCTCTTGCTGCCAGAGAGCGTGTGAGGCGGATGTGACTCAGAGAGAATGGGTCTCGGGGTTCAGATTTTATCCCCAAGGCAAAGGTGAGAGGAAAGTTTTAAACATGACAGTGACATCATCAGCTATGTGAGAGGTGGCTCTGCATCTCTAGGCGGATGGACGGAGAGGCTGTGGGAAGTGGCAGGCTGGCCGGGCGTGAGGCTTTGGCAGTCGCAGGAGGGAAGATAAAAATGGCCTGAACCAGGGCTCGGGGCCTGGCCAGGAAGGACGTCACTGTGGTGAATCAGAGGAAGCCCACCATCTGCCTCAGGCCCTCTGACCTTCTGGAAAACTACTGAGTTGTGTCAAAATTACAACAATAAACTATGGAGTTCTCAATGGTGCCTTTCCCCCCGTCATGGAGAAAACTAATCATGTTGCTAATTGGCATGCCTCTTATTTTGCATAGACACATTCCTAATAATAAAAATACCTGCAGTGTCCCAGGAATGTGAAATGCCTTCATTTGGTTTGCTTTCACTGCAAAAAATCTAATAATTTTTTTCAGGGTAGAGATGGGTGGTAGTTGACTTAAAGAGTAAGAATATTACCTACCTCAGCACAATTAGCAAATCAGTTATGGTGGGACTAGATATTGACTTTTGCTTTAATTAGGTATCAGGAAAGATACCATTCCTGGAGGCCAGCATATTTTCATTTTTATTCGGATAGCTCTCAAGTGTCTGATGAAGTAAGTAAGAAAATGTCTTGAGGAGAAATGGGTTTGTTAAAGATAACATGTGTGATTTCAAACCTGAAAATGTGTTGTAGATAGACAAGAAAAGGTCCTCCTTCTTTAATTACTACTGCTCGAAATTAACAACACCATCATCAGTGTATTGATTGTGCAGGAAAATGTGTTTACTCATGACATGCTCACAGATGCTCTGTGCTGGGAGTTGGGCTCTTAAGAGGACCTACTTGGGAGGGCAGTGAGATCAGGATTGGGGGTGGGGGCATCCTGGAACTTGCAAGAGCTGCTCCTGGGGTTGGATGTGGAAGAAAGGAGGAACTTGCAGGTCGAGAGGACTGGGAGTGAACGAACAGGTGTCACAGATGCAGAGGCTACACAAAGTCATGGAATCCAACTGGACTCCACGCTGGGGAGTGGGATGTAACAGATAAGGGGAAAGTGGGAGAAACAGGGCAGCCAAGTCAAGAGCATGAGCTGGCTTAGGCCAGTAGAATGCTGACTAGACCACATTGGGTGATTTACCCCGCTTGGGGGTGAGGCTGGGAAGGGGGCACTTACTTGAGGGGTGGTGGTGAAGCAGTTTAGACATTTAAGGGGATTTCCAAAAGGAAACCAAATCATAAACAGAAAATACTTTGACTCAGGTATATAGGCATCATATGTGTGTTCATATTGCACTTCACAGTGATCCCCTTATTTCTGTTTCCTAGAGCTGCTGTAACTGATTACCGCAAACATGGTGGCTGAAAACAAGAGAAATTTATTCTCTTACAATTCTGGGGACCAGAAGTCTGAAAGCAAGAAGTCAGCAGGGGTGGTCCCCCAGGCGGTTCCGGGGAAGAGTCCGTCCTTGCCTCTCTCTTAGCTTCCGGCGGCTCTGACCATCCTTAGTGATCCTTGGCTTGTGGACGGATCGCTCCAGTCTCTGCCTCTGTCTGCACAAGGCTTTATCCCTGTGTGTCTGTCTGTGTCTGTGTGTCTGAAAGGTCCCTGTTCCTTTCTCTCACCATCCTTGAATTTAGAGCCTGTTGTAAATCCAGCATGATCACATGCCGAGATCCTTAATTACACCTGCAAAATCCTATTTCCAAATAAGGTCACATTCACAGATACTGAATGGGGGTGGGGTGGGTGGAGGTGGGGAGGCTTAGGACTTGGACATAGCTTTTTGAGGCCCCTGTTCACCCCTGTTACCAAGTGTATTAGTCTGTTCTCACATTGCTATAGAGAACTATCTGAGACTGGGTAATTTATAAAGAAAAGAGGTTTAATTGACTCACAGTTACACAGGGTGTACAAGAAGCAAGGCCAGGTAGGCCTCAGGAAACTTAACAATCATGGCAGAAAGCAAAGGGTAAGCCGGCACATCCTACATGGCTGGAGCGGGAGGAAGAGAGAGAGAATGGGGAGGTGCTACATACTTTCAAACAACCAGATCTCATGAGAACTTACTCACAAGACAGCACTAGGGGAATGGTGCTAAACCACTAGAAACCACCCTTGTGATCCAATCATCTCCCACCAGGCCCCACCTCCAGTACTTGGGATCACAATTCAACATGAGATTTGGTTGGGGACACAGAACCAAACCCTATTGCCAGGAGTAAGAATAAGATACTGTACTACTTATCCATCTTGTGCTCTAGACTCTGCAAGGAGAAAACTGAAAAGGATGAAAAAGACACAGAATGTGCCCACAAGTTGCTCATACTCTAGTGGCAGGGAGGCAGGCAGGCCCTACAGTCCAGTGTGGGACTGGGCAGTAGTGTGGCCAGGGGCAGGAAAAAATGAGTAAATTTGCTATGAGACCCCAAGTCAGGAGGGTACCAATCTTAGCCTGGGGTCAGGCTGGGCTGGGCTGGAAAGTGTTCCTGGAGGAGATGCTGGCAGTAAAGAACAGAACAGGGTGTGAAAGGTGGGGAGAGGCTTTCCAGATGGAAGATACAGCCTATGCACAGGTGCAGTCAGAGGCAAGGGGAAGAGAGCACGGTGCAGGTCGGAGCCATGGGTCTGAATGGAAAGCAGAGTCTGAGGCAGGATGGAGGGAAATGGGGCAATGAGGTAGGGAGGGCTCCAGGCACCAAGAGCCCGGCATATCAAGGCAGGAATTGGGACCTTGCCTTTAGAGCAGTGAGAAATCATGAAAGTGCCTTGAAAACTACCAATTATTCTAGAAATGTGAATAAATGTGACTAACACTTTTTGCTGTATGCTGGACATTTGTACTTAGTAAAAGGAATTATTTGCAAGAAATATAATTTTGGCACTAGAAGGAAAATATGAATGCTTTGGTATTGCTAAAATTACTTTTTTGAGCCAGCCCGACATTAAATTTGAAAAGAAAAATATTTAAGAAGAATGACTGAAAATGAGCCCCATCTCCTGGTAGGAGAGAAAATGCGGGAAGGCTGACTAGCAGAATGGCAGTTGTGGTTCTGTTCAAATAGGACAGGGGCACCAGGACAGTGACTATCCCCAGGAGATCTCCAAGGAGATCAAAGCAAGGAGTAAGGTAGGGCCCCAGCCTGGAGAAGCACAGGGCCCTAGACAGGGCAACTGGACAGTTAGGAAGAGAGATTCAAGCTCAAGCCTCATCGTTGGGCTGGATCAAGGTGCCAGGCTGGGGTTGCTGGTCCCCAGTGATTACTTAGCCTCCTCTATGCAGATAGCAAGGCTTCCATTGTTTATGGACACGACTGTTCACCCACTTAGCCAGACTAGGGCACTAGAAATGAAGCGTTACTAAAACCTTCTCCCTTCTCTCTCACACCCTACCTCTTGTTGCTTGCGAAGTTTTGTTGATTTTACTTCTGTTCACTCATCCCCATTCCCTACTACACTGTGTGGTTCGGCACCTTTGGCTCTCATGTGGACATAGTTCTCTTCTCCTAGCTGGACCTCACTCCTCCAGTCACTCTATGGCTCCAATACATCCTCCATGTAGCAGCCGAAATGCCCTTTCTAAAACACCAGGAGTCTGTCTCTCCAGTTTATTCTTCACCCCATGGCTTCTGCCCTCTCTTTACTCCAAGCTCCCACCAGTACTCCCAATATAGCCTGTGACGCAGACACCACAGCCCACCTCATTCCCTGAGAGGCGTGCTCCTTTACACACCTGTGCCCATTACCCATTCTGTCGCCTCCGCCAAGACCTCAACTCATCTTCAGGACTGGCTCCAGTGTCTCGTTTTGCAGGAATTCTGTGCTCCATCAAAGCCACAGTCTATTTATGGGCCATTGCTCCCACTGGACAGTGGGTTACCAGGAGGGCAGGGGTCCCTTCATGACGTTATCCTTAGCATCCAGCCAAGCGCCTGACCTATGATGACGACTCAGTGAACAATGGATGAATAAAGGGTGTATATTTACTTTCTAACAGGGGCCTTTACAGTCCCAACTTTAACATATGACTGTGGTAGGATGTCAAGGTCTAAAGCACACTAGGGGGAGATCTCCCTCCACTCTCCTGGCATCATGCTTTCTAAATTGATTCTTCAGTGCTAGTGTACAGAACTGTGCTGTCCACTCTAGAAGCCACTGGCTGCACGTGGCTATGAAACCCTTGAAACATAGCCACTCTAAAATGTAGCTAATTCTTTAAGTGTAAGGTGTACCTCATTTTTTTTTTTTTTTTTTTTTTGAGACGAGTCTTGCTGTGTCTCCCAGGCTGGAGTGTAATGGCCTGTTGTCAGCTCACTGCAACTTCTACCTCCTGGGTTCAAGCGATTCTTGTGCCTCAGACTTTTGAGTAGCTGGGATTACAGGCATGTACCACCAAGCCTGGCTAATTTTTGTATTTTTAGTAGAGACGGGGTTTTGCTACTTTGGCCAGGCTGGTCTTGAACTTCTGACCTCGAGTGGTCTGCCCGCCTCAGCTTCCCAAAGTGCTGGGATTACAGGTGTGAGCCACCACGCCCAGCCAGGATGTACCTCACATTTTAAAGACTTAGTACAAAAGAAACAATGAAAATATCTCATGAATAATTTTTATATTGAGCTCACATTCAAATGATAATATTTTGGTATATTGGGTTAAATAAAATACATTATTAAAATTAACTTCACCTGTTTCTTTAGACTTTAAAAAGTATGACTGCTAGACAATTTAAAATTACCTGCGTGGCTTGCATTCTTCTATTCCTGTGGGACATCACTGTTACAGAGACTTCCCTTTCAAGAGCAAATATTTAAATTGTTACAATAACATTTTTTCCCACTAGTTATAAATGTTTTTGTTCATTGTAAAGCATTTTGAAAGTGTAATGATCAAAAATAGAAATCTTCAGTGGTAACATCTCTCTGAGATAGGCAGATACGCATTTTGGGGATATTTTCTTTCATTATCCTTTCATATAGAAAACAAAACTGCAATCACACTACATAGCCTCTTGAGCATGAAGCTTTTTCCACTTGCAATTGTATTGTAAATATTTCACCATGTTATTAAATATTGTTAGACAAAATGATTTTGATGGGTACAGAGCATTCTGGTAGAGGTTCAGTTTCAGGGTACCAAATGTCGTTCCTCTTCTCTGAGTTTTTGACCAGTGGAGTGTACACCTAGATATCAACAGCCAATGATGAATGAAGACTTGCTTTATTAAGTGATATTTGGGCAGGCTCCCAACAACCCATCTTTCATCACCTGGTGTGACATGCATTGGAGAACATAGCTTAGATCTGAATCTGAATCTTGAGGCCTTCATGGTGTGTGTGTGTGTGTGTGTGTGAGAGAGAGAGAGAGAGAAAGAAAGAGAGCGAGAGATAGTGAGTGAGAGCACACTATTTTGTAACTGGCCACATTAATGGGCACCATAGTTAAGGCCCCAGTGGGAAAAACCAACGTGATAGATGAGCCTCTGCCTTCAGCAGCCATGTCTTCCCAGGTGTGTCTACCACATGGCAGCTGCAAAGCTCAGGCAAGTTTTTTGTATCCAAGAAAGGAAGTAAAAGAAGATGTGGAAAGAGAACAAGAGTGGGTGTCAAGAATATCCACTAACCATTATCACAGTGCAATGTGACTCAGTGAATGTCCACGCTCTGGCCATGTTCAGCTGCTTCCATGTTAGGGAAAAGTGAGTAGGAAGATGGAGGTGGAGAAAGGGCAGAAATGCCTTCCCCAGAACTTCCTCATACAAGGAGAGAAGGTAAAATGCTTTTCCCTGTGGGCTGCAGTATGGGTAGAGGACATTATACTCTCCCAACAAATTCCAGATAGTATAAATTCAAGCTGAGCTGTTGCTTGCTGTCCTAGCCAATATGGTGGTTTGGAATTGTCATGTTGTCTTGGTGAATATTGGTTGCCTCCAAGGATTAGAGGTCGATGAAAACCGTGGCTGCTTCTCTCCCCCAGGGTGTTGCTATCAGCTGATATGTTACCATGAAGTTTAATGAATTCTGCTGCCCAAGTGCCAACATTTATCAGCAAGCAGAACCCATAGCAGTCCTAGGTCTGATCTTGTATTCTTAGTGAAGCCCTAGCTCTCTGCCTCTTGGCACTCTTTTATTTTTATTTTTATTTTTTATTTTTTGAGACAGAGTCTCGCTCTGTTGCCTAGGCTGGAGTGCAGTGGTGTGATCTCAGCTCACTGCAACCTCTGCCTCCTGGGTTCAAGCAATTCTCCTGCCTCAGCCTCCCAACTAGCTAGGATTACAGGTGCCCACCTCCACACCTGGCTAATTTTTGTATTTTTAGTAGAGACAGGGTTTTGCCATGTTGACCAGGCTGGTCTTGAACTCCTGACCTCAAGTGATCCACCCTCCTCAGGCTCCCAAAGTGCTGGGATTACAGACATGAGTCACCAGGCCTGGCCTGCCCTTTGGCACTCTTAAAAGCACCTTGCAGGAAAGGCTTACTGAAGTCAGGTGTCGCAATGTTCCATTTAGAGGTAGAATTAGTCAGCTTTCCAGTTGGATCAGGAAATAGAATCATCTGTCAAGTGGTGTAATATAGGTTCAAAATGAGACCTAGGCTAGGGTATCCCACTGAAGTAGACTATTGGGCTCCTTGGATTCTTATCCTCCATTTACACTCTAGTGGAGATAGATGCGTGTGTGATATTTCTAACCAACCCACATGTTTGATCCCTACTCCTTTCAACAGTGAGAAATTTTTTCAAATATCCCTAATGTGAAGTTAATAAATTCCATAGTATAGATTAAGAATTTGCTATTTGAAGTGATTGTCGTAGAGTTTCTGGAGTTGGAACTTCTGATAAGGATCTTTCAAATGTTAACTAACACTCCTAAGGTGTATATTTTCTGATTAGCATTCTTCAAAGGCTAACTAACCTACCCTATAAGGTAGATTAAAACTAATTTAGACATACACACACACACACACACACACACACACACACACACACACTACACTTCCTATTCTGATGTACTTTAAAATAAATTATTGACATTTATTTTAAATGAAAAGTCTAAAAAAATCTAGGAAATGGTACAATCCCAAATTACTTTTGAAAGCCTTCAAAGTGAAAAAATTAGTCTAGAAACACTGTAAAAACAGATTTATTCATGACTTTCTTGCATCAAACTGTGGGTTTGTTAAAAGAAGTTGAGCCAGAATAGGTTTGATGCATGAAATATTTTCTAGTTCTGCTTTTCCCAGCCCATTTTAGTATTTCCTTTTTCAGTGTCAGATATTTGGGGGAGAGGGTGCAAACTGTTAAAAAATTATATTAGAAACACAAAATACAACAAAACATCCCCACAAACCAGAACTGAACCAGCAATAGTAGGAATATGAAAAATTAGGTCCATAGTTTGTTTTTGGCGGTGAATTGACTTTGCTGTTTACAGCTGCTGTTGCTCAGATTTTATATGTCTTTTTGAGGATGTGCAAGCAGAGCTGACTGCTGTTTGTTTCTGCTAACACAGCTCAATCTAGGATTCCTGGGGTTAGAGTGGATGTATTCTTTTATGAGCTGAGTAATTAGTCCATCTGGTGATATTCTCAGAAAGGTGCTAGGACAGGAGAATTAACCTCAATCCTATTTCACATGGCTGTTACAGGAGTTAAGAGATAAAGTTTATGAAAGTGCTTTGTAAACTGTAAAGAGCTATTTATTTACCATTACTATGATTACCAGTAACTTCATAAACCTTTTCTCTACACAACCTGGATGCTTGTGTGCGTTTTATTAACAGGTAATATGTATATATAGAGATCCTTACATTTTCAGAGCTTATGTTTCAGTCAATGAATAAATATGTATTGAACACCTACTAGCAGCAATGTGCCTGGTACAAGCACAGGCTCTGGCTTTTGCCCTTGAGGTCCATCAATACCATGAGAGAAATGAAATAGACACAGACACAGCTAGAGAAGAAGGCACCTTTTCCTTAAGTACCACATTTGCTACTTGCTTAACAAAATTAGAGAAGGTAAATTCTGGGTGCCAGATTAGTGGAGGATATATCCCAATGGATTCATTTTCATTTTAAGTATTTTTTCCATTTTGCATTCCCATTTCTTGGAAGTCAAAAGTGGACATCTGGGATGTATTTGGGGCGAGCTCAATTTTCATTTTCTTGAGTTCTCTAAAAATTTTCCACGGGCACAAGAGCAATCGGGTATTTGCTGTTTCCTTTATTTATGCCTCTTCCCTCCCTTCCCCCCAACACCACCTTAGGTCATTTGATTTCCTGTTCAAACAGCAATTCCTCAGGACGGAACCTTTTGCCTTAATCTTTTACAATCAGCTTCAAACCATTTTCCTCTGTTGTTTGATGCTTGATGAATCTTTTGGTAATTTAGTGTCTGCTTTTGGCCCAGTTGAAATTCCTATTTATGTCTGGAAAGAAGAGCTCTGTAAGTTATAGAGGGGTTGGAAAATTTTCTGAATGGCTCCTCAGGCAATGCCATAGCGTATCTGGGAAGGAAGGATGAGTGTGAGTGAGTGACTGTGTGTGTGTGTGTGTGTGTGTGTCTGTGTGTGTTTTGCAGAGTGCTGTTGAGAAAACAGACTGAGTTGGAGGTTTTCTCTTCTCTTCGGATCTCCCCTGCCCTCTGTCTTAGGTCGTACTTTTCATTCTGCTTCCAGGACTTTCTGATCCTAAGGTATTTGCTGAGGAAAATTAACAAAGATAAAGTCATTATGGCTCCAAGTGATTTTAAATCTTTTATTATTCTTTTGAAAAAACAAAAACAAAACCTAACAGCAGTCCACATAAGAGAGAAGCAACAGGGCCCCTACAACCCATTTAAGAGTCTAATTTTTAGAAGAGTTGTTTGAGTCTCAAAAATACCATGACAACCCTCCTTCAATCTCTCTCCTAACCAACATCACTGGACAGGGAGTGGAGGGAATGTTATGAGGAGAACGGGAGCCAGCTGGCCACAGCTCATGTGCGTATGTCTGTGTTTAGAAGCCTCCTGCAACTCTCTTCTTGAGAGGTCTTGGCATCTTCTAGCATTCACCACTGGTGCACGAGACCTGAAGAAGTTGAGCTTTTCTAAACATCTTGGCATCAAGGTACCTCCTGGACGTTCCCTCGTGGTTTTACTGTCGCAGATCTGAAGAATAACTGTCTCAGGCAGCCACTGAGTCACTCTGAGAACAGCACTTAGCAGAGTTGATATTCTCCTCATTTGCATGATTATTTATTATTTTTTGCCCATGCCAGAATGCCAGTTCTCAGAGGGTGGTGGCCTTGTCTCATGTATTCTTCCAGAAGAGGTCCTGGCACATGGTGGACGCTCAATCAATATTAGTTGAATGAATTATGAATTCCATAGACCCTGCCTTTCAACCAAGAGGAGAAGAAAAATCTTGCAAGACGTTTGAGAGATGTGAATTTTTCATGGGGTTGCTTTATTTAAGGGTAAATAATTCAGAAGAGGTACCAGCCTCCTGACAAATGTGACTCTGGAAGGTCCCTTGGAGGGTCGCATCATTGGCTGTCATGAATGTGGATCTCTGGGATCCACAAGCAGAAAGGAGAAGCAGAGATGAGGTGGGCGGAGCAGGAGGCGTGGAGATGGAGCACGATGGGGACAGGGAGGAGGTAGGGAGATGTAGATTGAGAAAATGTGTCAGCCTCCTGGGCTACAGAGTTCATATCTTTAAAAAGTTAATATCTTCAAAGTTAATAAAATATTTTTTAAAGAGACCACCCCAACTTATTTTATTTTCAGATTATACATTAATGCAAACTCATCATAAAAGTAAAGCAGAATTCAAGTACAGAAGAAAATCAGCATGAATCTCACCACTCTGTCAGTTCACTTTGTGAACATTTTGCTAAGTTTCTTCTTCTTTTTTTTTTTCCCTCTACACACTCATACTTCTCTTGTTTTGGTTTGAAATATTTGATTACATAATGTGTACCAGTTTTGCACCTTGCTATTTTCACTAAATGCCATTAAAAGTTCTTTTTTTGTCCACTTAGTATTATCAAAAATGCTTTAAAACATCATTTTTAATGGCTACGTAATGTTCCATTTTATGGCTACATCATAAACCCTGTTGCACAGTTTGTTTTCAGGTTTTCTTTTTTTATATAATTATAGGTGAGTTAGTGACAAACATCTTTGTGAATGAATTACTGCCCTCGCTGTTTGATTATTTCATTCAGGTGAGTTGGAGAAGTGAAATTACAGGGCCCGAGCATAGGAATTTTTTTACAGACCTTGAAGGATGGTGCTGGATTGCTTTTCAGAGTCTTTGTACCAATTTACATGGAGTATTTCTATTTTGGGGACCTCCTCCTGGAACAGGGAAAGATTTTCTAGCTCTAGAGAGAGAATGACCTGTAGTAAGATTTGGATCAGAATTTCACGCTTTGTAAATCATTGATTTTAGATTTCTCCCACTTTCTGTATTTATTTACCTTCTATTCTCTTGCAGTAATTTTAGAAATGGCATTGGGAAAATTCCAGACTGTTTCCATGGTACTCAGAGCAGACAGCAAAGGGAGGTTTGGTCCATGCTTTGGATAGAGCTGCCAAGAATGGGGGACCGTGTCCTGTAGTGGGGTGGGGCGGGGAAGGGGTCCAACCTATGATGGCAAAAGGAGACCAAATGAGATGCTTCGTGGGAAAGGTGACACATGGGGTTGTAGTGATGGTGATGAGGAGTGGAGATTTGAGCTGATCCTAAATTTTGGAGGTTCTCATTTTGGTTTTAACAAAAGTAGGGTTTCTTGATAGCAGGCTGGACTGGATCAGTGATTTTCAAATTTTCCTTCCTCCTCCTGGAACTTTTGGATTCTATGGTGGTGCTTGAGTTAAGTAAATGATTTTAAGGTCATCTGCACCTAATTTAAAACTGTGTTAGTAGTGGTAATAAATATCAACACATACACATATAAATGTATATAGAATGTCATATTTTAACACCACGTGGACCTGAAGGTAGACACGTACTAACTGGTTTTAGAGCAGACTTTGAATGAAGCATCTCTCTCTTGAATTGAGGAGGGCTCTGAGGCTGGAAGGGCAGTGTGATTTGAACAGCTGCAGCAGCAGCAACATTGTCCATCAAACCAAGATAGACTTCTATCTTGGGGAAAGTGAATCAGAAACTCTATGTTACAGAGTAAACAAAACAGAATATACAGCCCGGATGCTCAAGCAGATCGAAAACTGCAAATGCCCTGTTTAACTCTCAGCTTTAATCTGGTCACAACAGCACCCATGTTCTCTTTGCTAGACTTTATTATATATATGCAGATAGATACCAATCATTTTTGACTGTTATATGTACAGCGGGTCCATTTTCATTTGAAAGAGAGTTCCTCTGAGGACCCTTTCTAACACTAACATTTTCTGATCAACAGGCCGACTTTATCATCCCATTTGATGGATGGATAAGTTGAGGCATTAAGTAAAGTCCTGCAGAGAGCTAGCTTTGCAGTTTAGTCTCTGTCAGATTTTGAGCAAGTTAGTTTAGTTCCCTGAGCCTCAGTGTTCTCATTTCTAAAATGGGAATAATAGTGTCCACTCTGCAGTGCCATTATGAGGGTGGAAATGAAACCCAATCTTTTCCTTTGCTCAGTGGCTAGGCTTTGGGAATGAGCATCTAATTCACATTTGCCAAATGCCGACTCCTCCCTCTTGTCCATGCTGGCCTCATTCTTGCCGTGACTCTATTTAATGTACTCTGGTAAGTTTTAGGCGTAGAAGAGGAAAGAAATATATGTATTGCCTACATACCTATTGGAACTTGGGATCCTTTAAAACATGCAGTCTTATTACAGTGATTCTTCTGTAATAGCAGTATTTATTTTCTGGTCTGGGGAACAAAAGCCTTCTTTTCCTTTCTTCGATTAAGAAATTAAAATCCAGTAGCATAGAATCTCTTAGAATCATTTCTTGTATTGCTTCCTAACTTGACCTTAACATTCTGTGTGACCTTTCGAGGCCCTTTTTACCTCTCTCAACCTCTGCTTCCTGTAAAATGAGGTGGTTGGGTCAGGTGACATTAACGGTCCTTACAGCTTTTCAGTTTTTAAATTCTACGAAGACTTAGGAGTAAAACCTTGAAGCGTTAAGTTTCTTTTCTGCGGGGGGGGAGAAAAATTACTGTTCTTTTAAATTGGCCACGTGGGGTCGCTAGTGATCTAAGAGACTGGTTCGCGAAGGTGGTACTGTAAATGTGTGGTGCTTCAGCGAACAGATTCTGGGGGTGGTTTATGAAATTTTCTTTTTGTCTCTCCCTTCAGCTCCAAAATTCACTCGAAGACTTGATCACATCATTAGTGTTGAGAGAATCATAAGCAGCTGCCAGAGATTGTGTTCAGAGCCAGACCGTGGTATCTCATGCCCACCTCAAAAGAAAAGAAAAAGGAAAAAATCATGGTAATCCTGGGGTGCAACTGGCTCTCCTTTTAGACTCTAACTCAAGCTGCTACATAATGTGGTCTTGCAATTCCTTGGCTTGAGAAGTAGGTCCTGCAAAGTTAAACTGGATGGCATAAAACATGCCTTAGTGATGGAGTCAACCTTTGTCTGGAAGAATCTGGAGTTACCAAAGGCAGAAGCATGGCAAAATTCTCACTGAAGAGCTGATGAGTGTCTCTCTTGGCAATTTTCCTGGTGGGCTTTGCTGATGGTTGAGGTGGGGTGGGGTGGGTGGCAGCAAGCTTGAATGACTGTAGAAATCAGGGAGGGTTCATTAAACAAAAAGTAAATAAAATAAAACAAAAATCTGGAAAGCTCATGTATCTTCCCACACCAGGGACAGGGTACCCACAGCATGCTCGGCACAGACCAGACCCTTTATGGAAAGTCAGCTGAACCTTGCCCTCGGCGTGCAAGGAAAAAAAATGTCTTTTCTGCCAGAAGTGTTGTATAAACATCCTTTTCCTACGATCCTGGATCCTGATCCTCTAGCTCCAGGACCCAGAGGAGCGTGGGGAAAGTATCTTAATGTAGACAGATTTCGAACTCCTGCTGTCCCTTTTCAGATCGTAAATTACCGTTAATGCTGTTTATACTCTTCCCCCTTCCTCTCTTAATAGTTTTAGAAACAGTAATTGACAACAAAATAGAGCCGCAAAGGGTGTAAGGGAGCCCTGCTTGGCTGGCTGAGAAGCAGCCAACTAAGTATCTGTTCATCATGTACGTCTCTGCAACAGAAGTAAAAGATTTACCCACACAGGTGCCCTTCCTTGCTTTCCTTTCGTCATTTTGCTGTGATGGAGCAGGGTACATCTCAATTTCAATTAACTGGAAAGAGAAAAGTTGCGTGTGTTTGCGTGCTTTTTGTCCACCCTGCTCCCTGTACGGGAGGCTGTACAAAGCTGGTGTGGGCTATGGAGCCTGGGGAGGAAGCTGCTCAGAAGTGGATCCCAGGATCTCTGTGGTTCTCTCTGCCCGGGTGTTGTCTTGTTTTGGGGTGCACGGTCCTCGGAAGCAGTTTCCTAAGACAATTCCAGCATGAGGAATATGCCCAGGCTTGAAGTTGGTGAGAGCTGGATTTAAATCCTAGATCAACCCACTTATTTAGCTGTCAACTTAACCTCTTAGAGTCTCAGTGTTCTCCTCTGTAAAATGGGGATAATACAGGTTGAATACCCCTCATCCAAAAATCCAAAACCCGAAATGCTTCAAAATGCAAAACTTTTGGATTTCACATCCAAACTTTTGCCATTGAATGCTGACACAATGTTCAAAGGAAATACCCATTGGAACATTTCAGATTTTGGATTCTCGGAGTAAAGATGCTGAACGCATAAGTATAATGCAAGTATTCCAAAATTAGAAAAAATATCTGAATTCCAAAATACTTCTGGTCCCAAGCATTTTGGATAAGGGATACTCAACCTGTAACAATATTCCCCTAAGGGAGTGGTTTGGAAGATTAAATAAAGCTGTGTTTGTAGAAAAAGTGACTGAGGCCTAGCAAGACATCCATGAATGCCTTTTCTTTTTTCAAAACCTCTTGACTTGTGCTGTCCAAGGTGGTAGTCACATGGGGCTATTGAGCACTTGAAGTCTGGCTACTTGAAACTGACAAGTTCTGTAAGTAGAGAATACACACCAGATATCAAAGACTTAGTAGAGAAAGAAAATAATGCAAAACATCTCATTAATAATGTTTTATACTGATTACATACTGAAATTTTAATACATTGCAAATATTGGATAAAATATATTCTAAAAGTTAATTTTACCTTTTTTAACTTTAAAAAATGTGGCCACTAGAAAATTCAGAATTGGATATGTAGCTTGTATTTGTGGCTCACATTATGTTTCTCTTGGGCTGTGCTTCTGTAGTTTCTCTTTTACTCACCTTCTATTCAAATTCTTTCCTTCTCTTAAGGCCTAGCTCAAGCTTTGCTGTCTTTTTGGGTCCTTTGGGTCAATCTCTCCCTTCCCTAAAATCTCCTAGGGGTTTTGTCATGGAGAGACAGTCACATAATGTGTATTTGTGGGCTGAATTTAAGCAGGAAAAACATATAAAGTGTTTAGCCCAGTGTCTGGCACATCACAAACAAAATAGTATGATTCATTTTTTTTTTTTTTGAGATTACCATTGGAGTCTGGCTACCTAGTTCAGAGCCGGTTTTTTTGCTGCCTTGCATCCTTCTCATGTGTTTAGTCTCTCTTCCTTGTGTGTTTAGTCTTGTTGAATATGCCTGTGAGGACAGAGAACCCGTCTATTTTTCCTGGGTTTGTTCTTAACCCACGAGGCAGCTCTAGCACAATGGATTCTCCCCTATGATTATTCACGGACAAAGCCAGCGCCTGTTGACTAAGCTGTCATCTTGGAGTCATTTGCCATTCTTTCCATTCTTTCCTTCATTCCACAGGTATTTGTTCTTCTTGGGATGCTTTTTCACCACTCTTTTCTTCATTGAGCTAACTCTTTTGCATCCTGAAAACAGTAATCGAGGTCAACATGTATAGCACTCACTATATATTCACCCTATTCTAAGTAGTTTATGTATATGAATAAAGTTCATCCTCACAACTGCCCTGTAGGGCGAGTATTGTCATTTAACTCATCCTTCAGATGAGGAACCTGAAACACAGAAATTAAGTAACTCATCCAAGGCCACACAGCTAGTGAGAGGTGGGGGCTGGATTCAAATCCAGTACTACAGTCCCAGAAACCATAGTACTCTGAATCACCAGGCTCGAAGTCATCGTCACCAGAAGCCCTTCTGGAACACTGCTCCTAAATTTTCAACATACCACTTGGCCCTTCCATCACACCCAGCCCCATGTGAGTATCTGTCATAGGCCTTATCCCATATGATTACAATCCCTGGTTTCCTCTTCAGTTCCCCTCATTGCCCTGTGATCTCCCTGAGGATCTCAGTGAATCCCGGTGAAAGAAGGAACATGGCTTTAGGCTGCAGGGGACAGATTCTCCCAGAATCCAAAGACATGAGACTTAAAGAAGGTCTTCCTCTTTCATGTCATCAAACTGTTCATTTTTTTCCATACCTCTTTTAGCAATCTGTAACCGTCTTGTTTGTTTTCATTTACTTGATTTAAAAATAAAATAAAATAAAAAAAAACTTTTCCTTCCCCCAAGAATGAAGGCAGAGAATTTATCTGTCTTGTTTGCTGCTTTACTTCAGTGCCCGGCACAGAATGTATATTCAGTAAATATGTGTCAGGTGAGTAAATGAATGAATGAATTTATTGTGTTTCTGTTATGGGCCAGGTACTGTGTAGACACCATGGTTCTTGCCTTCACAAGGTTAACAAGTTTATGGAGGGTGATGGGGAAGATGGCAAGAGGCAGTAACTATATAGAAATGGAGAAAGAACAGGGAGCTTGGCTTCTCATTGAGCTCCTTTCTGTCCATTGATGGCAGTTGATGGATTTGCATGAGAAGAAGAGAGAATTCACAGAACTAGCGTTATTTTACTTTCTGTCTTTACAGAGGTATATTTGGCTGTTTTGTGAGACATTCTGGGAAGAAAAAACAAACAAACAAAAGAACAGGGAGTTTGGAGAACCAAAAAGAAGAAGGATTTAGCATTGGGTGAGGGGAAGTCCAGAAAGGGTTTCTGCAGAAAGTGACAACTAAGAGACCTGAAACATAGTTGGGAGATGACCAAGCAGAAGACAAAGGAAAGAGCTGAGTAAGGAAGGAGAAGAGAGATGTTTCAGATAGAGGGAAGGAGAGGTAGGAAAGGCCTGGCAATCTGGTTATTTTCAGGCCTCTTGGGTGCAAATGGTAGAAGGGAGGAGCTTCATGAATTTTGAGCACCTTGATGTCCAAGCCATGGCAGAATTGGACTTCCCTTCATGTATTCCTTTTTCCACCCCCCACCAGCTGTCTTTGTTGCCTTCATTGTTCCCAAAGCCTCCTTTTCATCCTTGTTTATTCCTGGCTGGAATAGGTTCAGTGGAACCATATTCCTCCGACAGTTTGCATTGCTTCACTTGCTCAGGAGCCGGTAGCACTGCCAGCTGCCTCTGGGACCGGAATTTCTTACATTTATCTCATGAGCTATACTTTTCTGTCTATTTTTGCATGTTATCCTTTGATCCTCGCAGCAACTGTGTGAGTTCTCTCAATTCTTAGCCTAAACCTAAAACGTGTCTATTCTCAGCCTCTTACTCCCATTCCACTGCGATTCTCTTAAGTGTACTACTCTTCCTTCCTCTTCCCTACACAGATGCTTGAATCTGCCAAGAAATTTGCTTCCCTTTCTCTCTCTATGTATATCATTTAAGAACCCCTAAGCCAAAAACACACCATCTGATGAATACTTAGAGAGGCCAGTAGGGTACAGTATTTATACTCAGATCTATACTTTTGATCTGTTCTGGGAGGTCAAAGATATTTGGTCTTAGATTTCATACTTTGTGTGTTTCCTTTGTTTTTGAGACTGTCTAGGTCTATTCTGTCTTTGGACAGCTTGGACTACTTAGACTTTTCTTTTCAGAGTGAGTTTTGATGTGTCTGCTCGTGGGGTCCAACCATTGGTCCTAGTTCTACAGTTAGGTCCAGGAGGGCAGAATAGCTGAGTAGCTACATGCATCTGAATCTTGGCTTGCCACTTCCTGCCAGCTTTGGGAGGCTATCAAGACCCTCTGCTTTCTGTGTGTCAGCCACTCCTCTGTAAAATGAGGCAAATGGTAAATATGCAAACTCACTGAATGTTAGCTGTTATCATCGTCATTATTATTACTCCTTGTGGCTATAGTGAACAAGAGAAGTGTAGGCTTAGAATGGCCCGGTGTAGTGTACCTGGAGCTCACACTTTATGAAATGCTAATTTTACTCACCTCAGCAAAAGGGAAGAAATACTCTTAAGTCAAATGCATGCTGTTCCAGGTTATTTATCTTAAGAGATTTGATATTATCACTCTGATAGTGAAGCTTTAATTGATGCAGCATACTTTCTTCAAGAAGCTACAATCTTTCCCTAAATTCTTAAGATTATATGACAATATAATCTTGTCATATATGACAAGACACAAATCTTGTCTTGTGTTTGTAGATAAAAGACATAACTGATGGCAGCTGTCTTTTATATTATTTTTAACTGACACATAATAATTGTACATATTTATGGAGTACAGTGTGATATTTCAATACATGTATACAATGTAGAATATCCAAATTAGGATAATTAGCATATCCATCACCTCCAACATTTATCATTTCTTTGAGATGGGAACATTCAAAACCTGCTCTTCTAGCTATTTAAAAATATATGATAAATTATTGTTTTTGATTATAGTCACCCTACAGTGCTCTAGTACACTAGAAGTTGTTCATCTTATCTAGCTGCACTTTGGATCCATTAACCAACCATTGGCCATTCCCTCTTCCCCCCATGGCAGTGGCTCTCTTTTCGCCAGCAGGAGGGGATGCCAGCATGGGTGGCCTTATCCCCTGGGCATGTTCTCTCTGGATAACGGCCTTGAGTGGGAACTTGCATCTCACCTGTGAGCTGCCATTGACATCCATTGGTGAGGCCAACAGCATATCCACCAGTAGCAAAGAATTATTCTTTGGGAAGCACACAGTGGGGAGACAGAGGAAGCAGGACTATTGCCAGCAGGAGAATGGGTGAAGGGAATCCATCCAAGTAACCCTCCCCTCCACGTGCCACAACTGGGGATCTTTTGGAAAGACAGTGAGTGAGCTGGTGTGTGGCAATCAGAAATGGGGGGGGTGTCCTGGAAGGGGAGCCCAGGAGCCCAAGAGACAGGCCACGTAGCTACCCATGTATGAGTTGGGAGCAGTATGAACATTTTATTGAGATCCGAACCTATCACTACTGTATCCTAGCCATTTTGGATTTTTTTTTTTTTTTTAAAGGAGGAAATGAAGGAGAAAGAGAATGGATTTTCCTTCCTTTCCGGGCAGAGATCTCAAAGCACACAAATTGAAACAAATGAGTAAATATATTTCCTTTAAACTACAGTATAGTTCGACTTGATGCATTCAGAATGTAAGCAATGTCATCTCCTGATTCTTTTGTTATGAAAGGAACCTGAATTCAAGATGACAACTGATCTGTGAGGCTTTAGCCAGAGGAAGTTAAGCTGGACAAACAAACCTGGATACTGCCAGTCTACTTGTTAAAAAATTATTTTCTGATTCTGGTTTCTATTCAGCTGTTGGGCAAAACACATGCATAATTAAGAACTTCACCTTTGACAGTTTATCTCTTTTTTTTTAACAGAAATAGGAATTTTCCATTTTCATATAGTAATATCAAGATACCCTGCTACATTGAATCCACCAGTAGGTTTTGAAAATAAGCATAAGAAGCCATATAAAAATAAGAAAATCCACTTTTAGGGTTTTAGATTCATGCCGTTTAATTGTTCGTCTATTTCCATGATAAGGTGAGACTGGTCTTGTGTCACCGGAGGGACTATATCCTGCTGTTTTTTTCTCATCCTCATTTACAATGATTATGTTATCAGGCTGGCCAGGCAAAAGGGTGGAGCAACTATAATTTCAAAGCAGGATTAGGTTGAAATAACGAGGTCACCAAGTTGTGGTTACCAAGGCAACGTCACATCTAAGAATATGGGATGCTTCTAGGAGATGAGGCAAAGCCTGGAGCATTTCTCTCCCCCTTGTGCAAAAATCACCCACTTCCTAGATAAAAATTGCTTATTAATTGCTTTTGAACATATTTTATTCTTTATTTTTAGGAACCAGTTTATAAATTATAACCTGATTTACAGTTCCATTTTTAAACTAGTAATACATATCAGAATAATCGTTGTTTTCTCCTCCCTTTTTGGATTCACATGTACTTTTTTCAAGTTTCATTCTCTCCTTCATCCTTTCCTCTCTTTCTTCCTCTCTTCCTCCATTCCTTCCTTCCTTCCCTCCTTTCTTCCTTCTTTCATTTCTGTTTTAATATTGCAGGAAAAAGCCATGGAACAAAAAAGAGGAAATTGAGAGTTGGGTGCTCCCTTGTTCAGACCTTGAGATGACAAAATTGTGATAAGTGACAGAAGCTGTAACCTACACCCACAATACTCATTTGACCCCTTAAAAACTACTGAGCACAAGAGAGAATAACCTTGGTCTTCATTGTTGTTTCTTAAAATTTCAACCCACCTTTACAATTGTGGACTATGGAGGTAAAGCAGGAAAGAGGGAGAAGACCCACAGTCTGTTTCTGATCAATATCAGCTATCAGTCCAAATAATTCCCACCAATTACCTCTTTTTTCCTCTGTATTCATTTCTGTATCTGAGTTTTTCAGATGATAGCTTCAAGTTTCTTCATTTTATAAAAAGCAGGCTTCTTTTAATATGGGCTTGTGTTTGTGAAGCACGGATTTTACATAGGTCTCTTTTTAAAAAGAATATTTCTGACCTAGTGTTGAATCACTGGACATGGTACAGTGTGATTGGAACCCTCAGATTCCTTTGCATTACAACATGACTGCTCTTTAGGATATGTTAACTATTCACCTTTTGCCCTGGCTTTGCATAAAGAATTTGAAGTGTGCTTAAAACCATGCCAGTGTACAGTATTTTCCATCTCCTGGAAATCTATGTCAAAGGAGTCTCATTGCCTTGAGAATGTGTTTAGTTTTCAGCCTGGGAGGATGGAAACCATACAGGCTCTAGAGCCCACCAGATCTGGGTTTGAGGCACTGCTGTGTGACCATGGACAGGTAAAGTCACATCTCTGACTATCTTCACAGGGCAGTTTGAGGACAGAATGAGATATCATGGAAACAGCTCTTAGCTCAACGTCTGATGTGTATGTAGCTCGGGCCTCAAAATGAATCTCCTAATTCAAAAATAATAAAGATGTATATGAAGTTAATCTTTATCTTTGCAGTCTCGCTCCCTCCCTATCTTTTCCCTCTTTATCCTTGGAATAGTTTTTATAAAATGCAAATCAGATTATATTGTGTCCTCGCTGTACTGGGTTAAATTGGGTCCCTCCAAAATTCACTTCCATGTGGAACCTGGGAATATGACTTTTTGGAAATAGGGTCTTTTTGGATGTAATCAACTTAATAATAAAGTCATAGTGGATCATGGTGGCTCTGAAATTCACTGTGACTGGTGGTTTTACAAGAGAGAGATTTGGACAGAGATACCTACAGAGAGAAGGCCATCTGATGACAGAGGGAGGGTTTGGAGTGATGTGTCTATAAGTCAAGGAACACCAAAGATTGCTGACAGCCAGCAGAAGCTAGGAAGAGGCTAGGAGGGATTCTCCTCTCGAGCTTTCAGAGGGAGCACGGCCCTCACCATACCTTTGTTTCAGACTTCTGGCCCTCAGGACTATTAGAAAATGCTTTTCTGTTGTATTAAGCCACTTGGTTTGTGGTTAATTTGTTACAGTGGCCCTAGGAGATTAACACACCTGCTTAAAATCCTGCTGTGGTTCTTCCTGTCATTAAAGTGAGGTCCAGGGTCCTCAACCTTGCTCAAGTCCCCTAGGATCTGCTCCCTGGTGGTATCCCCATTCATTTATCTGAACTTGAGGCTCCATTGGTCCTGACAGCTTTCAATCTGCCAGGTAGAGCTCTGTTTTACCCTTGAGGTGGCACCATCTGCCCATCTCTTCTTAGAACATGCTCTCTCACCAGTCACCTGGTTAACTAGAGGTATCAGCTAAATGTCCTTTCCTCAGAGGTCTTTCCAATACATAGATTGTGTAAGCATCCCTTCAAGTACTCTTACAATGCTCTTCAACATTTCTCCAGTTACTTAGTAGGAAGGTTGGTCTTTCCTGCTAGACTCTAAGCTCAAAGAGGTAACAACGAATTCCTTTTCTTGCTCACTGCTGTGTTCCTGTGTCCCAGCATGGCATCTGGCATTGTGCATGCCCACGGTTAGTATGAATTGAATGGTGCAATGAATGAATGACCGAGGAAATAACTGTTTGGCATATGGTTAAAACTCTTAGTAAGATTTGGTGAGATGTTGAAATCCTGCCGATAGATTCAGAGATAAATTAATTGCTAATTTGCAATTTGAGTTGATTACCATTAGCCAAAAGTGATAGTGATTTTGACTGGTTTCATGAAATACAGAACCAAAGCCCTCCCCCTTCCCATTTGATTGTCTATGTTTAACTAAAAATTAATATATGCTCATTGTAAAAAATTAAAATATTTCAGCCTGGGCAACCTTATCTCTACAAAAAATGCAAAATTTAGCCAGGTGTGGTGGTGTACCCCTGTAGTCCCAGCTACTAGGGAGGCTGAGGTGGGAGGATTGTTTGAACCCAGGAGGCTGAGGCTGCAGTGAGCCATAAGCATGCCACTGCACTCCAGCCTGAATGACAGAACAAGGCTCTGTCTAAAAAAAAAAAATTAAAGTTCAATGAACAGTAAGTTTTCCTTACATGTCGGAACCATGTCTCCCACTGCCTTCCTTAGAAGCAACAACTATGACTTTCTTTTGTAGCCAAGTAGAGATATTTTAAGCATACAAAATGCATATTATACACAATGTTTTGCAGTTTGCTTTGTTCATTTAAAATATACCATAGAGGCCGGGCATGGTGGCTCACGCCTGTAATCCCATCACTTTGGGAGGCTGAGGTGGGCAGATCACGAGGTCAGGAGATCGAGACCATCCTGGCTAACGTGGTGAAACCCCATCTCTACGAAAAATACAAAAAATTAGCCGGGCGTGGTGGCAGGCGCCTATAGTCCCAGCTACTCGGGAGGCTGGAGCAGGAGAATGGCGTGAACCCGGGAGGCGGAGCTTGCAGTGAGCCGAGATGGCGCCACTGCGCTCCAGCCTGGGCAACAGAGTGAGACTCTGTCTTAAAATGCACCATAGAATTTATTTTATATTGGCATGCATAGATAGATCTCATTCTTTTTTATTGGCTGCAAGATCCTCTATTTTGTTCATGTTCCATGATTTATTTAAGTAGCCCACTAATGTTAGAGATTTACATAGTTTCCCATCTTTTGATATTAGAAACAAAGCCCCAATAAACTGTATTTTTGTGAGACTATAACTGTAGGATAACTTTTTAAAGGTGGCATTGCTATGCGCTTAAAAACGTTATATGGTCAGACTCTAACCCAACCATAAATATATTAGAAGTGACCAATTGCAGAAAGAGAATAACTTTGATAGAAAAAAATTAAAGGTATAAAGAGTGCATGAAGTAGCTATTTGGTGGATTATTACAGATTAACTTTTTGTCTTAGATCTGCCTATTTCTTTTTTTTATGTGGGCCAACAGGGTCTAAAGAAAATGGCTGTTAAGCAAGAGAACCAATAGCTCAGTTAAAAAATGGGCAAAGGACCTGAATAGACATTTTTCAAAAGAAGACATACAAATGGCCAATGGGCATTTGAAAAAATGCTCAGCATCACTAATCATCAGGGAAATGCAAATTAAACCATAATGAGATATCACCTAACACCTGTTAGAAGTGCTATGATCAAAAAGACAAAAGATAACAAGTATTGGCAAGGATGTGGAGAAAAGGGAACCCTTGTATACTGTCAGTGGGAATGTAAATTAGTATAGCCTCTATGGAAAAGAGCATTGAGGTTCCTCAAAAAATTAAAAATAAAACTACCATATGACCCAGCAATTTCACTACTGAATATATATTCAAAGGAAATGAAATTAGTATGTTGATGAGATATCTGCACTCCTGTGTTCATTGCAGTATTATTCACAATGGAAAGACATGGAAACAACCTAAGTGTCCATTGATGGATGAATGGATAAAGGAAATGAGGTATAAATACACGCTGGAATACTATTCAGCCTTAAAAACAAAGGATGTCCTGTCATTGTGACACCATGGATGAACTGGAGGACATTATACTAAATGAAACAAGCCAGGCACAGAAAGACAAATACTGCGTGATCTCACATATGTGGAATCTAAAATGTCCAACTCATAGAAGCTGCCAGCAGAATGGTGGTTGCCAGGACTTGGAGTGGGAGATAAGGAGATATTGGTGAAGTGTTACAAAGTTTCAGGTAGACAGGATGAATAAGTTCTGGAGATCTATTGTACAGCATGGTGACTATACTTAATAATACTGTCTTGTATACTTGAAAATTGCTAAGAGAATAGCTCTAAAATGTTCTCAGTGCAAAAAATAAGTATGTGAGTTGATGCGTATGTTAGTTAGCTTGATTTAAACATTTTACAATGTACACGTATGTCAGAACGTCACATTGTACACTGTAAATATGTACAATTTTCATTTTTCAATTATACCTTAATAAATCTGGAAAAAGAAAAGAGAGAAAAAGCCTTCTAGACAAATTCTGAAATTATGATTCTAATTATTATTATTTTCTTTTATCAGCTATATGGCTAATTTTGATATTGGCTAGATTTTTAATGTAGCATATTAAAGAGGAGAATCAAATTAGTTTAAAAAAGGAGTACTGGCTCAAAACAATTTTGCATTATTAAAAACTAAGCACAAGCAATATCTTGCTTGAATTTCAGAAAGATTTAGTAATTATTTTGAGTTTACTATGCTAATCAGGAGTATGTGTGTCAAAATCCTTTAAAAAAACAGGACATTGGCCAGGTGTGGTGGCTCATGCCTGTAATCCCAGCACTTTGGGAGGCCGAGGTGGGTGGATCATGAGGTGAGGAGATGGAGACCATCCTGGCCAACATGGTGAAATCCCGTCTCTACTAAAAATACAAAAATTAGCCAGGCATGGTGGGGTGTGCCTATAGTCCCAGCTAATGAGGAGGCTGAGGCAGGAGAATAGCTTGAACCCGGGAGGCAGAGGTTGCAGTGAGCTGAGATCATGTCATTGTACTCCAGCCTGGGGTCAGAGAGAGACTCCGTCTCAAAACAAACAGACAAACAAACAACACCAAAAAAACCAGGACATCAACAGAATTGGAAAATTCACAGAACCAAGATTCAAAATACCCAACACAATTTTGAAGACTCAAGATATTTGTAAATCAGAGGATGAAGGAACTGATCCCGAAAAATTAAGACATATTGCAGTGTTCTTGGAGATAGGGGGAATATGCCCATAGAAAAATGGCTAGTTTTCAGGACTAGGAGTGCTAGGAATTTATTTCAATATTCATTGATTAAGCACTCATGATATGTACAGTTTTAGAGTAGAAGAGAGATGACTTTCAACCAGAAGGTGCTGGAACTTGTAATTGAAGACAACTATTTGTAAGGACAAGGAATGTTTTATTCTTTCAAATTCCTACTGAATAAAAAGAAATATAAATTACTAAAAATCATTTTTACCTTAAATGTGTGGCTAACCTTTAACCCAGTAATTCCGTATTTATAAATTTATCCTAAAGGAGACAACCTTGAATATACCCTTGCTCCCCTCAGAAAGGAAAAAAGAGACAAAGATAGATAGACACACCTGCACATGCACATATTATATGTGTGTATATATAGTATATATACATATATACATCTATATATGTGTATGTGTGTGTGTGTGTGTATATATATATATATATATATATATATATATATATATAGAGAGAGAGAGAGAGAGAGAGAGAGAGAGAGAGAGAAATAGGGAAACAGAGAAAGGGTGGATCCCCCTTGCGTTGCCTCTTGGAGATCTGAGTAACCTCTTATGTCTTGTTGTTTGGTTCCTGCTTCCTGTTTCTTTTCATGCAGCTTCCGTTTTTTAAAAAATTTCAATTTCAACTTTTTAATTTTAGAGTCGGGGCTACATGTGCAGGTTTGTTGCCTGGGTATATTTTGTGATTCTGAGTTTTGGGGTATGATTGATTCCATCACCCAGGTAGTGAGTGTAGTACCCAATTGTTAGTTTTTCAACACTTGCCCCTCTTCCTCCCTTTCCCCTTTAGTAGTCCCCAGTGTCTATTGTTCCCATCTTTGTGTCCGTAAGTACCCAAAGTTTAGCTCCCACTTATAAGTGAGACATGATATTTGGTTTTCTGTTCCTGCATTAGTTCACTGAGGATAATGGCTTCCAGCTCCATCTAACTTGCTGCAAAAGACATTATTTCATTTCCTTTTATGGCTGAGTAGTATTCCATAGTGTATATAGACTGTATTTTCTTTATCCAATCCACTGTTGATGGGCATCTGGATTGATTCCATGTCTTTGCTATTGTGAACAGTATGGTGATAAACATATGAGTGTATGCATGTGTCTTTTTGTTAGAATGATTTATTTTTTTTTTAATTTCAATAGTTTTTGGGGAACAGGTGGTGTTTGGTTACATGGATGAGTTCTTTAGTGGTGATTTCGAAGATTTTGGTGCACCCATCACCCAAGCAGTGTACACTCTACCCAATGTGTAGTCTTTTATCCTTCACCCACCTCCTGCACTTCCCCTTGAGTCCCCAAAGTCCACTGTATCATTCTTATGCCTTTGTGTCCTCATAGCTTAGGTCTCACTTATAAGTGAGAACATATGATCTTTGGTTTTCCATTCCTGAGTTACTTCATTTAGAATAATGGTCTCCAGCTCTATCCAGATTGCTGCAAATACCATTATTTCATTCCTTTTTATGGCTAAGTGGTATTCCATTATATATATATATATATATCACATGATTTATTTTTTTTTGGATATATATATCCAGTAATGGGATTGCTGGGTCAAATGTTCTCTTTTTAGTTCTTTGAATAATCTCCAAACTGCTTTTCACAGTGGCTGAGCTAATTTACATTTTCACCAACAGTGTATAAGCATTCCCCTTTCCTTGCAGCCTCACCAACATCTGTTGTTTTCTGACTTTTTAATAATAGCCATTTTGAGTGGCATGAGATGGTAGGTATCTCATTGTGGTTTTGGTTTTCAGTTCTCTGATGACTAACGATGTTGAGCATTTTTTCATGTGTTTGTTGGCTACTTGTATGTCTTCTTTTGAGAAGTATCTATTCTTTTGCCCACTTTTTAATAAGGTTATTTGTTTTTTTTACTTGTTGAGTTGTTTAAATTCCTTATAGATTCTGAATATAGACCATTGTGAGCTGCACAGTTTGCAACTATTTTCTCCCATTCTGTAGGTTGTCTATTTACTCTGTTGGTAGTTTCTTTTGATGTTCAGAAGCCCTTTAGTTTAATTAGGTCTCACTTGTCATTTTTTGTTTTTGTTGCAATTGCTTTTGAGGACTCAGTCAGAATTTTTTTCTCAAGTCTGATTGTTCAGATTGGTATTTCCTGTTTTATTTTTCTAAAATTTTCAGTCTGAGGTTTTACATTTAAATCTTTAATCCATCTTGAGTTAATTCAGTTTCTTACATGTCTTTCAGATATGGGATCTAGCCTCTTCATCTATTCTGGGGTAAAAACACACACACACACACACACAAACAACCCAACAAAAGTGTTATTTAAGAGACAAGATTTGTGGGGACATATTCCCTGCACTGTTCTGTTCTCCTGGATTGGTTTGGTCACCATGTCACTAGGGATCCTCTCCTGACCTGTCCCCACTCAGCACCTACCACCACATCCTGCCCTTGCCTGTTTCTCTGTCTCTCTCTCTTTCTCTCTCTCCCTCTCATCTCTCCTCCATGCTATGTCTTTCACTCTGCCTCTCTAGAACAATGAGAAAATTCATCTTCTTGTTTCAGTAAGTGCAGTAAACGCTTTCTTGAAGTTTTGGGGGCCAGTTGCCATATACCCCTTGGAATCTCAGTGTAACCCCAAGCTCTTAATAAGGGATTTCCCCTTAAAGTTTTTCTCCTAAGAGAAATTTTGACACTATGCATTTGAATAATATTTTATTTTTTTATGCCTCTCTATTTTTAGTAAATATTTGAAAACAATCTAAATGGTCATGAGCAGAAGAATGGCTAGATAAATTTTTATCATAACCTAGATTGACTACTATGCAGTCCTAAAATTATATTTACAAAGATATTCATTCTTCAATTCATGTATTCATTTATTAAGTATGTACTGAGGGCCTATTATGTTTTGAGAGCTATGTTGGTCATGTGAACAAGAGGGACAAAATCCCTGTTATAATCTAACAGGGAGAACAAATGTAAAACTAATATTTTTACATTAACTGATGAAGTGTGGTTTTGATAAGTGCTATAATGAGCAGTAGCAGGTGCTAGGAAATTGTAGAAGGGAACCAGAATTGAACTAGAGAAAGTAAACTTTTAAGGTGGTGTCTGAAGCTCAGTTATCTAGGCAAGGAGGCAGTAAGTGGTAGTGGGGGCGAATTCCAGCAGAGGGAACAGCATTTGTGAAGACCCTGGTGTGGAAAGAAACGGACTGAGTTCAAGGAACAGAAAGAGGGTCAATGAGGCTGGAGTGTGCAGAGCAAAGCAGGGATGACATTAAGTGCAGCTGGAGAAGGTGCCAGGGTCAGAACATGCAGAGCCTTATGGACACATTACCAAATTTGGACTTTTGTCTTAAAAATAGAGGAAAGACATTGATGGTTTTAAGCAACAGGATTACATGAGATTTGAGTGTTTTTTTTTTTGTTGTTGTTGTTTGTTTTGTTTTCTTTTGTTTTGTTTTCTTAACACAGTCTTGCTCTGTCACCCAGGCTGGAGGTGAGATCCTGGCTCACTGCAACCCCTGCCTCCTGGGTTCAAGCAATTCTTGTGCCTCAGCCTCTCAAGTGGTTGGGATTATAGGCATGTGCCACCATGCCTGGCTAATTTTTGTATTTTTAGTGGAGATAGGATTTTGTCATGTTGGCCAGGCTGGTCTTGAACTCCTGGCCCCAAGTGATCTGCCCGTCGCTGCCTCCCAAAGTGCTGGGATTACAGGTGTGAGCCACCGTGCCCAGATGAGATTTGAATTTTAAAAGATCATTCTTGCTGCAGTGTAGAATCAAATGTTAAAGACCAAGAGTATACATAACAGAACCAATTAAAGAGTTACTGAAGGTGTTCTGGCAAGAGATGCTGGTGGGTTAAGCTAGTGCCTCTCAGCCAGAGGTAGTTTTAACCCTCAGTATGCAACCCACACTTTTTGACAATAGATGGAGACTTTTTTTCTGAAATTAATCTAATGACTCCAGCTTTCTTTGACTAATGTTAACAGGATATATTTTTCTCTACCACTTTTCTTTTAACCTGTCTGTGCCTTTGTGTTTAAAATGAGTTTCTTGTAGACAATAAGGTCTTTTTTTATCATTTTTTTAAAAAAACAATTACAATCTCTGTCCTTTAATTGGCATGTTTAAGCCAATTTATATGTAAAGTGATAATTGATATAGTTGAATTACTGTCTGCCATGTTTATCATCATTTTCTTTTTGTTGTACTTTTTTTTGTTTCTTTTTTCTTCTCTTTTTCTGCCTTCTCTGGTTTTAATTGAACATTTTATACCATTCCATTTTCTCTCCACTCATAACTTATCAATTATACTTCAATTGTACTAAAACTTTTTTGTAGTAGCTGGCCTAGCGTTTGCAGTACACATTTACAATGCACCTAAGTCTCTTTTAAGTAACTCTATATTGCTTCATAGGTAACATAGGTATCATATAACAGCACACTCTCAATTTCTCTCTCCCATCCTATAGCATTGCTTTCACTCATTTCACGTATGCATATCCTATAATCACACAACACATTGTTATTACTTTGAACAGTTTTCTATTTGATCAGTTAAGAATAAGAAAAAATAGTTCCAGGTCTTACATTTCAGTCTTTAATCCATCTTGAATTAATTTTTGTATATGGTGAGAGATAAGGCTCCAATTTCATTCTTTTGCATATGGCTATCCAATTTTCCCAGTACCGTTTAATGAGTAATATGTCCTTTCCTCATTGTATAGTTTTGTCAACTTTGTTGAGGATCAGTTGGTGGTAAGTATGTGGCTTTATTTTTGGGTTCTATATTCTGTTCCATTGATCTATGTGTCTATTTTTATACCACTACCATGCTGTTTTGGTTACTATAGCCTTGTAGTATAATTTGAAGTTAGGTAATGTGATGTCTCTAGCTTTTTTCTTTTTGCTTAAGACTGCTTTGGCTATTTGGGCTCTTTTTTGGTTTTGTATGAATTTTAGAATGATATTTTCTAATTCTGTGAAAAAAACATTGGCTGTTTGATAGGTATTGCATTGAATCTGTATATTGCTTTGGGAAATATGGTTGTTTTTAATATTATTGATTCTTCCACTCCATAAGCATGATATATTTTTCCATTTGTTTCTGTCATCTATGATTTCTTTCATCAGTTTTTTTTTGTAGTTCTCTTTGTAGAGATCTCTTACCTAGTTTTTTTTTTGTGGTTATTGTAAAGAGATGAACTCCTGATTTGGTTCTCAGCTTGAACATTATTGACGTATAGAAATGCTACTGATTTTTGTATCCTGTTGATTTTCTGTCCTGAAACTTTACTTCAGTAATTTATCAAGTCTAGTAGTCTTTTGGAGGGGTCTTTATGTTTGTCTGTGTATAAGGTCATGTCATCAGTGACCAGAGATAATTTGATTTTCTCTTTTCCAATTTCGATGCCTTTTATTTCTTTCTCTTGCCTGATTGCTCTGGCTAGACTGGAAACTATAAAAATCCTATAAGAAAATCTAGGAAAAACTCTTCAGGACATTGGCCTAGGCAAAGAATTTATGACTAAGACCTCAAAAGCGAATGCAACGAAAACAAAAATAGACAAATGAGACTTCATTAAACTAAAAAGCTACTGCACAGCAAAGGAAATAATCAACAGAGTAAACACACAAGCTACAGAATGGGAGAAAATACTTCCAAACTATGTATCTGATAAAGGACAAACATCCAGAATATACAAGAAACTCAACTCAATGAGAAAAAAACAAATAACTCCATTAAAAAGTGGGCAAAGGACATGACAAACATTTATCAGAAGAAGGCATACAAGTTCTCAAAAATATATAAAAACAACATCACCAATTATCAGATAAATGCAAATCAAAACCACAATGAGATGCCATCTCATACCAGCCAGAATTGGCTGTTATTATAATTTATTTTATTTTAAGTCCCTGGATACATATGCAGGATGTGCAGGTTTGCTACATAGTTAATTGTGGGCCATGGTGGTTTGCTGCACCTATCAACCCATCAGCTAGGTATTAAGCCCTCCATGTGTTAGCTGTTTATCCTGATGCTCTCCATCCTCCTGCACCTTACCGCCTACAGGCCCCAGTATGTGTTTCCCTCTCTGTGCCCATGTCTTCTCATTGTTCAGCTCCCACTTAAAAGTGAGAACATGCAGTGTTTGGTTTTCTGTTCCTGCATTAGTTGCTGAGGATAATGGCTTCTGGCTCCCTCCATGTCCCCGCAAAAGACATAGTCTCATTCCTTTTTGTGGCTGCATAGTATTCCATGGTGTATATGTAGCACATTTTCTTTATCCAGTCTATCATTGATGGGAATTTGGGTTGACTCCATGTCTTTGCTATTGTGAATAGTGCTGCAATGAACATACGCATGCATGTATCTTTATAATAGAATGATTTATATTCCTTTGGGTATATGTTCAGTAATGGAATTGCTAGGCCAAATGGTATTTCTGGCTTTAGGTCTTTGAGGAATTGCCACACTGTCTTCCACAATGATTGAACTAATTTACATTCCCACTAAGACTGTAAAAGCATTGCTTTTCTCCACAGCCTCGCCAGCATCTGTTGTTTCTTGACTCTTTAATAATGGCCACAGAGTCAAAAAACAGCAGATGCTGGCGAAGATGCAGAGGAGAGGGAATGCTTATACCCTGTTGGTGGGAATGTAAATTAGTACAACCTCTATGGAAAGCAGTATGAAGATTTTTCAATGAACTAAAAATAGAGTTAACATTTGATCCAGCGACTCTAGTATTGAATATCTACCTAAAGGAAAAATATTATATATATATATGTTTATTGCAGCACTATTCACAATAACAAAGTCATAGAATCCACCTAAGTGTCCACCAATGGTGGATTAGATAAAGAAACTTTAATATATATAGACAATGGAATGCTATGCAGTCACAAAAAAGAATGAAATCATGTCTTTTGCAGCAACGTGGAGGAAGCCGGAGTTCATTATTCTAGGTGAAATAACTCGGAAACAGAAAATCAACTACTGCATGTTCTCATTCATAAGTGGGAGCTAAACAGTGGGTACACATGGACATACAAAAGGAAATAATAGACACTGGAGACTCCAAAAGGGGAGAGGTGGGGGTGGTTGAGGGTTGAGAAATTACCTATTGGGTACAATGTTTACTATTCAGGTGATGGGTACACTAGAAGCCCAAACTCCACCAGTAGGCAATATATCCATATAACAAACCACCATGTGCATGCCCTGATTCTATTTAAAAAAAGAATAAGAAAATAATCAAAGATTTTACATTACCTTAATTTATTCCTTTTCTGGCTCCTTTCCTTTCTTTATGTAGAGCTGAGGTTTTGATTATTATAATTTTCCTTCTCCCTAAGAAC
Organism: Homo sapiens; assembly: GCF_000001405.40. NCBI lineage: Eukaryota > Metazoa > Chordata > Mammalia > Primates > Hominidae > Homo > Homo sapiens. Next base: position 17,304,843 of record NC_000004.12, on the reverse strand, counting down.
TTCTTTTCATATTTCATGGAGGACCAGTTTGCTGGCAATGAATTTCCCAAGTTTTTGCTTGCCTGAGAAAATATTTATTTCTTCTTCACTTTGGAAGGATAATTTTGCTGGGTGTAGTATTCTAGGGTTTTTTTTTTTTTTTTTTAACATTTTAAGTATTTCAATCCACTCTGCTTTTGCTTGCATGGTTTCTGACAAGAAACATGTTGTAATTCTTGTCCTTTTTTTTACTCTCTGTATTCTTTCAAAATGTTCTGTTTGTCTTTGGTTTTCTTCAATGTTCCTATCATATGCCCAAGTGTAGACATTTTAGTATTTATCCTACTTTGTGTTCTCTGTGCTTCCTGGATCTGTGGTTTACTGTCTGTCGTTAATTTTGGAATGTTCTTGGCCATTATTATTTTAACTATTTCTCTCTTTTCTTTCTGGTATACAATTGTGTGCATGTTACACCTTTAGAAATTGCCAACAATTCCTGGATATTCTGTTCTGTTTTCAAATTCTTTTTTTTTTTTTGTATTTCAGTTTGGGAAGAAGTTTCTATTGACATATCTTGAAAGTCACTGATTTGTTCCTTGGCTGTGTCTAGTCTATTGATGAGCCATCAAAAAGCCATTCTTCATTTCTGTTCCAATGTTTTTGATTTCTGGCCTTTCTGTTTGATAATTTCTTAGAGATTCTATCATTGTGTTTATATTACCCATTTGTTCTTGTATGCTGCCTACGTTTTCCATTAGATTCCTTAACATATTAATTACAGTTATTTTAAATTTCCTGTCTGACAATGCCAAAATCTGTGTCATATCTGAGTCTGTTTCTCATGCTTGCTTTGTCTCTTCAGATGGTGTTTTTTCTTGTGTTTTGTCATGCTTTGCAATTTTTTATTGGAAGCTGGATGTAATATATCAGGTAATAGGCACTGAGGCAAACAGGCCTTTAGTATTAGGTTTTATATTTATCTGGCTGGGATCTTGGCTCTATGTAATGTTTGCTGTAGCTGAAGGCAAAAGGGCTTCAAATTCCTCTAGTGTCCTTGTTTTAATCTTTCCTCTTGTCTTTGGCGTTCTCTAAATGTTATTCTTAAATAGAGTTTGTACCTGTGTCCGCTTTAATCTTGTACCTGTATGAGTTTTAATCCACTCTTATTATACTGAAGTCCTGTTGATGGGCTAGTAAGAAGTGAGGGAGGGGAGGCATTCTATAATTCAAATCAAATCTCAATATTTTTCTGGGCTTGTGTCTCTGGGCTGTGACCTTCATAAGTGTTTCTTATCTCCCCCTGCTGCCCACCTCCCTTAGGTGAGACAGGAAGGTTAGAAGGGGCTGGGGTTAGGTAATTTTGTCCCCCTGGATAAGATAAGGCTCTGAAAAAGTTTTTTACTTGGGAGAGAAGGTTTTTGTTATGTAGAATGCACTGCATATATTTCAAAATGATTATAATATCTAGGACAGCCCCCTCCAAGGAAGAATTTTCTGGCCTCAAATATCAATGGTGCCAATGTTGAGAAATGCTTGTCTAGGGTGACGAAAATAGAACAGGAGAAAAGCAAATGTGTTTGAGATATATTTAGAAGGTAGAATTGATTAAGACTTACTGATACACCGAATGTTGGAGGAGGGGGAATGAATGACAAAGATGACTCCCTGGTGTCTGGCTTAACTTGCTGGCAGATACCATTATCAAGAAAGGAATGCTAGAGGAAGAGCATGTTTGGAGTGGGGAAGTACAAGTAAGCTTTCCAATAACACACGGAAAGGTCTAAATGAAAACATTTGGGTAAAAGTTTTCTATGTATTATTATGTTAAACATAAAGAAAACAAAGTCTCATGAATAGAGAAGAGACTGGTTAGGTTAAAATACTCTCTGTGTGTGTGTGTGTGTGTATGTCCACGTGTGTGTGTGTGCACACATGTACATGTGTTTTAATGTTTAGGTCTGAGTAAACTTAAAATAATTTTATTTATGTGAAACTATTACTGGTACTAATACTAATACTGAAGGGACTCAACAATATTAAATGTGTTTGTTTTTGAGCAGTGGAACTGATAATTTTTTTTTTTTTTGAGATGGAGTCTCACTCTGTTGCCCAGACTGGAGTGCAGTGGCATGTTCTCCACTCACTGCAAACTCTGCCTCCCAGATTCAAGTGATTCTCCTGCATCAGCCTCCTGAGTAGCTGGGATTATAGGTGCCCACCATCACACCTGGCTAATTTTTGTAATTTTAGTAGAGACGGGGTTTCACCATGTTGGCCAGGCGGGTCTTGAACTCCTGACCTCAAGTGCTCCCCCTGCCTTGGCCTCCCAAAGTGCTGGGACTACAGACATGAGCCACTGTGCCTGGCCAACTTTTTAAAAGCCTGACTTTTATTTTTTAATATCAAGTATGTATTTGGTATTATATATCCCAACTTGACTTGCAGTATACAGATTAGGTTAATACAATCTCACCTCTGTGTGTGTGTGTGTTTCCACGTGTGCGTGTGCATACATGTGTACATGTGTTTTAATGTTTAGGTCTGAGTAAACTTAAAAGAATTTTGCTTATGTGAAACTATTACTGGTGCTAATACTGTTAATAGCTAACACTGAGTCTTTAGTATGAGCCCAACCTTATGCTAAGTACTTTATATGGAATAATTTTTTGTGGCAACAGCAAAATGACCATAGTACAACTAATACTTTGATAATCATTAGAGATATTCCACTGAGATCTGCTTCTTCTTCCCCTCTGGGCACACGGTCGGATTGTACTTTCTTAGCCCCAGTGGTTAGATGAGGTCATGTCACTACTGTGGCCAATGAGTTTTGAGTGAATGAGACACTTTCATTCTGGATATTTAATTGCTGGTGCAAGACCTTCCAGGCTCTCTTTCCCTCTGACATGACAACCAACGGCATTCAAGATAGTGGCTGCTGTGACCCTGGGTCCTTGAGTGACCTGATTAGCAGAAATCCCTTGTTGATCTATTCAGTCTGTCGTATGAAGAAAAAATACATTTCAATTGTTTTAAGCCACTGAAACACTGAGGTTGTTTGTTAACATAGCACATCCTGACTTATCCTGACTACTACAAATATCTACTGGACTCTTGCTATGCCCTAGGAACTTAGAAAGTGCTTTGCATTTATTCTCTCACTTTGTTTTCATAGCACCTCTGTGAAGTAGGTATTATTATTGTTTTCATTTTTAGATAAGGAAACTAGACACAGAATAAATAACTTGCCAATGTAACAAGTTAGTGTCAAAGCTGGGATTCAAGCCCAGGCAATCTGGCTCAACTAAGCCACCCCTTTCTATGGGACATTGTGCAAAATATTTAAGGCTGAAAAAAAAAAAAAAGAATGAACTATGGCTCTGCCTTTGAGAGTATTCTCAGTTCATCTTGGAAAAACAAGATACATATTTATAAAGACTTAACTGACAATTAGGCACAAGGCATCGTATAAATGCCAAAGGAAAGACATTGTCAGCATGTATGTTGACAGCAGAATTCAGAAGGAGAGATGACTTAAAGTTTTGGGAATAGAAGAAAGCTTCCTGCATGTGGGAACTGAGCATTGGAGAGAATTTAAGTGAGCAGAAATTTTAGTTGAAAGTCTTAAGAAATATAAGTTCTAAGAGGACATGGAGTATGCTTTCTACTCTCTCTGCATACTTGTCAACATTTCTGAACATTGCAGGAATTAAATAAGTCATAAGAATCCCCTACAAATTAAATTTTCTAAGCAGGTTAATATTTCCCACTGTCTGTTGAGCATCAGTGCTTGACTTCCCTTTGGCATTTCAAAATCATTCTTTCCAAACCTGATTTTTCTTTATTAATGATGTTAATTTCCACCCAACTATACAAGACAAAAAATCTTGACATTATTTATTTCTCCTTTCCTCCTTTATTTTCCCTATTTGATCATGCAGTTTTTTTTTTTTTTTTTTTTTTTTTGAGATGGAGTTTCACTCTTGTCGCCTAGGCTGGAGTACAGTAGTGCAATCTCGGCTCACTGCAACCTCTACCTTCTGGGTTCAAGTGATTCTCCTGCCTCAGCCTCCCAAGTAGGTGGGATTACAGGTGCTCACCACCACGCCCAGCTAATTTTTGTATTTTTAGTAGAGACGGGGTTTCACCATGTTGGCCAGGCTGGTCTTAAACTGCTGACCTCAGGTGATCCACCTGCCCTGGCCTCCCAAAGTGTTGGGATTACAGGTGCGAGCCACCACGCCCGGCCAATATCTTCTACAATTCTAAATCAGGGTCATTTTTCTGAATTAGTCCTTTTGACTTGTTCGTGATGCTACTCTTTTAGTTCAGGCCAGCATTGTGTCTTACCTAGACAACTACGAAAGCTCCCATAAATGTTTTTCTCTCCTTTCCCTCATCTTCACATAATTCCTAAAGATCCAGTCTTACTTTACGGCTCTCCTGATTTAATATTTCCGCTGGCTTTCCACTTTATCCCTAGGATAAATCCATATGCCTTCCCCTAGTATCTCAGTCTGTGTGCTGTAATAAAATACTACAGACTAGGTGATTTAAAAAGAACAGTTCTGGAGGTGGGAAGTCCAAGATCAAGGTGCAGGCAGATTTGGCGTCTGGTGAGGGCACAGTCTCTGCTTCTGAGATGGTGCCTTGAACACTGTATCCTTACATGGTGGAAGACGGAAGGGCAAGAAAAGCCTAAGCTACTTCCCTCCAGCCCTTTTATAAGGCACTAGTTCATTCATGAGGGTGAAACTCTTATGACTTAATTGTTTCCTAAAAGACTTCATCTCTTCCCCGGGCACGGTGGCTCATGCCTGTAATCCCAGCACTTTGGGAGGCCGAGGTGGGCAGATGATGAGGGCAGGAGATCAAGACCGTCCTGGCTAACACAGTGAAACCCCGTCTCTACTAAAAATATAAAAAAATTAGCTGGGCGTGGTGGCGGGCACCTGTAGTCCTAGCTACTCGGGAGGCTGAGGCAGGAGAATGATGTGAACCCAGGAGGCAGAGCTGGCAGTGAGCCAAGATTGCGCCACTGCACTCCAGCCTGGGTGACAGAGTGAGACTGAGTCTCAAAAAAAAAAAAAAAAAAAAAAAACTTCATCTCTTAATACCACCACAATGGGAATTAAGTTTCAATAAGTGAATTTTGGGGGACATTCAGACCTTAGCACTTGCTAAATAAGCCCTTGACAATCTGTCCTTCTTTTTCCCTGGTTTCGTCTTCTGTTTGCACTTCCACAGTACAAACCATTCAGAGGCATGGAGAGCAGACCCTGAACTCGGATAGCTCAATGTCTCTGCACTGCTGTTTCCTTATTTCACGATGCCCTTCCTCTCCTTCTCTAATATACCAGTTTCTGCATATCCTTGATAAACCAGGTCAAACGACACCTTTCCATTAAGGTTTCCATGACTTCTGTACAGGGGTTTAAATCTCTTCTTCATGTTACATAGTATTTTTTGTTCATCTGAGTTCAACACTTAACCTAGTATATTTAATTACTTGCTTCCAGATTGTCTTTCCCCATTAAGCTGTGCAAGTATTCTTATTCTTTTAAGAAGGCACTTATTCCAATGACCTTATGTAGGTCCTAAATGTAATTCCTCATTGTCATTACTGGTGAGGAATTAAGCTATTAGTTTGGTTTGATCTTATTGGTTAGAAGAAAGGAAGACACTGGCTCCATAGATTTCTCTTAGGTCTTTCTGGTTACTGGGGACTATTTCAGGGCCATGGACAAAGGTAATTCAGTACTGAAATGTTTGCTGTGCTCTTAGTAAAGAATCAGACCTCGTGTGCTTCCTCAATAAGCATGAGACCAATCAAGGGTTGAGCAGAGTGTCCCAGCCAGCAACCCCCCTAGAATTCCAGGGGCACCCGGGCAAAGGCTGTAGAGAGACAGTCAGAAATCTCTGGCTTGTAGTTACTTTCCACTTATTGAAGACTTCTTTAGTACAAAAATGAGGTGGTCACACAAAGGAAATAATGAATTCTGGAATTTTGTTTCCCCCTTGTTTTTGAGTTTTTTGTTTTTTGTTGGTTTTTTTTTTTTCCCCGCAACCTCTTCCTCCTGGGTTCAAGCGATTCTCCTGCCTCAGCCTCCTGAGTAGCTGGGATTACAGGCATGTGCCACCATGCCTGGCTAATTTTGTATTTTTAGTAGAGATGGGGTTTCTCCATGTTGGTCAGGCTGGTCTCTAACTCCTGACCTCAGGTGATCTGTCTGCCTCAGCCTCCCAAAGTGCTGGGATTATAAGCATGAGCCACCATGCCTGGTGGAGTTCTTTCTTAAATAAGGGTGTCCGGTAGTCATTTGGCCATTTCACCCCTTAGCAAAAAGGTCTATTTTAGTATAACATTTCTTGAGCGTTTACTATGTGTGGACTAGGCATAGCTTGGATAATGAAGACATGGAACAATTCTTCAACTGAAAAAGAATGCAGACAGACAGACACATGCACACACACATAGGCCATGAAAATACTTCTCCTAGATGTGTCTGCTCTAGAACTTTCTGGGCTGTTAGGTGAGCACAATTTGCTACCAAGACTAATGACTAGACTTCAGTGTTGGTTCATTACGATTTTCCTGTCAAATCAGTGTATGCATGAATATAATACAGATGATCCAGTTTAACTTGCATCCAAATTCCATTGCTCAAATCAGTAGTGTAGACATGGCCTATGGTCAGCCTATCTCCCCACCTGGGAATTTATTGGGAAATGTTGCTTTTCCCTTTTTGTATGCATTACCTTTCTTTGCTTTTCCAATAAAATTGATTTTTGCTCAGGATGAATCCCTTCCTATGATTACTCACAGTGTCGTTGATGGAATAAAGTTCTGAGGAAAAAGCACATTTTATATTCCATGTGGGAGAAACCTCACTGGGTATGATTATTTTTAACCATGTGAAGTTCCATGTGAATTTTCATTAGATGTACAAACATTTTCAACAGAGCCTGGAGACAGGAAGGTGCTGTACTTTGTACCTGAGTCTCTGAAAGCATTCGGTTGGCTTCAGCAGTTATCTGACCTAAAGGAAACCAAGTTCTCTTTCCTCATTGCAGTCTGCCAGCTTTCCCTTCTTCCTCGCCTAAGCTTTTCAAGCGTTTGTGTCTCAGCTCAGAGGGGGAAGCAGGGAGAATGGGCCCTGACTAAATCCAGATAACATAAACATTCATTTAAAATCAGGTGGAAGAAATAAACCGGACAGCTATTGGAACAACTAAGTTCAGCAGAAGGCCACAAAGATATAGAAATATCAATAGCTTTTTAAATATACCAATTATGTGCTATATAAATAAATAAATATTCTTTATAGTTGTGTCTGTAGTGAAAAAAAAACACAAAGTCTTACTCAGTTGGAAGATATTTTTAGCAGTTGGGCTATGCCTAATATTTGTGGCTTTTTGAAAACAGTATTATCTGAGAAAAAATTAATAATTCTGCCTCAATGGCTAGTCACTGGGTATTTTAAATAATTCTGCAAATAAGTATAGAACCCTTCTTTATGAACTTTTGTGACATGACATTATTATGTTACTGCAGAATAGATGAAAAACAGCACCTAATTTCTGTTCAGCCACAATGAGAGGTGAGGTTACAGCCTACTTCATTAATCTTACAGATAAGAAATAAACTTGTTTTTCCTAAACTGTTATGAGATTGATACCCCCGCTACTGTTGTGTTTTGTTTATTTGTGTAAACTGTCTGGGCTTGTGGGCACTGTACTTGATTTGTCACTTCTGGATAAGATAATTTGGGATCTTTCACATTTCCAAATTATGTTGTGCCTAAGGAGTTGAACCAGCTGACAAATGTGATGTGCCTGTGCTGTGGCTCTGAAGGGGGGACGCCACAAGGGGGCTGATAGTGTGAGCGGCGTGTTGGTTTATTAACAGACACATTTGATTCCAGAGGTTAATGCTTTTGTGCACAAGACAGATTACACAGCACACAGTCTGCATCCTGAAAGGAGACTCAGAGGTGCAGTGAGGTGGGTTGGGGACTTGGTTCCTTGGAGCTGCTGTTGCTGTCAGCCTGCTTTAGGGGAAGTACTGTGGACCCAGTTCTTGGAAGACCATGTTTCTGGGTTTCTAGAATTGGACCCTTTCCTGCAGTTGTGGATTTTTGATTTTAATTTTGCCATTGCCTATGTAAGCCACCTTTAAAAAAAAAGTTTGGGATAGGAATTTGGGAATGCTGCAGGCATAGGCAACTTGTTGCATTGTCATGAATGCAGCCTTGAGTGAAGTCATTGTGTCAATCTATAAAAAAAAGTCAGACAATAGTAAAAATATGTAATGCTTATTGAGTGGTGTATGCAAGACACTGTTCAAAATATTCTCATGTATTATTTAATTCTCATTTCAAGATGACGTGGATACTACTCATCCATTTTGTAGATAATAAAACTGAGGCTCAAAGTCATTAAATAACTGCCCAAGGTCATTAACTTGAGGAGAGAATCTCCGCAAGTGTCTTTTCAACCCAAGTAAAGGCAGCTGCAGAGCTGCACTCCGAGCTGTGGTGACAGTAGCTCCCATGGGTAGGAAAAAACTTCACTTGGAGGTAATTCTAATTTGTTTATTTTTCTCAATGGGTCTACAGTCTGGCGTTGAGTTTGATCTCCTCTTGAGAGAGCATAAAAATGGTTCCTCGGCTCACATTCATCCTTAGCAGAAAGATGTCTCCCTTGATCCAAGACTTTAATACCAGAGACAGTGATATGGTTTGGCTGTGTCCCCACCCAAATCTCATCTTGAATTGTAGTTCCCATAATCCACATGTGTCATGGGAGGGACCCGATGGGCAGTAATTGAATCATGGGGGCAGTTACCTCCATGCTGTTCTCATGAGAGTAAGTTCTCACGAGATCTGATGGTTTTATAAGGGGCTTTCCCCGCTTTTGCTCAGCGCTTCTCCTTGCTGCCACCATGTGAAGAAGGATATGTTTGCTTCCCCTTCTGCTGTGATTGTAAGTTTCCTGAGCCCTTCCCAGCACTGAGGAACTGTGAGTCAATTAAACCTCTTTTCTTTATAAATTATCCAGTCTTGGGTATGTCTTCATTAGCAACATGACAATGGACTAATATAGGCAGAGAATTAGTGTTTTTCTAGACAACTACTCCAAGCATCCTCACTCACTGAATTTCTGTAGCTCTGGGTTCCTGTAATAGCTACTATACAGATTTGTATAACTTGAGATAATAACGACACTGCTGCTTCACCCTGCCTTTTTCTTCTGTATGCTTTCTGTTAAAGGACCATTAGCCTTGGAATAATGTCTCATGGATTCTGCTGTTCACCTGGTCTTTAAAGGCAGGAGTCCACTGATGCTTTTCCTGAGAAAATCTGTCTGCCATTTTGACCACAATCTGAGAAAGATCCCCACTTTCCTCCAAGTCACTGAATCTGTGACACATTCTATGTTATAAAGAAATAAAGAAACATCTCCTTTTCTTTAAGAACTAAAATTAGAACTACTGTTCAATCCAGCAATCCCACTACTGAGTATCTACCCAAAGGAAAAGGAGTGATTATATGAAAAAGATACATGCACGTACATGTTTATAGCAGCACAATTCATAATTGCCAAGGTATGGAACCAACCGAAGTGCCCATCAACCAATGAGTAGATAAAGAAAATGTGGTATATATACACCATGGAATACTATTCAGCCATAAAAAGGAATGAAATAATGTATTTTGCAGCAACTTGGATGGAACTGGGGGCCATTAATCTAAGTGAAGTAACTCAGGAATGGAAAACCAAATATTTTATGTTCTCACTTATAAGTGGGAGCTAAGCTATGAGGATGCAAAGGCATAAGTATGATATAATGGACTCTGGGGACTCACGGGGGCAGGGAAGGTTGGGAGGGGAGTGAGGGATAAAAGACTACACTACACATTGGGTACAGAGTATACTGCTCAGGTGATGGGTGCACTAAATCTCAGAAATCACCACTAAAGAACTTATCCATGTAACCAAAAATCACCCGTATGCCAAGAAGTATTGAAATAAAAAAAATTAAAAAAGAAATATCTCCCTGTCCCTATTTGTCTCCTTGCTTACCTATGGTATCTTCAGCAACCCTAATGTATGGCTGTTTTGTTATTTCACGTCTGCTCTCAGTGAGTGACTCCATAGTGGAGCCCAAGCTGCAGTTTCTCAATTTTAAGAGTCACATTTCTGCCCACATTTTAACATCTCTGAAATTGGGATATATCTTACAGTCAATGGTACACAAGATTTAAATGGGGGCATTTTTTCTTTCTTAGAGATACATAAAATAGTGTATCACATTATTGATGATTACTTAGATTCAATGAAATGGGATGATATGTATTTGAGGACCTGGGGGAAAAAATCTCTTTTCGAGTCAATGTTTGTCAAATGCCTGCTAGATACTAAATGTTTGCCAAATGTTAGAAATACAGATATGAACAGGGTAGATCCCTAACCTCAAGGAGCTCACAATCTCCTATTTAATAAGAGTGATAAAAAGTTTAAGAAGTGAGGACTGGGATGTATTAATGCATGCAAAGGGATTTGCAATGTTTAAAACAATTTCTAAGTATACATTGTTATTATTATGTCCTGAGTTCTATGATACTAAAACTGCCTTCAGAATTACAGTTGGGACCATCATTCTTCAAGGCTGTCATTATATTCCCTTGATGCAATATTTTTCTGACAGAAATCTGACAGAAATCAACCAGTCCTCAGAGTTTTTACTCTTAGCCTTCCTCTCAACTTAACGAGGGATCCTTTATCTTAATTAGGTTTAAATATATCTTTGTTTGACCCTAATCAACCCCTACTGTAGAGCTGTGAATTTCTTATGCTTTTTTCTTTGTCATTTTTTAATTGACTTTCCTTAGTGAGTTCTTTCAGCTAACAGACCCCTTTAGAAAATGAAGTGGTGGAAAATAGTAGAGAGTGAAGCAAACTTACATGGAATCTGCTCTGGTTTAGCCATTTTTGTCTGTGCCTTCAGTCTTCAGTTCATGGTACTCTGAGTATGGTCCATAGACTATCACTTGGAAACTTTTTAAAAAATGCTGAATCTCAGGCCCCACCCCAGATCTACGAACAGAATCTGCCCAAAGTTGTTTGCGTCCACGTGAAAGTTTGAAAATTACAGTTTAACATCACAAAGCTGAAAAGTGGAGGAGTGAGGATTCAAATCTAGTTTTTTACTGATGTAAGTTATACTCTTCCACACTGATTCTTCTGTGTTCTAAAATGCCAGTGCACTGAAAGTGAAATAATATCTTTACCTATTTATATTTTTCTTACAACCCTAGACACAATAAAGAGCTTATTAAAATCAAACAGTAAAAATAAATGTTTACATCATGATGATCTCCTCAAAACATTACACTCCATGTGCTCAAAGGTCCAGAGAGCTCAGGATTATTGTAAGGATGGGGAAGAATGAGTGGGATGAAGCCAAATGGATAAAACCAAATTATGGCCATGGTTGTCAGAACAGCCATGTTCAGAGGTTGAAATTTCACATCCTACTCTTCCAATTGCAGGAAGTGATAAGAAGGAATGGAAAGGCCTCTACTTAGGAAGAAGGAGGAGGAGGAGGCAAGAAGAGGGATGCTGGCTGGCCACCAGCTGATGAAATATTGCCAAGTGTTGTGATAAATAAAGAGAAATGAAGGGCATTCTTGGATACAAAATGGTATCAAATGGCTTCATTTGGATTCAGTGCTGTTCTTTTTGTTGTTGTTGTTGTTGTTTTAGAGAGGAAGGGTCTTGCTCTCTCTCCCAGGCTGAAGTGCGGTGGTACAATCATGCCTCACTGCAGCCTCAACCTCGCAGGCTCAAGCAATCCTCCTGCCTCGACCTCCTGAGTAACTCAGGTGCGTGCCACCACACCCAGCTACTTTTTGTATTTTTTTGTAGAGATGGCTTTTTGTCATGTTGCCCAGGGTGGTCTTGAATTCCCAGGCTCAAGAGATACATCCACCTCAGCCTCCTGAGTAGTTGGGGTGACAGGCATACACCACCGCACCCAGTTAATTATTTATTTTTTGTAAGGACTCATTATATTGTCCATGCTGGTCTCACTGGGTTCATGTGATCCACCCGCCTTGGCGTCCCAAAGTGCTAGGATTACAGGTGTGAGCCACCATCCCTGGCCATGGATTTGGTGTTATTTATTTATTTATTTATTTTTGAGACAGAGTCTCGTTCTGTCACCCAGGCTGGAGTGCAGTGGCATGATCTCAAGTCACTGCAACCTCCACCTCCTGGGTTTAGGCAATTCTCCTGTTTCAGCCTCCCCAGTATCTGGGACTACAGGCACACACGACCATGCCTGGCTAATTTTTTGTGTTTTTAGTAGAGACAGGATTTCACCATATTGGTCAGGCTGGTCTTGAACTCCTGACCTCAGTTGATCCACCTGCCTCAGCCTCCCAAAGTGCTAGGATTACAGGCGTGAGCTACCGCACCAGGCCTGGTGATATTCTTTATAGAATAACAACCCTTTTCCTAGTAATACCTTTGGTAATCATTATAGAAAATGGTATGGACAAATATTCTTATCTCCGTTTTATGGACAAAGAGTAAGAGACTTAAGATATTAAGTATGAAGCCATATCTAGAGAAGCACAGGGCCCCTGATGTAAGTGCTTTCTTCAATATATCCCTGGTCCTTAACCTAAGTCATACTTGTTCAGTACTTAAAATTTGTCCTGCATCTGCACAACACCTCTGCTGTTATTTACTGAATATTTTTCTTTACATTGATTCCTTTAAATTTACCCTCTACTAAGTACTAATATTTGTGAAATTATGGGTTACATGTGCTTGTTATATATATTTAAAAACATATTAAAATGGATTTATAATTATCTGAAAATTTACCTGCTTAAGTAAATTGCCATTCATTCATACATTGACCATTTGCCTTAATGCCACATTGTCAATCTTTTAAAACTTTATATTTGGAAATAAATTTAAATGGACAGAAGAGTTTCAAGAAGAGCACAAATAATTCTATACACCTTTCATCATGTCACTGTGTTTGCTGTATCATATTCCCCTTGGAAATCAGAAAAGTTAGTGATAGTACAATACTATCATCTAATCTACAGTCCTTATTCCAATTTTGCCTGTTGTTCCAAACATGTTCTTCATATAGCATTTTATCTGCTAATTCTCACCAATTCTGCCAAATTCTGATTAAGATCCAAACGAGTTTCAGGCACTACCATTGGTTTTCATGTCTCTTGGCTCTCTTTTCATCTGGAACACTTTTTTAGCTTTTCTTTGCCTTTCAGGACATTGACATTTTTGAAGAGTACAGGTTTCTTGTTTGGTAGAATACCCTTAGATTTTAGTTTGTCTGATGTTTGCTCATAGTTAGATTTAGGACATGCATTTTTTGGCAGGACTATCATAGAAATGATATTGGGTCTTTCTTAGTTCAGAAATTTACTTTTAAACCTCAGTCTCTGCTAAAAGGACCAGGGCAGGGCAGTGAAAATATAAGATAAGCCCAGAACATCTTGTTGCCCAGAAACTGAGGATTTACTTAGAATGTTGTGGAAGCCAGCTTGAAGGGGCTATCTGTGGTCAAATATAGGATAATACAAGTATTAAAAATGAATGACAGTAATGGATCAATTACCCATTGAATAACATAATACTCATAATCAATGAGAGAACACTTCCTTGTTATAATAGAATTCTGGCTAATAAATGTAGAAAAGAATAGGAAGAAAGAATATATCCTAACTAATAAACATAGAAGAAAGAAATAATAAATGCCAGGCGAGTGTGGTGGCTCACGCCTGTTATCCCAGCACTTTGGGAGGCCAAGGTGGGTGGATCGCCTGGGGTTAGGAGTTCGAGACCAGCCTGGTCAACATCATAGTGAAACCCCAAGTCTATTAAAAATACAAAAATTAGCTGGGCATGGTGCATGCCCATAATCCCAGCTACTTTGGAGGCTGAGGCACCAGAATTGCTTGAACTTGAGACGCAGAGGCTGCAGTGAGCCAAGATCGTGCCACTGCACTCCAGCCTGGGTGACTGAGTGAGACTCTGTCTCAAGAAAACAAACAAATAATAAATGCCAACTAATAAATGGAGGAGTTAGAAAAATCACCATTTTGCAGCTGTGATAGTTATAATTGGCTCAGGTAAGTCTCATCTATGGGTAATAAAACTAGAGACTAAAAGTTTAATGAAGAGCAAGTTATTTACATAATCTCAAAGTATCTTCCCTCATTGTCTATAGTAACCAAATATATTTTGACTAGAAGTCACTTTAAAGCTGAAATACACTGGCTAAAAATAAAGATTTCAGGCCTGCCAGGCTGGACTCATCAAATCAGAATGTCTGAGATTGGATCCCAAGAATCAGCTTTTTAATAAATGTCCCAAGATGATTCTTAAGCATGTTAAAATGTGGTAACTACTGACTTCATGCCTCCAGTCTTTGAGCTGATGAGAACTCCACTTTTGTCATTTTACCATGACCCAAGGTGGGACAGGGTGGGTGCTGACATGTATCAGAATCACCAATTTCATTTCCTCTTGATTCTGATTTAGATCTGATTATTTTAGACCAGGGATTAATTGGGGACCTTGTGCTTTCCACAAAGCATCTTTTTGTTTGGTCAAACCAGGAACAAAGATTTCAAGATACTAAACGTACAGTGTTCTACTTGTTATCCATGTGGTTTTAATTAAGTTTTAACTAATTCCCTTTATCTTGTTATAGTTATTAATGATTCTCCATGTCCTGTCACATTAATATGTAAAAACAGCTCCGTGGCCTGTATGGCCAAGGAACAAAGCCATTATGACCTGTCGTGTTAAAGTGGGGAAACTGATCAACTTGCAATTTGCTACCTTCTTTGATAAATTTATGCTAAAGTTGAGCAAAAGTGCAAAGGAGACAAGCGTCACAGCCTATCACCCCTGCTGCAAATGCAGTGTATAGAAAGAAGTATTGCAGATTGTTAAAATTTACATATATCACTAGAGGGATGGAAAACAAGGTGGTTCATTTCAGGGAAGCTATTGGTAGCAATTGAATCAATGTATTCCAGCTCAAACTTTCAGAATGCTACAGTCTTTATAATGACCATATGTTCTCTAATGTCAAATTGGCACATGTCATGGACAATGATTTTTTTTTAAATAAAGGTTTTGTAAAGGTGAACAAATTAAGTCACATTTATCTTCTTGCTATTGGAAGAAAAAAAAGAAATAGGAATTCACCTTGGACAATCTGGGAATAGATAGAGTCACTGCAGGTGGGAATCATACTTTGGGTAAAGCAAGACAAGTTAGGTTGGAAGGGACAGCATGTGTTCTCACTGCTGCTAGAAACAAATGCTGACTATTCCGGATGTGTTTAATGCAAGCACGTTCAAAGCCTCTTGCTGTGTAAACTCTCAAGTTATCTTACAGGACAGGACCACTAAGCCTCATTAAATGTTTCTGCTGATAAGTAAGTAAAGTGATCAACATGTCCAGTTTAGGAGATCTTTAATTTTTAAAATAAAATTGTTAATCTTTATATATAGCTATCATTTAATGAGCACCTGCTGTAAGTCATGCGCTATGCTGAGACCTATTCTCCACACTAATTTAATTCAAAGAATAAAACTGGAAGATGATAAGTATTATTACTGTCCCTGTATATGATGAAGGTACTGAGCTAACTGAGGTTAGGTACTTGCTCAGCTTCTCAGTGGTAGAGCCAGGATTCGAACCCAGGTCTCTGGCTTCCAAATCTATAGTGTCTGGCTCACTCTAGTGCTCTTACAAGAGAGAAAAGTCCAGCCATGCTGTCATCCTATTACTCTCTAGTCACTTTGTCCTTTCACTCTGTGAGCAGGGCCTTATGGGGAGACTTTACTCTCTGGCCCCTGGACTAGGTCAGCCACAACTCCTCCCTGTTATGTTTCTATGGTTCCTTTATTTTCTTTACCATAACAAACAATAAAACTTCATTAGTACTACACATTTAATGTTTCTATTCTCCACTAGACTGTAAGCTTCATGAGGGCAGGAGCTATGTCTCTGTTGTTCACAGCTATATCTAGTATTTCTCATGGCACACAGTAGGTGCCCAGTGGATACTGAATATACAAGGAATGTGCCAAATCATCACTGAGTTGCTGTTGTGGTGAAAAGTCTTTTCTTCAGCCCTGATGGCTCTCCCTCATCACACCTTTCATTACATCTCCTTCTCTTCTCCTACCTTTTTGTCCCATGAGAACATGTAGCAAGTTATAGAGCAAAGGCTCAGATGCAGGCCTTATTTCTGTGTTCACATTCTTTCCTCTACCCTATGCTGTGTTTAAAAGGAGGTTTCTGGCTGTGGCTCATATCAAATCATCTGATGATTTCCCTTTTGCTTCTTATTTTCTGTCCCTAACACTAATTTTTAACTGGCTGCAGCATCATGGCAAGAAAATGCCACCCTTGAGTGTCCTGCCTACTCAGCCAAAAGCAGCAGCTGTTCCAATAAGCAATTTGTTGTTCAGCACCTGAGATTGGCTTCCTCCTTCCAGCAAGACTGCAAGCTCAACAGAATGTAGGAAAGCATGAAAAATTTCTAGCTTGTTTCCCTTAATGCCCCAAGGAAAGCAGTACAGGTTGAGGAAGGACATTTGCACTCTGGGCAAGGAGAACGGGTCCCTACATGTACAATTTCAGCTGGATTTTTCTTGGTGGAGTTCTGGGAATTAAGAATGGTTTGTTTATTAAAGACTATAAAGAAAAGACTAAGAGATGATTTTGTTATTATCCTATTGTCTGCCCCAAGTGGTGTGCCGGTAAATGTGGCTTTCCCCCTAAAAAGCCCTGATTGGCAGTGTTTGCCAATTTCTATGGTGTAAATACTTCCATCGTGACTGATTTCAAGTGAGCAACATGATGTCACTGAATACATTGTAGAGAGGTAATGCATATGACTGACTCTCATAAATTAGTGTAAGCAGAACCAGCACACTGCCGTCTGTTTGGATCCCATTACCTCCTACAGGGTAATAGTGTGGCTGAGTTGGGGCCCGAGTTAGGCCTGATATTTCTCATGGGACACCACGGTAGGTGGTGAGAAGCAAGGGGCCAAGCCAGTGCATATCAAGCTGACAAGGCACCTGAGCTAGAGAGGATGTAAACAAATATCCCGTTGTCCAGTGAGCTGGAGGTGGAGGTGTAGGGGGATTAAAGTGCTGACCTCAAACATGAAAGTTTATCACCAGAGGCAGACAGATTTATAGTGGAAACATTAGTGGTCCCACTGACTATCTGGGACCTTGGATATGTGACTGAAACTCTCCATGCTTCAGTTGCTTTCGCTATACAATGAGATAATGATAGTTCTGTCATTGAACTGAACTGGATCCATTTGCCTGTGCATAAGGAAGCCAAACACCAAAGGACCAGGTTTTTTTTTTTTTTTTTTTTTTTTTTCAGCAAGAAAGGTTTATTGCAAGTCTACTGGCAAGGAGACAGGAGGAAATGCTCGAATCTATCTCTTTGAGTTGGGGGTTGGGTCAGATTTTATAAGCATAGGGTAATGAGGCATGATCTAATTGGATTTTGTGACAAGGTGATGTTGGGAGGCATGATCTGACTGGTTTCTGCCGTGGGGCGATGCCGGGGCTCAGACTCACTGGATTCTGGATCCTGCCATGTGGTGTCCACTTCTTGATTCATTCCCCTCCTTCTTGGTCCAAGCATTTAGGTTCCTCTGTGGTTGCATGCTTGGTTCATCTGGGTACGTTCAGGCTGTATGACCTGAGGGTCCATAGCAACTGAAAAACAACTTACAACTTTATTACATAAAAGTTGAAGCAGATTGGTCTGGTGTGGCTACAGTTCTTGCCTTAAAGAGTTTTTGTGATGCTGGATTATTATAATATATGTAAAGTGCTCAGCATGGTGCCTGGCACAGAACAAGTACTCAATGTATAGTAGCTATTCAAATAAGGCTAGAATGCATAAGAATGGGGTGGGGCTTCCCGAGAAATTGTCTCAAACATTAGGAGGTGTTCACAGCTTATCTCCTTGGGCTGGCAGTAGGTTTGTTGGGGGTTCACTGTCCGAAAGGGTCAGGACTGAGCGGGAGTGCTCAGTGTAGCTGTTGGTGAGAAAAAAAAAATCAAAACATTTTTTGATAATTGGCAGTATTTTTTTTTTTTGGTCTTGTCTTCAAAACGGGTTAAAAAAATCTCATTCTTCCCTTTGTGGCAGGTTGTGCAAAACAGTCTTTAAAATGGATTTGCAGTGGCTCATGAACAATGAACAAGTACATTTTCATGTTGAAATTCTGTTAAAGGAGAGATTAGAAACCATATTTATAGCGAGGAAGAAGAGATGAGAAAATTACTAGAACATAAAATTTAGCTCTGAGCTTTTTGGTGGCTTGAGGAAATATATATATGTCTGTGTATAATATGCTATGTAGCTTTCATGAAGAATGCCTGTTTTTCAAGCAAGACCATTTCTTCTGTTTTTTTTGTTTGTTTGTTTTTTAAATTTATTTGTTTTTTTGTTAAATTCCAGTAGGTTCTGTCAGTCATAGGGAGCCTGAAGTACCCATCACCATCCGTCTTTCTGGTTTTTTGGAGTCTAAATTTGAGAAAGGCAACCACTCAGGATTTATTGCACCATTTCTAAGAAGTACATTGTGTCCTTCTACTGGGCCTCCACTCTTATTCCTTCTCCCAATCCTTTCTTGAAACAACAGTAAAAGTGATCTTAAACATATAAATTGGATGTCAATTTGCTGCTTAAACTCTGGAACGCCCTCAGAATCAATCCAGACCTTTCACTGTGATCACATTGCCTCGTGCAATCTGCCTCTGACGTCATGTCTCATGCTCTGCCCTGCTCTGGACCTTGTAGTTTCATGGCTTCCTCTTTCCTGCCTCAGGGCCTTTGCACATATCTTCCCTTGGCCTGGAACAATCTTCCTCTCTCCACAGAGATGGTGCCTGTCTCACTACTGTTTGCCGCCTCAGCCTTCCCAGGTGGCAGTTTCAAAAGTAGATTTCATCTCTGCTTGTCTCTTTCTCAGCTTCTTTTTTGCCTTTATGGCTGGCATTTGAACAAGCTATATTTGGTAAGATAAGATAAGGAAATAACTCTATTTTTCACCCACCGCAGCTTCAAACCTGTTTGGGAAGGATTTGCCAAAAATAATATTGCAAGCAAATCCCATGGCTTTTATGATAATTATTGAGTATTAAAATCATCTTGTTTTTTAGATATTAAATAGTTTTAATCCAACTCAATGCCATAATTTCAGTTCCTCATTCAGTTTGTTTTCCTGCCTTGTAGACTCAAGCTGGACTTAGGTCCTATTGACAACAGTCGCAAGTGCATTGTGGTTCTATCTTTCATTTTTTTTCACCTTCTTCACTTCTTTCCTTCCCTGCTTCCCCGCTGGACTCCTCCTGGCATTTTCAGAGTCAGGCTGAAAGAGGAGGGATGAGGGAGAAATGAGAGGTTAATGGGCAAGAAGATCTTTTCCAGGTAGCTGGTGCTGTTTGCAGTTCACTCGTGACTGTCAGATGTCCTCTGTCAAGGTGGATTCACAATTACTGGCTCTTCTTTGGGAAGAAGACCCCACACAGGAGGCCTCCATCCTGCCCACCCAGCCTCAATGGGGGGACTGTCTGACTCGCTTCCATGAATCTTGGCCCTGCAGTTCCATCTCAGGCACTGTACCTCACAACCTCTCTGTCTGTGAGGGTGGCCTCACTCTCCTGGGCAGCTCTTTCAAGACAATTCAGGCCGGGCAGCTTTGCACAGCATCCACTCTGCTCACTGGAAACATTTGGTATTTTGCTGTGTACTCCTGGGGGAACTGGCCACTCCCAAGGCAGCCCTGTCCCTTGGCTCCCTTCACTGGCTGCTGCAGCCAGCCTCTGGCATGCGGACTCTTTCTCTGGTCTCTGTGCACTGGGAGACTGAAAAACTCCCTCAAAAGTCACCCTCCGTTCTGGTCCCCTGGCAGCACCAGGGAGAGAACCCCCCTCACCACTTGCCTGAGATTCTCTCTTCCTTCATCTCTGGGCTTCCTTCATACATACAGACTAGGGTATTGGAGGTGGGCTGTGGGTCACAGGACTTCCTGAATGGGTAGTCTACACCTTTCCATATTTAGTTACAGTTTGCTGGAGGAGGAATGAGAGGGTTTTATTTATCATCTATTGTTCTCAGCTTTGGGCTTCAGCCAAAATTCTAAGACAACACCAGAAATTCCATTTAAGATCTTATTCTATGTGACGATTTGTTATTTTTTCTCAGGAGCTCAGCTGAGCTGGAGAGAGGGCTGAGCTATCAGGTGTAGGAGTAGCTGATGAAGCATCAGGGGGTTGACATGGAAGTACCAGCACAGCCTTTATTCACTAACTGCTATGGTACAAGCAAGGGGCTAAACCCACGCAGTAAGATTTCCCCTGCTGCCCATGGCACAGTGCACAGGCTGAGGTCAGGTGGGTCAGAGCAGGTGTGGGGTAGAGGGAGCAGTTTATGGACTCTGGGGTTGGGGAGGATCAGGGCTGAGAGCCAGGAGTGGAAAAGTACTGAGTACTGAGTCGGAGTGGGAAAAATGGTCTTCCAGGTTTTTCCGTTCTTTTCACCATAAGTAGGACTTGGCAGAGATGTCTGCAGAGGACCTCTGCCCAAGGTCTTGGACAAAGAAACCCAGGAATGAAGGCTCTGGGCCTAGGGTTACAAATATGTGAAGAGCAGGACCAGCTAGAGGGGCCTGAGTCCTTTCCAATTCCCTTCAGAGCCTGCCATGCAGTGGCTGTGAGCCAAGTCTGCTGTGGGAAGGGCAGATGTTGCCCATGGAGCCAGCCAGGTGAAGCCTTTGTACTTGCCTATGGTCGGGCCTGAAAAATCACACGTAGGTTTTTTAAACCAGGAGCTGGACTCTTCATTTTATTTATGTATTTATTGTTTCTTTTTTTCTCGAATGAGATCCTTATGAAGATAAGGACCTTCTCATTGGTCCCCTGTTGATTTCCCTCATGCGAAGCACAGCGCTTGGCACATAGTAGGTATTTGATAAGGATGTGTCGAGTAAATGGAGGAATTCCAGGCCAGTGCGGTACAGAGGGAAGACCCTGTTGTGGCCTTCAAGGGGGTCCTTGACGGATGAGGCCTAAATGACAATATTTGACAGAACAGTACATGTTTAACCAGCATTTATTATTATTAGAGGAAAGAAAGATTGTTATGATCAAGGGGGCAGGAGAGGCTTCAGGGAGGGGCATGGTTTGAGGTAGTGGGTCTGTTATGGATGGGATCTGAAGAGGTGGAACTCAGAAAACACCATTTGGCTCATAAACTTGACGTCAGGCTCACCCACACTTCCTAGAGCCATCTGTCTCGATATCTGCCACTTTCCCAGCGGAACACTTAGAGCATGCAAATATCTGCCCAAGTGCTCGCAGCTCCACACCAGCATCAAACCGGGAGGCAAAAGGAGAGGGTGGTATTTCGGGGACCCAAATCCTTCATCTCATTTAGTCCACAACTTTTTGGGTGTGGACATTTCATTCCCTTGTATTTTTTTTTTCTCCTCCGAATCATTTTTACTCTCTTTCATCTTCTGTCACTACTTCCTGCTTCTACTGAATTTTAAGCTTCTGTTTATTGAATGGGGATGAGAGTATTTTCAGGTTTGTTCGAATGCACAAAGGAAGAAGGGGCTTTGTAAATGCATGGCAATCCTCGCTGTATTCTAGGAATCTTTGATCCTCAAAACTTGTGAGCCTTAGTCCTCCCATCCTTGACCGTGGGGGACTAGTGCTCATTGTTTCTTAAGCACTTAGCCATTTAAAGACAAAAAGTAAAACCACAAAATCATAGAATCTCAGCTTAGAGAAGAACCTTCAAATTCCCCTGTATGTAAAAGGCAATATTTTTCTTTTGGGTGGATGAATTTGTAGGAACATTCCCTGGTAGGTCTTTTAGGTGAAGAAGACAAGCCCCTATCTTCCCCTTCCTTGCTCCACCCTGGGTGTACATTGGATGGCAAAGTTGAGGTCAATAAGTGTCTGGAATGTACTTGTGCAGCAAAATAAGGTCAAAGTTTGAATATCTATGGCAGGCAAGACAAAATGTTGTCAGAACCCAGGAGTCAAGGGTAGGAAGAGATGAAAGAACACAAGGAAATTTGCATGCTGCTAGACAAGAGGAGAAATAACAAAGCCAATCGGGCACTCTCTGTGGCAGGGAGTGGAGAATATATTTCTAGGGATTTGATATCTGATTTTTAGTTTGAAGCTGTTCTCTGCTTTATGCTCTAAATACCTTCTGCTGTCTGCAAAACTTTAGTAGAAATCTGCAGCACACGATTGTCTTGTGTTGGTGGTACTCTGGGGAATAAATGCAGAGGGGTGTTGTGCATGGGGAAGTGACCGGGAGAGGGCACGAGCCTCAGGAGCCAGAGGGTCCACCGGGCAGCAGTGATGAAGCAGGCATTAGGGTGTACTGACTCAGGTGGACAAGAATGAAGAAAGCCTGTGTAGTACTTCCTGCACCAGAGAGAGGCGACGCTTGAAGGACAGTGGGCAGGAACATGATTTAGAGTTCCCTTTATCTTTTTTTTTTTTTTTTTTTTTGAGATGGAGTTTTGCTCTTGTTGCCCAGGCTGGAGTGCAATGGTGTGATCTCAGTTCATCACAACCTCCACCTTCTGGGTTCAAGCGATTCTCCTGCCTCAGCCTCCCAAGTAGCTGGGATTACAGGGGCCTGCCACCAAGCCTGGCTTTTTTTTTTGTATTTTTAGTAGAGATGGGGTTTCACCATGTTGGCCAGGCTGATCTTGAACTTCTGACCTCAAGTGATCCATCTGTCTTGGTCTCCCAAAGTGCTAGGATTACAGGTGTGAGCCACCGCGCCTGGTCTAGAGTTCCCTTTATGTTATCTCACCTTTGAAAAAACCCATGCATTTGATGAAATGCTTTCTTGATTGGGATCCAAATCATTGATCCAGAGCAACAGGCCTGAAGAGGCTGCTGTTTTATGGGACCGTAACATCAGAGATGGCCTTTATCCGTCCATATCCACCTGCCAATCAGAATTCTTTGCTTTCTGGAATCAACTAGTTACAAACCATCCAAGATGTCTGTTCGCCCAGCCCATACTTCTCCATTTCCTCAGAACATTTTGATGCATCTCATCAGATGTGTCTGGAAACCAGTTATCCCATATCTGATGAGTTTCCTTTACTTTCTCAATTAGAAACATCAGTCAAAATGGGAATAGGTCAATCAGATATGACTGATTTTTCATAAACATGTGGCTTCTCTTCGGCTGGATTTAGTGTTCTAAATGATCACAAACCTATTTTCTGATAGACTTCTCGTCTGTCAGGTCTGGAAGCGACGGTGGTGGTGGATCTTCTCATCCCACAGTCTTGTTTTGCGGAAGACCCTGAGCCTGGACTTGGTCAAGGTCACACAGCTTATAAAAAGTAGGGGGTTGAATTTAGCTTGTAATAAACATCTCCTTCCATAGTTTTCTACTGTACGCCTTTTTTTTTTTGAGATGCATATATACTTTGTAGCTCAACTGAAGTCTTTTTAATTTGGCTTTTAAAATGTGCATATACTCGTACACTAACTAGAGTGTAAATTCCTCTAAGGATGGATATTTTTGTTGTGTGTAGCAGAGGCCAGGGATGCTACTAAACATCCTATAATGCACAGGGCTATGGCCCACAACAAAGAATAACTCAGTCTAAAACTCCTGTAATAACAGTTCTATTATTAGTTCTAACATGTTCCCTCTTTGTACCCTGCACCCAAGAACTTTGCAGAGAACATTCAGTCTGCTGTATCTATACTCAAAAGAAATTATTTAAGATTTTGCTTCCAAGTGACTGTCACTCTTGAGTTCTGCAGTGATGAGCTAGTCATTTCAGATGATGAGCCAGGTCATTTCAGATCAATGTTTCTGTTGAGAACTAGAAAAGCAAACACACACACATGCGCATGCATGCACGCACTCGCGCGCACATACACACACATGCGCACACACAGACACACACACCCCTGTGTAAATGTGCTGGCCAGGTTCACAAGGCAGGGAAAATGTGTAAGTTTAAGGCCTCTGGGAGGAGGGAGTCAAGAGAAGTGAGCTCCCTATTGGGAACAGCTTTTTCCCTCATTCCAAAGTGGCAACAAAGAGGCTGAGAGGTAAGTGCAGCTTTGACAGTCTCAGGGACTGAGGACTTTTGGTTGGGATCCTGTAGGGCTACACCCTGGGACACTGGTTCTCAATGGGGCACCTTTGCCCCTTCAAGGGACACTTGATAATGTCTGGGAACATTTTTGGCTGCCACAATTGAGGGTATGCTACTGGCATCTAGTGGGGAGAAGTAGGGCATTCTGCTAAATGGCCTGCAGTGTGCAGGGCAGCTCCCCCATAACAAGGAATTTCTGGTCTAAAATGTCAATAGTGCTGAGGCTGAGAAACTCTAGTAAGAAACCCTTCCTAGGAGTAAAAGCCTGGAAATAAACCAGCCCTCACAAAGACCAAAGCCTGGCTTCAAATCATCTAAATCTCTGAAAATCTCTGATTGGTTTTTCAGCCTAGCTACCTGACAGAAGCAAAACCGAATTCTCCCTGGAGCAGGAAAATGTTAAGGGAGCCTCACATGTACACTAATAATCACATATAAGGTGGGATGGGAATAAAAGGAGTCAAGCATCAGAAGATTCTAAGTTCCTCACATGGCTCACTGGCAAAATGCTAATTTATGTTAGACCTTAATTAAAGTTAAGGATGTATATTGTAGTCTTTAGAGTAATCACTGAAAGAATGGCAATTTTATCTATCTATCTATCTATCTATCTATCTATCTATCTATCTATCTATCTATCTATCATCTACCTACCTACCTACTTATATATCTACGTATGCATCATATAGTAATATAGTTTGGCTGTGTCCCCACCCAAATTTCATCTTGAACTGTAGCTCCCACAATTGCCACCTGTCATGGGAGGGACCTGGTGGGAGGTAATTGAATCATGGGTCTTTCCTGTGCTGTTCTCATGATAGTGGATAAATCTCACAAGCTCTGATGGTTTTATAAGGGGACTTTCCCTGCACAAGCTCTCTCTCTGTCCATCACCATGTGAGACATGCCTTTTGCCTTCCACCATGATTGTCAGTCCTCCCCAGCCATGTGAAACTGAGTCAATTAAACCTCTTTTTCTTTATAAATTACCTAGTCTTGGGCATATCTTTATCAGCAGCATGAGAATGGGCTCACATTGTGTCTGTCTGTCTGTCTGTCTATCTATCTATTATTTTCTACCTATTTATCTACCTATGTATCATCTATCTACCTGCTTGCTTCCCTACCTACCTATCTACCTATAATTTACTATCTATTGACCTATTATTTTCTTTCTTTCTATCTATCTATCTATCTATCTATCTATCTATCTATCTATCTACCTCTCTATAAGGAGAAGGAGATGGGACATTTAATATCTCCCAAAGAAGTCAGGAATCCAAAAGAAATATTAAACAAGAAGATGGTAAAATTAACCACAACTATCTCAATAGTACATTAAATGAAACCTACTATTCCCATTAGAAGGGAAAGATTGCCAAATTAAGTGAAAGAAACAGAATCCAACTAGAAGATTGTGATTGGTTTCAATCATTCTGACACTGAAAAGCAAATTCTTATAAGAACTAGCATTACACTGAATGATTTCTGTTTTAAGCCATTGCATGTATTTATCATGTAACCCCTGAAATTTGCTCTCTTATTTCATCTTCTTTAGATGAGGACACTGTGGCACAGGGAGGTTCAGCAACCTGCTTGAGGTCACCTGGCTAGGCTAGTACGTGTTAAAATAAGGATTTAAGTCAGGCCTTCTGGTTCTAGGACTCATGTTCTCATCAACAGTGCCAAATCTAATGAGACGTTAGTACTATCTTGTGTTTTACGACATTTCTGGGAGTCTCAACTGATTATATGTTGTCCTACAAGTAATTAAACAATGTTTTCCAGAATGTATTCTCTTATTATTTTGTTCAGATAATACAGCATCTCTTATGATCCGTATCCTCATTTTAGCCACATTTTCATTGGGATTCTTTGGTTGCAAGTGACAGAAATGGACCCTTTTTGCCTTAAGCAAAAATAAAGCTTCCTGAAAGAGCATGAGAGAGTTCACAGAATTAACTAAAGTTTGGAGAACCAGGCTTAGGAACCAAGGCATTTCTGGAGGGGGAGGGGTATAAAGGTGGCAAGAACAATGCAATAGTCTTACATGGCAATTGCACTGGGTTTATAAGCTTAAAATCTTTTTATTTTCATCTCTTTCTGTCACTTTATTCAAGGTGCACATCCAAGCATAGAAGTATCTGAGTGGCCTCATGTGAGTCAGATGCCCTCCCCAGGGTTAGGGGAACACAGGACATTCCAGGTGACATTCCCATCAGGTACATCACTGGAAAAGTAATACCCAAAGGAGAATATGGCCACAATTACCAAAGGAAGGTGACATAGATGCTGGGAAGCCAAGAATTCCATATGTCCATCATGTCTCCCTTTTAAAAAATTCCAAGGAGCTCTACTATGATTACCGATTTTTTAAGAAAGGAAATTTAATATGGAAGAGTCGCTATATAGGAACAAAAAAGACTGGGAAGAATTATAATAAGATATAAATAATTTTGTTTGAGTTGTAGAACTAGGATTGGTTCCTTTTTTCTTCGTTTTTTTTTTCCTATATTGTGCACTTATTACTTTTTTGATAGAACACTTTATCTTTCCAGATGAGTGGAATGAAGGCTGAGGGTCCCTTTTGAAGGTCTGAGGATATAATCACTAGTGACTCTGCATTAATAACAGGACCGTATGTTCCTCTTGAAATGCAACAACTGTCTTAGGATTTTATTAAACTCTAAACAGAAACAAAAAAGACACACTAACAAAAAAGACACACACACACACACACACAAACACCTCAATTTGGAAGGGACTTGTGCTTATGGGTTGGATGCAGAAGGAAGCAATTTTCCTCTGTTTTTTTCTGCATGAGCAATGCTTTTGCACTTTGATATTTGTTTCACCAATAAGGTGTTTCATTATTTCTCACACATAAAAAGCTGGTGCCATTATGAGATACCGTTAAAGACTCTGGCTTGCCCAGATGTGACTCAGTAAAAACAGCCTTTCTGTGCAGTGAACGAGACTTGTGAGGATGATGGGAATGGTGGGGGAGAAGAGATCCTTTTTCAGAGACTGGAAAAAGAAAAAAATATAAAGCCATTTGCCCTGCAGAGATGACAGAACACATTTTTCCTAATCAGTGGGTCACTTCACCTCTGCGCTATGTTTGGGGGAATCATCATGTAATTCCAAGCCTAAGGCGGGGTCACCAGATACGCTATCTTCTGCTGACCCTTCTCTGAGCTGCTTCTTCCAGTTTTCATGATCAAATTTCTCTGCTCCTTTGGACCGGCTGGAAAAGAAGTTATGAGATCTCTCCATCATTTGCCGCTCTCCTAGGTCCTTCTTCCTTTGAAGCTTTTCCAGTTTTGGTCTCTTTTTCTCCTCCTCTCAATGTTTCTCCTTCTCTCTCCCCAACTTTTGTATTTCTGGGGATTTCTTTCTGTTCCCCAGGGCCTTTCTCTTTCTATTTCATTCTCAAAACCCATTCTGGGATTCTATTTGAGTCTATCCATCTATCCAGCTGACCACAGCTAAAACCAGGAAGTTGAATCAGTCCCAGCTGCCGAGGCCCAGGCTTCGGCTCTGCCCCGAGTTGCTCCGGGTGTGGGCTGGTATCTGCTGTTTCCCATCATTCTCCAGGAGCGCTGCCTGTTCCGAGCTTGGATTGTGCTTTCTCTCCCCCTGCCAAGGGGCTCTGCTTCAAAAGCCCAGATTAGAAAAGATGGGACATTTGGGGAAAAAAAAAAAAAAAAAAAAAAAGAGCTTGTGCTATCTTGGCATTTCCTGTTCCAATAGCAGATTTCTTATGCTTTGATGATTCCAGAGTGAGAACACAAATTGTTAAGTGGATTGGGGGTGGGAGGTTCTAGTGAGGGAGAAAAGCTTATTACTTCGGGCCTCTTGCTGTGGCTCTGCACCCTCCTTGCTGCCCTTCAGCCAGAGTGCTCCTGGAGGCCAGGGACTCCATCTCCCAGGCCTCAGTGCCCATTAGATGTTCAACAAATGTATGGATTAAAGATCTCTTACCCCTCTTGAAAATTTGTTTTCCAGCCTGGCCAGGCACTGAATATGTCCTGAGAGCTAATGTGGTATCGACTGATTAAAGCTGAGAAGAGCAATGATGAGGAGGAGGCATAAGCAGAGAGGAGGTTGGAAGGAAGAACAGTGGCCTGGAAGGAAGAGAGAAGCATGCGTCCCAGCAGTCAGGACTGGAATTCAAGCCACTACAATAGAAGCAGAGCAAAGGAGCCCTTTAGACCTCCCATCTCAGAGGACCTGGTTGATTTCTCAAATCTCTTCACTTCCATGGGTTATAAAAATGGTAATAATGACAATAATAATAGCAAAACATTGGCATGAATACAGCATTGCCGGAACTGTTCTAAATGCTTTGCAGGTACTAACTCATTTTGTTCTCACAATCATCCTAAAATGTGTATCCTATTATTACCCTTCCCATTTTACAGACGAGGAAATGGAGGCTGAGCAACTTGCACAAGGTCACACAGCAAGTAAATCATAGCACAGAAAGCATGAGACCAGTGATACAAGAAAAACTTTAGACAAGGTAAGTTTAAGAGTTTATGTGAGTGAAGAATGATTCATGAATCAGGCAACCCACAGAAGCAGAAGAGGAGATCTCTGATCTGCAACGTGGGGAGTGAGTATTTATAGACAGGAAAAGGCTGAAGAAAGTAGACACAAGGAACAGAAAGTGAATTGGTCGTTTCAAAGTCCTTTCCTTGTAAAGGTTAAAGTGGAGGGGACCTCCTTATTAATCAGGTTTAAACTGGCCTGTTTGGGGATATGCTGTTATCTATTTCTCCCTCTTCTAATTCTTCAGAAGGTCATATAAACAACTTAATTATGGCTTGGTGATGTGGAACTTTAGCATGAATGACTCCATTTTGATTTGGTCTTTGGGGGCCTACTGCAGGAGGAGCTCAGTCCCAATCAATGGCCACCTATAAATTTTATTTAACACCATGCAGGCAGCTCCAGAGCTTGGTCTCTTCACCACCGTGCTCTAACCAGTAACTGGCGATTCGCAGATGTTTATCTCTAGGACTGGCTTGTCTAGAGAGTAGTTGACAGCAGACCTCCTGGGATGACCATAATCCTGAATTGGATCCCATCTTCATGCTCCCCTCTGGTCCTCTAGAACTGCCCAGGGATGAAGCTGATTGAGGGCCTGGTGAGCTGGAGGGAGGGAAGGAAAAGATGGGGAGGACCCCTGCACAGTTGTCCCCCACTAACTCGTTTCTCCTTCTCCCCCACTTCCTGTGTGTCCTTTCTTGGCAAATGGTACTTCTTTCTAACCAGGAATCTGTAAAATTTCCTTGGGCCTCTTCTTCTGTCTCATGAGTGTCACCAAGGCTTGCTCCTCTGGCCTCTTTATGCTACTCACATCCTCCCCTCGCAGGGACTGCCACTGCCCCCATGCATGTTCTCTCAGCATTCTCTAGAGCCACCAGTAGCAGCGTCCTAACTGGTGTGCTCTCAGTTATGCTGGTGTCTAACTCGATGCTTCTCAAACTCATTAAAACACAGATTCTAAGCTCCCACCCAGATTCTGATTCATTTGGTCTGAGATGAGGCCTGAGAATGTGCATTTCTAACAAGTCTTCCGGTGTCGCTGATGCTGCTGATTGGGGACAGTGCTTGGAGAGCCGCTGTGCTAACCTGTTCTCTACACAGCCTCCAGATAAGTCACCTAAACCCTGGGAACTACCATGCTTTGAATCTGGCCATGGCTCCCCACTGTCCTAGGAGAAAGTCCAAACTACTTAGAGTGCAAAACAGCTTACCTCTGCCGCCTCGTCCTATCTCATAAGTTACACTTCTCCAGGACACAGCTGTTCCTAGTGCCACCCTCACACCCCCAAGACTACGCTGGCTCTCACCTTCTCCTCAGTGCTGGGGACACAATACATGGTAGCCGTTGTTATCATAGGGTTAGAGCTGATGATCACAGGGGCACTATTGCAGGCAGAGTCTGGACTCTCCCTTTAGCTTACAGCCCTGAGAGTCCTTTTTCAAGGCTTAGGTACTAGCTCCCACATGCAGTTTGCTGGTTGCTTCTTGGCCTTACCCTTCCTCTCACCCAGTCTGGGCTATCCCCTCTTCTCCTTTCCTGGCCCTTTTTTTTTTTTTGTTTTGAGACAGGGTTTTGCTCTGTGTCACCCAGGCTGGAGTGCAGTGGCATGATCACGGCTCACTGCAGCCTCAGTGCTCCTGGGCTCAAGAGATCCTCCCACCTCAGCCTCCTGAGTAGCTGGGACTATATGCACATGCCACCATACCCCACTAATTTTTGTATTTTTTGTAGAGATGAGGTCTCACCATGTTGCCTAGGCTGGTCTCAAACTCCTGGGCTCAAGTGATCTGCCTGCCTTGGCCTCTCAAAGTGCTGGCATTACAGGCGTGAGCCACCACACCTGGCCTTGGATCTGACTCTTTTACATGTGCACATAGGACCATCTGAGATAGAGTAGGAGTCAGCTTTGTGGTGGGCACTTTCCTTCAGGGGACTCCTGTTAATGATGCTATTGATCCAATGAGTCATCTTAGCTGGATAGGATCAGTTTCTCTGCAGCCCATGTCCTAGCTGCTTCCAGGACAAATCTCCCTGCTAGTTGTCCGAGTGATTATTGTCAATGTCCTGTGTTCCTTTGCAGCCAAACCAGTGGGAGAAGGGAATGCAGAACTAGGAGGCAGGATGCATGTTGCATTTTAAATTTTTAAAATTTTATTTTTATAATTTCAACTTTTATTTTAGATTCATGGAGTACATGTGCAGCTTTTTTACCTGGGTACGCTGTGAGATGCTGAGGTTTGAGGTATGAATGAACCTGTCACCCAAGTAGTGAGCATACTACCCAACAGGTAGTTTTTCAGCCCTTGTCTCTCTTCCTCTCTTCCCCCTCTATTAATACCCGGTGTTTATTGTTCCCATCTTTATGTCCATGAGTATCCCATGTTTAACTCCCACTTATAAGGGAAAACATGCAACATTTAGTTCTTTGTTCTTGTGTTGATTTGCTTAGAATAATGGCCTCTAGCTGCATCCATGTTGCTGCAAAGGACATTATTTCATTCTTTTTATGGCTGCATAGGATTCCGTGGTGTATCGTACTACATTTTCTTTATTCAGTCTAATACAATGCATCTGATTAAAACTTC
Organism: Homo sapiens; assembly: GCF_000001405.40. Taxonomy (NCBI): domain Eukaryota; kingdom Metazoa; phylum Chordata; class Mammalia; order Primates; family Hominidae; genus Homo; species Homo sapiens. Next base: position 17,273,459 of record NC_000004.12, on the reverse strand, counting down.
ACTTGTAGTGTTACTCCCTGATTTGCTCTTATCTTAAAATCCAAGTAAATATTCTACCCTTTGGAATGTAACTCAAGTTCTGAAAAAAACCTTGGATTTTCTTACTGATTAGATTTATCTCCCTCCCCACCCAGCTCTGCCCAAAACATTGTGCAAGAGTTTGGGTTTCCTTACAGGCTCCTGTTCCTTCTTCCACTGAGTAAAACTTTGGAGCATATGAACTCTAAGAGCTTGTCCTTAAAAGTCCCAAATCCTGTCATTAGAGGAATTTTGGCTGTTCCTAATTAACCTTGACCTTGTTCTCTCTGCAGCCTCAGGCTAAGCCTGAGCCTTTAGCTCAAACTATACAGGATGTATTACAGTTGGATAAGAGGGAGAGGAGTGGGGTCTTATGAGAAATCAATCTGGATTCAGCAAACATTTGCTGAGCCCCTACCATATGCTATTGCCTGTGCTAGATTCACTTACAGATACCCAGATCCTGCCTTAAAACCTGTATTTGGCAAAATGGCTTTGTAAATAAGAAAATAGATAAAACAATTATATAACTAGGCCCCATTGTCTTCACGACCTTCATAATCAGTTGCTTTCTTTGTTACATTTTAATTAAATTTGTAGGTTTGATTTCCTTTCTTGGGACTTCGGTTTTCTCTGACCCTGCAATTTAAAAATTTGCTTTTAGATCAAAGACATTTCACAAGAAAGTCTCTTATTTAAAAATCTTAATCAGACTAAAGGAAGAGGCCCAAATAGCAGAGATTCTAGGTATACCCACAGAGGCTCAAATCAAGCCCACTATAAACCAGCCACGTGTAAAACTTCCTGATGCACAGTTAGAGTTCTCTGGGACAGAGACAAGTCCATGCACTCTTTAGTGGCCCTCTGTTCAGTTTCATTTCTGGGGAGTTTTTTTTAAAATCTTTTTTGGGTATAATTGACATACAATGAACTGCACATATTTAATGTGAACAATCTGGTGAGTTTGGACCTAGGGCAGTTCGTGGTGACTGTGGGGAAGCCCAAAGATAAAACCCAAGTGTCAGAGTGTGTCATCATCCCAGCGGGGTTGCAGTCGGCTGACCGTCAGGAGATAAGCCTGTCCTAGAGATAAGCATTTGGGGATCATCAGAGAGCATGGTAGTTGAGAGACCAAGCTCTGGAGCTGCCTACCCAGATTCATGATACTGCAGTAGCACATGCCACACTACACGTGGCAATAAAAAAAAAATGGTCATTTTTCATCTACATGTCTCTTTCCATCCATCAGACTCTGCGGACCATTACTGTGTCTCATTCAACTCTCTGTCCCCAGCACCCAGCACGGTACTTGGTACATAATAGATGTTTATTAAGTAAATAAGTGATGATGCAAAGCAGTGATGCAGCTTACAACTTGATTGAAGAGAGAAATTGCACACAGATCCTCCTCTGGGTAGAGAAGATTTACTGGTACAATGACATGGGACACCTAAGAAAGGGTAGACTGACTGGATCTGCAGGAAGAGTTCAGGGAAGCCTTCTTCAGGGAGGCAGTATTGAGCTGAACCTTAAATAGCATTTGCATACCAACTGAGCTATATAGAAAATAGATAAAAGATTTGCATATATTTTCATAGGAACCTCAAAATGCATCTCAATTCAACGTGCATGATATTTAATGTGCTTTGCTTTGCTTGGCCAAATAAGTCCCAAGGGAGTACCATTAGAATTGCTATATGCTGTTAAGAAACAACATACATTCTGGAAGCTCTTTGTTGTTTCACAAATCCAATCATTGAAAACCCAGCTCTATACCTTCTGACCTGGAAAGAAACACCCTCTATGAATCTGGGTAGAGGCTAACCCGCTATAATGAAGATACCCCAAAATACCTTGACTTAAGGGAGATAGAAGCTTATTCATCCTCATGTAACATTCCCAAAGTGAGCAATTGAGGCTGATGTGCTGGCTCAGATTCATATGGCCATTCGTGGGCCAAGTTCCCGTCTTTTCGTCTTATGACTCTACCATTCCTTAGAGCATTGTCCTGTCTATATGGTCCCTCTGAGATGCACCTCATGTGAAGGGATATAGAGGATCTCCTGGGCAAGCAACCTGGAGATGGCACAGAAGTTGCACATTTCATTGCCACTCACTTCCTGTTGATCTAACCTAACCATACACTTAGTATGCATGGCTAGTTGTAAGGGAGCCGGGGAAATGTAGGCATAATTGAAGCTGACTGTACCCCAGCTTTGATTCTATTCCTAATGAAGAAGGAAGAAATGGCTTCCAGTGGATAGCCATCAGTGTTTGCTGAAAAAGGATTCACACAAAAAGATAAACAATTTATAAGCATTTACAGGGAACTTTAGCAAGCATTTGATCAGTTCTTTATTTTAGGCTTCAGCAAGAAATGCTTCCATCATCCAGAATCCACAGGGTGTTAGAAGTTCAGATGGCTTATCTAGTCCAATTTTAGGTGGGACAGTTTAGTCTTAGTCTCTCAGGATGCATTCATAATTTCTCCCTTTCTCCCTCTCTCTCTCTCTCTTTTTTTCTTTTTTTGAGATAGAGTCTAGCTTTGTCACCTAGGCTGAAGTGCAGTGGCATGATCTTGGCTCACTGCAACTTTTGCCTCCCAGTTTTGAGCAATTCTCCTGCCTCAGTCTCTCCAGTAGCTGGGATTACAGGCATGTGACACCACACCCAGCTAATTTTATATTTTTAGTAGAGATGGGATTTTACCGTGTTGGCCAGGCTGGTCTCAAACTCCTGACCTCAAGTGATCCACCCACCTCAGCCTCTCAAAGTGCTGGGATTACAGGAGTGAGCCACCGTGCCCGGCTCCCTTTTTTTCTCTTATGCCACACCCACCTCTTGGCCATTTTTGATCCTGTTGCTTCTTTCTTCAAACTTCTTCTTCTCTCAGTGTCTTATCTTAAATTTCATTTGTCAGTCATTCGCTGCTCTACCTGATCCCACTGCTGGGATGGGTTTTCAGACAGAGCGAGGAGCTTCACAACTTGAGATTAGAGGAGAGGAAAGGGAAGGGGTCCATACCGGGGTCAGGCATCAGGGCAGACGATCTAAAAGACACTTAACCTCTTATACTGCAAAGACGCCTGCAATGTATTATGCTCAAAGATTTTGTGAGTCTTTCTCCTCTGTGAATTACAAAACACAGTCCTCTTCTACAGATTAATCTCTGGAAGTCGCAGAGAAAAGGTGATGAAAAAAAGAAATGCCCACCCACTACAATGGAAAGAATTAATGCACAAATGAATGAGTGAGTGAATGAATATGTGACATTTCTGGCTTGCTTCTGATTCACCAGCGTGTAGGGATATAGTGGGATGCAAGTCAGATGTGCTCTGGGCTCCTGTGGGGCTTACAGACTAGTAGTGAAGACAGCCACTGACTAAGTCACTTTGAGTGGACTGAATTTTAAAAGGGAAGAAGTACAAGGGGCTCTGACACCTGTAAATGAGTGAACTAGGTTGGCAGGTGGGGAAAGGAAAGGCTTATTTCCTTTAAAGCAAGGTTCAGACTGAGATTCACATGACAAGGAAGAGTTAACTAGATGAGGTGTGGGTGAGTGAGTGGAGTGGGGAATGGGCAGGGGAGAAGAACATTCTAGAAACAGAGAAAAGCATCATGAGAGCCTGGCAGTGGGAGGGAATATGGCCTCTTAACAGAACCAAGAGAAGTTCACTGTGGCTAGAGAGTAAGAAACGAGGGGGAGAGGGCAGGATGGTGCCCTGGCCATGTAATTCTCTCTGAGGAGGAGGTTGAACTTGATTCTGAGGGCAAGAGGAAACGATTGAAGAATTTTAAGTAGGCAAGTGATATGAATAGATTTTCACTTTAAAAGAAATCCATCTGGAATCAGAGTGGAGAATAAATTGGTGGAAGGAAGGGAAAGGGGCAGAATGGGAGGCTATTGCTTTAAATTCAGGACTGAGAGGACTGCAGTGGGTAGTAGGTGTGGAGTGAGGAGGGACATAGGTGGGAGGAATTTTAGGTTCTATCTAGGTGATGCCTTGGAGGCTTAGGGGGATGAAATAGGGATTTGCCCACAGTATCTAGGTTACGGAGAGGCAGAGTTTCCATCAGGACATGTAAAATCCCAAGCCCTAGTCTTCACTGTTCCTCTCAACCAGGAACTGGTGAGAACAAGTCTTCTTGTGACAATCAGAGGCAATGGACAGCTACAGATGAAGAAACAGAGGTTGTGAGGGATGAAACAATTATCCCAACATCAAATAGTTGAAGGTGGCTGATGTAGACTCAAACCCAGACAGGCAGACTCAAAAAGCCTACATCCTTCTCCATGACAGCAGTCTCATGAAGCCACAGTGTATGCCTCTGAGTCCGCTGGGCATGACCCTCCCTGGCACTGTGAAGGTCAACTCCTGCTATGCACTCTGCTCAAAGAGTTTGAGTTACAAAGCACAGTCCTCTCTTACAGACTTACTTCTGGAAGTAGCAAAGGAAAGGTGATGGAAAGAGGAGAGAAATGCCCACTGTGGCCATTCTGGGGTTTGGAGAGGAGACAGGACCCAGCAAAGAAAAATGAGGAATTGAGAGAATGTAACAAGGGAGGTAAGAGTGAGAGAAATCTGACCCTGAGCCCAGAGAACCATGACCTTTCCTGGTTCCCACTACCCCCGTGATCCAACCACATGGTCCAGTAGAAAGAGTGGGACTTTGAATTCAGTCAGTCCTCTATTTATTAATGGCTCTGAGGTCTTTGGTCATTCATATGAACTTTCTGAGACTCAGTTTTTTTTGTCTGTAAAGTGGGGATAATAATACCTATATTAAGGGTTTGGGGTGAATTAGTAAAGATCATGTAAGGAAAGAGCTGATTGAAGCATCTGGTACATGGTCAGTACTTAAAGCACAAGGCACCCTCATTTCCATGGTGATCATTTAATTTATTGTCCAAAGAGGACACATGGGAGTCAAAGGGGAGACTGTAATAATTACACTGGGACAACAAGCAATAACTGGAACTGTCGCAGGCAGACTAGGACGTATGGAGGGGCCTGATCACATCTCACTCTGACCTCAGAAGCCACTAAAATTCCCAGCTCTACCTGAACCCACACTTCTGCTCTGGAGTTTTCAGAACTCTCCATTCTTTCGGGCCATGTATTTATTCATTCATTTGGGGAAAACAGTTCCAGGTCTCGTGCTAAGGGCAAAGGAGGCAGTTGCTAATGAGACTCAGTGCATGGTACTTCTAGAGGGGTTCAGAGTTTGATGGAGGAGGCAGGCAGTGACACCACAGCGTGGTCATTGCAGTCTTAGGGGTAATGGCAAGGTGTCTGGAGGTGGGGCAGAGAGAAGCATGGAATTCAGTGTTGGAAGAGTTCCTTGAGACATAGTGCACTACCTTCATTTTACAAAGAAGAATACTGAGGCCCAGAGAGGTAAATCAGCTTGATAAAAGTCACTTGGCTAATTGGGGCCCACATGGGAAATCAGGACCTGAACATTTCATCCTGTTGCATGATGCCCAGGGTACTGATGATTCAACAGCCCTGGTCAACCAGAACTCCTCCCTGACCTCTCCCAGATGCTCTCCCATCTTACCCTCTACTGAACTAGCTCTGGACTGTCCCTTTTTCTTCTCACCACCTCTCTTCTCTTTCCTCCCTTCCATACATTTGATTAGATACTGTGGGGAGTGCAGACATGAGTCAAAGAGGTTCTAGCCCTTAAGGGAGATGGATGGATAAATAAATAATGAAAAAAATGTAAAGAATAAATTGCTCACTAGAGGTAAAAAAAACGTGCGTGGGTAGTTTAAAATGGTTGAATCTGGTGGAGAGATTGCAGAAGACTTTTCTGGAAGGTGGTACTGGAGCTAAGCCTAGATACTTGTTTTAGAAACTTTTTTTTAATAGGTGAAGAAATGGGAAAGGCAATCCAAGACCAGTGTAAACAAAAGCTTAAAGAATAAAAACGCATTTCATATTTATGTGATTATTGTGGGTAGGGGACAGGCAGGCAGAGACACGTTAGATATGAGGAACAATGAGGGGAGTAGGTCATAGAGGGTTTTAAGTACCTTTTGGAGGGGCTTTTCTTTAATAGCAATAACAAATTAGTAAGAATAATAATTCAGTGCCTGCCACAAGCCAGGAGTTCTGGTGACCACAGTTGTTTAGTTTAGACCTCATGACAAATATTTGAGTTAGATGTTATGGCCCCATTTTATAGATGAGGAAAACTAGGGACATAGAGGTTAATTACTCATCCAAGTGCACATAGTTGGTAATTGACGGGCAGACAAACTATTTGAAATCCACCCCCTTTGCAGTAGACACAAGCCTCAGAGAAGTTTGGAGTGAAGTGAGGGGATGGGCTAGAATATTGCTGGTGCTGCCCTGTAACCTTGTATGTGTCACCTTACTTCTCTAAGCTTTAGCTTCCTCATCTCTTAGCCAGATGCCATTATAGTGTGTATTCCACAAGTGATATTACAAGCATTTAGTAACTGGTTGGCATGGCATTGACCAGTTATGATGGGGACAATCTGTAAACAACCAGGTTGGTCACTGTGAGGAGCAGCTCTGCCCACTTCATCAGGTTGTTGAGAAAATTAAGTGAGAGTGTGTTTGTAAATCACTGAGAACAGTGCCTAGCCCATTGTAAGCATTTCAAAGGAGGCAGTTGCTAATGAGACTCAGTGCACGGTACTTCTAGAGAGGTTTAGAGTTTGATGGAGGAGGCAGGCAGTGACACCACAGTGTGGTCATTGCAGTCAATAGTGATTGGAGATGTGGGAGAGTTTAGGATGGAACAAGGGCAAACTTTAAAAAGTAGGAGTCAGAAGGGAGAGATAATGTGGGATAGGTTAGCACTCAGCAAGTGAGAATTCTACCTCTGAACCCCCCCAGGGGAGACTGGTACTTGGGGGAAGCCCCACATAGGCACAAAAGTTAAGACTTACAGTCTGATAGGTCCGGGTTTGAATGTTGGCTTACTGCTTGGCTACTAATTTGTGATGTGACTTCAGACACTTACTCAACCTCTTTGAGCTGTAAGTCCTCACTTGTAAACAAGATAAATACAACCTTCCTGCAGAGCTGTTGTAAAGAGCAGGTTAAGGATGCCCAGGAAGGGCCCAGTCTTCATGGGGCCACATGTATTCATAGGTGACTTTCCTCACTCTGGAGTAGCTTGCTGCTCATTTGCAAGGGGCTCTGATCTGACTGGGGTCTTCATTTTCTCCTCCTCACCATGGCTGGGAAGATATTTCCCAAATGGAGCTTGAAAATACCTTGATGTGTCATAGTAAAATAAATCATTGTGATATTAAATGTCTTTCTTTCTCTCTTTAGTTTATTGCGCCTAAGACATTGGGCATTCAGTTGGCATCTTCTATGCATTATTATAAATTGACACCGGTGACAGGCATAGACCCAGACAATGCCTATGGTGGCTATGAATTTGTTTGTTACTTAAAATGGCGCTGAGAAGTGACAAGAACAGAGGTCAATTTGGTGGAATTAAGCTTGTGCTTCTTTTTTCCAATGTTGCTGGTTGCCTAGCAAGGTGTGGGTGGGCTGCGTGTGTGCTGGGCTCCCAGGATGGTTAAAACTAGAGGAGACAGATTCTAGTGGAGGAGGCAAAGGGGTGTAGGCAGCTGATCTTGGCTGAGTGGGGACACTGAAATGAGCGAGATTGCAGTTTAAATCCAGGCTCTGAAACGTATGTGCCCTGGAGCAGGTGGCTGAATATATCTGAGTAACTGAGCATACTGAATAACTGAGTATCTGTAATACATCTGAGTAACTGAGCATAGACATAATATGAAATGGGTGGTGGAAGGGAGAAAAGAATGGGGCAGTGCAGGGGAAAAGGTGCTGCCTCAATGTACCAAAGTAATGTCTATATCTCCATATCATGTTTCAGCATCCTCCCAGAGAAAAGAGTGTCTTTGTGTCTTCCACGAAGTTTGAACTGGCATATTCAGTTAGGATTTGAAACTGAGTTTTTGGGTATCTACAGCTCAAGATACAGGTTTTAGTTTCTGAACAATTTTATGCTTTATCATTTTGGTATGGTTATTCATGAGTTCCCTTACCAGGAATGCTGAAATAGACTAAATGTTTGTCTCCCTGCCCCAAATTCATATGTTGCAACCTAAATCTGCAATGTGATAATATTTGGAGGAGAAGCCTTTGGGAGTTGGACTGAATTCCACCCTCTTGAATAAGATTCACGTCCTCATAAAAGAGACTCCAGAGAACTTCCTTGCCCCTTCCACCTTGTGAGGATGCAGTGAAAAGATGAACCAGGAAGTGGGCCCTCACCAGATCAAATGTGCCAGCACTTTGATCTTGGAATTCTCAGCCGCCAGAGCTTTGAGAAATAATTTTTTTGTTGTTTAAGCCACTCAATCTATGGTATCTTGTTAGAGCAGCCCAAACAGACTAAGACAATTGTCTTCATCTTTGCATGTCTAAATCATACCCAGCCTTCAAAAGCAGCTCAAATGCTACCTTTTCCTAAAAACCTTGAAAACCTTTGCAGTAGACCCGAGCCTCAGAGAAGTTTGGGGTGAATTGAGGGGATGGGCTAGAATCTTGCTGGTGCTGCTTCAGCCCTGTGACCTTGGATATGTCACCTCACCTCTCTTAGCTTCAGTTTCCTCATCTCTTAGCCAGACAGCATTATAGTATGAATTCCACAAGTGATTTTACAAGTATTTAGTAACTGGTTGGCGTGGCATTGACCAGTCATTTTGCAAGAGAAAACCTTGCAAAAAGGTTTTGCATGGCATTGACCAGTCATGCAAAACCTTTTTGCAAGATTTTCTCTCTTCAAGCACTTGTATGTTTTTCTTTTTTGTTGGAATACATGAATTAGTTTCCCTGGTAAGCTAAAAATTCATAGGTAAGCTCAATTGTTTATCTTCCATGGAACTTAAGACAGTGTATTGCTCATGATAGGTATTAGACAAAGGCTATCTATTGATTCAGAAAACAAACAAAAAATGCAACAAGATAGTAGCTAGCAAGACAGTAAAAATCTACAAGAGTAGGTTTAAGACACTGTCCATCAAAATATTTGCCCATTAGGGCTTCTTAAATTTCTCATTCTAGTGATGTTCTAAAGGGTAAATTGGTCTTTTGCATGGCGATTTTATTTGCTTTAATATTCGTTTTTGTCACTGCCAAGGCAAAGTGGATCTCCATTATATTTATGTCCTAATAACAAGGCCCTGCTGTGCCTTGTTCTGGCTTGTTATTGTGGTTATCAGAAGCTCTCTAAGCTTCAAATTTTCTAAAATGAAGGGGGCAGGAAAGAGAGCAGGATCAGGCTAAGAAATGTTTGCTGTGATTTTCTTAAGCTTCTTCTGTTGGTTTGTTATGAGAGCAAACTGATTAGAAGCCCTAGTGAAAGCAAAGGCTAGAATTAGGAACAAAAGAAAGCAAAATTAGAGTAGAGTTAAATCTAGGTGAGATGGACAGAGATCGTGAAAATGAAACTCAAATAAAGGGTATGTTGTATACTGTGTACACTGAGAATAAGATATTAAAGATGCACTACCTGGGGGAAGTCATTAGCTCATGACCTTATTTAATGAAAACATTTTTGAAGGCGTTCTCCTGTTTTTATACATACACATTCCAAAAAATATGTATGTGCTAACCTCAAATGTGTGAAAGATGCAGATATTCATGGGATGATGGGGGCTTCATTCCAGAAAGCTTAAAATACTAGAAAATCCCTACAATTACTTCTTCATTTTTGGTCACAATTTTCAATCATATATAATTAGTGATATTTTGTACATGTTTATCTTCTGTTTTTTGTCCTTGACAGTTAATCACATGTGTGGTTGACCCATGCTAAGTTCATTAAACATTGAATTGAAACAAAGCTTTGCTGCTTTGAGTGTGCTTAAAGATTTTTTTTTTTTTTTTTTTTTGAGACAGGGTCTCGCTCTGTCGCCCAGGCTGGAGTGCAGTGGCACAATCTCGGCTCACTGCAAGCTCTGCCTCCCAGGTTCATGCCATTCTCCTGCCTCAGCCTCCTGAGTAGCTGGGACTACAGGCGCCCACCACCACGCCCGGCTAATTTTTTTGTATTTTTAGTAGAGGCAGGGTTTCATCGTGTTAGCCAGGATGGTCTCAATCTCCTGACCTCGTGATCCGCCCATCTCAGCTTCCCAAAGTGCTGGGATTACAGACGTGAGCCACCACGCCCGGCCAAGTGTGCTTAAAGATTTGTATCTTAATTTTGATTGTAACATGTTTATACCTAGCTTCCTATCACATGTGTCCAGACTATTTTTAAAAATTTCTCATTTTTATAAAATAAAAGGTAAAATATAATAAAACAGTGGGTTAAAAAATTAAACAGTGATGTTCTTCCCAAATAGAATCTTACCGGGATGCTGATACGTAAAACATGGAAATAGGGCAAGCTGATTCAATTCAACAATCCCAATACTGGGCATCTACCCAAAGGAAATCATTATATCAAAAAGATACCTGCATTTGTATGTTTCTTGCAGAGCTATTCACAATAGCAAAGATATGGAATACAAGTGTCCATCGATGGAGGATTAGATAAAGAAAATATGGTGTATAGATACTCACACACCATGGAATATTACTCAGCCATAAAAAGAATGAAATTATTTTCTTTGCAGCAACATGGATGCAGCTAGAGGCCATTATTCTAAATAAATTAATGCAGGAACAGAAAACCAAATGCCACATGTTCTCACTTATAAGTGAGAGCTAAATAATGTGTATACATGGACATAAAGTGTGGAATAATAGACATTAGAGACTCAGAAGTGTAGAAGGGTGGGATAGGTGAAGGATGAGAAATTTAATGGGCACAGTGTACATGATTCAGGTGATGGTTACACTGAAAGTCCAGATTTCACCATTATGCAATATATTCACATAACAAAATTGCACCTGTACCCCTTAAATTTATACAAATAATAAAATAAGTAGACCAACTTGGATTAAAATTGAGACAGGAATACGAAGGTCTTAGAGGCATCTCTCTGGGACCCCCAGAACCCTGTTTAAAGACCCTTCCAGTAATATATTCATATTCTGCATTGAACACTATTATACAGCCCAAGGTGATAACACTGTCAGAAAGGAACTTGATGGGTACTACTATTAAATAGTTCAAAATGTTCATTTGTCAGCTCATAGAAGAAAGTCTTTCCTGGGTATACGAAAGTCACTTTATGGTGTTGGTATGTGATGTGTGAAAAGGCAGGTTGTCTGAAAGTAGAAACTTTAGAAGTGGGCTGGCACGATGGCTCATGCCTGTAATCCCAGCACTTTGGGAGGCTGAACAGATGGATCACTTGAAGTGATCAGGAGTTTGAGACCAGCCTGGCCAACATGGTAAAACCCCACATCTACTAAAAATAAAAAATAATTAGGCATGGTGGCATGCACCTGTAATTCAGCTTCTCTAGGGAGGCTGAGGTGTGAGAATCACTTGAACTTGGGAGGCAGAGGTTGCAGTGAGCCGAGATTGCACCACGCATTCCAGCCTGGGTGATGGAGCAAGACTCCATATCAAAAAAAAAAAAAAAAAAGGAGAAACTTTGGAAGTGGATGACTGTCTGCATTTCACTGGTCCAGAACCACCTGTCTGAGTGCAGCCATCAGACAGCTCTGTCTTCTTTCTTCTCCAATCTGTTGCAGTGAACTCTGGTCCTTCCACTCACCTTTTCTTGGCTCTGAGACTGCATTCTCCTGTCCTGTCCTTTTTGGTCATCTCAGCTGCTTCTTAGGTACGGAATGAAGTGATTGATTTTTGAAGAATTTCAAGTTCTTGGCCACTCAACATGTGACCATGCACTAATTATTATGTTGAAATTGCTGTGATGTCAGGTGTTTTCCCCAAGGCTTTACTCTGCTCATTTGTAAAATTAGTTCTTCGATCACATTCTTGAGCTTTTTATTACACACACATTTGCTGAATGCCTGACACAGGTAAAGCACTGTGGAAACATGTGGGGCTTCCACTCCTCTTTCAAAAGCCTATCAAATGGCACCTCCTCCATGAATTTTCCTGCCTTTGTCGTGGAAAATTAGGGCTCCTGGTCCTGGGCTGGGGCTTGTACATGACTATAGGCCATTGTTGATTACAAGCTATACTGTAGCTGTTTACAGGACTGTCTCTTCCACTAGTGTATGAGCTTTTGAAACATAGGGGTGCTATGGACTGAATTTTTGTGTCTCCCCCAAATTCATATGTTGAAATCCCAACACCGAATGCAATGGTACCAGGAGGTGGGGCCTTTGGGAAATAATTAGGTCACAAGAGTGGAGACTTCGTGAATGGGATTAGTGCCCTTAGAAGAAAAACAGGAGAGGTTAATGATTCTCTCTGCTTTGTTCTCTATCATGTGAGGATACACTGAGAAGACGGCTGTCTGAACACTAGAGAGAGTCCTCACCTGAACCTGACCATGTAGGCATCCTGACCTCAATTTCTGGCCTCCAGAACTGTGAGAAATAAATGTCTGTTGTTTAAGCCACCCAGGGTATGATAGTCTGTTGTAGCAGCCTGCGCCAAGACAAGGGGCTTGCTTTAATCATTTTTGTTTGACTTAAGGTAATATGATTTGCACATAGCAGACCATCTACATGTGGAAGAAAGGAAGTAAAGAAAGAAGGGAGGGAGGGAGAAAGGAAAGAAACCGTGTGTGGTGGACACACTCTAAGGTTGCCCCCAATGAGTCATACCTCCCCTTGAGTGTGGTTGGAGCCTGTGACTAGCTTCTAGACCATAGAATATGACAAAGGAGATATGACAGTCACTCCCATTGTTGTGCTACATTACACTGGACTCTGCCCTAGCAGACAGGAGTGAGAGATAAACCTGCTGGCTTTGAAGAAGTGATCTGCCAATTTGTAGGAGGGCCTATGGACGGGGCCACATGGCAAGGAACTGAGGGTGGCTTTAGAACTAAGAGTGATCGCTGGCTGACAGCAAACAAAAAAACATGGGCCTCAGCCATGCATCTGCAAGGAAATGAATTCTGCCAACAACCATGAGTGGGCTTGGAAGTGAATTCTTCTCAGTCAAGCCTCCAGATAGGAAATTGGCTCAGATGACCCCTTGATTACAGTCTTGGGAGACCCTGAGTAGGACCATGCTGAGTCAGGCCTGGACTCCTGATCCCTGGAAACTGAGATGATGAGTGGATGATGTTTTAAGCTCTATGTTCATAGTAATTTTTTCTGTGGCTGCAGAATAAGATACTGAAGTCCAGAGTGGGAGGCAGAGAAGCCTCTTAATCTGTGAGCTGCCATCTAACATGAGCAGTCAACATTCCCCAAAGGGAGCAAGAGAGAGCCTTGCCATCATCATTCCTTGCCCCCTCACTCATTCTATAAAGGAGAGGACCAAGGAGGAAGACAAGAGAGATCCTTTGGGGTTGGTGTGCTGATGGGAAATGTTCAGGTGAAAAGTGATTACCTTATCCCTTCTCCCCTCAAAGTCAAGTGATAGGGATGATCAGAGAACCCCTGGAAGATTGGAGCCAGTCACAGGAAGAGTGATGATCATCTTAGCCATTAGTTACATCTGTATTTAGGTAGAAGATCTGCCTCTTGAGTAGAAAAAGTGAATGACAGTGAGTTGGCAAAGCCTAGAAAAGGCTGGCAATCAGGCAGTCAGCACTCTCATCACTTGGCATGTCAGAAACCATGATTTTTCTAGAGGTTAAGAGTATGTCACAGGGTCAATTCAGGCTGTTTACTAGCTGGGGAAACTGCAACACCCATGGGAGCCAAATGAGAGACTGCAGAGGTCAATTAAGATTTCCCTTTGGGTATATACCCAGTAATGGGATGGCTGGGTCAAATGGTATTTCTAGTTCTAGATCCCTGAGGAATCGCCACACTGACTTCCACAATGGTTGAACTAGTTTACAGTCAACAATGATAGACTGGATTAAGAAAATGTGGCACATATACACCATGGAATACTATGCAGCCATAAAAAATGATGAGTTCATGTCCTTTGTAGGGACATGGATGAAACTGGAAACCATCATTCGCAGCAAACTATCGCAAGGACAAAAAACCAAACACTGCTTGTTCTCACTCATAGGTGGGAATTGAACAGTGAGAACACATGGACACAGGAAGGGGAACATCACACTCCGGAGACTGTTGTGGGGGTGGGGGGAGGGGGGATGGCATTGGGAGATATACCTAATGCTAAATGACGAGTTAGTGGGTGCAGCACACCAACATGGCACATGTATACATATGTAACAAACCTGCACATTGTGCCCATGTACCCTAAAACTTAAAGTATAATAATAATAAAATAAAAAAAAAAAAAAGAAAAAGATTTCCCAAGGAAGGCATCTGTGCTTTGGGAAGACTGCACAGGGCCCTGGAGGAAGCCACACAGGAGAGGCAGTGTTCAGATGCCCACCACACAGGGAGGGCCTCAGCGGTTCATGGCAGCAAATGTAAGGAGAATTCCCTTCTCCCTGATCCATCCTCTCCATGCCCAACTATCGACAGGCAAAGAGCCTATCCTGAAGGGGGAGGAGGAAGTGAAAAATTAGACCTAACACCCTCCCATTCAGATTTTCCCAAACTATGTGTCCAGCCCACAAGGCAGAAGTGGTTAAGTTCGTATCACAGATAAAATTGAAGTTTTAAAATAAAAGGGACTTTTAATACCTCAAGGTAGCCATGAAGTTATGTATTATGCCTAAGTGTCATCAAGAGATTGAAGAGAGGGATTCAACAGAGAATGGTTGAAAGCAGTCATTGGAAAAGACAATGATCGTTTCACGTATACGACCCCAATGCGTTAAGACTTCCTAATACACTTAGGTTTTGCCTTCAGTGAGCTCATAGGTGAGTAGTGGAGATATAATAAGATCAGAAATAACACATGTTAGAAAGGATGAGAATAAATGTATCATATAAAGGACTCTGGGAATTCAGAGGAGAGATGGACTTTTCTGATTGGGGGAGGAAGGAAGCGTCACATGTTGTCTATAAATTTTCTTTAATGTCATCTCAACAATTATGATATGTGTTCGAAAGCAAAAAGTTCTCCATGGCTAACATCCCAGAATTATAAAAGATGTTGGACTATCTTTATTTCATTTATTTTATATATTGATGGTTTTTTACAAGATTGGACTCTGCACAACTGGCTGAGTACCAAACTAAAAATCCTGAGTGCTCTAGTGTTTCTTCCACTGTTAAGAAATGACCATTTAAAGTAACAACTTAAAGTGCCTTTTCTCCCTCCCTTTCCTCTCAAATGTAACTTTGCTGAGGAAGGAAAAAGGAGAAATATTCTTGATATGTATGTTGGTAACACAAAATAATAGTGAATTTGAACCTTTTCTGATAGCTGTGTTTTAATGTGGGGTCCTGGAAAATAAGGACATATACGTCAAAGTATCATAGAATATTGGAGTTGACAAAGATAATAGTTTATTGAACACAACCTAACTAAATACTAATGTCAAAATCAAGAGGAGAAGACAGATTTTTGAATTCTTCAAAACTTGACTGTTGGATGTGGGGTGGGTAAGGAAGAGAGAGGAGTGAAGAAAATATCTGAGGTTCTGTCTTGGTCAACTGGGTGGGTAATGGTGTAATCATGGAATCAGAAACACTGGAGAAGGAGAACAACCTGGGGAAAAGTATTGCATTATGTTTTGTGTTACATAATGCATAAGCGTTTATGCATTACATAAACGTTACATAAAACGTTTTCTGAAATCATGAGTGTTCATGAACTCAGTGGCCTTCTCCCAAGGCTATGGTCATTGAAGTCATGGCTTAGTTTGGTGAATTTTCCTGCTTTTTAAGTTCAATAACAGGCTACCACAAAGGGTTCAGTGTCAGAATGGGCATATATGTAGGCAGAGTCCTGCATGCATTTACCCAAAAATATTCACTATGTGCTACTATGTGCCAGGTACTATTCTGGTGCTGGGGAATGCCCTGGTGAAGCAATGGATAGGGTCCTTGCCCTTATGGAGTTTACATTTGCATTGGGGTATCAGACAATGAACAAATAAATAAGCAAGGGAAATAGGAGGCTAAACTCAGTTCTTTGCAGAGATGTAAACATACATTATGGAAGAGAGTGACTGGGGCAATTTTGAATTGGATATTGTAGTTGTTGCTTCTGCTTGTTTTTAGTAGCCATTCCTGCCCCAACCCTGGCCTCACTCCTTGTACTGGCTTGGCATGGCCTCAAATTTCTTACCCTCTGGTCACCTTAGGGAATGTGACCCTTGCCCAGATCCCTCACCAACATCAATCATGGTGGTCTTCTTGCCAGTGATCAGTTTAGGTACATCAGTTACTGGTCAATGGAATCAGAGGGTTACTGATTGGAGGACCTCTGGTAAATGCTTTTCCTGCTAACAGAAAGAGCTGCGTGAAAGGAGGTGCCTGTTTTTTTCACTGATCACCATTGTGTCCTCATGTGAAGTCAGGAGCAGTTGTGGTCACGTTGTGACCATGAAGGGAGCATTGCTGATCTGCTGAAGATGGCAGAGTGGAAAGCTGGGAAGGACCTGAGGCTTTGATGGAGTCCTACTGCTGAATCATCCAACCCTCAGAACTACCCTGCCTCTCTATGTTATATGTGTGCATTGCTGAAGCCTTTTTATTTATTTATTTATTTTTTTGCTATTTCTGGTTGGGTCTTCTTTGTTACCTTTTGCTGAAAGCATCCTAACTGATACATGTGGGGCTTTCAAGCTGATATGTGAAAGTCAAGGGGGAGGCCGGGCACAGTGGCTCACGCCTGTAATCCCAACACTTTGGGAGGCCGAGGCGGGCGGATCACGAGGTCAGGAGATCAAGACCATCCTGGCTAACATGGTGAAACCCCGTCTCTACTAAAAATACAAAAAAATTAGCCGAGCATGGTGGCACGCACCTGTAGTCCCAGCTACTCAGGAGGCCGAGGCAGGACAATCACTTGAACCCGGGAGGCAGAGGTTGCAGTGAACCGAGATCGCTCCACTGCACTCCAGCCTGGGCAACAAGGAGAGACTCCATCTCAAAAAAAAAAAAAAAGAAAAAAGAAAAAAAAAAAGTCAAGAGGGAGGCAAGGTATGCCAAGGGATTGGAGGAAGAGTACCATAGGCAGTAGGGGCAGCAAGTCCAGAGGCCTGAGATGGGAACAAGCATGATGTGTTTGAGGAAGAGAAGAGGTTGCTGTGGTGGTGCTGGCAGTGATGGGAACATAAATGAAGGTGAGGTCAGAGGGTTACGGCATTGCCAACCCAGGTAAAGGGGCTCGGATTTTCATCTAAATGCAGTACAAGTCATTGGAGGGGACAGTTTCATTTCTTTCATTTCCCCATCTCCTACACCCAGCACATAATTGAACTACATTTTGGCTCAGAGGTTTTTAGTTTGATCAAAATAATTCCAATAGTAGAAAGATCGCTTGAAAGTGAATATTTTTCTCCAATGCCTCAGCGTAAAGAGATAAGACCTTCTCTCTGGCAACAGACGAAGGGGTTTCTCACAATTCTTTTATCAGATAAAACTTCAGAAAGTACGAGTAAAGCAAGTCAGGAACACGTGCAAAACTGCAGAGATGACGACTCTTAATTAGCTGCAGCAAATGACTCTTGGCATTCTTAATTTTCACCTTTTTGTAACAATTCAATTCATTCCAAGGTTTTACCAGAGTAGACAGGCATGAAATGAATTCTCCATGGTAGGTTACCAATGGCAGAGAAATTGTGAGCTTTGAAATGGCTGGAAGAAATCACGTGTGCGCTGGCTCTTGCTTTTCCCTAAACTCTGTGAATTCTGTCAATATTAGTTCTGTGAAATATGTAGACTGCATTATTTGAAAGAAATAAGCAGTTTTACTTTCTTCAAGCCTTGTCTGTACTCCATATTTTCCCTAAGACCCCGCTCTCATGAGAAGGATATTTTCTAGTGGGCATGCAGTGTGGTGGCTGAGAATCAGGAATCAGGACACCTGAGTGCTAATCTGGTCTGAATGTGTGAAAAAGACAATGTAGGGGGTTTTAGTTGACTCTAAGTTTTTTGTAAGTCAGTAGTGTAACAGGGCTGCCATAGTGAAATGAGATGAGCTTGCTCCCATCCTACTCTAGAATGCCTCCGCACACCGTCCACAAGTTACTCTTTACACTGCAGAAAAAACCACACTATTTCCTTTCATCGAGTATTTTATTAAAGCTTTATTGAGGTACAATTGATATACAAAAATTTTACATAGTTAATGTATACATTTTGATGGATTTGGACATATTCATACACCTGTGATACCATTGCCATCATCAAGGTACTAAACATATCCATTACCTACAAACATTTCCTTGTGTTCTTTTATAAATTTTGTTGTTACTGTTATTTCATTTTTTTGTGATAAGAACATTTAACATGAGCTCTATCCTCTTAACATCCTTTAAAGTGCAAAATACCGTACGATGAACTATAGGCTAAATTATATTGTACAGCAGATCTCTAGGACTTATTCATCTTGGATAACTGAAACTTTATACCCACTGAGCAACAATTCGCCATTTCCCCTTCTTTCCAGCCCCTGGCAACTACCATTCTATTTCCTGCTTCTATGAGCCTGACAATTTTAGATACTACATATAAGTGGAATCATGCAGTATTTGTCCTTCTGTGTCTGGCTTATTTCACTTTGCATAACTTCCTCCAGGTTCATTCATGTTGTCAGAAATGGTAGAATTTCCTTCTTTATTTTAAAGGCTGATTAATATTCCATTGCATGTATATATTACATTTTCTTTATCCATTCATTTGCCAGTGGGCATTTGGGCAGTTTCCCTATGTTGGCTGATGTGCACAATGCTGCAACTGGGGGTGCAGATATTACCTACTGAGTGTTGAAATGCATCATTATTCTTCCTGGAATGTCCTTACTTTCCCAGTGTTTTCGGTTTTAAGCTATGTTGAACACAAACCTTGTTCACCTTCTCAGATTATCTCAACCACTCTTATTCTAATGCTTCTGCACACCTTCTGGAGAATGCTGTCACCTCATTTTCTGGCATCCTTATGAACTCCCTGAGCTGGCTGGCACTCACAGTTAGAGCTCTGAACTGCATTGTCTCCATGCCCTACAAGCAAGCCCCTCTGCTTCCAGACTTTTAAGATTAGAACTTAAAAGTCCCACCATGGGATATGGTATCTGAGTCCTTGATTGGATGCCAAGAGACTGGAAGGTGTAATCTGAAGTGTGGGGCAATCAACTCGCTGTAGGGTGATCTTTTCACAACAGGAATCAGGAGATGGAAGGGGAAGCTAGGTCCATAAATTCCAACTCTTTTTGCCCCTTTTGGGTTGTGGTGAGATTGTGCAGTTCCTGTTTCCAAACATCCCAGAGAGATCTTGTGTGGTGAGTAAACATGTCTCTTGAATTGCCAGCCGTATCTCTTTGTTGCTAATTGTGATGTGGTAGCTGTTGCATTGAACTGTGTTGCTCAGTCTCTTTCCTTACCTCATTTCACCTTTCCCCTTAGCCCTCAGCACCCCGGGCTTGTACGTAATAATTGAAGTGACAGCACTGTAATTCTTGCCTTGGGGTCTACTTTCAGGAGGCCCCAGACCGTGATACTTTCCTGACAGCTTCCCGCTGGACTTTGACCTCTGCTATGGGACAGTGGAAGCTCTCTTAACCCATCTCCCCCGACTTTTTTTTTTTTTTGAGATGGAGTTTCGCTCCTGTTGCTGAGGCTGGAGTGCAATGGTGTGATCTAGGTTCACTGCAACCTCCGCCTCCTCGGTTCAAGCAATTCTGCCTCAGCCTCCCAAGTAGCTGGGATTATAGGCATGTGCCAGTGCACCCGGCTAATTCCTTGTATTTTTAGTAGAGATGGGGAGAGGCAAACATGTGCCATGGTGGTTTGCTGTGCAGATCATCTATGTAACACACCTGCACATCCTGCACATGTACCCTGGAACTTAAAATAAAAGTTGAGAAAAAAACTACATTGAATAATTTGGATTTAAAGGAATGTTGCTAAAAAAAGAGAAGAACTACGGTGAGTTAATTGTAAAAGTTTTGGGGGAACATATAGTCATCTAGAAAGTTTCTATAATTTCATGGCTTTCCAAGTGTCTTTAAATTCTTGCTCTACTTTAAAGAAACTGAAACTAATGACTAGGACTGATATATTATTGATGTGGCTTATGCAAGAAAGAATACACAGAATGCCAATCAGTAGTTGGATAGTTACAAAAAAGGCCTTGGCCCTGCATCAAAAGATGGGAAGCACTGACAGCTCTGTAGCAACCGATGGATGGCTTGAATATAGGAAAAGCCAGGGTGTCCAGGTATTGGGTCTTGGAGGGCAGAAGTTGCCTCTGCCCTCAAATCAATCTGCTGCTTAAAAATTTACAGAGGAGTTAAAGTCACTTATCAAAAGGAAAAAATTGATTAGGGAATAACTCTCCAATAGAATGAAAGCAGTTCTAAATTACAAGATATTTTCTAGAAAAGCATGGTGCAAAGGTAAAGCAAGTGCTACCAGTTTACACAAAATCCAGGCAAAGATGTGCAGCAGCTGCCTGTAGCAATACAAGCGGAATTTCAAATTTTGACTTTTATTATTGGCCAACAAAAATGTCTTCAAGATTTAAGAGATATGAATTTTTTGTTTTTACAAGATAAGTATTCTTCGTAAAAATCAGCATGGACAGACACTGAGTTATTCTATAAGTTGATTTCTTTCCCATGAATGTATACATGTTGTGAAGAAGCACTTGAAGAAAATAGCCGTCTGAAAAGCCTGTGCTTTCTTTATCAATGTTTTTCAAATTGTAGATTTTGATTCTTTGGTGGGTCATGAAATAAATCTACTGAGTTGGGATAAAGGATTTTCAAAAATGAAATGAAATTGAATAAAACAGAATAGAAAATGTCAGTGTGCATTATATGCTGTAAAGGTATTTTATGAAAATTGTTTTATTATACATTTTTGTGTGTATGTGTGTGAGCATGTATGTATGTACGTATACATGATATAAAATTCCTAGCTGTCATGTAAAATTTGTCTTGTATTTCTGGCAAAAACTTTGAAGGCCTTTGGTCTAAAATAATGCTCCATGTTTTGGTTATGAATAATGTAAAGAAAGTGATTTAAATAAATGCCAGGTTTTTATAACAGAATGCAACGTCCTTGTTCCAAGTTATGGATCAATGAGCTATAAAATGTTTTAAAAATAATTTTGGAGTTTCATTTTAGGAAAAAATAGAAGATAAGAATATATAGGCACCATACATTAAAAATAATTAACATTAAAAGGTTATTTTCTTTTCATGTAGCGTTTAGTGGGGAGTGAAATTCCCAGTTTGACATTTACTAAGTCTTAGAGAAAAAAAAAATATTGCCTGAAGTTGACAACATTAGAAACATTTTGGACTACAAGAGATTGATTAAGAGTTAAATCAGTTTGGTAACTGAACCCAGACAAAATTGGAGTTTCCAGTGATTTAAAAAAAGATAATATATGACAATGAACTAATGATTCCTATTTATGCAATATATACTAAGGGCCAGGGAAGATTCATTAAGGCCATGATAGAAATACATAAATCAAAAAATAAAGAAAAGAGGGGAAAGGAAGTGTGATATACCAAGTCCAGAGCCCAAATCTTCACATTTAGAAGCCAAAGCTGCCCTGGGTAGAGTTTTGTTTTATTGAATCAGCAGCCAACTATATTACAGCATAACAAATGTACATGCTTCAAAAGTACACTTCAAAAACCATGTTCTTTTTCTTAACTTTCAAATAATGGTTCTATGAAACGAGTGGATATTTATATATTTTAAATAAAACAGTTAAAGTTTATGTGTATCGTTTTTATGATTCACTGCCTCAAGTGATTTTTTTATTTATGTGATCAACACTGGTCGTGAGGGTTTGCATAAGGCTTCTGCAGCCATTGTCTTCTGTTGCTATTGTTTATCTTCGTCTTTCATGTAAGAGCCTAGTGTCAGTGAAGTGAGCAGTTTCTGGATCCTGACTTCCTGGGTTAGATCCTAGCTCTTCTGTCTCCCACCAAGAAGATCATGGATGTGCAATCCAGCCTCTCTGAGCCTGACTTCTCCCTTGAGAAGAATGGGGCTGGAATATCACCCAACTTCACTGGATTAAAATTCGAGTAATGTATGTAAAGCCCTGAGCACAGGGTCAGACCCATAATAAACACTCAATAAATGACAGTTTTCCCCACTGAGATGCCTTAAATTTATCATAAATGTAATTGGCACAGTCTTTTATAATTTCAAAATATTTTTCCAGCCTAAGTTTCAGATTGCTTGGCATGGGCTAAAAATCATTGTCGATGCTCCCAGAATTTTTAGGAATTTTCTCAGCATAGCAGCAGTTCAAAATAATAACACTAGCTTATATTTTCATGCATTTTTAGCTTTTAAATTCGTCGAGAGTGGCATAACAGGCCTTATTTTCCCAGTTTTATAGATATTTCAGGATTACAAGGCTCAGAGAGGTTAATTTACTCACCCATGGTCACCTAGCTCATGATGGGGAGAGGGGACTGACTCCATTCTCCTGACACCAAGCCTGGTTCTTTCCAACCACTGTTTTTATGTGCATAGTCTTCATGGACCTCTGTGCGATCCAGCATCACACCGCATGGTAAAGCAGCTGTCTGTAAGAACTTAGAAACGGGTCCAACTTGGAGGAATCTTATTATCACTTTTTGAAGCATTACCCTGACTGCATTTTAAGTTGTATAATTTTTCTGGATCTGACTCTTAGATTGATGTTGGTTATTGGCAAGTACTGTATTTCATTCGGGTGAAATTTTCCTCATAACCTGATTCAACCTGTATTAAAAGACAAGAGGAAAGGAAAAAAATAAACCCCTTCAAATAAAAGGCATTTAGCAACTCTCCTGCTATTTGACTTATAAAAATAAGGGCAATGATTTAGTAAGTTTATTACCTAACTCCTCAAGACCCAAAGATTTATGCCAGCTGGACTTCCTGATTGGTCTCTGTTCAGTTTCTCCGTGAAGCCTCTTGCCTCTTTTAAGCCACAGCTGAAATAAATTACTAGGCAACTCTTATTGTCCTATATATTACAATTCCAGCCTTTTAATATATACATACAAAAGGATTTCAGTAGCTTGGACTAGTTAAAATTAGTGGAAAATTTGTACCTTTAGTAATGTTTGGTACTTTTGTCTTGAGATATATATATGTGTGTGTGTGTGTGTGTGTATATATATATCCCATCTAGGTTTCTACATTGTTGGCTGGGGTCAAATTATTCTGCATTTTTGTTGCATTATTTGCTTTCCTCAGCCTTCCTAAATTTAAAAAGCTTAACTTTATTCCTTTCCCCATTTTAGTACACTGATTTTCACCCTTAAAACAATCAAAATTTCATGCAGAAACAACTTGCTAGTATCTTCATAGAATTTATGATTTTAGGAGAGCAGCAAACTGATTCAATGAAATATGAGTTCTTTTTGAAAGTGGGATTTTCCTCCCTATTGCCAATTTCTGTTTCCATTTTCCATTGTCCAAGATGGAATTGGGTTTTTTTCTCTCTCAAACTATAGCATGAAGCCAGCAGACCTCGGTTTGAATCCCCATCTCCTTTTTCATGTTGTGCATTTTTAGGGTCCTAAAAAAACAGATCTTTCTAGGAAAGAATTTCTCATGCGCTTTCCATGGGTTTAGGGTGGTCTGCATTTCTTCTTATGTTTTAGAATAATCTCTCACATATGGCTATGATGGGGAGTGGTGAGGGGAAGTTGGGGTCAAGATAAACATTAGGAGGAAGAAGTGGGAGATTTGGAAAAGATTTGTCTCAACAGCCCATAGTCATGTTATACAAAGAAGGCAATGAGCAGGATTTTGGTATGCCTGAAGTCCAGAAGAGAGGTAGATAAAGTTTAAAGTTAAAAGTCTTGATTTTTCTATAATCAAATTCCCCTGAATTTAAGTACATAGGCAGTTTAGAGAGCCTAAACCATTTGGGGTTCGCTCAGCTGTGTCTCAGAAACCCAGAGAAGTCTTTTCTGTAAAATGAACTATCTAAGTGCGTGATGGTAGACATTAGCTTATTTATTTATTTATTTATTTTAGAGACAGGGTCTCACTCTGTTGCCCAGGCTGGAGTGCAGTGGCGCTATCATAACTCACTGTGACCTTGAACTCCTTGGCTTAAATGATCCCCCCCTCCTCAGTCTCCTGAGTAGGTAGAACTACAGGCATGTGTAACCATGCCCAGCTAATTTAATTTTTTTTTTTTTTATTGTAGAGGCAGGGTCTCACTATGTTGCCCAGGGTGGTCTGGAACTCCTGTCCTCAAGAGAACCTCCCTCTTTAGCCTAGCCTTCTGAGTAGCTGGGATTACAGATGTGAGCCACTACACCCAGTCTGCTTATACTCTGTGTAGACATACAGTGCCTTTGAACACCCATTTGGAAAATTCCACTCTAGAGTTCACTACTCCTAAGGTAGAAATCAGAAGTCCCTTTCCTAGTCTCCTTAACAGCTTTGGTACAGGTATGTGAGCAAGATCTGTTGATAGCCTGACTCTCAGTTTGAAGCTAGTGATGTCAGAAAGGTGGGATCACAGAGAATCCACGCTGCAAGGATGGCCAGATATACCCAGGATCCAGAGGCTGTGGGAGAGAGGGCCTTCAAGTGGTGTCTGGGGCTAGAGGTCTGTGCTGCAAACTGCAATGCTCGTTCACCTGGGCAGCAACAGCATCTTGGCTGCAGCAGTTTTACAAAGTGATTTGAGATCTTTCCTGGCTGCGTTGCCTTTACTCTTGGTTTTCACATCTGTGAAAAGAGTGTTACTAACACCAGCCTCACAGAATCTCTGTGAAGATGAAATGATAATGTATGTGAAGACACTTGGTTCCTCCAATTACAATGAATGTCCATTTCCTTCCTTCCTTTCCCTGTGTTTCATTTCTCCCTCCGGGGTCATGTGCTAGTTGTCTTAGGAATTTGAGGGCTCTGAACTGAGCAGACAAGACTCTACCAAATGTGACTCCCCAATTCTATGGTGACACGAAGAGTTTCCTCCAGCCTAAGAAGTGAGGAGAAAAGGGCAGGGAAGCGACTTCTAGGTAGAGGGAGCTACGGGAGCAAAAGATAGGGCTCTAAACTGTTTGGCTATGAGAAATGAGAGAAATGGGAATGCAGTCGGTCTTGCTAGAGAGCTTGGAGCACGCTTGCCTTTCTGCATTTGCACTCTGTTTTGAAGTGGCATAAACATAATTATTGACATGGAAAGTTGTTTACAATATATTATTAAGTGATAATAGCAGGATACAGAGCAGTAAATGCAATATGATGCCATTTTGTTGTAGACGTGTATGCATGTTGTATATATGCATGTGTGGATTATGTGTCTATCCATACACACATGAAAATCTGTAAGAACATACATCAATCTTAACAGTACTAAATTTTAGGTTGTGAGATCACAAGTGAGTTTTTTTTTAAATCTTAAAATTACTTAAATTGTTTACCTATATATTTTTCTTAACCGAGCGTGTATTATTTGCGTAATAAAAATAATATTAAAAAAGAGAAAAACATTGTGTCACTAAATAGCCTTCAAACATATGACAATTTTATTTCACCTATTGTCTATTGTTAGCTAGTAGGTGGTTTCCAGTTTTATTATATTATATTCCCTATTATAAAAATGCTGGCATTAATCAAATAAGGTTTTATTTGTTTTCTGTTAGAAAGTCATCTTTAATTACTTGAGTGGCTTAGTGTGGCTATTTTTGTGTTTGCCTTTTAAATATATTTTTAAAGAAGAAATTTTTGACATTTCCTCTTCTGTACTTTTTTTTTGAGACGGAGTCCTGCTCTGTCTCCCAGGCTGGGGTGCAGTGGCGGGATCTTGGCTCACTGCAACCTCCACC
Source organism: Homo sapiens (assembly GCF_000001405.40). Taxonomy (NCBI): domain Eukaryota; kingdom Metazoa; phylum Chordata; class Mammalia; order Primates; family Hominidae; genus Homo; species Homo sapiens. Next base: position 17,247,521 of record NC_000004.12, on the reverse strand, counting down.
TCCTGGGTTCAAGCAATTCTCCTGCCTCAGCCTCCCTAGCAGCTGGGATTACAGGCATGTGCCGTCACGCCTGGCTAATCTTTGTAGAGATGGGGTTTCACCATGTTGGCCATGCTGGTCTCGAACTCCTGACCTCAGTTGATCCATCTGCCTTGGCCTCCCAAAATGCTGGGATTACAGGCATGAGCCACTGTGCCTGGCCCACTTTTGTACTTCTTTTATAAAATGTTCTTGAATTTCCAGAATAGATGGAGCTCTAAGGTAAACTGGAACTCTGATTTTTTGGACATTCATGAAACCAGATAACACACACCAAATTGCAAATGGAATGCAAGTGTGCTCTCAATCCCTAAGGAAAGCTGCTCTCAATCCCTAAGGAAACAGCACTTAACAAAATCTGAAGGTGAAATGCCCAAACTGAAAAAGCTCTTTAAAATATCAGACCGTTTACATTTTCTCACGTGATTATCAAAACCAAACCAAACTAAACCAGAAGGAAGATTTCTTTTCTACACTGTCATTTTGCCAACACATTCCTTTATATTAAAAATGAAAAGACCTTAAAATACCCTAACAGATAGCAAAGCCTTTGAGTGCAAGTTTACATGCAGGGCCAGGGATATTCATTAAAATTGTAATTAGACTATGATTAAATTCATTCACAGTAGAAACTTTGCTTGTAAGTGTTGCTACAGGAAGAAACCTCCAGTCTGAAAATTAGTTCAGCAGTCTGAACGATTTTAATTATCGTTGATTATTGCTAGAGAAGGAAACCTTTATTGCAGCAACAGAATGAAGGTCTTTTTCCCCCCTTTTTGGTTTCCTGAGCTAATATGAAGTACATATTTTGATAACCAAATGTTTCTTTAGGCAAAGAAAATGTGAGAAAATCTGAACAAACTCTGATAGCAGGAGAGCAGGAGTTATTAAATGGTCTCCTGATAGATAATGCAGTGGTCTGTGTGGTTTTTCATTGTAAGTCAATCATTATCATTTGGTTAAGGGAAAGGGAAAGGGACAGAAATGGAAGTTTTTAAACTGTTATGTCTGTGTGCCATCTTTTGTGACAGGCAGTTTCTCCTAGATCCCTTCTCGTATTTCCGTTTCCATTTTATAGGTGAAGAAGCTGGGGATCAGGTGAGTTAAGTGACTCTCGGATTATAAGTGGTAGAATGAGGACGAAATGCTCTCTGACCCCAATGCCTACTTCTTTCACTCTGCCATTTGGAGGAGAAATCCAAGGCGAGGGTGGAGAGGCTTTTGGAATTGCTTTTCCTCTTTCGTGTATATGCTCTAAGTTGTGTGTGTCACTTTGTGCTGTTATACACCTTCTTGGCAAATGCTTGCCCCTAGTTCTGCCTTGAACCAGCAAGTCTAAGTGAGACCGAGGGGAACACATTCCGGGCCTGACTGCATTCCTTGAATCCTGATGGCAATTACAGCTTCTCCAGATCTGACTCCACTTCTTCCTTTCATCAAAAGCGTAGAGGCTGTAGGGCTGCTGAGGGCCTGGGTACAGTGGAACGGGGTAGACGTGCAGTCAACAAATCTGATTTCTGCCCCTAGACCACATTCCTATTAATTATGTGATTTGGAGAAATTCACTGTGTCTCGCTGGAGTTCCATTTATTCTCTGTTAAATAAAGGGGAGGTAGATTTAACATTGGAGGCTCTTACAGCAGCAATATTCCAGTATTTCCTGATGGTGTCATCAGACTTTCAAAGCAACTGTGGAAGCAGGGAGGGTCGTCTCGGAACACTCATGCTTCCTCCCCGCCATTGCCCAAAGCCATGCTGACCACTCATATTTAAAAAAATAATTCTGACAAATGCCAAATAGTAGGGAGACTAGTATACAGTATAAGGGACTCTCATATACACATCATGTAGATATAACAGTTGTTTGCATTTTTCCATATTGGTTGTATCTATTTTTGTGCTGAAATTTAAAGCATATTATTTATCTAATGGCATTTCACGAATGAATCCTTCAGCGTGCATCTTTTTAAAACTATTTTTATTTCAATAGCTTTTGTGGTACAAATGGTTTTGGTTATGTGGATGAATTATTATATGTAGTGGTGAAATCTGAGACTTTTAGTGCACCTGTCACCTAAGTAGTGAACACTGTATCCAATATATACGTTTTTTTTCACACCCACCTCATCTTCCTGCTTCTGAGTCTCCAAAGTTCATTGTCTCAGTCTGTTTGCCTTTGTGTACACATAGCTTAGCTCCCACTTGTAAGTGAGAACATGCAGTATTTGGTTTTCCATTCCTGAGTTACTTCACTTAGAATAATGGTCTCCAGCTCCATCCAAGTTGCTGCAAAAGATATTATTTCATTCCTTTTTATGGCTGAGTAGTATTCCATGGTGTATATATACCACATTTTCTTTATCCACTTCATTGGTCAATGGACACGTAGGTTGGTTCCATATCTTTGCAGTTGTGAATTAGCTTCAGTGTACATCTCTAAAAAGCAAAGGCCATTTTTTTTTAACAGAAAAGCCATACAATTTCCATGCCTAATATAATTAATAATAATTTTTTTAAATCCTCAATGACCAGTTCATGCTCAAATTTCCCCAATTGCCCCCAAAATGTTACAGCTGAGTTGTTTAAATGAGGATCCAGTCAACATCACTCTTGGTTGTTACGTCTATTAAGTCTCTTTTCATCTAATACTATACTTTTCTTCATGACATTGACTTGTTGAAGATTTTGAAGGAACTGGGCTAATTGTCCTAGAGAAATTCCTTCTTTCTGAATTGCCAGATTGCCTCCTCCTGCTGCTAGTGTTTTGGTTCCTCTTTAATTCCCACATGAACTAAACGTTCGATCTAAACATTTGATTAGATCCAGGGTAAACATTTTGGTAAAACTCTTCATGCATGATGCTGTGTCCTTCATATTTAATTACTTCAGTAGGCAAGTAATGCTCTGGCAGCTTGGCTCTAGCCCTGTGATCTTATATTTCTCCTGTGATTGGCCTTTGGCTGTAGGAGACATCATGTAAATATCCAGTTCCCTATCAAATTTTCATCTAAGGGTCTTGGTGGTGTTGATAATCCCTGCCTTAATCACTTTTTCATTAGTAGCTATAAAATGGTAATTTCCTAATTCTATACATCTTTCTCCATTTACTAGCTGATATTATTCTAGATAGAAGAATTTTCTGAGGGCTGATCTTGACAAAGGCGTGGTCTAAGTCCCAAAGGTTTGGCACCCTGGCTTCTTGCTTTCAGTGTCTTACTGGGTTTTCCTTACATCAGCCTTAATTTGGGCTAGAGAAAAGTGTTTCTCAGCATTGTTAGATCAGGCTTTTCTTTTCAATAAGCCACAGCTTCTGAGGAAAACAAAGTTAAGCTAGCTCATGAAATTTGAAAGATTTCCTTTTTCTCTTGAGAGGCAAAGAATCTCAAAGGAAAACAGGCAGTGCACTGCCTCCAGAATATCTTGAAAGTATACATTCTTTTCAACAAGGCTAACGTATATGATAAAAAATTATCTCCCTTTAGAACAACTTCCTTCTCCAAATTGAACTCTTAACTTTGATATATCACTGCGGGTGTGTTAGCAACATTTTCAGGAGATACGGGTTAAATCATTCTCAGGAGATGCTGTAGCCTTTGCTGTTAACTGGGAGATGTCTTCTTGTATCCCCCCTATGAGTTACAGGTATCTTGCCACACTCTGAAGACAAGCTCCAAAAGATGTGAAAATTTATAGACAATCAGGGCTCTGGTCCATGATGATGTGAATTCCAATGTTTCAGAGCTTGCATAGAACAACTAAGAGAGAAGGTAAAAAGCTCTCTCTGAGATAGTGGGCATGCAGGATATTGGTTTAGCAGATGATTCCACTGAATGGACAATATGCAAGCAAGAAATCAGTGAATACATTTATTTCTGGAATATTTTGACTTTAGACCCCTAAATCTTTTTTTTTTTTTTTTGAGACAGAGTCTCGCTCTGTCACCCAGGCTGAAGTGCAGTGGTGCAATCTTGGCTCACTGCAACCTCCATCTCCCTGGTTCAAGCAATTCCCCTTCCTCAGCCTCCTGTGTAGCTGGGATTACAGGCGCATGCCACCACACCCGGCTAATTTTTTTTGTATTTTTAGTAGAGACGGAGTTTCACCATGTTGGCCAGGCTGGTCTCAAACTCGACCTCAGGCAATCCACCCGCCTCGGCCTCCCAAAGTGCTGGGATTACAGGCGTGAGCCACCTTGCCCACCTAGACCTCTAAATCTTAAATGGATAGCCTAAATTAAACCCTGTGATGGAACTGATGCACCCTAAACATCAAAGTAAAATAAGAAGTAAAATCAAGGTTCTTTGTAGCAATGCCACTTAAGCTTTGTAGTGAGTTCTCAAGATGGTGTAACTTGGAGTTAGGCAGATCTGGGGTTCCCATTCTGGCTCTGACCTTTAACAACTGGGTCAATTTATTAACTTTTCTAAAGCTCTGTTTTTTCACTTGTTTATAGCTGGAGTCTTGTTTGAGCAAAAGTTGGAATCCAGAGATGTCTTTGTGTATCTGATAAAATCATAGGTCTGTCCTGCTAGAAATCAGTTGGCATGAGGAATTTTGGCCCAGGGAAAATGAGATCAGAGGTCTTTGCAGATGCCTGAGTGTGGGGAGGAAAAGGGGAGGCTTACATGGAATCCGTGTCAGACAGTGGTCTTTAAGATCAGCCTTAAGGCAGTGTCTAATCTGGAGGGGGTGCTGACTAGAAGCTAAATGAGATGTTTTCATAATGGTCCTGAAGGTTTACCTTTGGTGCCCAGGGGTTAAAGTGAGACACAAAGTAGGTAGACTTTCCCTCCACTTCTGCATGGATCTCAGCATGGTGTGGTGTGGCAAGGATGGCAGAAAACAAGACCTATTTTGGCAATTTAAAAGCTGATAACTTTGAGAGCACCACTGGTGAACACTTGGCAAAATACCAATTTTCTCCCAGAGATTTGTAGACGGGGGCTAAAGTAAGATGCCAACTTCAAAGGTTTTCATGAGCAACTCCTCCTGGATAGCCCAGAGCTTGAAAAAGGTGGTTGTGAGCTCAGATAAAATACCTCCAGCACCCTAGAGATCCTGTAGAAAGAGGACACAGGCCCCACAGGATTTAAGGTACAAAGGCTGGTATTGGTTTATTTGCATTTATAGACTTTTTGTTGTGGTCTTTCTGGAGATTGATTTGTAGGAGTTTGGCCTACTGCAAAGAGTTTTCCTGAAGATTAAATAAAGAAAACATTGAACACAATACTTGGCACGATGCAGCAGTTTAACCATCCTTAGCTCCCTTGTGTTTTATTTTTATCCTCATTTCTATGGAGATATATAAGGTCTTCTTCTGAGGTCTAACTCTTTGGGTAAGTAGTACATTGTTATGTATATTGGTTTATTTATTTTGCTGACTTTTCTATACAGGAAAACATTCCTCTATTGCCCTTTTGATTCCTTTCCCCTGTTCTTAGCAACAGTGGCAATAACAACTGAACATGGGTGGCCTTCCAATAACATCCCACAAGTGGAACTGGAAAAAAAAATGTGTCCAGATAAAGACGATAAATATATTCCTGTGTTCTTGTTAATGAACAGATATCCAACCTGCATGACTTTCTCTTCTAGTCATGCAAGAGGCAAGGGTAATTTAGAAACACTCATGCTCTCTTTGTCATGCTGTTGACAAAAGGCTTGCAGAAAAAATATAATACACCTCTGTTGAAAATAAACATGAAAAAGCCCTTAAGACATGCAAAGCAAGGTCTATAATTTGGTGTAAATTTTTTAGCCTGAATAAATCACATCTGTTATGTCCTTAGTGCCAAAGAAAGGCAAGACTGTTTCTGGAATGGGGACAAGTCTTTTATCTTGTCCCCCAAAGGGCCTTGATGATGTTAGAAGGTAGTATCTTGGTGATACAGCCAGGCAGAAATTGTCCAGTAGATATGAACTATGGGAAAGGATAATTTTTTACGGATCTCAGTCTAGTCACTTGTTTTTTCTGTTTTTATTTTTATTGATACATAATAGATGCACATAGTTTGGGGTTACATGTGATCATTTAATGCATTCATGTAGTTTGTAAAGATCAAATCAGTGTAACTGGGATATCTATCGCCTTAAATATTTGTCTTCTATGATGGAAACATTGGAGTTATTCTCTAGCAATGCTTCAATGATTCAATAGATTCCACTGGCATGTTACAAACAGTTTATGAATACAGTAAAAATTCCTTTATTTAGATCCTCCCATCTTTGACCCATATTTCAAAATGAATACTTAAACACCCTTCTCCCCCTCTCACTTGACCAGGTAGACTCCAGCTGTCCTTTAAATGCAAACTTTGCCCCCTCCCACCGTATTTGATGGAGTCAACTACCTATTCTCCATGCTGCCTCTGCACTCTACATTTACTTCTGTTAGGGAATTTACCAGACATGTTACAGATTTTTGTTTTCATGCTTGTGTCCCTAACTGGAGAGTTAGGTCCTTAAGAAAAGGGCCTGGTCTTTCTATCAATTTATGCCCAGAGTTTAGCTCATTTCCTGCCTGTACAGTATTGTTCCATAAATGTTTGCCGAAGTGATTCATAGAATCTCAGGTTTAAAAGGAAACTTTTTGGTCACTTTAGGAAATGTAGAATAGTGGCACAGATTACATCCAAGCCATATGCTCCCCTCAGTTAGTAGACAGGGTTATGAGGCTTGCTCGGGGTCATACTGTGAGCTATTGGTAAGCAGAGGCCAGAATTCATAAGTCCTGGACCAGTTCAAGGACGTAACATTCTACAGAACACTAGTTGCTTGGATATTAACAGTTACTTTAAGAAAAAAATACATTACATCTTCAAATTAGTTGGGCACATCTCTTTAATGTATAACTGTCTTGTGAAGTTCTAAGAATGAGATAGAGGCTGCAGCATTTCCCAAACATTTCTTCATGGAACCCTTCCCTTGTATGCCATCTTACAGAACTGATATTCACCAAAATAGGTTTTGGAAAACACAGTTGTGCTACGCAGAAGAATTCCCCCACATCCTTGCCACACAAAGATGTCCAAGACCTCATCTCCAGAATCTGTGATTATGTTCTATTACATAGCACAGGGGAATTAGGTTGTAGGTAGAATTAAGGTTGGCAATGAGTTGACCTTTAAATGAATAGTTGATTGTGAACTATCTGGGTGGCCAACTGTGGTCAGGCCCTTAAAAGTAGAAGGGGGAAGCAGGAGAGGAGGTCAGAGTGATACAACGTGGAAAGACTCAACCTGCTGCTGTTGGCTTTGAAGATGGAGGAGAGGCCATAAGCCAAAGTGTGCACGTGACCTTTAGAAGCTGGAAAAGGCTAAGAAGTAAATTCTCCCCCAGAGCCTTGAGAAAGGAATGGAGCTCTGCCAACACTTTGATTTTAACCCAGTGAAAACTGTGTCACACTTCTGATCTCTAAAATGAGAGGCTAATAAATTTGTGTTGTTTCAAGCCGCTAGGTTTGTGGTAATTTGTTATAGCAGCAATAGAAAATTAATACAACAGTCCTAATGTCACAAGCTGCACATCTACTGTGCTCCCACTCAAGCCTGGGAATAATTCATATTCATAATTATTTATATTCATGTCTTTATGGTGAGGTGGAATGGTTTTCCTGGTTGGCTGTAACCTGATCCCTAAAAACCATATCTTATTTCATTTTTACAGGCATAAGAGGCAAAATCACATAAAATTTCATTTTTATGTATAAAGAAGGACTAATTAGTAACTGTGAGTTATGAAGGGTTACAAAAATTTGTTTTTCATAAACTAGAAATGGCAACATTTTTAGTTTACTGAAAACTTGAACTCATTATTCCACCACACCGTCTGGGTACAAAATTTAAAGTTTTTTCAGTGAAAGAGTTTATGTCAATAATTGAAATGTTTGTGATTTGGAAGGAGCAAATTTCTTCATCCATGGGGATCAGCATTGTGCTAAACTGGTTATAGTTTATAGGTGCTGGTATGATTGACTGTTAAAATAATAAATTACTGTAAGTTTAGGGATTCTAATTTAGTTTGTTGAGGACTCTTTGGTAAATCCCAGATTGTGTAGTGATATACATTTCTATCAAGAATATTCTTGGACTATAGCTTTCCAGGAATTATGTATTGGCACATAGTAAATGCTCAAATATTTGTTGATGTGTTGAATAAATGTGCTAAGTGCTTTCTGCATATTGTCACATTCAATCAAAAAACATTTTTAAATGAGCATGCTGAGGTTTAAAGGGGTCAGGTTATTTGCCCATGGTTTTGTGCTTACTTAGTCTCAGAGCTGGGTTGGAGTCCAGGAGTCTCCAATGCCAGAGACCCCGCGAGCTCTTCACCATAACACTGGGATTGTTGAGATCAAATGCTAAAGCCAATGGCTATATAATAAACTCATCCCTCTGTTGGGATTTAAGAGACTTCCTAGAGTGATGTCTCCATGTTGTTAGGGATTTGCTTTTTGATTGAAAAGTAGGATTCAATGGATTAAGAGGGGTTTTTGCCCTCCCTAATTAGACTCTGATGAAAAATTATTGAGAACGACTGTACTCAGCCAACGAGTGGCCCGAGTACCTTTGTGTGTCTTGGAATCATTTTGCCATTCCATAAGCAAGATATATTAATTACTCCTTATATGTTGGCATTGTGCCAATGGTTGAGGAAGACACCCAGCAATATGATCTTTGGCTCAGGTGACCATACTTCTGGGTTTGCCTAGGACAGTTCTGTTTATCTTTGTTGCCCTGCTGTAGTTAATTGTAGTACCCCCGCCGCCACCCTTTTCATGATCTCAAAAGAGTTCTGGTTTGGATGATAAATTATACGGTCACCTTACCTGTGGTAGACCTTCAAGAGGCTTGCAAACTCACTGGTGAGAGAAAAAATATAAATATTTAGAAATATTCACTAATCTCTTTCTGTCTTTGGTAGGCAGCTCCTGTAATGGCTCCCAGTGATCTCTGTCTCCTTGTATTCATGTCTTTGTGTAATCGCTTCCCTTAGAGTGGGGTTGAACCTAGTGACTTGCTTCTAATTAATGAAATTTAGTAAAACTTATGATATTTCACTTCTGAGATTAGGCTGTAAATAAAACTGCCAGCAAAAATATAGAATGCCAACTTGAATGTAAACTTCAGATAAACATTGAATAATTTTTTGGTGTAGAATGTCCCATGCAATATTTGGGAGATATTTATACTAAAAAAGTATTCACTGTTTATTTGAAATTCAAATTTAATTAGGTGGTCTACATTTTTTTTTACTTTTATTTTTAATAAAAGTAGAAAACACCAAAACACATAACATAAAATTTACCATCTTAACTATTTTAAAGTGTTCAGTTCAGTGGTGTTAAGTGTATTCACATTGTTGTGCAATTGCCACATTTTCTCATCTCGAAAAGTTGAAACCCCAAACTTATTAAAAACCCGCTCACCATTTTCCCCTTTGTCTAGCTCCATCAACCACCATTCTACTTTTTGTTTCTATGAATTTGACTCCTCTAGATACTTTATAAAAGTGGAGTCACACAGCATTTTCGTTTTTTTGTGTCTGTGTGTGACGGGTTTTTTCACTTAGAATAATATCCTCAGGGTTCATCTTGTAGCCTGTGTCAGAATTTCCTTTCTTTTCAAGGCTGAATATTCTGTTGTATCTATATGCCATATTTTGTTTATCCATTGATCTGTTGATGGACACTTGGGTTGCTTCCATCTCTTGGCTATTGTGAATAGTTCTGCTATGAAGAGTGGTGTGCAAATATCTCCTTACTAGCTATTGGTCTGTTCCCATTTTGTATTTCTTTATGATTCAGTCTTGATAGGGTTTGTGTTCCTAGGACTTATCAATTTCATTTAGGTTATTGAATTTGTTGGCATATAATTACTTGTAATATTCTCTTATCCTTCTTATTTCTGTAAAATTGGTTGAAATGTCCCCTGTTTCATTACATTTGAGTCCTGTCGCCTTTTCTTCGTTAATTTAGTTAAAGGTTTGTTAATTTTGTTAAGCTTTTCGAAGAACAAACTCTAGGTTTTGTTGATTTTCTCTACTATTTTTCGTTCTCCAATCCATTTATCTCTCTCTAATTTCCTTCCTTCTGCTAGTTTTGGCTTTAGTTAGTTCTCATTTTTCTAGTTCGTATTCATTTTATTTATTTCTTCTTTTTTACCATATGCATTTGCAGCTGTAAATTTCCCTCTTTACATTGCTTTGAGTGTCCTGTATTTTTATTTGCTAAATATGGCAACCCTAGCTCTAAAAGATGGTGATTTCTGTTTTGTTTGTACTCCCTCTGTTGCCTTCTTCCTTTCTCACTCTGGCCAAACCAGCTGCCATGCTGTGAGATGCCCTGTAGATGTTGAACAAGTACCAAAGGAGGTCTCAGTCTAACAATCCATGAGGAACTGACTCCTGTCAACAACCACTTGAATGGACTTAAAAGTGGTTCGACTCCCAGTTGAGTTTTAAGATTACTGCAGATCTGGCCCACACCTTGATGGTGGCCTCATAGAAGATCAGAGCCAGAGGCCCCAGCTGAGTCATGCCTGCATTTCTGACTCTCAGAAACTATGAGATAATAAATGTTTGACACTTTAAGTCACTAAATTTTGGGGTAATTTACTATGCAGCAATAGATGAGTAACACACTGTCTTAACATTTTCTTTGGATGCAATTCCACTATCCTCTAATGGCTTTACTTCTGTGTACAGTTTTTGCAATCTTGAAAATAAATGGTAACTTGAGCATGTATCTGATATGTGCATTGCTCAGAGACATGAATTAGAGAGTCTGACATAAAATTAGGTCATTTAAATGGCAAACTAGATACAATAAAAATGTCTTGTAAGTAGGAATTTTATTGGAAATAAAACAAATAAATTTATTAGAATCTTGTTGAAATTGCTGGTGAGGGTACTCCTGAGAGGTTCTGCAAACAGGAAATTAAAATGTATAATGTCTATTCAGTGCACTCTTTTCAATGTTGTGAACATGATAAAGGGTTAATGTAATATCATTCTTAAATTCCTATATATATCGATTAAACTATGATGTATTCATAAGTGGAAGACTATGTAGTTATTTAAGATGAGAGTCCACAAATATACCTATAGACATGGAGATTTGCTTACAGTAAAATGTGAGATGAAAAGGGTAAATCGACTGCAGAGTTTTGCTATTATAGGTGATGCTATGATGAACATCTTTGGAGCAAAATCGTTGCACATGTCCAGGATTATTTGCTTAGAATGGGTTTTTAGAAGTAAAATTGCTGGATCAAAGTCTACCCCACTTGTAAAGGTTATGTTGTAGCCTAATTCTTGCCATTCCAGGGGACTATGGCAATAGATTTTATCCCCGTGTCCAGCATTTGCTTGAACATTTGCACATTTCTAATTCAGGCCTTATAGGAGAGACTCATTAAACCTCCTGCCTCCAATTTGCCTACTCTCTAAGAGAGTAGCTTACTGACTAAATCTTCATCATTCTACTTCTCTCCTGAATCTATTGCTGGGCAGTTCTTTTTTTTTTTTTTTTTTTAAACATTATATTACTGACAGATCTTCATTGAGTATAGGTTTACCAGACACTGTTCTTTAGTTTAAAATCCACCAGTTTTTCTTTTGAGTGTATGTTAAACAGAACACAGTTGTTTATATTCAGAGGAAAAGTAACCTGGCTTTATCTGTAACTTAATTACCATGAGGTCTCATGTGTGGTCTCTGGTGCTGTATAAATTAATAATGCTGTAATTGTGGAGTTCACATATTGGGGATTGTTACTCCCCTTCTCTAGAGAACCAAGCTAGCAAACAGCTTGTGCATTCGCGTATATTCTTGGAGTGGACTTTTTTCCCCCTGAAGCATTTTTACCCCCTTTTCAGCCCCCTCCCCCTTTTTTATGTCACTTTTATTCTCCTTGGAAACAGTCTGTGGCATTCTTATAGCTGCTGTTTCTCCTCTGGGTGGCTATTGAAATATCCCCCTAATATTTCTCCATTATAATGTGAGCCATCAATAGCACAATGCTTTGTTGGCCTGCCTTTCCAGGACATACTACAGAGCTATTCCATTACTCTGGCATCCATCAGGACAATAAGCCACAAATCTTTTTCAGTGCAGCACCTAGCGTGGCCACCTTTGGGTTGGAAGGCAGAGAAAGGCAGGACTGTTTACCCCGCATGGAGAGAGAGCAAACATATATATTCTGGTTTCTTCTGCATGTACTCTTTTGAATGAGCACCACATACTATGAAGGAGAGACCATGATTGGAAGGGAGGAAAGTTTTCTTTGCTTAAATGATTCAGTCAGAGAAATTTCACAAGTCCACTAGGGAAAAGACTTCATCCGATATATGCTGGATTTTCTTTGGAGGATTTGCTAATGATTGGTGGGAGCCCCGCTTCTTATGTATTACCTACTTTTCTTAATAATAAAAGAGAGACCATGTGTTGGGTGTGTGGCTTGCTGATAAACTCACTTGGAGCAGTGACTGGCAAGTAGGTGTATTTTGTATCCTGTGCTATTAGAAAGAAAATAATAAACACTATTAAGAAATTTGTAGCGTTTAATGGGGGTTCCACTTGGACTTTAAGGTTTATGCCAAATCAGCTAAAAATATGAGGTGCTAAGTGTTTTATTATTTTTTAAAAGCATTTTGAACATCTTTTAACCTCACTCAGAACATCAAAATAAATTCCAGATGGTTTAAAGAGTTAAATATTTAAAAACCTAAACTGTTAGAAATTCTAGAAGAAAATAGATGTGAATATTTATGAAACCTCCTCAGGGGGAGGGTTTCTCAGCTTAAAGTTGACAGAATAAATCACTAAAGATGTGAATGACAGATCTGACTACATAAAAATTTAAAACTTTCATACATCAAAAAAATCACCAAGATTAAAAAGCAATCAATAAAACTTGGAATAATGTTGTAGAGAATTCAACAAAGGGTAACTCTTTTAAATAAATATAAAACTCATATACATTCAGTAATACCAGGACCTCAGTAAACAAATGGAAAAAGAACAAAAATAGGCAAAAGACAAATATGAAATATATTGGTAAAAACTGAAAAAAAATTTAATTTGCCTTATTAACCAATTAAATGTAAATTAAAACAATAATAGGATGTTACAGCCCTTCTTCCAAAATTTCCCCACAATTATCTGATATTTAAAATGAAATAATAATATTGAAAGTTGATGAGGGTAAGTAAAATATTTACTCTCATCCAGTGGTAAGGTAAGGAAGGTAAAAGCAAGAGACTATCCATGTTAATAAAAATACTCCATTAAATTAAAATAGGGTATAGCAAACAATTGGGAGCTTTACTTTATATAATGGAATCTTAGCATGTTTTTAAAATGTTCTTAAATAAATTTTTTTCTTTCTTTTTTCTAGTTTTTCTAAATTCTCTGTAATAATTATATATTGCTTTTAATCAGAAGTAGATCCTTGGCCCCACTCATCTCAGTTTTGTGGTACCCTTGATCCCTTAGCCAGCAGATTTTTCTTCTAATTCCAGTTCTTATTGTAGTCACAACATTTTCTCTTCCCTGGTATTAAAGCTCTGCACTTTTCTACACATAGAACCATAACCTCCTTTTCTGCCTTTCCCAGCAGTACTATGTCAGCCTATTCCACCAAATTTATGTCCTCTCTTTTTCCTGTGGCTTTGACCAATATGCTGTCCTTCAAATCTGAGCTTCCATATCAATCTACTTTTTTATTTTTTATTTTTGAGACAGAGTCTTGCTCTGTCGCCCAGGCTGGAGTGCAGTGGCCTGATCTCAGCTCACTGCTACCTCTGCCTCCCGGGTTCAAGTGATTCTCATGCTCCAGCCTCCCTAGTAGCTTGGATCCAGGCACCTGCCCATATGCCCAGATAATTTTTGTGTTTTCAATTGAGATGGGGTTTCACCATGTTATACAGGCTGGTCTCTAACTCCTGACCTCAAGTGATCCACCCGCCTTGGCCTCCCAGAGTGCTGGGATTAGAGGTGTGAGCCACCGTGCCCAGCCCACATCAATCTGCTTGTAACCCCAGCTCCTTTTTATTAGCTTTTGAGCCTTTATTACTAATGCTGATTCTCTCTGAGCTTCAGTTTTCTCATCTATTAATTGGGCACCATAACAATATCTGCTATACAGAGTGTGCGAATTTGATTAAGTGAGAAAAGGTAAGTAAAAGTGCTTTGTAAGCCTTGAAGCTTGAAGCTCTTTGCCAGTATCATTGTTGTTCTGATTACTATTATTTATTCCATCTATATTGGAATCAGAATTATGGTGCTAAAGGTAGCTGAGTGTTCTCTGTCCAGGCCTCCTGATGACTGTCTCGTTTGCATACTCAGCCACCATTGGTAGGAGACAACTTAGCCTTTGTCCTTATTCGGGAGGGCCTGGGAAGGAGAATGTTTTAGCTCTGCAGCTTTTAGGAGACCTTGGTAGGACACTCTGTTCCTGTTGGTGTGAGTAGAGACAGAGATAGTGCAGGACCAGAGGATCTGTTGGGAGAAGGAGGTTGGAGAGCTCTCTGCCTTTGCTCCTAAGTCTCCTTATTTGTTTTGGGTCAGTAATGACTGTGGTGGTGGCTGTTTAGTTCATTTCTTCCTGGAGTAATGAATTGGTGGACTGCTCTTTGCTGAATGCCTCCCATAATCCAGCAGGCATTCTCTAGTACTAGGAACTCTGCCAGATGCTGAGGTCAGAGATAAGTAGGGCAGGCGCTGCCTGTCAGGAGCCTACAGACCAGAGGAGGAACACTGTCCTGTAAAGAGGTGGTTATAATAAACAGCCCATGCTATTGTGTGTAGATGATTAAGTGCACAGAAAAGTGAGTAGCCAGCCCTGTGCAGACCACAGAGAGGGCTGGGGACAGGGGCATTAAAATGTTCTGCACAGGGAAAGGATGGCCTTATAGAAAAAGCAGACTTTGAAATGGGCTTTGAAATGTGCAAGGTATTTTTCCAAGTGAAAAGATGGAGTAGAGCTATTTCATGCAGTGGGGAAAGCTTGTATAAAGCCATAGTTGGGGACAAAACTGTAGCATAAGGCCGTGATAAGGACTCTATATCTGGAACACAGCATGGTGGAGATAAATGAGTATGAGGTAGGAGAGAGTGAGGTTGGCAAGGGCTTGGCCACTGGGGACCATCCTTGTTATGATAAGAAAGCACAAATCACGGGCCGGGCACGGTGGCTCCTGCCTGTAATGCCAGCACTTTGGGAGGCTGAGGCGGGTGGGTTACCTGAGGTCAGGAGTTCCAGACCAGGCTGGCCAACATGGCAAAACCTCGTCTCTACTAAAAATACAAAAAATTAGCCGGGCATGGTGCCAGGCTCCTGTAATCCCAGCTACTCAGAAGGCTGAGGCACGAGAATCACTTGAACCCAGGAGGCAGAGATTGCAGTGAGCTGAGATTGCACCATTGCACTCCAGCCTGGGTGACAGAGCAAGATTCTGTCTCAAAAAAAAAAAAAAAAAAGAGAAAGAAAGAAAGTACAAATCACAATCCCTGATCCAGAAACCTTCGTGCCAGATGTAGTTTTAGAATTAGAATTTTTCAGATTTTAGAAACATAATTATTTTCATTGTATTGTATACATCCTATCCCAGTGGGGCTTGGGGCAGCATCCTGTAAATATTCTGTTAATATTTCTGACACCAAATAGTCACACCCGAGAAAGAAAGAAAGAACATAATGATCCTCGAGTCCGTTTAGGTCAATTTTCCTCAACTACGTATAAAGAAACTTTAGATTTCAGAGCTTGTTGAATTTTGAATGTAAGGGTAAGGAGTTACGGGAGCATAGTAGGATTTCGCTTTTATTTTAGTCCTGAGGGTAATAGGTGGTTATTAAAAGATTCTGCACAGGAAAAGGATATAATTTTAATTGGGTGGCAGAAAAATGTATCTGTAGCCTTTGTAGAGAGTGAATTGGAAGAGAGGGTCAAGGGATTCTCTGACTTTGTCCTACACTCTGCTCCTGAATCTGCTGCTCTCTTTTAAAATTCTTCAGACATTTCCTCTCTTTACTTCCTTCCAGATCCTCCTCTTCAGATAAGGCTTTATATTTCATGCTCTTCGTAGGTCCACTCCACACATGCCTGGCCTCCCTCCCTGGGGGGAGTGAGTTTCCTTTCATCTTAAATCCCATCTCCCCAGAGAGCTCCCCTGCTTGTATCAAGAAGCTTGATTCTGTCCTCCTCAGCTTCCACTCTCTTTCATACTGCCAATCATCTTCCCTTAGTGTTGAGAATTTTAGCATTGCCCAAGAGTTGTACAAGTTCATCTGCAGGTGAAGAAATGGGCCCAGAGAGAGGCACAACAGAGCAAGTTGGCATCAGAGATGGTTCTAGACCCAGCTCCCCTTGACCATGATTTAGAGTCCCCTCTGCTCAGCAATACTGGTGAATTACAGCATTCCAAGAGTTTGATTTGAGCCTGAGCTGACTTTTCTTTGGAAGGATGATTTGAAGGCAATGTTTGATGATTTTAAAAATTTTATTATGATGCTTGGCAAGATGCCAAATGAATGATGTTCAGACTCTAGGTCAGACTTTTATACTTAGTCTTTTCTAGCGTTTATGAGCTTGAGTCACCATTTTATTCTTAACCTATGAGGTCCTTTGATATACAATAGTATAGTTATGTTTATTTTGGGCAATTATTTTACAACTTTCAGTTGCATCTTGCTAGCTTAAAAGGAGAGTGTTTGGCATAATAGGAAGTAACTGTTGAAGAAATGCTGCCAAGCTCTTTATTATTTTTCAAACTGTGATGGTGAATCTTCCTTTTTTTTTTTTAAACCATGAAATGAGAGGGCTGGGCGGAAACGTATAATAATTTATAAAACAGCACTTTACTTAAATACCATTATTTAAATAAGATATTGTCTTTTGCTGAGTGTTTTTAATGCACATTCGGTTAATATATATTAATGTTAAGAAGAGAAGAGGAAAGAGGAGAATGCTAATCTATAAACAGACTCGAAGGACCCTAAGAATCATATATATATATATGTTTGAGACAGAGTCTCACTCCGTCGCCCAGGCTAGAGTGCAGTGGCACGATCTCAGCTCACTGAAACCTCTGCTTCCCAGGTTCAAGCAATTCTCGTGCCTTGGCCTCCCGAGTAGCTGGAATTACAGGTGTGTGCCAGTACACCTGGCTAATTTTTGTAATTTTTGTAGAGATGGGGTTTTCCCATGTTGGCCAGGCTGCTCTTGAACTCTTGACTTCAAGCAACCTGCTCGCCTTGACCTCCCAAAGTGCTGGGATTACAGGCCTGAGCCACCGTGCCCAGCCTAAGAATCATATTTTTTTTTTCAGCTATTTTTTTTTCTTTGCCCCCTGAATTTTCCCCAGCCATTGGAAAAGGATTACTCCTACAACGCTTTGCAGCAGGCACATGTGAGCTGTCTTTAAACATATTTCAGGTGATCTATGAACACCTCATCAGCACAGTATAGCACTGCTGCTGGAAGACAGGGAAGCAAGACAAAATCCTGAGATTGACAATGCTGTCAGAATATTTCAGGTATGGAAGTTTGATCTGCTTAGTCTTGGTGATCTCTCATACAGGATCTAGCTATTGGGGCTTACTGGGTACTTGATTTATGATCAGTGTAGTTTTTTTGTAGGTGTTCTTTATCAAATTGTGAAAATTTTCTTCTATTCCTGGTTTTTTAAGGGTTTTATCAGGAATGTGTGCTGCACTTTGTTAAATGTTTTTCCTGCATCTATTCAGATCACATTTTTTTTTCCTTTATTTGGTTAATGTGGCGAATTATATGGACTGATTTTCAAATATTGAATGAACCTTGCATTCCTGGGTAAAAGCTCATTTGGTCATAACTTTTATTCTTTTTATATATTGTGGTTTGCTGCTTTTAAAATGACATTTGTGTCTATGCACGTGAGAGATATTGGCTGTTATTTTTTTCCCTTGTAATGTCTTTGTCTGGTTTTGATAGCAGGATTACATTAACCTCAAAAAGTGAGCTGAGAAGTGTTCTTTTCTCTATTTTCTGAAAGATTTTGGGTAATATTGGTATTTGTTCCTTTGTAAATATTTAATAGAATTGACTAGTAAAATCATCTGTACCTGTGGTTTTCTATGTGGCTATTTGTGTTTGAATTCAATTTTTTAGACAGCTATAGGACCATTTAGATTTTCCATTTCTTTTTGAGTCTGCTTTAGTTTTTGTAAGTTGTGTTCTCAAGCAATTTGTCCATTTCATCTGTTTCAGGATTTTTGGAAATACACTTGTTTTTATTTCTTTATTACCCTTTTAATGTTTGAAAGGTTTGTAGTGATATTCCTCCCCTGTTCCCCTTTTTGTTGATATTAGTCATTTGTGTATTTTTTAGTTCATGGTTAGTCTTACTGCAGTTTATCAATTTTATTAATTTTCAAAGACCCAACTTTTAACTGTTAATTTTCCTATTGTCTGTTGTTTTACTATTTTATTGACTTCTGTTCTTGTCCTACTTTAATTTTCTTTGAAAAACATATTAATATTTTAATATTTTATGGGGACAACTCAGGACAGAGAGTAATTTTAGTTTTCAACTTATTTTTACCTTACTATTTAAATTATATCTTGTGTAGCATATATATTTTTTGCTTTTTAAAGTCCAGTTATACACCTTCTGCCTTTCAATTAGATAGTTAATTTATATTTAATGTACTACTAACATCTTAGAGTTTAAACTTATTATTTTGCTCCTTATCATTCATTTGTTCCTTCTGTTTTTTTCTCATGCTAATTTCCTGCCTTCTTTTGGATTAATCAGTTATTTTTTTAGAACAAAAATTCTATTTTGTTTTTTGTATTGGCTTCTTATTAATATCTTTTAAAATTATGCTTTAATAAGCACTATTTATGACAAACACACAGCCAATATCATACTGAATGGGCAAAAGCTGAAGGCATTCCCTCTGAAAACTGACACAAGACAGGATGCCCTCCCTCACCACTCCTATTCAACATAGTATTGGAAGTTCTCGCCAGGGCAATCAGGAAAGAGAGAGAAATAAAGGGTATTCAGATAGTAAGAGAGGAAGTCAAATTGTCTCTGTTTGCAGATTATATGATTGTATATTTAGAAAACCCCATTGTCTCAGCCGAAAATCTCCGTAAGCTGATAACCAACTTCAGCAAAGTCTCAGGATACAAAATCAATGTGCAAAAATCACAAGCATTCCTACACACCAATAATAGACACAAATAGAGAGCCAAATCATGAGTGAGCTCCCATTCACAGTTTCTACAAAGAGAATAAAATGCCTAGGAATACAACTTACAAGGGATGCGAAGGACTTCTTCAAGGAGAACTACAAACCACTGCTCAAGAAAATAAGAGAAGACACAAACAAATGGAAAAACATTCCATGCTCATGGATAGGAAGATTCAATATCGTGAATATGGCCATACTGCCCAAAGTAATTTATAGATTCCATGCTATCCCCATCAAGCTACCATTGACTTTCTTTACAGAATTAGAAAAAACTACTTTAAATTTCAAATGGAACCAAAAAAGAGCCTGTAGAGCCAAGACAATCCTAAGCAAAAAGAACAAAACTGGAGGCATCACACTACCTGACTTCAAACTATACTACAAGGCTATAGTAACCAAAACAGCATGGTACTGGTATCAAAACAGATACATAGATCAATGGAACTGAACAGAGGCCTCAGAAATAATGCCACACATCTACAACCATCTGCTCTTTGACAAACCTGACAAAAACAAGCAATGGGGAAAAGTTTCCCTATTTAATAAATGGTGTTAGGAAAACTGGCTAGCCATATGCAGAAGACTTGAAACTGGACCCCTTCCTTACACCTTATACAAAAATTAACTCAAGATGGATTGAAGAATTAAATGTAAGACCTAAAACCATAAAAACCCTAGAATAAAACCTAGGCAATACCATTCAGGACATAGGCATGGGCAAAGAGTTCACGAGTAAAACACCAGAAGTAATGGCAACAAAAGCCAAAATTGACAAATGGGATCTAATTAAGCTAAAGAACCTCTGCACAGCAAAAGAAACTATCATCAGAGTGAGCAGGCAACCTACAGAATGGGAGAAAATTTTTGCAATCTATCCATCTGACAAAGGGCTAATATCCAGAATCTACAAAGAACTTAAATTTGCAAGAAAAAAAACAAACAACCTCATCAAAAAGTGGGCAAAGGATATGAACAGACACTTCTCAAAAGAAGACATTTATGCAGCCAACAAGCATATGAAAAAAAAGCCCATCATCACTGGTCATTAGAGAAATGCAAGTCAAAACCACAGTGAGATAGCATCTCACGCCAGTTAGAATGGCAATCATTACAAGGTCAGGAAACAACAGATGCTGGAGAGGATGTGGAGAAATAGGAAAGCTTTTACACTGTTGTTGGGAGTGTAAATTAGTTCAACTATTGTGGAAGACAGTGTGGCAATTCCTCAAGAATCTAGAACCAGAAATACCATTTGACCCAGACATCTCATTACTGGGTATATAGTGAAAGGATTACAAATCATTGTACTATAAAGACACATGCACACATATGTTTGTTGTGGCACTATTCACAATAGCAAAGACTTGGAACCAACCCAAATGTCCATCAATGATAGATTGGATTAAGAAAATGTGGCACATATACACCATGGAATATTATGCAGCCATTAAAAAAGGCTGAGTTCATATCCTTTGCAGGGACATGGATGAAGCTGGAAACCATCATTCTCAGGAAACTAACAAAGGAACAGAAAACCAAACACCACATGTTCTCACTCATAAGTGGGAGTTGAACAATGAGAACACATGGACACGGTGGGGGAACATTACACCAGGGCCTGTCAGGGGGTTGGGGGCTAGGGGAGGGATAGCATTACATTATGAGAAATACCTAATGTAGATGATGGGTTGATGGGTGCAGCAAACCACCATGGCACGTATATACCTATGGAACAAACCTGCACGTTCTGCACGTGTATCCCAGAACTTAAAGTATAATAAAAAGATTATGCTTTAGTGTTTGATCTAGGGCTAACATTATGTATCCTTAATTTATCAAAGTCTGTTTAGAGTCCATAGTGTACCCTTAAAATTCCCCTTAAAACTTTTCACTTGGCACTTTCCATTCCCCACTTCAAAACTGTAATTACTTTAAAACACTTACTCCGCATCCCTTTGTGCTATTGTTGCCATATTTTTGCTTCTACCATGCATAAATATATATATATATGTTTTGAATAATATTCTTAATACTAATATATAATATTAATTAAATACATTTAAAATAATTTTTTACTTTAATCATTTGTTTTAAAAGTTGTCTTTTAAGGATAATAAAAATATGAAATATGGGGGTTGGCCAAGATGGCCACCTAGAAACAGGTAGTATGCACTATTCTCAGGAAGAGGAACAGCAGGGGTAAGTGAATACAGCACCTCTAATTGAAACATTCGGGTATACACATCAGGACTAATCATGGAGAAAACTCGACCCACAGAGAATGGAGACAAGTAAGGCAGGATGACCACCCACCCAGGAGTGACATGAAGCCAGGGGAACCTCCCCTGCTCAGGGAAGTGGCAAGTGAGTGAGTGACCCTGGGAACCCATGCTTCTCCCGTGGATCTTTGCAGCCCTAAGGTCAGGAGATCATCTCGTGAACCCATTCCACCAGGGCCTTCAGTCTGACATGCAGACCTACATGGAGTCTCAGCAGAGCCGCTGCCCAGGTAGTCCTGGGAGACTTAGATTCTCAGGCTTCCTGGAAAAACCAGCTGAAACTCCAGCAAAGTGGGAGGTTAGATTCCTGTACATACACCTAGGAAAGGGGCTGACTCCAGGGGGCTGAGCAGTGACGGCCTGTAGGTCCCGCTTCCACCGCACCTTGCAGGGTAAGACCCACTGGCGTGGAACTCCAACCAGCCAAAGGTAGCAGCATTACACCTCCTTGAGACATGGTTCCCAGGAGGAGGGGTGGGCCACCATCTTTGCTGTTTCACAGCCCTAGTCATTGTTGCCTTAGGGCTCTAGGAGTCAGAGGGAACTAGGGACTGGAGCAGCCCCCCAGCACAGCCCAGTAGCTCTACAGAGAACCAGTCAGACTGCTTATTCACCTGGATCCTGAATCCTGTTTCTCTTCACTGTGTGGAATCTCTCAACTGGGATCTCCAGTGAGATACCATCTCACTCCAGTCAGAATTGCTGTTATTAAAAAGTCAAAAAATAACAGATGCTGGTGAGGTTCCGGAGAAAAGAGAACATTTATACACTGTTGGTGGGAGTGTAAATTAGTTCAACCATTGTGGGAAGCAGTGCGGCGATTCCTCAAAGAGCTAAAAACAGAACTACGATTCAACTCAGCAGTCCCATTACTGGGTATATACCCAGAGGAATAGAAATCATTCTACCACAGAGACACATGCACATGAATGTTCACTATAACACTATTCACAATAGCAAAGACGTGGAATCAACGTAAATGCCTGTCAGTGACAGATTGGATAAAGAAAATGTAGTGCATATACAACATGGAATACTATGCAGACATTATAAAGGACGAGGTCATGTCTTTTGCGGGAAAATGGATGAAGCTGGAGGCCATTATCCTTAGGAAACTCACACAGGAACACAAAACCAAATACCGCATGTTATCACTTACAAGTGGGAGCTAAATGGTAACACATGGACACAAAGAAGCGAACAACAGACACTGGGACCTCTTTGAGGGTGGAGGATGGGAGGAGGAAGAGAAGCATAAAAAGTAACTATTGGGTATTAGGCCTAGTACCTGCCTGATGAAATAATCTGTACAACAAACCCCCATGACATGAGGTTACCTATAGGACAAACCTGCACATGTACCCTGAACCTAAAATAAAAGTTAAAAAATATATAAAGTATATTCGTTATATTTAACACTTATCACTTCTCATGCTCTTTAACACTTTCTTCAGAGTTTCAATCCGGTGTCATTTTCCTTCAACCTGAAAAGTATGCTTTTTCTTTTCTTACAATGCATATTGGCTGGCAACAGATGCTCTCAGCTGTTCCTTATCTGAAATTATCTATATTTCATCCTTGCTTTTGAATAATAGTTATACTAGCTATTGATATTCTAGGTTGACATATTTACCCTTCCAACACCTTTAGGAAGGAGTTCCATTATCTGTTGGTCTTTTATGTTTATGATGATAAGTAATAATTGTATTATTGTTCCCCTGAATGTAATGTGTCTTTTTATTCTGGCTGCTTTCAAATTTTCTCTTTATCTTTGACTTTTGATAGCTTCATTATGATGTCCTAGGCATGGTGTTTTTTGTATTTATTTAGCCTGAGGTTCTCTAGCCTTCTGGATCTATAAGCTAATCTTTTTAAAAATCAAATCTGGGAAAATTTTGACCATTATTTCTTGAATTATTTTGCCCTGTTCTCACTTTTCTGTTCTTCTAGGACTTATGTGATGTTTATGTTAGACTGTTTGATATTGTCCCATAGGTCTCTGAAGCTCAGTTAATTTATTTAGCTCTTTATTTAACAATTATACTAATAAAATAACTACCAATTATGAATACCTACCATGTGTAGGCATCATGTTAAATGCTTTATATATGTTGTTTCATTTAATGATTCCAACAAACTTTATGAGGTATGTTTGATTTAAGTTGAAATTATGTAATATCTTCATTGCACAGATAATCTAAGGGTGTTAGTTTTTTCTTCCTTCACAACATCCAGCTAGACTACCTTTCTCAGCCTCCCTTGCATTTGGGTGTACCTATGTGTCTGAGTTCTGGCCAATAGAATATGGGTGGAAATGATATATACCACCACTGGGCTTGGCTAATAGAAATCCTCTAAGGAATTCTCCATCCTCTCTCTTCTCTGCCAACTGAGTGTGTATGCTTGTAATCCCAGCACTTTAGGAGGCTGAGGCAGGACAATCATTTGAGGCCAGGAATTTGAGACCAGCCTGGGCAACATAGCAAGACCCTGTCTCTACTAAAAGTACTTTTAAAAAATTAAAAAAAAAAAAAAACTGAATGTGGTGGTGCGTGCCTGTAGTCCCAGCTACTTGGGAGGCTGAGGTGAGAGGATGCCTTCAGCACAGAAGGTGGAGGCTGCAATGAGCTATGATCACACCACTGTACTCTAGCCTGGGTGGCAGTGAAAAACTCTATTAGAGATAGAGATAAATAAAAACAAAACAAAACAAGCTTACAATCTTTTTGTTGAAAATGGTGAAGAGTCCATCAGCCTAAATCCCTGAATCACTGCATGGAACAGTTCCCCAACACTCTCCTCCATTTGCCTTGCTGCAGCTTCTACTTCACATGAATAAGAGATAAACTTCTTTTCCCCATGCTAATGAAATTTTAGGATTTATTTGTTATAAAATCAGTATTACCTTAACTAATGCAATATTAAAGCTCAGAGGAGTTTTAAATTTTACAGACAAAATAAGTAAGGGTCAGATAAGTTAAAGAATGTGTCCAAGGTGACACAGCTAATAGGTGGTGATGCCTGCATTTTTAAAACCAGAATTCTCTTACTCAAAAGCATGTATCAGAATCACTATCTAGTTTTCCTTCCTTTCATATCTATGTATTAGAAAAATGTTTTGCTAGTTGATTTAGAGTGAAAATGTGATTATACGTTCTTACCAAGCAGCGTAGAAACAGCAGAGGGTCTGGAGTCAGGAAATCTGGTCTACGGGCAGGATTTATTGCTTTCTGCCTGTTTAATTGGGTGCAAAACATGCAGTACCTACCTTGCAGGATTAACTCTATCATTACTTGCAGTAGCCACAGAAACAACAGGCAATATTTATTGAGCTTTTACACACATTATCTCACCACTCTGTAGTACAAGTACTGTTATTATGCTGAAGTGTATAAATGAGGAAACACAGAGGTTAACTTTAAGGACAATCTTCAATAAAATAATGTATTCATAGTACCAAGCACAGTGTCCGGCATATAGTTAAGTACAAATGTATGTTTGTTCTTTTTTTCTTGTATCTTTACATATTGTTCAGTAGAATCACAAACAACATGATGCATTCAACCAAACACTAACACAGGTAATATTCTAGGGTCATGATTTTTGTCACTCAGGTTCCCAGTTCAGATTTAAACTCTTTACCTTCCAAAATACATCCCCAAAAGGCAATTCCTTCTTTATTCAATAACTCATTCACTTGGAACTATTTCATTAACAGCTTCTAGAATTTTCATTGATGGAAATGGAAGTTCTAGATGACCATATCTTGTTCATCTCCATGTACAGCTAGGGAAGGGTGAGAAAAGACCCTTTTTGCATTTTACTAAAAAATAATAACTCATTGAGCATTGCAAATTCAGAAAAAACTAAATTATATTTGAGCTAAATTAATCTATGTGAATTAGACTGATACTTAAATTATTTTCTTTATATAAATTTCATTATAGTTACCCAAAACATCCCGGTATGTGGTGTGTTAAGTGGTTCATGAGTAAAGCTTAAATGCCAAAATTAATAGCACAGTTGTGCAGAGAGCAGAATTTGAGCTTTAACTCCGTTATGACTTTGCTTTTTGGAGACTGAATATTGTATCTTAAGTTTGGGCAAAGGATTTGAGGAGGATGAACCTTTAGATGTAGAGTAAATGATGAATTAGGTATTAGGGTAAGATTATAACAAGTGGGACAAGTTGCTAGCTTCCAGACTGAATGGAAACCATCTTTTGTTTACAGCTCACTCAGCCCTACTGCTCTGAGCATGCTCTGTTGTGTTTTGTTGTAGACAAAAGCTGCATGTTAACTTCAAGCTTCCAGAGGCGGTCATGGACCTGGCTCTGCAGTCTCTACTCTAGATTCTGACAGTACTGAGACACCTGGGCCAGTCTACTTCAGAGTAATCATAGCTGAAGTGCAGCAGGTTAATTGGTCACTCTCTCTCTAAGTGTGCCAAACACACCTGAACCTCTATGAATCTTTGGACAGACCTCCAATCATTGGAGAGCTATAGACAAAGCATGAAAGATCATCTCTTCCAGGCCTACATCCTTGTAGCACTCCCAGAATAATAACACAATAGCCTGTATGACCCCTTTTCCTACTGTGGACATGTATAAGATTTGTGTCACTTTGATTTTCCAGATTAAAGCTATCTGCAGCACCCACATACACATATTAGCAGACTAGCCCATATCTCCTCCTCTCCTATTCTGAATTATCCAAGAACCCCCAGGTTTTCTTAGTCCAAAAGATCCAGTCTTGGCTCAAAATAGTTCTTGGAGGAAAAACTTGGCAATGTGGTAAACCCATTTTTAGTCTCTATTTTCTTCTATTGTTGCTTCTGTAACTGTCACATGGCCCAGGTCTTAAAAACAGAAGATATGCCTAGTTGTTTGCCCTCCATGGATCACATGTTTCTTTCTGGATGCCTGGGTGCTGCTCTGGGCATTCAACCATTTCATCTGCTGACAGGGCAAGTGGAGGGAGAAAGGAGAGACCTCTCCCTGCAGTGTTCTCTGGGCTTCTCAAATCCCAGCAATTTAACAGGAGACTGGATAGGGCCTTCCAGTGGTGTTTTGGGGAAGGCCCTTCCTGCCCCTCTCAGAGTCACATCAGCCAAGGATTCCCTGAGTCAACAATGGCCTAGACTCTGACATTATAACTCTTGATTCCTTCATACCAGGGCAACAACAAGCCCCTGGGAGTGCTATGTAAGAAACAGGCTCTGGAGCCCATGACCTCAGGAACCCTCAAACCATCCCCCTTCCATCTTCACATTGCTACCCTGGAAGTCCTTCCTTCTCTCTGTTCCAAGTCCTCATCTGTTCCCCATTGCAGAATGAATGACACTGCTTTTAAGAGTCAAACTTTCTTCAAATCACATATCAATAATTATAAAAATAGTGTCCCAAATACAGTGGTCATGTATAAGGAATATACGAGGAAGATTTTCTTAGCATAGTTTTGTAGATGAGGACACTGAAGCCTGGAGACATTAAGTGAGTTTATCAAGAACACAGAGAAGTGCCAGAGATAGACCCCAAGTCTGTCTGATTCCCAAAAAAATGAACCTATAGGTATGAGCATTATTTTTAGCATTACAATCTGGAACACAGACAAGAAGTAATGCACCTGGGTGGAGGGGCTGTGATACCAGTGACTATGTCAAGGACAACCCATAAGGCTGTGGCAAAAATCCACCCAGGACAACTGCTGGAACTGCACCCTCTCAAGACCTGCCATCTTCTTCCTCCTTGGCTTCTCCTCCTGTCACACATAAGGCCAGGATATCCAGTCCCTGAGATATGCATTCCTAGGTTGGAACTTCTTCCTTCCAGGTACTGCCACTGATTGGATCTTGTGGGCCAGGAATGGACCCATCCTGAGTACCCAGGGCTTGGTAGGCACAGGTCCGTTAACTAGACTCTTAGTTAATGTTTGTTATATGGACAAAGATGGATATTCACTAGACATGCACATCACAGAGACGGCCAGTTCACCACCCCCTTCAAAGGGTAACAGCCCCATTGACAAAAAGTGACCCTAGATATTTTCTTGAATGAAGAGTTGCTATTTGTTATTCCTGAATTAGTAGTGAATATTGGACTTGAGGGCAGCTGATTCCTATGCTGGCTACTGAGCTATAGGGAAGCCAAGCCCAGCCTGAAAAGTGATGGGGGACAAGGGAATGAGCCTAACCAGCAAGATTTCTCCCTTTGTCTCATCTATTGGATTATCCAAGAGCTCCCCAGGAAGACCAGCCACATCAACAAAAGGAGAACTAGATGAGCAGGGAGACTGACTCCCAAAACTTTGTGTTGAATGAGATGTGCAAATCTAATGCATTTTGGAAGTTTACGTTTCCAGAGAATGGTTTAATTCTCTGGTTAATCTGAAAACTCAACAGGAGAAGAAGACTATATTCTGGTTTCATTTCTAATGCAACAGAAGAATTCTGGGTTCTGAGATCTGACATCTTAGCAACCTGTTCTTCATGAATGAGGAAACAGGATTGGAAGGCCAAGCCCCTTGCCTAATTTGAGATCCATTAAAGAATCCTAAAATCCTCAGCCTGATGCTTACCTTCTTCACCAAAGACCCTCCCTGAAGTGCTTTTTAATGGTATAAGCTACACAATTAATAAGTTTGTTAGTGAGGTTGCTGAGGAGGGAGTGAGGGCGTGTGCAAACTGGATGTTATATATACATATACTATGTCATTTAATTCTTAAATCACCCTTTGAGATGATTATTATTCTCACTTTAGAAACAATAAAATGAAGGCTCAAGGAGGTTAAATAATAATGATAATGATGACAGCTATCATGTGTTAAATGCTTGTTACACGCCAGTTTTAAATGATTTACATGCAGCAACTCAATCCTGCACACAAAAAAACCCTGTTAGGTAAGCACTATTACTGAGCAAATTGCCTGAGAACACACAGCCTAGATTTGAATCAGGTCCCACCACTCTGACAGCTGCATTTGAGCTAAAGCAGATGTTCCTAGAGCAAATCAAATTTCTATGTAAAAATGTGTGGGAAATTTCAAGGAACCAGCATCAAGCATGCAAACATGTTTATTGCATTTGTGTCCTAGATAAACAAGAATCTCTGCGAGGTGGATGGACGAGGTTTATTTCATGTTTGTTTCCCCAGTGCATTCAGCATGCTGCAGCTTATCAAGTGTTACTTGATAGATAAATGAATGAATGAATATAAAATATTTTCATTGCTTTGCCATTAACTAATTTAATGACCTTAGGCAATGGCTTGGTCTCTCTAAGCCTTTGCTTCCTACATGTAAAATGCTGATGAGAAAAGGAAGGAGGCATGTAGTCCTAATCACTTAGCTTACCCTCTGTGCTGAGGGTAAGCACAGAGGACTGGGAGAACAATGCAAGGCCTAAGCCTACACCTTCAGAATAATTTTCCTTTTCACACCAGGTCTTGTTGGGAGTCATCCCTTATAGGTCAAGTCAGTCTCAAGCTGGAGGAAACCAAAAATTCTTAGGAACAATATAGTGTCTCCAAAATTATTGGAGACAATATTTTTGTCTCCCGTAATTTTTGCTCACTGGTATTAGGCTTGTGAATATGTGATGTTGCATGGGAAAATACACTTTGCAGTTGGAATTAAGGTTGCTAATCAGCTGGCATGAAGTCAGGACATTATTCTGGATTATTCAAATAGGCCCAATATTATTGCATGGGCATGTAAAGTCAGAAGAGGAAGGCGAAAGAGTCAATGAGAGAGAGATGGCAAAAGAGGAGGAGGCAGAAGAGATAGAAAAGATGCAGAATCATGAGGACTTGACACACTTCCTGGCTTTAAAGATGAAGGATGGAGGCCATAAGGCAGGCAGCATCTAGGAGTTGAAAGCAGTTCCCAGATGATGGCCAGCAAGGGATCAGGAACCTTAGCCCTACAACCACATGGAACTAAATTCTGCTAGTAACCTGAATGTCACTGTACACAAATTCTTGTCTCCAGAAAGGAATGCAGCCTAGCCAACACCTTGATTTTGGCCTTATGAGACTCGAAGCACAGAAACCAGAAAGATCCACCAGACTTTTGGCCTACACATCTGTAAGGTAATAGATTTTTATTGTCTTAAGCCACTAAATGTGTGGTAATTTGTTATTGAAACTGTGGAAAACTAATACAGGTTTCAAGTAGAAACAGGAGTAAATCTTAGTTACTGAAAAAAGGGAAACGTAATTCATCCACTCTGTTATCCTGGTGGTGGATGAGCTGAAAAGTCAAAGACAAAACAGAGAAAACCTAGAGATTGGTACTAACAGGGAATGATGACTGCTCCTAGGCTCTAGGAACAAAAGGGGGAGTTTGGATGACTGGAACCAAGGGGAGGATTAATAGGCAAAATTTGGAACCAGTGTGGAGATGCTGCTGTTGCTAGAGATGCAACATTAGGTATGGAAAGAGAAAAATGGCTTCCCATTGGGCAAACACAGTGAAAATCTGGCTGACATGGGAACCTCAGAAACACAGCCTGCACAGCACAGGGTGGGGAGTGGTGGGGTGAAGTTGGGGAGGGAGACAGATTCCAAGTAAATGGGTCTAGGATTGAAATCACATTTCTCTGGAGGTTAGATGGGAGGCAGCTTAGTTGTCTATCATAGATTTTTACCCTGGTATATTTTGAAACTATGTTATTATATTGAAGTAGTTTATAATTGTTACATTTTTGAAGTAAACTTTAAAAAATTGCCACTATATAGTGATCCTTTTCAAGTCTAATAATGCTTTTGGACTTGAAGTATTTTTCTGATATCATAAAACCAACTTTCCTTCATTTGGTATTTTCCTGATATATAGTTTTCTGTACTTGTTACCTTTCTGTGTTCTTTTAAGTGTGTTGCATATAAGCATTTGGCTAGATTTTTTTAAAGTCTTATCTAAACATCTCTGTTTTTTAATTGGTGAAAAATCCATTTATATTCATTGTGGTTGCTGATGTATTTAGTTTTATTTTTACCTTTTACTTGGTGTTTTTAATTTTTTCTCTCTTTTTATGCTTCTTTCCCCTAATTTTCTTCTGATTTGAAAGTTCTTTACTGTTTTTTTCCTCTCCTTGTTACCCTTAAAATTTTAACATGCCTATCTAGCTTAAAGCCCCAAATTATCAATATTTCCACACTCATTCAGAACATTGCAAGGAACCTAAAAACACCTCAGTTCTGATAACCTGCCTCTGGCTTAACATGCTATTATTTTCTAGTATTTTATTCCTATCTTGCTTTTTCTTTTCTATAATCTATTCAACATATTTGATACATATAAAATAATTTTTCCAAGTGATATGGTTTGGCTGTGTGTCCCCACCAAAATCTCATCTTGTAGCTCCCATAATTCCCACATGTTGTGGGAGGGGCCTGGTGGGAGATGACTGAATATTGGAGGCATCCTGTGCTGTTGTTGTGATAGTGAATGGGTCTCATGAGATCCAATAGTTTTAAAAATGGGAATTGCCCTGCACAAGCTCTCTCTTTGCCTCCTGCCATCCACATAAGATGTGACTTGCTCCTCCTTGCCTTCTGCCATGATTGTGAGGCCTCCCCAGCCATGTGGAACCATAAGTGCATTAAACCTCTTTCTTTTGTAAATTGCCCAGTCTCAGGTATGTCTTTATCAGTAGCATGAAAGTGGACTAATATAGAAAATTGATACCGGTAGAGTGGAGTAGAAATGGGTAACAGGCAGATGTTGGAACAATTTGTAGGGCTTAGAAGAAGACAGAAAAGGCCGGGTGCGGTGGCTCCCAGCACTTTGGAAGGCCAAGGCAGGCGGATCATGAGGTCAGGAGATTGAGACCATCCTGGCTAACACGGTGAAACCCCGTCTCTACTAAAAATACAACAAAATTAGCCGGGCATGGTGGTGGGCGCCTGTAGTCCCAGCTACTTGGGAGGCTGAGGCAGGAGAATGGCATGAACTTGGGAGGTGGAGCTTGCCACGAGCCAAGATCACACCACCACTGCACTCCAGCCTGGGCAACAGAGCGAGACTCTGTCTCAAAAAAAAAAAAGACAGAAAAATGTGGGAAATTTTGAAACTTTCTAGAAACTTGTTGAATGGCTTTGCCCAAAATGCTGATAGTGATATGAACAACAAAGTCCAGGCTGAGGTGGTCTCAGATGGAAATGTGGAACTTGTTGGGAACTGCAGCAAAGGTGACTCTTGTTATCTCTTAACAAAGAGAGTGGTGGCATTTTGCCCCTGTCTCAGAGATTTGTGGAAGTTTGAACTTGAGAGAGATGATTTAGGGTATCTGATGGAAGAAATTTCTAAGCAGCAAAGCATTCAAGACTTTGGTGCTGTTAAAGGCATTCAGTTTTATAAGGGAAGCAGAGCATAAAAGTTCAGAAGATTTGCAGCCTGACAATGTGATAGAAAAAAAAAATCCCATTTTCTGAGGAGAAATTCAAGCCCGTTGCAGACATATGCATAAGTAACGAGAAGCCAAATGTTCTTCCCCAAGACAATGGAGAAAATATCTCCAGGGCATGTCAGAGGTCTTCACAGCAGCCCCTCCCATCACAGGCCTGGAGGCCTAGGAGGAAAAAGTGGTTTCATGGGCCGGGCCCAGGGTACCCATGTTGGGTGCAGCCTAGGGACTTGGTGCCCTGCATCTTAGCCTCTCCAGCCGTGGCTGAAAGGGGCCAATGCAGAGCTCAGGCTGTGGCTTTGGAGGGTGCAAGCCTCAACCCTTGTCAGCTTGTAGTGTTGAGCCTGTGAGTGCACAAAAGTCAAGAATTGAGGTTTGGGAACCTCCACCTAGATTTCAGAAGATGTATGGAAACACGTGAATGCCCAGGCAGAAGTTTGCTGCAGGGGTGGGGCCCTCATGGAGAACCTTTGATAGGGCAGTACAGAAGGGAAATGTGGAGTCAGAGCCCCCACACAGAGTCCCTGCTGCAGCACTGCCTAGTAGAGCTGTGAGAAGATGGCCACCATCCTTCAGATCCCAGAATGGTAGATCCACCAACAGTTTGCACCGTGTGCCTGGAAAAGCCACAGACACTCAATGCCAGGGCTTGAAGACAGCCAGAAGGGAGGCTGTACCCTGCAAAGCCATAGGGATAGAGCTGCCCAGGACCATGGGAACCCTCCTCTTGCATCAGGGTGATCTGGATGTGAGACGTGGATTCAAGGAGATCATTTTGGAGCTTTAAGATTTGACTGCCCTGCTGGAGTTTGGACTTGCAGGGCCTGTCCCTTCTTGGGGGCCTGTAGCTCCTTTGTTTTCGTCAGTTTCTCCCATTTGGAATTGCTGTATTTACCCAATTCCTGTACCCCTATTGTATCTAGGAAGTAACTAACTTGTTTTTGATTTTACAGGTTTATAGGCAGAAGGGACTTGCCTTGTCTTAGATGAGACTTTGAACTCTGGACTTTTGAGTTAATGCTGAAATGAGTTGAGACTTTGGGGACTGTTGGGAAGGCATAATTGGTTTTAAAATGTAAAGATATGAGATTTGGGAGGGGCCAAGGGTGGAATTATATGGTTTGGCTCTGTGTCCTAACCCAAATCTCACCTGGTGGCTCCCATAATTCCCACATGTTGTGGGAGGAACCTGGTGGGAGATGACTGAATTATGGGGACAGGTCTTTCCTGTGCTATTCTTGTGATGGTGAATGGGTCTCACAAGATCTGAGGGTTTTAAAAATGGGGGGTTCCCTGCACAAGCTCTCTCTTTGCCTGCTGCCATGCACATAAGATGTTAATTGCTCCTCATTGCCTTCCACCATGATTCTGAGGCCTTCGCAGCCATGTGAAACTGTAAGTGCATTAAACCTCTTTTGTAAATTGCCCAGTCTCAGATATGTCTTTTTTGGCATCATGAAAACAGAATAATACACCATGTTATAAAACATGACAATTGATGAACATCCATATACCCATCATCAAGTGTATGGCTTTTGCATTACCTGTAAATTGTTACGTACTTTTTCTCTATCCTCTTCTCCTCTATTTCCTCCTCAGAGGGAACCACTTCTGATGTTTTTTGTTTGTTACTTGTTTTTATCTGAAAACTTTGTTGAATTGCAGCAACAATAGAAAAACAGAAAAATTTGTTGAATTGCAGCAACAATAGAAAAATAGAAAAATTTGTTGGATTGCAGCAACAATAGAAACATTTTAAATTTAAAAATTTTTAACAAAGGTTAACTAACTTTGTGGATATATTTAATAATGTTATACTGCTTTAGGACTTGCTTTTTAAAAAAACTCAACATTATATTTTCCAGAAAACACATTGCTTTTTGTAGCTGCATTTTATTCCTATCCATGGCTATATAATATTCCATTGAGTGAGATCATGATTTGTTATCTATTTTCTTGCCAATAGGTAGTTTCTCCAGTTTTTCTATTATGAACAATGCTTTTGGGAGGATTCATGTATTAGTTTTCACACTGCTATGAAGAACTGCCAGAGACTGGGTAATTTATGAAAGAAAGAGGCTTAATTGACTTACAGTTCCACATGGCTAGGGAGGACTCAGGAAAGTTATAATCATGGCAAAAGGGGAAGCAGGCACCTTCTTCACAAGGTGGCAAGAGAGTGTGAACATGTGAAGGAGGAACTGTCAAACACTTATAAAAGCATCAGATCTTGTGAGAGCTCACTCACTATCATGAGTACAACATGGGGGAACAGCCCCATGATCTAATCACCTCCCACCCAGTTTCTCCCTCGACATGTGGATATTATGGGGATTACAATTCAAGATGAGATATCGGGGGGCACACAGCCAAACCATATCGATTCATGTCATCTAGGTTGTATACTTAAGAATAGAAGAACTGGGGCATTGCCGAAAACTATTTACCATTGTATTTCATCTTTACATTTTAGATATGCCTACCTACTATTCTTTTTTTGCATCTTAGACCTCCCTTCTGGAATCATTTTCCTTTCCCTAAATCATCCTTTAGAAGTTACTAAGTGAGGCCATACACAGTGGCTCACACTTGTAATCCCAGCACTTTGGGAGACCGAGGCAGGTGGACCATTTGAGGCCAGGAATTCGAGACCAGCCTAGCCACCATGGTGAAACCCCATCTCTACTAAAAAATACATAAATTAGCCAAGTGTGGTGGCACGCACCTATAATCCCAGCTACTTGGGAGGCTGAGGCATGATAATCACTTGAACCTGGGAGGTGGAGGTTTCAGTGAGCTGAGATGGCACCATTGCACTCCAGCCTGGGTGACAGAGTGAGAATTGGTCTCAAAAATAATAAGTTACTTAATGAAGACATCACAGTTTCCCATCTCAGCTTTGAAAATGTTGCCAGCTATCACCTTCCCCCAGATTAAAGTTTGAAAAATTATTCTTTGAGGTAAATTGATAACTTAAGAGAAAAGTACTTATGAATAATGACATTTGGGAGTGCCCCTGTCAAAGGGCTGAGTCTTTTGCCCTGTGCCCTCATGTGAAACCTTCAATACCCACAGAGCTGACAATAGCATTTCTCACTTCAGTTTTAAATATGAAAGACAGCCAAGGATATATAGGCACCCATAAAAAAGGGAGTAATCTTTGGAAAAGGAAGACATGGGATTCTGGAAACAGGTTGAATGTGAAGACATTTCCTTAGTAAGTATCGGAAAATTCATCATGAGCAGTACATAGCAGACCTGAAGAGCAGCCATTGGATTGAGCAGCAGAATCGAACCTTCTCGGTGTGATAGATTAAATTATTTGTCTCGAATTCTCCTCCCCTTTTTGCAGACACATCATTGGCACACTCTTATGGTGGGGGAGCTTGGCTTTGAGCTTGCCCATGCGACTTCCTTGGGCATATGGCATGCGGGTTGAAGTAGGAGTTGCCAGCTCTCATTCTAGGTCTCAAGGGATTTGTGTT
Source organism: Homo sapiens (assembly GCF_000001405.40). Taxonomy (NCBI): domain Eukaryota; kingdom Metazoa; phylum Chordata; class Mammalia; order Primates; family Hominidae; genus Homo; species Homo sapiens. The sequence goes on along the minus strand of NC_000004.12, from coordinate 17,212,074 downwards.
TCTTATTTCTTTCTCTTGCTTCTATAATCACCATGTAAAGCCCACTAGCTGGCTGGTCCTGGGAGGAAAATGAGATACACATGGTGCAGAGTCAAGCCTGCAGATCCATGAAATTAATGGTAACCTTTTAAGGCAATTGAGCTTTACTGAAGAAATAGCTAACCAATACGAGTAGAGATATGATGGAGATACTATACATCTCCTGATGTGCAAGGAGGAAATACATTATGTGATCCACTTGTAAATAGTATTTTGTAATGTAAACATCAAATACTGATTTAACCAAAATTGAGATACAATAGTTATGTTAGGAGGACAGGGATGCAAAGTGAGTTGATGTGTGTGTGTGTGTGCATGCACACGCTAGTGGGGATTATTTACAAGGGTAAAATACTCTTTTTTCAAAATAGAAAATTGTGAAGAAAAATAGTTTCTCAGTAATATATGTTTTTTTCTTTCATAGTAAGAGAATCTTAGCTAATAGTATGGCTTCTCACTGTAAGGACCAGAGTTCCCAACCTCACCTGCAGTGAGATGGGGCCATTACACTAAGTTCTAAACAATAAGATATAAGTGGAAATAATCCATACATTTCCTGAGTTATATTCTTTTTTTTTTTTTGAGATGGAGTCTCGGTCTGTCGCCCAGGCTGGAGTGCAGTGGCGCGATCTCGGCTCACTGCAAGCTCCGCCTCCCGAGCTCACACCATTCTCCTGCCTCAGCCTCCCAAGTACCTGGGTTATATTCTTAAAGGGAAGCAACAAGCTCCCATTCTCGTCTCCCCATCCCATTGGATGAATTGTGGTCATGGTGATAGCCTGCCTTAGATCAGGTGATTAAGGGTCCTTCTAACTTGATGCTCTGCCATCTGTTACGAAGAAAAACCATTCTTTATTTTAAGGCACTGTCATTTTATTGTCTGTTACAGTATCCAAACCTATATCCTAAGTCAGAAGCGAAAAAGTAACGTATGAAGTCGAACAATCAAGAATGAGTGGTATAAGATATTATTTAGAAATATTTCATTAAATACCAGAAGAAATACTTAGAAGACTTAAAAAAATGTTGCCACAGGGAAGTCTTAAATTTGTAGGGAGAGATAGAATAGGGAACCAGTTATTTGTGCTTTTAAACTATGTACATACATTATTCCCATGAAAATTACATTAAAAATATTTCCCACACAGATTAATACACAATTTTATAATTTGTGATTGCTGTCACCTTGAGTGAATTATGTTCCAACATAGAAAATTGTGATTTAAGGTATTAGAGAAAACACCAAGATAGCAAGAGTTTCATCTGAAACCATACAGCTGCTGACAAAAGTTTGATCAACGACATCACTCTCATGTTTGTAAGCCAAAAGCATACATATATTATAGACTAGAGGATGGTTTCAAAACAACTAGACTATTACATGACAGTCAAGAAATTTGAAAAAAAGTGTTTTGATGCAACTGTGGATTATCACTTCAGGGGTAAATGAAGCACTTACTGGGCATTGTAAGGCTGTAGACCTACTTGCCTGAAGTGTGATCATGATTTAAAATATATATATGGCCCACTTGTGACATGAAATGAAAAATGTTGCATTAGCCTCAGCCACGTTGGAAGAGATGAGAATGTTAATAAGACATTTTGCTGATGTTACTCTTTGGAAACACAGCCTCTTCATATATTGCTTTTACTTAAAAACATGCCTAATACAGCCCCAGTTTTTTAAACTCAGCTTTTAGATGAGCAGGAAATCTAGGAATTCAAAAATAATCAAGGCAATGTGGACAAATGAATTGTTATTCACCAGAGAAAGAGAATCTTAGAATCTTGCAGTATTAGATTTGGAAGGGCCCTTAGATTTAATTTCCTGCAACTGCTTCATTTTTTTAAAAAAAAGGGAGGCCAAATCATGGTAGTTACTGGCTTGGAGTCACTCTGTGACTTAAAGGCACTTCTTCCAGATGAAGAGAGTGAAACACAGAAGCCACAGAGCAAGAGACCGACAAAATAAAAAAAGAGAAGACCATGCCTTGTCTCTCTCCCTGGGGATAGGTCTCTGGTCCACAGGTCAGGCTTGATGTGAGGCATGATTCAGGGCAGGGAGAAGATTTACACTGAGTGAGAAGTTGGAGTTTTCATTTAATTTTTTAAATTTTAATTGTTAACTTTTATATTAAGTTCAGGGGTACAAGTACAGGTTTATTACATAGATAAACTTGTGTCATGGAGGTTTGTTGTACCAATTATTTTATCACCCAGATATTAAGCCTACTACTCATAGGTTGTTTTTTCAGATCCTCTCCCTCCTCCCACCCCCAACCCTTTGAAGGGTCCTATGTGTGTTGTTCCCCTCTTTATCCATGCATTCTCTTCATTCAGCTCCCACTTGAATGTGAGAACATGCGGTATTTGGTTTTCTGTTCCTGTGTTAGTTTGCTACAGATAATGGTAAAGTTTTGATTTTAAAAAGACTAGACTTTTAAATATGTGAAAGTGAATCACAGAGAACTCCAGGAGATTGCTCTTCTAACTAAAAAGTCTTTCGGAATACATGCAGTATGCCATGAAATGTGGTCCAAGGGCAAGCACGGGAGGCCTAACCAGGAGCGGTTGACGGCAGTGATGTAGGAAAAAGAAAACTCTTGCCTAATGGCCATGAGTTCCACACACTCAACAAATCAGTTCATTTGTCTACAACTCATCTCACCTGTGTGCATCCTGCAGCACACCAGGTGGTTGATCTTGGCATTCAGAGAGGTAAGAAGGACACGTGGAGGAGGGAGAAGCAGAGAATGTGGAGTTCAGTTTGCCAATGTTGAGTTTGAGAGATGTGTGGAATATCCACCAGTAGGGATAGTCCTACTCGCAAATGATGAGTAGGGAGTACACTTTCACTTTCTCCTTTAACTCTAAAGCTTAGGAGAAAAGTTTGCAATGGAAGTAGAATTTGAAAGAGACATTCTGTTTTCCATGGTAATTGAAATCATGAAAGGTGATGGCAAATTTCAGAGAGAATACGTAGGTGAGAAGAGAAGAGGCTGAAGATACAGGCCTGAGAGATGGAGACATTTGAAGGGTGAATGAAGAGCAACCCATACTGGAAGATGGGAATGTGTGGCCAGAGATAGAAGAAAAACCAGAAGGAGAAATGTCACAGGACCTGGGAAAAGAAAATGTTTTAAAGAGGAGGAGTTGTGAATAGTGTCGAATGGAGCAAATAAGTAAAAACTGAAGGCTTTGGATTTGGTAAAAGTAAAGTTATTCATGACCTTGGTATGAGACTGTGAGAGAAGTGGAGAGGGTGGAAACACAATATTGAGGGTTGATATGTAGTTTTTAAGATGAGAGGAACTTGAGCACTGTGTTAGTTCATTCTCACACTGCTATGAGGACATATCCAAGACTGGGTAATTTATAAAGAAAAAGAGGTTTAATGGACTCACAGTTCCACATGGCTGGGGAGGCCTCACAATCATGGCAGAAGGTGAAGGAGGAGCAAAGGCACATCTTACATGACAGCAGGCAAGAGAGCATGTGCAGGAGAACTGCCCTTTATAAAACCATCAGATCTCATGAGACTTATTCACTGTCATGAGAACAACATGGGAAACACCCACCCCCATTATTCAATTACCTCCCACAGGGTCCCTCCCATGACAGGTTGGGATTATGGGAGCTACAGTTCAAGATAAGATTTGGGTGGGGACACAGCCAAACCATATCAAGCATGTTTGAAGCTACCAGGAAGCAACTGTAGTTAAGAGAGAGATTACATTGAAAGTAAGAGGGGTTATAGGTGATGGTGTAAGATCCTCAAAAAGGCACAGTGAGACAGGATTAGGAGTCCAAGTGGGAGGAATTAACCCTAAATTTTCAAGAATAGGAGGGATGCATCTTCTTAAACAGGGAACAGAGAAAGAGTTGGTGTGGAGTCATCATGATTATAGTTTTAGCTATTAGTAATAGTAACACACTTGGGCCTCATTAACAAAGGTATGCCATCAACGTCAAAGGAGGTGACAACCTCACTAAACTGTGATCTGGCCAGATGTTCTGGGCAATGCTGTGTGCAGTTTGGATGGCACATCTTCAGTGGGAGATTGACCACCTGGAGGGTTTACTTAGAGGAGTTAAGCCCTGATGATAGTGTCTGAAAATGATTGAAGAACAAGTAAATGTTAGCTTGGAGGAATGCAAATTTGGCAGAGATGCAATCATGGTTTTAAAAGATCTAAAGTAGAGGTCACGGTTGGTCTGTTTTAATATTAGAGGGCAGATATAGGCAATGAGTAGAAGTTATAGGGGGCAAACCTCTTTTCGTGATATAGTATGACTAGAATTTAAGCGTGAACTGACTTTTTTTTTAAGGAATATTAGGGAAAGTGGTGAAAGCTAGCCAAGGTTCCACAGAGAATTTAGGACTACATAAATGTTTCATTCAAAAAGTATTGAGTTTTTATCATGTGCCAGATACTGTGCTGGGTTCTGGCCACACAATCTGAATCAGGCAATTAGCCTGGAACTAAGTGTGGGAAACAGACATATAAAAAGATACTTAAAATACAACCAGCTGCACTTGGCATAGCACACACCATTCTAGAAGATAGCCATAACTATTAATAAAATATTAATGCATTCTATTTATTTATTCATATATCTCACCACAAACACAATTAAGAATTTCATTCTTCTCAGATACAGCATTTTATGGGCCCAATGATAGAACTCTTTAAAGAAAAACACATGGTTGCTCACCACTAATATCAGGTTTTGAAAGGCAGAAGTAAAATTATTTCAGAAGTTTCTGTTCTAATTCTGTGAGAATCAGAAGGAGCACAGGTGCTATATTCAAAATAATTCACTGAACTGAAAAAGAGATGGAGTAATAGATGCCTAGAAATTACACGAAGGCTGTGTAAACACTTCCTAACTACCTGTCATCTATTCGTGTCAATATTTATAAGTCAACAGACATGGTTTTCACGCAATGCCTGCATGTTCATTGGTTAAAGTAATTGGGAGAAACAAAGCCCAACTGAATCTGGAAAATCACGTGAGGGTTTTATGTAATATATCTAAATTTAGTGCAGATACCAACAGATACCTGGGAACATGAGATCAGAGAGTAGAGGTTCCTAATCCAAGCCTGCTGTGGAGTGTGGAGGAAGAGGAGCAGGCTTGAGAGGTGCCTGCAAAGGCACGGAATGGAACCAGTCAGATGGATGGGAGGGAGGGTCCAGGAAAGGGAGACCACAAAGATAAAGTCATGGGTGAACTGACATAGAATGTGTGTGTGTGTGTGTGAACGCGTGTGTGTGTGAACGCGTGTGTATGTATACACCTTTACACCGTGAGCAGTTCAGCAGTTCTGTAGATCAAAAATATGAGGAAAGGTTTCAGTGATGAAATAGATAAAATGGTCTTTAGAGCCTAGTTGAAGTTGAGAGTCATTTGAAGAGATCAGAGTGGGCAAGACTGGGATTAGAGAAACCCTGCCTGTGGTCAGGGTCCAGAAAAAGGTGACAGTACCCAGACCACTGCAGTGAACCAAGGGTAGGGAAAGAAAATGACTTAGAGAAATGCCTGACACTTGGTTTTGAAGGTGATATGATTCAGCTGTGTCCACACCCAAATCTCATCTTGAATTGTAGTTCCCATAATCCCCACGTGTCATGGGAGGGAAGTGGTGGGAGGTAATTACATCATGGGGCAGTTACCTCCATGCTGTTCTCATGATAGTGAGTGAGTCCTCACGAGATCTGATGGTTTTATAAGAGGCTTTTCTCCCTTTGATTGGCACTGCTCTCTCCTGCTGCTTTGTGAAGAAGGACATGTTTGCTTCCCTTTCTGCCATGACTGCAAGTTTCCTGAGGCCTTCCCAGCCATGAGGAACTATGAATCAATTAAACCTCTTTTCGTTAGAAATTTCCCAGTCTTGGGTATTTCTTCATAGTAGCCTGAGAATGGACTAATACAGAGATGCTGTAGGATTTTGGATTTTGCAGTAGAGGAAAGAGCATTGATCAGAGTTTCAGGAAATAAACACAGTATCATTCTGGTTTGCCCGATGTGACCACATGTATTCCTGTGGCAGACCCATTCACCTACTATGCCTCAGTTTCTTACTTGCTTGCAGTCTCAGTTACCACTGCAAAATGGGGCAACCTAAGGAGAAGACAGCAAAGGTTCCTTCAAGCACAACAGTTCATGAGTATATTGTTTTCAGCTCTGGATAAGCAAAGCACAGTAACACCTTCATTCAGAATTTCTAATTACAAATATTTGAGACCAACAACGTGTCAGACACTGTGCTGTGATAAATATTTTCCTGCTTTTAGAGGGGCAGATTAGGTCCTCGTCCCCAGAACAAGCTTATTCCCCTCCCTGCTGGAGAGGAGATTTTCACCTTCATGCTTATTCTCCTAGGAACCAGAACCATTAGGCATGATTAAAACCAGGTCTTATCTGGAGTTGAAGCTGGTGCTCTGAGATGAAAATACTAGGTTCTGTGAAATAAACTTATTGTAAGGATAAAAGAACTCACAGAATGCTGGCCCTGACCTAGCAACTCATCTGTACTCAAAGTGAGCCATTAAGAATCATCATTTATCTTCATTGCGGTAATTTGTCCTTTTATGAAAGAATTTCTGGATGTGTGCTTTTACCACTCTTAGAAAGCTGGTAGTTTTGACAAATTCACAAAATAGGTTTCTAATTCCATTCTGCTCCTATCGCATCCCAGTAATTCTCACATTATTTCTGGAAGATTAGCAGACACACAGTTGTAGTGAGATAATTAGTATTCATAGGAGATAATAACATCAAGGGGTTTTGTTGCTCTTAGAATCTAAATGAAAATACAAGGATAGCAAAAGCTGGATTTGTGGTAATTTCTTGGCACAAATTGAGTGCTTGTTTAAATTTTAATGTCACAGATGAGATTGTGTAATGCAAACATGTTGGATAAGTCACTGACAGGAAAGTAGACTTTGTTTACTTTATCCTTAGTGTCCTACCTGTAAACAAAGGCATTGCTCTTTTTGCAGAACTCCCGTTCTGCTATGAAATGGTTAATCTTGAGAACTGTTTCAGGCAATAAAATACTGACTGGAATCTTTCCGACAATACTTTACTTCTTGATTTTTTTTTATGACTAATTGAAATGAAAGCCTGGGGAAGCTTAATGTGAAGGAAACACTATGTGCTCTGTGCGGTGATTCTGTGAAGGGGTGTATGTGGTGGGGAGCTCTCTGCTCTGGAATTTTAAGTTAGAGATCTAACTGAAGAATCAATATTTCAATTAGATGCTGTAGTGGGTTTGGGATTACTGTTACTGTAGCTGAAAGATTGCTAGGTATTTTCTTGGGAGGAGTCATTACTGTGAGCTGTTTTTTTATTTTCTTTTTAATCATTGCTCCCAGAGTCTGTCTACTTTGTCTGAGTTTGAACCACTGAAGTGGCCAGCTAGAAAAGACCCAGAAATGTAAATTATTATTACTTCCCTAAAGGCTGCTAACATCTGCAGCAGCCATTTGAGGGAAAGTCACCATTGTCTATTATTTTGTAACATCCTAGGATCTGTGACCCTTTGAACTGGGAGGACCAGTCCCACCATTTTTTTTTTTTTTTCGAATAGTGCTTCCACTGATCACCTGGAGGTGTGGTCAGTGAGAAAGTGACAAGGCACGGTGTGGGTGGACCTCCTCCCCTTACCCTGGATTCAGTCAACTAGAGTAACTCCCCTTTCATCTATTTTATATGTTGAGTTTATGTGAGATTTGATTTCCAAGATAATTTCATTATCTATGAGTGAAACATGATTAATGCCAAGTCAACCTTTCTGACTTTCCTCACAGATGGTCATCCAGGTCCTACTGAGCCACTTCTAGGGTAGGGCATTCAGGAATTTGTCATTTTAAGTAAAGTCACCACTAGCACCACCACCAACCAAATGGTTTACTTCTCAGAATTTGAAATATTTGAACCAAGATAGTCTCATCTGACTTTGAAAGCTTTTCATCCTCAGAACCACATTTTGTCACCAAATGCTATTTTCTTAGTATGGCCAAGAATAACCATACAAATTAGTTATGATCATCCTGGGAATAAATGGAATGTTTTTCCCTCTTCCTTCTGATTTTTCCAAAAGAGGCTCAGTAACTGCATGAAGCAATCACTCCTCCCGTCCTTTTCATCTGTGTTTCTTTCAATATTTATGGAGTTTTTAGCAATAGTGTATCACACAATTTAGACCATGATCTGAGAGAGTTGTTCGGAAATGTTTGTTCCTATCCAACAATCTTATATGGCCAAAATTACTACTCCATGAGTACTGGTTTTGCATCCTTGGTATAATGAAAGCAAAGAGCATTGGCTGAATTGTATAAAATGATATTTTTGTGTATCTGTTTTTTCTACTAGTTCTTTGAGAGCAGGAATTATATTTTAGTCAACTACCCCCATCCCCTAGAGCACTGCCTAATCACAATAGGTGCTTAATAAATGCAGTTTTAAAATCTGGAATCAGAGCACCTGTGTTTAAGTCTCTTCCAAGACATTTACTTGCTGTTTGACCATCAGTGAAACATTTCATTCCCTGAGCTTCTACTTCCTTACATGTAACTTAGTGAAAATAAGAGTATTACCTCAGGTTGTTGAAAGAATTGAATGAAAGACCATGAAACACTGTCAAAAGCCTGAGAGAAGAAATAAACAGATTATCTGAAGAATTCATAGTCTAAGAATTTATCAAGATATTTAAAACTTTGTCCTAGGATCAAATTGAATCATAGAAAGGCCATGTACTTGCAACATATTACTCAGCCTCTCACAGAATGTCTTTAATGAAACTATTGTTAATTATAACTTTTCAGTTATTTTGGTGTATATTGAAATATACTATAAAAACAGTTAAAAGGATCTTGCAAATGTATTACTTAAAGGAATGTTGACAAGGAAGATATTCTACTATGATGCTCAGAACTCCCTATATACTCATTATATATCTAGTGTCATGAAAAAATTAAATTTTTAAAGAACTATTACAGTTTGATATTTGGGAATGATCTAACTATGTCTCCATTTTTCCTTTGGCTGCTGGTAAGCTCAGAATCAAATTTGAGGCTCAATTAGAGAAAATACAATTTTCCACCAAAAACAATAAGGATAATTGATCTGATTATTCTTTTTGGTTTGCAGTATTTGTGCTTTTGTATTACATCGTCTTGATTTATTTTTTAAACTATGCTTTTATCTACTATGGAATTTCACATTCATGGGAGATATTTTTAAATTGTTTCATTGAATGTTTCTCAAATTACTTGTGGAACAAAAAAATTAACTTGATACTTAAGATAGCTGAATATAAAATAACATTTTGAGAAATTTAAGTATCTATGGTGGAAATGGCTAGCACCTGGCCCATCTTATAAAAAATGCAGAACAAAATTGAAATTGATCCTAACAGATATCTTACTGTTAGAATTTGGGATGAAATTTCTGCCAGCTATAAGATTGATTATGTTGGATTAAAAAAATTAGAGATATACCCATGAATCATTAAATAAAACCAACGGGCTCTGCCTGGCTGATAAATTATAATTCGCTGTCACATTCTTAGAGATTCATCTCCATAAATAAGTGCTGAATGTAGGAGCTGTGGCTGGGAGAACATTTATTCCATTGACTCATAGTGCCAGTGGTCTAGGTGTGGACATCTTCCTTGTAGTAGGCATTGTGTGTGTGTACGTTGGGGGAATGATATTTAATATCCAACCTCTTCCTCTTTAGGGATAGCTCACACGATGTGTATAGATTTGGTGGGATGCAGACTGCTTACTACCATATGAAAAATGAAATCTGGGAGGTTCTTATGACAGCCCCTAGTAGCTTAGAGCATGAGCACATAATTTAAGTTGATCCAAAATGCATGCAACCTGAGACTCTTGATTATTTTGAGAATAGAATAAAATCTCAGAGATTTTTCTGGATAGTGAAGTGCATAGAACTTCCACAGCTGCAAACAAAATCCAACTGAAAACAAAGTGGAAACAGAGGTGTTTAGAGATGTGGTCCTACTAAACCTGAAACCCGACCCTGTCTTTGTTATTATGTTACTTGTACCCAAAGCACCCTAGCTGGCATAATCCTCACTCCATAAGTCCAATAGATTTATGTATCTAAATATATAAAGGTCTAATGGATGCTGGGAATAGTTTAGAGGCACTTCATATCACCTATTCTTTCTATATTGGGAAATTCAGGAATATTAATTCTACAAAGTTCATTATCATTAGTGAGACGTTTAGAGGCTATCTCATACCGCTTATTCTTTCTATATTGGGAAAATCAGGAATATTAATTCTACAAACGTCATTATCACTTGAGTGGGAAAAAGGTGTAAAGTGACAACAACCTATGAATATTGTTGCAAACTTAATAACACCTCAAAATTCAGCAGAAGCACAGTTGTTGGAAAATGACTTCCACTGGACCCAAAAGAACACTAGAAATGTTTTGGAATCCTCAATAATGTCAGGAGAACATGGCCTTCACAGGAGATCAGGAACTGATTAGAGAGGTAATAGGATGGGAAATAATATGACATTATAAATTCAAAAGGCAAAAGGATAGGCTGGGCGCGGTGGCTCACGCCTGTAATCCCAGCACTTTGGGAGGCCGAGGCGGGCGGATCACAAGGTCAGGAGATCGAGACCATCTTGGCTAACACGGTGAAACCCCGTCTCTACTAAAAATACAAAAAAAAATTAGCCGGGCGCGGTGGCGGGCGCCTGTAGTCCCAGCTACTCGGGAGGCTGAGGCAGGAGAATGGCGTGAACCTGGGAGGCGGAGCTTGCAGTGAGCCGAGATTGCGCCACTGCAATCCGGCCTGGGCTAAAACAGCGGGACTCCGTCTCAAAAAAAAAAAAAAAAAAAAGGATAAGACATAAAGGCAACAAAATGAAATAAGGAGGGATCAGGATGAGGAAAGGGATGATTAAAAGAAAGCTAATATTGCAATCAGAGAATTAAAATCTGTATTTGAGGAAGTAAAGAGTAGACCTTAGTAAATCAAATTAATTATGTGGAAATTAAACTTCAGATGCATTCTGAGACAGAGAGAGATTATATATAAGTGGAGGAAAAAAAATCATCTGTATATAGTTAAGTTATAGGTAATTTTATTTTCTTTTTTGTTTATTAGTTTCAAAAACATTTCTTCTATAATAAATAGGTATTAATTTTGAAGCAGAAAAGTTTTTTTTCTTTCCTTCAAAATTGTGTTTTTAATATACATTTCATTCCTGGGTACCTATCCAATGCAAACTTCGTTAGCATTCAGAGGACCAGTGAAATCTTAACTTGCGTAGAAAAGAACAATGAAAAGACCCCTATAACCATGGCAACACAAATGTTTGTATTATCAGACAAAGATTTGAATGCAGCAATTGTAAAAATGCTTCAAGAAAGTTTGCAAACACCGCTAAAGTGGATGGAAGAATAGAAAGTCACAGTGAAAAGTGTAAGATAAGAAGCAAATGGAAATTTGGAACTGTGAGGTATATAATAAAAATTAAAAAATTAACTAGATGGACTAAATAACAGAATGGATATGACAGAGGAGAAAGTAAATGAACTTAAAGATTGAACAATAGAAATTATCCAGCCTGAACAGTAGAGGAGGACAATAGCAAGAAGCCTGATATTTGTGTCTCTAAAGTTAAAGAAGGAGAAGATAAAGGGTCTAGTGCTAGTAAAATAGGTAAAGGAATAATGACTGAAAATTTCCTGAAGTTGACCAAATAAATTGAATTTATTGTTAAACATCTTCTGAAATAAAATCCACTTGCTTTGATGGTTTCACTGTCTAATTCTACAAACATTTAAGGAAGAAATAACAATGCTATACAATCTCTTTGGAAAATAAAAGTGGAGAGAGTACTCCCCAATTCATTTTACAAGGCCAGCATTACCCTAAATCAACACCAGAGAAACACAGTACAAAAAGAAAACTACAGACCAATATCCCTCATGAACATAACACAAAAACCTCAACAAAAATTTTATACAATGGAATCCATTACCAAGTGGGTTTATCCTGAGAATGTAAAGCTGCTTTGATATTTGAAAATCGACCACTGTAGTTGTGATAAGTAATTTTATGTGACAACTTGACTGAGCCATGGGGTGCCCAGATATTTATCCCATCTGTTTCTATGAGGGTGTTTTTGGATGAGATTAACATGTAAATCAGTAGAATGAGTAAAGCACATTGCCCTCTCTAACTTGGGTGGATCTCATCCAATCAGTTGAAAGCTCAAATGGAACAAAATGACCCTTTAGCAGGAGAGAGAGAGAATTCTCCTGCCTGATAGCCTTCAGGCTAGAACACAGGCTCTTCCTGCCTGATGGCTTTCACACTGGGGCATAGGATCTTCCTTGTACAGTAGCCTGCCAGCCTTTGGATTCAAACTGGGACATGAGCTCTGCAGATTTTGGATTTGCCAGCCTCCATAATCACACAAACCAATTCCTTATAATAAATATCACACACATATGTATGTATATGTATAAAATGTATATATGCATATACATTTTATTCATTCTGTTTCTCCAAAGAACTTTGAGTCATCCAGTAGCCCACCATATTAACAGTCTATAGAAGAAAAAACACAGGACTCTATCTATTGGTGCAGAAAAATAATTTGACAAAGTTTACATCCATCCAAGATAAAATCTCTCACTGAAGATTGATATGGTTTTGCTGTGTTACCACCCAAATCTCACCTTGAATTGTAGCTCCCATAATTCCCACATGTTGAGGGAGGGGCCTGGTGGGAAGTAACTGAATCATGGGGGGCAGGTTTGTCCCATGCTATTCTCATGATAGTAAATAAGTCTCACAAGAGCTAATGGTTTTTATAAAGGGGAGTTCCCCTGCACATGCTCTCTTTTGCCTGCTGCCATATAAGATGTGACTTTGCTCCTCCTTTGCCTTTTGCCATGATTGTGAAGCCTCCCCAAGCATTTGTAACTGTGAGTCCATTAAATCTCTTTCCTTTGTAAGTTACCCAGTCCCAGGTATGTCTTTATTAACAGTGTGAGAACAGACTAATACAGATAGAACTTCTTCAACCTAATCATAAACATCTACAGGAAACCTACAGGTAACATTATTATTAGTGGTGAAAGACTGAATGCTTTCTCTCTAAAATGGGGAACAGGCATAATTGTTCACACTAAACCCTTTTATTCAACATCAGATTCAAAATCTTAGCCAGAGCAATAAAGCAAGCAAAAAGACATAAAATTCATGTAGGCTAGGAAAAAAGAAATAAGACTATTCTTTTTTTTTTTTTTTTGAGACAGTCTCACTCTGTTGCCAGGCTGAAGTGCAGTGGAGCGATCTCAGCTCACTGCAACCTCTGCCTCCTGGGTTCAAGCGATTCTCCTGCCTCAGCCTCCCGAGTAGCTGGGATTACAGGCACCCACCACCACACCTGGCTAATTTTTGTATTTTTAGTAGAGATGGGGTTTCACCATGTTGGCCAGGATGGTCTCGATCTCCTGACCTCATGATCCACCTGCCTCGGCCTCCCAAAGTGCTGGAATTACAGGTGTGAGCCACAGTGCCTGGCCGACTATTCTTATTTGTAGATGACATGACTGTCTACATAGAAAATATCAAGGAATATACAAAAATACTTTTAGAATTAATGAGTTCAGCAAGGTCATAAATATAAGATTTAAAAATCAATCTCATTTCTATAAACTAACAATGAGCACATGGAAACCAAAATTTAAAAGGCAATGCCATTTATAATTGCTTCAAAGAAAACTGAATACTTAGGAAAATATTTAATATAACATTTACAAAATGTGTGTGCTGACAACAAAATACTGCTGAAAGCAATAAAAGAAAACCTAAATAAATGGACAGACATATATTAATGAGTTGGAAGACTTAATTTAGCAAAGATGTAAATTCTCTCCAAAGTGATCTATAGATTTAATACAATTCCAATTAAAATCCAAACAGCCTTTTAAACATATATACACACTGATTTAAAAATTTATATAAAAAGACAAATGACCTGTAATAGCCAAAATAATTTTGAAAAAGAAGAATAAAGTTAGATGAATCATACTTCCTGATTTTGAGATGTAATAGAAAGCTATAACAATCATTGGATGTAATGGGGTGGAGAGAAATCAGCATCACTAGGAAGTGAGATGCAAAATAGGTTAAATATTCTGAAGAAACAGGAAAGCTAACTTAAAGAGATGATGAGCTGAAAGATAAATTTCCCATTCATATTTTGAACAACAAAAATATGTTTTGCTAGTGCAAGCCAGAGGACTGGGAGATACCCAGGTGGCTGACATAAGTTACTATTACATTTCTTTATTTATACTTACAACATTATCTACAACAAATTTAATATTTTACACATCAGTCTAAAATGGTTATTAAAGCACATATGACAATTTTTGTTCATCTCCAAATTGTACTGAAATAACAGAAGTAATATAAAAACAAGACAGATTCCAAGGCAGTCCTGGCAAGTCAGGAACAAAGACTTCAGTAGATCAGCAACACTGAGGTATTTCTAGGGCATAAACAGAAAAGGGGATCAAATCAGTAACAGCAGTTGTGGGGGAATCCACAACACAATACAAAGAAGGAGGCCCCTGAAAAAGTGAAGTTTCCCAAAAGGACTCTGGGTGAACAATTACAATATGTGGCAATGGCTGGCAAATGGGAAGAAGCCTCGCCAGAGTTGGCAGGGTTGCTAGTTAAAAGGCTGCCAAATCACTGAGCCTGCCCAGCACCTTCAGTGTGGATGGGCTTAGGGTTTGCCCTTAGCATGAATTCAAGAGAACACATTCCTGGTAGAATGGTTGATTTGCCTCTGAGTTTTCTGAACTTGTGCCTTAGAGGTGAAAACAAGTATACGATCGTGCCCGAGGGAAGGTCTAGCTGCTGCCAGGTGGCTGGAGTCCCTGTACCCTAAAGGCACACAGACTCTTTGTAAACCCTGAAAAGAGGCCTATGCCTCTTTTGCATGGCTCCCTGTAATTATAATCCACAATCCCATGCACTGAGAACAACCTCCTTCCACTGCCAGGCCTCTCCACTAGGCATAATGGGCACAGTGCCTGTGCCTGGGGCCCATGACACTGTTAGGGGCCCAATAAAATGTTCTAATTTCTTTTGAAATCAGAATTTTAAAAAATGAATACACTTTAGCATGAAATACATTCATCTTTATACCAATGCAGCTACCAAATATAATTTTTAATATTTTTGTATGGAGAAAGGGGCCCATGAAAGTTATAATGGTGCCATGCTTACTATGAATATTAATAATTCTATGTCTTCTTTGTAAGTGTAAACAGGCAGCCAGGAATCACTAAACTTTGTAAGAAAACAACATGAAATAGCAAATCAGTCTGAAAAAAATTGAGGAAAAAAATCCAAGGAAGCAGAGTTAATGAGATGGAAAAGATATAAAGTTTTGAAAATTTGAGTTAGTATGTTCAGAGGCTTGAGAGCATTTCAAATATAAAAAATAAAATGGATTCTCTGAAAGCTAATCATAATTGAGCATTTCATTTAAAGTCTTTTCCACATACAGTAGTCCCCCTTATCCATAGGGATACATTCCAAGACCCCCAGTGGATGCCTGAAATTGTGGACTGTATAGAATCCGCTATACTAAGTACTGAATACACTATGTTTTTTCCTAGATAAACAGGCTATGATAAAGTTTAATTTATAAATTAAGCACAGTAATAGATTAATAACAATAATAAATTATAACAATATACTGTAATAAAAGTTATGTGAATGTGATCTCTCTCTCTCTTTCTCAATATTTCATTTTACTGTCTTCACCCTTCTTGTGATCTGTCATTAAGTCTTTCTGTGATGAGACATTAGGTCTGGTTCTCATTCCATGATGTGAGGCAGCCGTTGACAGTCAATGTCAAGATGCATTACTTCCTCGGGGTTGTAAAATGATGATGCACCCGCTTGATCATTCTTTCTTCATTTACTAGCTAAAATATTTCTGTAAATAGAAACTTCCCCTCATCAGCCTTTTGGTTACCCTGAGGTACAGTTTGTGCCAAAAAGACAAAATAAATGCTTTTTTTTAAAATTAATTTTTAGACTAAATGATCTGTGCCTTAGCTACTTCCAAGGATTAACCAAAGTGTTTGTGTTCACTTATTTCTTTTTGTTTTGAAGCATCATTGTGAACTGACAGATTTTAATATATTGATGTTTTAAGCCAATGCATTAAATACTCTTCTTCATGTTCACATTATTTCATATTTGGCTAGTAGGAACCTCTTCAAGTTATTCTTAAGGCCAGTTCTTTACATTTCTGTCCCAGACTAACAGTGAGCTATTTCTCCAGGCATCTTTGGTTTCCTGGTAGTGGGAAATGGTGGTTAGAAACCACAATATGCACTGTTTTTCCCCTCCTATTTTTTTTTAAACTATATATTCAGAAAATTAGCCTTTAGTCTCTAAGTTGCAACTTTCTTCCTTGCTTTATTATTTGTCTTTTATGTTGCTTATAATGTTTTTATTCCGTACTTATTTTTGCGTTCGTGTAGACTTTTAAAATCATTTAAAACTAATTTTAAGATTCTGGCTAAATTTGATAAATGATTAAAAGTATATCATGAGCAAGTATTTGTAACCTAGACTAACATTCTATCCAAAGTATTATTCAAGTTTGAGGGTTAAGACATTTTTTTGAATAAATAAACCCTATAAGTTTACCATCTATGAGGCCGGGCACGGTGGCTCACCCTGTAATCCCAGCACTTTGAGCGGCTGAGGTGGGTGGATCATGAGGTCAAGAGTTTGAGACCAGCCTGGCCAACATGATGAAACCCTGTCTCTACTAAAAATATTAAAAAATTAGCCAGGTGTGATGGCAGGCACCTGTAATGCCAGCTACTTGGGGGGCTGAGGCAGGAGAATTGCTTGAATCAGGGAGGCAGAAGTTGCAGTGAGCCGAGATCGTGCCACTGCACTCCAGCCTGGGCAACAGAGCGAAACTCCGTCTCAGGAAAAAAAAAAAAAAGTTTACCATCTATGCATCTCTTTTGAGAAAACACAACAAAATAAATTTAAAATTTTTTACATGTATTATAAGAAACATCATTATTTTAACAGCCCCTTCTTTCTTGCTAATAGAATTCAGAATTTTGTCTAAGTACCAGATAGACGTGTACAGGAGAGGCTGGCCCCTCTTCAGCCACAAGGAATGAATCATGGTTAGACTAAGCCAGGCATGGTGATCTTATTCTCCTTGCCAGTGATGGGAGAGGAGAATCTATCTCTAGGTTCTAGAAAACACTGCGTGCTTCTGGAAAAAGTTTTCCTTAAGCCCTATGGGAGGAAATATCTTTTTCTGTCTCAGATGCTATTTGTCTGCAAATAACACTGGGAAACACTGTCACCATTTTAAAACCATAAGAGGGCTCATTGGTATGCTGAGCCTGGCA
This sequence comes from Homo sapiens, assembly GCF_000001405.40. NCBI lineage: Eukaryota > Metazoa > Chordata > Mammalia > Primates > Hominidae > Homo > Homo sapiens. The sequence continues at coordinate 17,194,548 of NC_000004.12, read as the reverse complement.
GAACAGAAAGATGAACACCTGGTGCCTTGATGACATGGTAGAGCTGCTAGATTAACCAACAGGGACTATGGCCAGGCTTCTAGTTGTGAAATACCAAATGCCCCCACTCTACAAACCACTGCTGTAGGGTGAGATGGGGAGGGAGGACAGTGAGGTCTGTTCCTGGCGGCTGAAAGTATCTTGATTGACTCATAAACTCCATGGAAGGGGAGGTTGAATAGAAGACACACTGATGAGCAAAGGAGCCAGCTGAACTCATAATTAGGCCTAAATAATTGTTATTATTGAGGCTGAAATGAAAGGGAAAGTATTCCCAGAAGGTGAGAAGCACAATGTTAAAAAAAAAAAAAAAAGAACAAATCTTGAAGAAATAAAATTCCAGGTGTTTTCAAGAAAACCTGGGGGATATGGTGGTGCAGCGGAGAAGTAAATCTGTGCTAAAGATTTTGTGCATTGGGTAGGATAAACGGGAAAGTTCTAGATCAGCAGTTCTCAGCCCTGGCTGTACGTTAACATTACGTGGTACATTAAGTGCTGACATTCAGGCCCCACCTTGGACCTAAACTCTGGCAGTGGTGCCTGGTTATCATGTTTTTTAAAATGCATATTACATTACAGACTTTTTAAACAAGATTAATGAATTTATATCAGGCAAATCAAAACAAAAGAAAGGCAGAATAATAATATGAATATTACTCAAGACAGATTCAAGATACAGTGTGTGTATTAAATGACACACAAAGTGATGTTTAATTTTGATGTAGCATATATGGATAGGTCTTTAATATTTGAGATGTGAGCATTTCTATGAATCCAAATTACTTTGGAACTTTCTTTAATTTCATCTATCTGATTGACAAGAAGAACAGTGGGCTCTCTTGGGGAATTGGGGCCCTCGTGACCCTTCCTGAGATCATTGAGAGCCTAAGCAGCCTACAGAGGATGTCCATCCAACTCCAACCCCAAAGCAAGGAGAGCCCACTTCCTGTACCTCCTCTCTACAGTGACTTCTCACTGTTGTGCAGCAAGCACAGGCCTTTCTCTGTCCTGCCGACATAGCTGGACCACACGGAGGAAAGTCTCTTTCATGCTGGCTGCTACTGTATCTCACTAGCCCAGCTACCAGCACAAGCCAGATGACCATTTGAAGGAAAGCATCTCTACTTCCTCAGGGATGCACTCTGTTCTTTCACAGTTAGCCCTGTTTCTTCTAAGGTTCAATGCCCCAAATCCATCCATCTACCTGTTGTAAAACTCAAAGTGCAACACTTGTTCTAGCTTTGAATTCATCATGGAAGATAACAGATTTTGCTGCATAAACAACCACCCCAACTCTTACTAGCTTAAGATAACAACCATTAGTTACTGCTCTTGAGTCAATGGGCTGGGTGGGTTCTGCTGAACCAGGCCAGGATAGGCTGATTGTGGCTGGGCTCTGTCATGTATCTGTGGGCAGCTGGAAGATCAGCTGGGGTCTGGCTGGTCTGGGATGGCATCAGTTGGAATGGCTGGTCTGTCCTTGCTGTGGTCCCTTATTCTCTACCAGGGTGGTTTGAACTCATTCATGTCACAGCAGCAGCGTTCTAGGAACAAGAGGAAAGGTGTGCAAAGGCTTTTGAGGCTTAGGCTTGGACCTGGCACAATATCACTCTGAGACTCTGTGAGTCACAGGGTCATTCCAGGTTCAAAGACTGAGGAAAAAGGTCCCTCCAGTTGGTGGGAAAGTTTGCAAAGTCTCATTGCAAAGGTGCACAGATTCTGGGAGGAGAGGTCAATTTCCATATTTGGAACCATCAAGCTTTCATCCCTTTCATTTCTTGGACCAGGGTCACCACATTTAGTTGTACAGGCTTCATATTACACAGTTCCAGGGAGTGTGAGTCACATTCTAATTCTGTTCCACAAGGAATAAATCCCATCAGTCTTTCTTAAGATGCTCTTCAGATACTTGAAGAGAGCTATTCACTCACTACATACACACACACACATGCGCGCGCGCACACACACACACACACACACACACACACACACACACCCTTCCCAAGGGCAACTTAGTTTACTACCAAATTGGTTTCTGGGACATGAAAACAAAGTCTGCTATTCTAAAATTCAGCTAATGATGTTAACATATTACAGGTTTAAATATACAGAATCTCTTTACTTCAGCTATTTTACATGGTGGCATTAAACTTGCTTAAGCTACAAAAACTTACACTGTTGACCCTTTAAAATAAATATTTATAAGTTTCATTTTTAGAAAAAATGTTTGAGTGTCTATTGGTTTGTATTATCTACAGCTAAATATATTCTGCAGTTAGTTTAGCATTATTATTTCTAAAAAATAATCCTTGGGCTTAAGTATACATTTTTGGTGAGGCTATGAGATCATTCAAGTAAATGAAGAGCCTTGACATTGTTATATCTCTTCCTTATTTTCATGAAAAAGGGGACTTTCATTAGGGCAGAGTTTTCATTTTGAAAATATTATTCCATTAAGATTGTTGCATTGCTGGGAGAGTAGATGAGTATCTATTTCTGTACATTAAGATCCAAATTCCATGTAAACTGCCTCCTTGAAACTAACGATGCTATTAATAGGTTCCTCCAGTGTTCTGTTCAGCATGGAGAGTAGGAGTGAGGCAGCATCTTTAATTTACTGAGGGTTGGAACACCTTTATACAACTATTATTTCTGGAAGCAACCTTTACCTTTCTGAATGATGTATTTGTGCAATAGGATGGATGTTACAGATTTGCATTATCAGAGGATAGAAATCACTCATTTCTGCAATATCTCTGGCAAGCTGATATTAAATGCATTTTTTTCTTTATTAAACTGAAATTGAGAGTTTATTAATCTTAATTTTAAAAAATACTGTATTCAAATCAACCAAATCTCATTAAATATATTTATAGTAAAAACTTGCTAATTTGGTCATGTTCGTTAGGAATCTGTGATTATTTGGAGAAGGCCTGGGGTAAAGTTCATCTATTAGCAATATCTAAAAGATGGATTAATAAACAAAAAAATAGTTTGAACCCAATTTCAAGGAGAATATATATCTTTTAAACAATAAAGTCTGCTCTTAAGTCCTTAGAAACACCTATTTCACTCCAGACAACATAATGAAAGGTTATTTCTGTTGAAACGCATGTTTGTGTGCTAATTATGAAACGTTCTTGCCTTCTGAATGAGGAAAGCCTCGAGATATGCTTGAAAGAAATAAACCTACAGTTCTGTGAAAATATTATATAATTTAGGCCACTGCTGAATAATAGTTTATGCATGAGAGTCAATTCAGGAAGAAATAAAATGTTTGCAAGCTATGTTTATTTTTTTCTTTCTGTTCAAAGCAGGATAAAGTTAATGAGAAAATTGATATTCAGCCACTAACATATTACCATTATCAGGACATATTAATATCAGATTTTGAGAAGTAGCAGTAGAATATGCTTTTCTATTTCTTGCACTTTCCATTTTGAGACCTTTTAGAGTTTACTTAGGGATGTTAGTGTGTGGTACTTCACTTTTTGCCCAAGTGATACCTGAATTAGAGTCTCACTTTGTTGACAGAGATGCTCACACAGGTGAAGTCACACAGAGAGATGGCCACAGCACTGGAGTGAAAACTGGTCCGTTTCATTCAGGGCTTCATGTACCACAGGTGGAGTGGATGAGGAGCTGTGCTATAGAGAAGGATGCTGCAGGTGCTGCTGATGGAAGCCTCCACCTCCCCGCTTCCTCTCTCCTGACCAAGCTTGTCTCTAGTCTCAGCTTCACCTGCAAATGCTGCATGGAACTGAGAATGTCCTTTGACTTTCTGAACTTCAGTTTTCTTGTTCATAAAAGGGAGGCTTCGATTTGATTCGTGTTTCTAAAACATCATTCTTCCACCTACCATATGCCAATTTTTGCCATGGCCATCATCCATCAGTATATGATATGGTTTGGCTTGTCCCCACCCAAATCTCATCTTGAATGCTCAACGTGTTGTAGGAAACACCTGGTGGGAGGTAACTGAGTCATGGGGGCAGATCTTTCCAGTGCCACTCTTGTGACAGTCTCATGAGAGCCGATGGTTATTATAAGGGGGAGTTTTCCTGCACAAGCTCTCTCTTTGCCTGTTGCCATCCATGTAAGACATGACTTGCTCCTTCTCACTTTCTTCTATAATTATGAAGCTTTCTCAGCCATGTGGAACCATAAGTCCAATTAAACCTCTTTCTTTCGTAAATTGCCCAGTCTCAGGTATATCTTTATCAGCAGCATGAAAACAAACTAATACAGTATCCTTGGCTTGATATCTCTCTATAATTTCGTGGACTTTGCCTTCCTAAATTTATTGATTTTCTAATTTATTGATTGCTCTCAGAGTCTCCTCTTGGTAGGCAAGTTTGCAAAGTCTCATTGCAAGGGTGCACAGATTTGGAAAGAGGAAACTTTCTACTGCTACCTTAAATGGAAAACCAGCATTACTTTGCAGGGAGAAAACCGTTAAATACCGTGAAACAAAACAATGACAGTCAGTCCTCACACATGCTGTTGCCTGTGTAACATGATGCAGCTAAGACCTCCTCCTGTCTGTTAAAAGGGAGACCAGCAAGTGTTAGAGAGTTGGGAAAGACAGCACTTCATGTAGACTTTCTCCTTGACACACTCTAGTAATGAAAGGCAATTGAAAAGGGAATACCTCTTTCCTTTTATGAGCCAAAGTCACTTAATTCATTATCTGTGCAGCACCCAAATGTCTTCTCTACCAGCTGTGGCCTGCGTCCTGCACTTTGAGAAACACTGACAGGGAGAGGGGGGTCTTTGAATGTTTTAAGAAGCTATCATTTATCCGATTTTAAAGACCTGAAAGATGGAACCCCCATGGCAATCAATGACTATCTTTCACAGCTGTCAGGTACTGGAGTTCTTTTTCTACTTCAGCCCTTCCTGCTGTTCTGGAAACTCCGGTTATATTAGCCAAGCCCCAGCAGAAGCAGAAACAGCTGTTCACCGTCTTCCCCTAAATTCCCCACTCGTGCTTGAAGATTGTTAGTGAGTCACCACTTGGTCTTTGTTTTTCTAAGCCAAATTATGTTGGGTCCTTAGCTCTCTCCTCTTCCATCCCATTTACCAATTATGTTTGTGACTGTCTGATTCCCAACAAATTTCTACATGCACCTTGTGGATCCTTGAATTCTTCCTAGTCCAAGGCCAAGGTGTAGAAGTTTTTTGGAGGTCTGCTATCTTACCCATATTACTTAAAGACACCTTTTCTAAGAGAAGCATCAAAGTGTATATAACACAACTTCTATCCCAGGACCAGGGTTTACTTGGCTGTCTCCTGCTCCTAGTTTCCTTCTCTAAATCTCTAGACCAGAGATGCCAAATGGGCTGCCAGAATACTGGAGCTGGTACTACTTGTGTCTAGCCCTGTGCTATTCCAGGTGTGATCTCTGGGCTGGCAGCATCAGTTCACCTGGGAGCCTGTTAAAAATGCACATTTTCAGGCCCCACCAAGACTTAACTGAACCAGAATCTCTTGGCATAGGGCCCCATAATCTGTGTTTTAACAAGCTCCCCAGTTGATGTTTAGGTCCAATAAAGTTGAAGATTTGGCTGGATCCCACATAATATTTTAAACATTTTTGCATATGGCTCTGATTTTTAAAAATTAGGTCTTTCATAATAATGCAACTTTCCAGCTTCTTTTTAAAAATTCCACCATCTGGAAATAATTTTCCAGACTTCACCTCCCTCCTGGAATCAAGCCTGTCAATATCTCCCAGTGATAATCTCCGCATGGTGATCCAGTGTCAGCTGCCATTTTCCATATGCAGGCATTATTGTTTTTCCTGGAGTGGAAGGAAGGTGAATGTAAATTACGTCTTGTACGTAGATTACTATCCAAAGTGGTCAAATGAAAGACCCAGAGGGCCATGGGATTCAGTGAAAAGGAAAAAGATTTCTGAGCGGAAGTGATGTGGCTTGCTTTAATCCTCTCCCTTGTTTTCCTAGCCCTGTAAACATTTGCATATGTGACTCCAAGTGTGTTTTAGATTTGTTTGACTTTTCCAGCGACAGCTTCTCCTTTGACTCTGCATATTGCATCTGATTCCTGCTCAAACCCTCTGCCTATTCAAACCCTGGGTCCTGACCTCCTGCAGCCTGCTCTGACCCTTGGCTGTTTAACTGCTGCATGGCATGGATGCCACAAGTCACTCTTCAATTGATTAACAACCCCCGTGCTTTTAGTTTAGTACATTGATTTGTTCAGAATGTGCTGTGCCACGTAGGATAGAGGAAAAGCCTGCCTTTGGGGAATAGGAGAGCTGAGTCTGATTTCAGGCTCTGCACTTACTGGGCTGTTAGGAGAACTAGTGAGAAACACATGGAAAGTTCCTATCATAGTGTCTGACACATAGTAAACACCAAGTCAATGGTATTTTTGATGGAGTTTAGTACTTGTTTATTTGGTAATAATGTTAACTATGTATTTAGCACCTATATGAGGCCAGGGCTGTGCTAACTAGACATTAGGGTACAAAGATGAGGTAAGGGAGTCAGGCACATAAATTCTTGCAATAAAGGCCTATGTACAAAATGCTCTGGGACTGTGGCTAGGAGGAGCATTTGAAAGATTTTGTGTATGTGGTTGTCGAGCTGGATAGTCAAGGCTGCATAAGAATTTTCTTAGCAGAGAAAAGAATGAAGGGCTACCTTGTGTATAAATACTCAGACATAAGAAAGAGTGTGGTGTGTTCTGTGAATCTTCCAAAAATAATGGTTAATTCGGTGTTCCTCTAGTGAATGGGAAGAGACCAACAACATATGAGATTGGAAAGGTAGACGGGTGAATGGTGAAAGGCACTTTCCCAAACTTATAAGAATTTAAACTTCACGTTGGAATAAAATTTGTGTTTTCAAAAGGCCACTCTTCAAAAGGATCTTCTCAAAAATCAATTAAATTATGCTCTATAGATTGTATGAGGAAGACATAGATATGAGAGAAGAATCTTAGAGAAGTTACTATCCAAAATGGTGGACAAATATTTTTAAGGGACAATGTAGTCTCAGATTTGTTGAAAACTTAGGGAACCCATTCCTCATGCATTCCAGTGAGTAAAAGTTTTCTGCATCAGACTTACAGCTAAGTCAACGCAAACTTTGTCATTGAAACTAAAAATGACCAGAGAGTGGTGAGAGTTGTTGCCTTGGCAACGCTGACAAAAGTACAGTCAGAGAAGGATTTACCTCCAGCTAGGCTGGGTAGGAATTTTCTGCAGCTAGGCTGTAGGTAAATTACTGTTTGGTGTACTTTGGGCCAGCAAGTTAACACCATAGAAAAGTCTAGCTTGGCATTTCCTGACTTGGAAGTGCTTTAATTTGCTCCTCTCGGCGAAGTGTCCCCATGGGCTTTGCTCTGGGTTGGCCCTTTGTGAGGCAAATGTGTGATTCGATGGGCTTTGACAGGCCTGCCAGGCCAAAAAAATATCTTGCCAGGCCCAACATTCCCACTCTGAGCTTTTTCTGTTGGTTAACACATTATTTCCAGAAAGCTCTGTCAAAATGTAGAAGCGTTACCGGAGAATTACAGCACAAGAAGCAAACAGCAGAGAAAAATGCAGGTAGTGTCAAAGAGAGAACACTAGATCGCCAGGCAGAGGTCTGGGTTCTACCCATAAAATAACCATAGCACAGTCCTCTGATCTTGGGCAAGTCTATTATTATGATTACTATTTGAATATTGGTTTCACTGTATATATTGATATAATATTTGTTCTCTACTGGGCAGCTATGAGGGTCAAATGATATAGTAAAGGTGTTTTGTAAACTGTAAAGTACTATGCAAAATATAAGAGGCTATTATTTTAAATGTGTCTAGGACTGAGGCAGAGGATATAATATTTTGATTGGGGTGAGGAAGGAACACACAGTGACTACAGCATGGGAAAAAAGGTTGTGGCAGAAGATGAGAAGAGTGGGGTGGGCTTCCATGAGGACATGGCATGCTTTTTGAGTCTTGTCTTCATGATACCCTAAGCCACTCTCTGTCTATCTCAGCCATCCTGAATTACTTGCCATCTACTCAACAGATCATGTTGTTTCATGTTTGCATTTTACAAAAACTGTTCTCTCTGCCTGGGTTTCCCTGCTCCATCTGGTCCACCTAAGTAACTATGTCTTCTTTAAAGATCCATCTAGATAGGTTAGATGCTTCACCACAGAAATACCCAATACCTTTATGTTATTTGTTTCATCACATGGCAATTATGTGTACATATTTGCCTTTTCCACTTAGATGGTGTTATGGAATGAATTGTGTCCCCACCATGCTCCCAAACCCCTAAATTCATACGTTGAAGCCCTAATCCTCAATGGAATTATGTTTGGAGACACAGCCTTTAAGGTGGTAATTAAGGTTAAATGAGGTCATAAGGGTAGAACCCTAATCCAATAGAACTAATGTCCTTATAAGGAGGGGAAGAGAACTGGAGTTTGAGTGCACAAAAAAGGCCATATAGGGGCCCAGGGAGAAGGCAGCCATCTACAACTCAAGACCTCATCAGACACTAACTCTTCTGGCACTGTTATCTTAGACTTCTGACTTTCAGAAGTGTGAAAAGATAAATTTCTGTCGTTTAGGTTACCAAGTTTGTGGCATTTTGTGATGGCAGCCTGAGGAGACTATTAGGTAGACATTTTGATGGTAAGCATCTTAAGGGCAAAGACTGAATATTACCCATTTTTGTACAAGCAGGGACTGGAAAATAGTAGATAGTAAGCATATAATTCTCGAATGAATGAATAAATTAATAATGTAGCACACTGGTCAGGCATGGTGGCTCATGCCTATAATCCTAGCACTTGGGGAGGCCGAGGTGGGTGGATCGCGAGGTCAGGAGTTCGAGAGCAGCCTGGCCAATGTGGTGAAACCCTGTCTCTACTAAAAATACAAAACTTAGCTGGGTGTGGCGGCAGGCGCCTGTAATCCCAGCTACTCAGGAGGCTGAGGCAGGAGAATCGCTTGAACCCAGGAGGCAGAGGTTGCAGTGAGCCGAGATTGCGGCATTGCACTCTAGCCTGGGCAACAGGGCGAGACTCCATCTCAAAAAATAAATAAATAATAATGTAGTGCACCTGGGCTCAGTTGGTGAATCAGGTGAGGCCAGAACCGGACTAGCTGTTTACTCTGGGGCAGTGACTGTGACTATGGAGGCCTGGAGAATGAACAGTAGCAGGAACTTAGTGTGGTCATAGAGCAAGTCAGGGCAGGCAGATGTAAAACCAGGAGAGTCCCACTGCAGGTCACAGGCAGATGTCCAGGCTGGCCCTGGAGTAGATGTCAGAGAAGTTTAGTATCAGAGGAGCCTGGGGATGTGGGTAATAATTGCCTAAAACCCTCTAAAGTACTCCATTATATACAGGATAAAGGCGAAGATTTTAACTCTGTCAATATGGTACTCTATGACATGGCCACAACCCACTCTCTCTGCCTACAGTCGCCCTGTAGGTTGCACAGTAGGTATTTGTTTGTCTGTTACAGGATTATGTCTTCTTCAGTTTTGTTTTTACCCAGTACCCACAAGAAGGCCTGCTATATTGTAGGTGCTCAATAAATGTTTGCCTAATGAATAGGATAAAGTCTAAGTAGGTTCTATTCTGAGTGTTTCTTAGTCACTTAAAAATCCTCTTTATAGGCAAGTGTCATAGAGCTGGTCACCAGGATTTTTAAGTGACTGAGAAACACTCAGAATAGAACTTTTTTGTAGGGTCTTACATTACTTTCATAGGGCTGCAGTATCACCAGAAACTTGGTGGCTAAAAACAACAGTAATTTTTTTCTCGTAAGTCCTTCCTTACCTCTTCCAGATTCTGTGGTTCCAGGTGTTCCTTGGCTTCTGGCTGCAAAAATCTAATCTCTGCCTGTCTTCCCTGGATTTCAGCTCTGTGTGTTCTCCTCTTCGTTCTGTGTCTTCTCTCCTTCTTTTCTCTATACTTGTCATTGGACTTAGGGTCCATCCTAATCCAGGATGATCTCATCTCAAGATTCTTAGCTTTATTATATCTGCAAAGACTGTTTTCCAAATAATGTCACATTCATGGTTTTGCATAAACGTATGTTTTGAGGGACCACTATTCAACCCACATAGATCCTCAGAGGATTTGCCACCAGGAAATAAGCTAAGGGAGCCATTGGTCAAAGTTGGATCTCAGATGAATGCTTAAGCTCATAGCTCAATTGCAGAGAGTGGTAGGAGGCAAATAAGATCATCAGCACAACTGGATTTGGTGTTAAATCCTTGAGCCATTGGCCTAGTGTCCCTTACATTGCTACAGACTAGTAAAGGAGCATAGAACCCAAAGAAAAGACGTGAAGACTAAGCAGCCTTGGTTTTGAGTTTGGAAGAATGCAAAAGCTGAAGTTTTTTTTTTCTTTTTATTTATATTATACTTTAAGTTTTAGTGTACGTGTGCACAATGTGCAGGTTTGTTACATATGTATACATGTGCCATGTTGGTGTGCTGCACCCATTAATTCGTCATTTAGCATTAGGTATATCTCCTAGAAGTTTTTTTTTTTCCTTTGACATTAAAGCCTGGTTTAAAAAAATACAGAGAGTGACACTATCCAATTTTTAAGAGAGTGAAGGGAAATGGTTACTTTCATATTGATGGTGAGGATAAAATTGGTACAACACTTTAATACTCAATGTATTGAAATTTTTAAAAGAAATTTGCATACACTGTGATCCAGCATTTCCTCAAGTAAGGCAAAGATTTGGCTGCAAGCATATAGCAACAGGAAAAAACTGGAAATCACCAGTATTTTCAACAATAGGTGATTATTTGACTACATGACAGTTATCATGAATTCAATAGGTGGAAAACCATATTCCTATTAAAAAACAAGCAAACAATTGGTGTTGCTGCAATGTACTCTTTGACCTGATGTGATGATCATAAATATTCTGCTGAGTGAAAAAAGCAGATTAAAAAGTATATACACAATATTGTGTATTTCACTATTTTAGTGAAAACATTTACATTTTACATGAAGATAAGGATGTGTGCACTCACATGTGAAGAGCAGTTATCTCTGGTTTGTGCAATTATGAATAATTTTTTTTTTTTTTGCTAATTTTTGTCTTTGGTCTATCATTAACATGTATTACTTATATGAAAATGCAAGTTATTTTAGAATATGAAAAATGTGGTCTCATTGAATAAACTTTTTCTAGACTATGTGTATTAGCTGCTACTATTATAGTTATCTAGCCACAATGATCTCTGATCTAATTTGCATAGTAATGTTAAAAAAAAGGCATTTATTCTTACGTTAGTAGGAAACAAGAACAGACAAGTGAATTTGTTTAAACATTTGTAAAGTGCCAGCAGCCTGGCTGGCTTGAGGATTCCAAAATTCATCTTAATGTTTTAGAACATGCTGGCTGCTGAACCTTCTGTGCTGTCCACACTCTGTGGCATTAAAAGCTGGAAATGTAACTGCTTCTCACTTTTGATCTACTTTAAATGATCGGATGTCAGATTAAGCGAAAGGGGGTTGGGGGAAAGCTCTTTGTAAATGGTGTGCAGCTGTGCAAGCAAGGGGCTTATTGTATCAGTGTCCCCGAAGGCATGTTGGAAATGCCATGGTTGGAGGGGCACCAAAACTCCCTTCCTTGGAGCCCCAGATTGCCTTGGAGGTGAGAAAGCAGCCTAATTGGGGGGAAGAATTAAGGGCCCACCAACTCAACCTGAGAGACTCCACTTGAGTCAATGGTGTATATCAAGGATTCTGCTGCTCAGGAAGAAATTTGAAAACCTCTGACTGATTCAATCCCCTCATTTTACAGAAGCACAAACCGAAGCCCAGGGCCAGAATGGGTGGCGGTGACTTTCCCAAGGTCACTCACTGGCATAGCTGGATTTAAATGAGTCTTTGGATCTCTAATACTAAGCCATCTTGTCTCTGGACTTTATTGGTGTCCTCATGTTAAAACAGAACTCTAGGCTGGGCACGGTGGCTCACACCTGTAATCCCAGCACTTTGGGAGGCCGAGGCGGGCAGATCACAAGGTAAGGAGATCGAGACCATCCTGGCTAACACGGTGAAACCCCGTCTCTACTAAAAATACAAAAAATTAGCTGGGCGTTGTGGCGGGTGCCTGTAGTCCCAGCTACTCGGGAGGCTGAGGCAGGAGAATGGCGTGAACCCGGGAGGCGGAGCTTGCAGTGAGCTGAGATCGCGCCACAGCACTCCAGCCTGGGCAACAGAGTGAGACTCTATCTCAAAAAAAAAAACCAAAAAAAAAAAACAAAACAACAACAACAACAAAAAAAAACAGAACTCTAGAACCTCTCATGTATAGTTATGCACTTCTTGACAATAGGGATATGTTCTGAGAAATGTATAGTTAGGCAAGTTCATCATTGTGCAGACATCATAGAGTACTTTCACAAACCTAAGTGGTATAGCCTACTATTCATCTAGGCATAACCTGTTGCTTATAGGCTACAAACATGTTCAGTATGTCACTGTACTGAATGCTGCAGGGAACTGCAATGCAATGATAAGTATGTGTGTATCTAAACATAAACATAAAAGTACAGTAAAAAAATGGTATAAAAGATATTAATAAAAAATGGTATGCCTTTATAGGGTGCTTACCATGAATGGAGCTTGAAGGACTGGAAGTTGCTCTGGGTGAGTCAGTAAATGAGTGCTGAGTGAAGGGTAAAGTTTAGGACATTTCTAGACAGTACTATAGACTTTATAAACACTGTACACCTAAGCTACACTAAATTTATAGAAGCATTTTCTTTAATAATAAATTAACCTTACCTTTTTTTACCTTAGAAACTTTTAATTTTTAAAAACATTTTGACTCATTGGTAATACACAAAATAACTTAAAACACACATCGTATAGATGTACAAATACATTTTCTTTCTTTATATTCTTATTCTATAAGCTTTTTTCTATTTTTTAATTTTTTATTACTAAAAAGTTTTTAAAAACGAAGACACAAACACACACATTAGCCTAGACCTCCACAGGGTCAGGATCATCAATATCAAGGTCTCCCACCTCCATATCTTGTCCTACTGGACAGTTCTCCGGAGCAGTAACACACATGGAGCTGTCATCTCCTATGATAACAATGCCTTCTTCTGGAAGACTTCCTGATGGACCGCCAGAGGCTATTTTACAGTCCCCCCCCTTTTTTTTAATAAGTAGAAGGAGTACACTCTAAAATAATAATAAAAAGTATAACAGGCCGGGTGTGGTGGCTCACGCCTGTAATCCCAGCACTTTGGGAGGCCGAGGTGGGTGAATCACGAGCTCAGGAGATCGAGGCCATCCTGGCTAACACAGTGAAACCCCGTCTCTACTAAAAATACAAAAAATTAACTGGGCGTGGTGGCGGGCGCCTGTAGTCCCAGCTACTCGGGAGGCTGAGGCAGGAGAATGGCGTGAACCCGGGAGGCGGAGCTTGCAGTGAGCTGAGATCGCACCACAGCACTCCAGCCTGGGCAACAGAACAAGACTCTGTCTCAAAAAAAAAAAAAAAAGTATAACGTAGTAAATACATAAACCAGTAACATAGTTATTTTTTATCATTATCAAGTAATATGTACTGTACAAAACTGTACGTGTTAGCCTTTCATATGACTGGTTTGTTTACATCAACATCACCACAAACACATGAGTAATGATATACAGTGGCTGCAGTGTCACTAGGCAATAAGAATTTTTTATCTCCATTTCTCCATTATAATCTTATGGAACCACCGTCTTATATGCGGTCCATCATTGACCAAAATGTTGTTATGAGGGACACGGGAGTAAAACTATGGCTGCCTCTGATTTGACCAAAGGTCCACAGTGATAATGGCAACAGCCTTCCTCCTCCTCTACCCTCTTCTCCCCAAGATTAGCAAATATGGAGTTTTGATCAACAGCGACCCCAAGCTCTAGTTCCTTCTGAGACCTCAGAGCTTACACCAAGTGCTCTTAGCCACAGAGAAGTGGCTCCTGGAGGGACTCAGTGATCAATGCAGACCACAGTCTCTCTCAGTGTGCAGCTGCCCCCCCTCATTCCAGGGACAACACAGGAGGACCCACTTTTATTTTATTGAAGAAGGAGAATTTTTTCAAAAGTCAATTTTGCTACAAGGTGCTGTGAAAGAGCAAAGATTACTTATGCATACCCCTTGTTCCTCAAGAATCTTACAGTCTATTAGATACATGGAGACAACCCATTTTATTACCAGGAAGAATGGAATAAGCATTTAAAACAGAATCAAGCAAATCTCTGCAGGAACAAAGAAGAAAGAGTGGTTCATTCTTTCACTACTAACACATGTGTGGAGCGTCTACTCATGCAGGGCATTGAACTAAGTGTTTTCACACAGGAAGTAGCAAAGAATTTTTCACTCCCGATTTCTTGGCTTGATTGCCTAGAAGACTAGAGCACTTAATAATTTTTGTTGAGTCTGGAAACATAGTTATCTTCTTTTTAAAATACAAATAGTCATCTTTAGACATTGAGAATGTTGAAATCTAAGCTTCATAGTTACGTAGTTGTACATACATGGTCAGACATATTCATAAAGGCTGAGGCAAAGTAGAAATCACAGTTGCAACTTTGCATGTGACCAGATTTCTCTGGTTTTGAGTTCTCTGTTGTGAATTTTGTGTCCAGTAAAATATAAAGCCCCTTGGAATCATGGAAATGTAGAGACCCAGAAACTTAGAAGTCATGCAGGAAAACCCATTCATTTCACAGATGATTACATTAAAATATAATTACTACTCCAATCACATTACACTGTTTTATTTTTTGATACTATTTATCACTATTTACAAACATGTTTATTGTTAAAAAGGTGAAGATGAAAGGTTATTTTCCCTTCAAAATATGCCCAAGTTATTTGTTGTTACCTAAAGGAAACTCACATATCTCTCTTGGCCATTTTACCCAGTCCTTTGTCCCACCCCTTCTAACTCCAGGGAATGCCCTAGAATAGTATCATTAGGTAATATTAGTAATATTATTATAGCTATATCTGGCTCAAAGTTCTTTTCAATGCTCTATAGTTCCAAGGGGTGAGGTTATTGTTTTGGTGTCCATATTTGGATTCCCTTTATTTTAGATCCTCTTCCTACCAGCGGCCAAGACAGTGCTGGGGGACTGGGACTGTTCCTGCTTAGGGGAAGACCTGGCCATCTCTCTTTTTTGGCTGTGACCTCCACACCCTTTTCTGCTTTCTGACTGGTCCTTTCCAAATATCTGAGGAGGTCATATGGTGGTGGCTAGATGCATCTTCCTGCATGGGGAGAGGAGCCCTTCCTTCCTATGCAAGGAA
Organism: Homo sapiens; assembly: GCF_000001405.40. Classification (NCBI taxonomy): domain Eukaryota; kingdom Metazoa; phylum Chordata; class Mammalia; order Primates; family Hominidae; genus Homo; species Homo sapiens. Next base: position 17,179,185 of record NC_000004.12, on the reverse strand, counting down.
ATCAGAGAGAGGCTGTTGTTCTGCCTCGTCTAGGCTGAAGAAATCTTCCTGATTCTGCACCATCTGTCTCACCTTCCAAAGTCTGCCAATCTAACTAAAACTTTGACATCAATACCTCTGTTATACATATGGATCCCTCCAGAACCTCAAAAGATGATAGGTGGCAGTTGAGGGAAGGATTATATCTCCTATATAGACTTTCTGTCTCTCACACACATCTATCTGTAGCTGTCTCCTCTATATATTATTGTCCACTTTTCCATGGCTTGCATAATGCTTGATAAGTGGCAGAATCACCTACTCAATCATTCAATTGGAGATATTCATTCATTCAGAAATAAGTTTACATAGGAGCCAATGAGATTTCTTGCAAATCCAGTTACAGATTAAGTCCACTGGTTCTCTTCCCTTAACATCTCTGTGCTCTATTTCCATCTCTCTGTCTCCACAGCTACTGCCTTCATCTGGCTTTCAGTAACTCTTCTCTTCTTTATCCCTCTGCCAGTCTTCCTTATTCTAATCCATCATGGAGCTGGCCAAGGACAATCTTTCTAAACATGATTCCTTTCACTAGCTCCCAATGCACATGGTAAGACAGACAGGGTGGAGAACACACGCTTTCATGGGTTATTCAAGACCCTTCCAGATTTAACCCATGCTCTCCTCTCCTTTGGGACCTCTTATCACCCTGATCAAGTTGCCTATGTCTCGACTACACTCATCAACCTGCAGTTCCCGACTCAACAGGTGGGTTCACACCTCCATTTCCCTGTTCACTCTGTAACTTCTGAAGAGAATTTCCATTGCCACTTGTTTGCATTTCAAGGCTCACCTATAGTGTCACATCCTTTCTAAAGCCTCTTGTCCTCTTCTCCCTCAAGCAGATTTGACCATTTTCTGTAGTGACTACTATGGGGGACTCTATTGACAGGACTTGTAAAACCATTTATTACTCTTCCTTGTCAGTGTCCACACTGGATCTAGGCCCTATTAGTTCAGATGTCTATTTTATTTATCTCTGTATTTTTCCCATTCCTATGGTGTAAATGTGTCTCCCTTAAAGTGCATAAGATAAAATCCTAACCCCCAAGGTGATGGTTTTAGGAGGTGGAGCCTTTTGAGATGTGATTCAGTCATGAGGGTAGAGTCCCCATGATTCGGATTAGTCCCCTTTTAGAAGAGACTCCAGACAGCTGCCTTGCCCCTTCCTCCATGTGAGGACACAGTGAGAAGGCACTATCTATGGAGAATGAGCTCTTACCAGACATCAGATTGGCTGACACCTTGATCTTGGACTTCCCAGCCTCCAGAAATGAGAAATGAATGTCTGCTGTTTACAAGCCACTAAGTCTATGGTATTTTGTTATAGCAGCTCAAATGGACTAAGACACCTTCCCAGCACAAGGCCCTCACACATTGTAGGCACACAGTAAATGCATGTTCAATTAGTTAAGGTGACATGAATTGGACTGGCCATTATCACACAATCCACAAGTTTTGACAGGTCAGACCAGTTCTCATTCTTCCTCCTTCTCTGCTTCTCCTCACACTCAGTTTATTCCCTTCCTACCCCCTGAAGCCAGTTTTAAAAAAAAAACCTGATTTTCAGACATCTCTCTCTTCCTCTATTAACAATGGTTTTATTATATTTCAAATAAAATCTAACTCCTTATTAGTTAGGAATGTTCATATCTAAACTTTTGCCAGTCTCATAGCTGTATGTACATGGCTAGACATATTTATCAAGGCATTATAGAAAATACAGGTGATAATTTGTACATGACCAAATTTACCTCCTTAGTTTGATCTACAAAGTCCTACATGACTTGGTTCCTGACTTCTGTTACTTTATCTGGGCCACTCCCCACTTCCTCACCACATTCCAGCACCCTCTTCTTCTTTTATCTCAAACACACCAAACTCAATCCCCCTGTCAGGCCTTTTGCACTGGGTGTTCCCTTTCTCTGGGATGCTCCCTGCCTCCCTCTGCTCAGTTTGCATCATGAGACATTCTGATAATTCAGGGCTAAGCAAAAATGCCACTTCTCAGAGGAGAAATTCCTGATAAATTCACCCCTACTCCAATGATTTTTGGTGCCACTTATCACTATTTATAAACAAGATGTTTATTGATTTATTCCCTTGTATACTGTCTTATTTCTGTGTATAAGAATGTAATGATGGCTAACACATAGCTCCCATTACATGCCGGCCATTGTTCTAAGTGCTTTCATGTGTATTGCCCACTTAGTCTTTACAAGAGCCCATGAGGAAAGATCTGAAGTAGAGAGGGGTTGAGTAATTTGTCCAAGGTCTCAGTCCTCTTAATCACTGTGCTGTGCTGCTCGATGTGTGGATGTGGATCTTATGGATTCTGTTCGCTACCATATTTTGGTTCTAAAAGGATATTGTTTATATCCTTATGATCCAGGAAATGCATGAGTGAATAAATGAAAACAGTACTGAATATGCTGCCTCTCCTTATTTTAAGAGATGTTGGTATTGCATTTCAGTGAAAGAAGTTATAAAGAGGTAAAGTGAAATGCTTTTTGGTTTAAGTAAATTATCTTTATTCTAATTCTCTGGATATACTTTTCTAGACATGAATCTGAAATCACTCTACCCCAAAACAACAATAACAACAACAACAACAACAACAACAGTCTTTGTTTAAGCTAGAGTAGCAGTGGAAAAGTTCACTCTATTCTTGGGAAGACATAAAACTTCACTTGCTATGCTCCATGAAGTATCCAGAATAATTCTATGCATAGCCATTAAAGAACTCTATAAAAGGCACTGAATGTTGAGACCACTCAAGCAATCTGATTGCTTAATTAAATGTCTAGAAATGCTCAATATGTGCCAATTGAAACTGTATCACCCATAAAAAACAGCGACATGCTTTCTCTTTTTCTTTTAATTTTTGGTTTATAATAGCAATAACAACGTTGGCTGTGGGCATTTCCTGGAGATTAATGACTGGTTAGGCTTTATGGCCCGGACTGCTTCTCCTGTGGACAATCAACTCCTCCCCACTTGTCGTTCATCCACTGAAAAGCACCACACAGCTCCCTCTGGTTTGTTAAGGAATGTCAGTATTTGTCAAAGCTGGTGGGGATTGGTTTGTGAATAGTGATTTGTGGATTCTTGGAAACTCTCTGGCAATATTGACATCTGCGAAGAAGACAGGTTCCTGACTAACCTCAGAGGTGGCCTTTGATACACTCAGTGTATACACAAGAGCTCGCTTTCCTCCACTGAACATTTCAGTGTGATGGTTTAAAGGGGCTTACAATGAATTTTTCTGCTGTCGAAGCTTTGTTCTTTTGTCTTCTGCTATGTGATTTTCTTAAACCCATGTATGGACATAAAATGCTTTGAAATCACAGAAAAAAAGCCTCTTTTGAAGTCAAAGATGTTGATGGCTGCATGTAAGGAAATGGTTCTGAATACGTATAGCACAATACAAGCAAGTTAAGTTTCCTTCACCCCATCTCGGTGAGGCTAAGACTGCTGGAAAATCTACAACTGGTTGCAATTTTAATTGTGATTCTTTGCTTCTTAATTGCCAAAAGAGAGACTTAATTTAAAACATGAACACGCTCTCTCCAGTTCCAGAATGTCAACGTAGCAAATCTTTAGCTACTCCTTCCCATTTGTCAACAGCAATGTCACAGTGTTGTCAGCCTGTGTTGTAAGTATGGCCTTGAGTTTTGTCCACTATAATAATGATATTAGCACCAAACATTTGAATAGTGCTTTAGAACTTACAGAATGCTTTCTAGGGACACATGATCAATCTTGTTTTCCAGATGAGGAAACTGTTCTGAGAGATAAAGTGACTTGCCCAAGATCATATATTCCATAAGTAGAGGAGGTATTCCACATTTTCTGATTCTAAATTCAGTCTTTTCTCAGATCTTCCTATTTCCTGTCTTCCAAAGAGAGCTCATCATACACTTTTTAAAATCCCTTAAGTAATTTCTTTTTTTTCTATGTGAGAGTAAGTGACGGGCCTTAAACAATAACAGTTGCTACTGTTTATTGTTAACTATGGACACACATTTCACATATATTATTTCATTCTATCTTCACAGTTCAGTGAGGCAGGAACTATCACCATATTACAGGAGAGAAGACTGTGGTTCAACAAGGTCAAACATTCTAGTGGACTCAGGCTCTGTAGATGAGCCTCCAAAATCCATAATCTTTTGGCTGTGCTGTCATGTTACTCAACAGAGACTATCCTCTGTGGGAATTTGATGGTTTGGTAAGTTTATTTCTGTTGCTTAATATCAAATATGGCTGTTCAGTGAGTCAAGAATGAAACCTTTGAGAGCTCAGGACCAATAATACTGTTGACTACAAGAAGATGAAAATAGCCCACCTGAATGGTAGCCAGAATGGAGCTCTCTTTAAAGGTGGTATGGGGTGGGCTTTGGCATTCCTCTTGATTATGACAGGAATAGTTAATTTGACAAATGTCTTCATTTTTTAAATTTTTCCTAATTGTGACATCAAGTGATATATATATATATATATATATCGAGAGATATATATCTCAAGTGATATATATACCAGGTGGTTGGTTGTCGTATCATGGGACAGACATCTGCAGGTTTTGTGATTACCAGGCTTAAACCTTAGCAGGGCATAGTTTAAAGACCCATTGGGCTACTAGGAACTAGATAAATCCTTTACTACATCCCTTACATTCTTTGTAGTAAGGAGACTAAAACCTAGGAAGGCTGGATTACTTTGCTCAAAGCCTTTAAGCAAGTAGTGGTTTCATTTTGTTTCCTGGAGATAAGTGATTGCTGAGTTTTGTAGCTGCTCTGGGAATTATATTTGTACTGTAGAGAATGAGATAGACCCAGGCCCTGCGCTCGAAGAGCTTAATATGTGAAGTCAGAGGTTAGAATCTTTCTTTTAGCATCATTCAATAATCAACTAAACATGTTATTATTATTATTATTATTTTTGAGACGAAATCTCACACTGTTGCCCAGGCTGGAGAGCAGTGGTGCCATCTCGGCTCACTGCAACCTCTGCCTCCCGGGTTCAAGTGATTATCCTGCCTCAGCCTCCCGAGTAGCTGGGACTACAGGCACCCGCCACCACGCTCGGCTCAGTTTTTGTATTTTTAGTAGAGATAGGGTTTCACCATGTTAGCCAGGATGGTCTTGATCTCCTGACCTTGTGATCCGCCCACCTCGGCCTCCCAAAGTGCTGGGATTACAGGCGTGGGCCACGGAGCCCTGCCCATGTTACTCATTTTAAAGCTATGCTCATGTCTTCACTCACCCTGAGTCCTTGCTGGTCATGTATGTATCACCATGTTCTTGTGATACAGCACCTGGGATGTCAGCTACACATAGGTAATAGCCAGGGAGTTTCCCTTTTAACCTGATGAATTGGAGTGCGATAAGAGACAGACCTTGAAAGTGCCCTTCATATACTTCTGGGCTGGAATTAGGACTGGGCAACTTGGTGCCTCCCTAATGCTTTCTTTTCCCTCAGAGCTCGACTCTAGTGCTAATCTCCTGCGGAGGGATAAGAAAGCGACGGGATCACTGCTTCCTTTGAAGGCTTCACTTGCCCACTTCCTCCCTACCCTGCCTGTCTCCTCCCTTTCAGGGAGTTTCATTCTGTGATGGTCCCACTGGGCCATTTTGTTCCTCTGGTGTCCCTGACAGACATCAGGGCTCCCCCTGAAGGTTAAAGCGAGGAACAGGGCAATGTGGTCAAAACTGCATCCAGCAAGGATTGAAGATCTTGAGAAATGAGATTGTTTTGTCAGTTTTTCAAGTTGTTAATTTATATGATTTTATTACACAGCCTCAGGAGAAAACAAAAATAAAACCAAACAAAAACAAAATTAAAAAATAGCACCTTGGAACTCCAGAGTCCACGGTAATTTATTTTCTCCGAAGAGCTTTCTCCTGTGGTTTCTCACTCTGGAGAACTTGATTTGCCATCAATATTTAAGATGAAAATAAAGTAGTTCTTCAAAAATGAAGATCACCTAAAACACAGTGCTACTTAAATGTCAAGGAGCCATTATGTTTAATAACATTTTTTAAACTATTAAAGTTGAGTGGTTACTTTTTATTTTGCATTTAGTCACTCATGGGAGATATTTATTTAGTCTTCTATGCTGCAAATGGTGATGATGTTAGTAGAGAAAATTCTCATTCTGAATAATGGTCTTATTTATATCATATCTTACCAAGGAATGAAAATGTACAAACTGTTAAAAGAGTGAGAATACTGTGAAAATTATGACCTTAAGACTATAGAATTATGAAATCAAAAAATGTGATAATTAGTTTGTGTTGGTGAAATGGCATATACTGTATATGTGTTTTAACCACCTTTAGGGGAATGGGCAACCTTAAAAACAAATAAAAAGATCTTAAAATTTCTTGTCAATCAATTTAGAATACAATACCATCCAGTCCCCTTCCATGACATAATCAAACACGCAAGAGCTGAAAGGAAAATATGGAATATAAATATCAATGAGATTCTTTCACTCCTATGTGTTAATTTATGAAGCAATTTTTAAATAGCCGTTTCTCTTTTTTTTTCAGAACTCCTTTATTTTCATTTTAAACATTTATGGTAAATCAAGCTCTCCAGAGACTAGTGCCTGGCAGTTACTTAAGAAAAATATTTAGTAATTTTGTGGAAATCTTGCAACCTTTTCTTTAACTTTTTAATCTCCTATCAGATGCATTAAATTTTTGATGATAGCTATAAACTAGAGAAAAATTGCAAATTCCATACAAAAATGGCGTTATCTTTGGAATCTTTGTTTTTTCTGAGTACAAATCAGAAATGCAGAATGTGTTGAGGACACAGTAGAGGGCACAGATGTGTGCTGCAGGGAGCTAAAACATGCAATTCTTATGTAGACAGCATCTGATCCCTTAACATTTGTGATTCCGAAGTCCCCTGATCCTGGATATCACGTGGATGATAACCTTTAATGAAAAAGGCCACCACTTACGGGGTGTCTACTGTATGTTGCATATTTACCAATTTGGTCAGGTAAGATTTTTTTGGGTGTAAGTGACAGAAAAATCAAATAGGTATTGACTCTATCCAGGATTCAAACAATATCACCTGGAGTTGACGTTCCTCCACTTCTCAGCTGTTTCTTTGGGTTGTTAGATGTAATCCTGCAGTCAGAGCAGTGTTTCTTAACCTCGGCACTATTGACATTTTGGGACAGAAAATTCTTTGTTGTGGGGGGCCATCCTATGCGTTGTAGAATGTTTAGCAGCACCCCAGCCTCTATCCATTAGATGAGAAGAGCAGCTTTCCCAGAGTTATGACAACCAAAAATGTTCCCACATATTGCCAAATGTCCCCTGCAGGTCATTGACAGCCACCAGAACCACTGGAATAAATTAACATGGCGCCAGGTGCTCTTGAAGCTGTATCTTTCCTGATGCAGACCAAGCAGAGAAAGACTTCTGTCCCAGAATTCTCAGGGAAAAACATTATGAGATTCACTCCTACTGGAGCTACTCAGGAAGGTGGACCACCCTCAAAGCAGTTGCCCTAAAATCACCCCTGAAGCCAGCTGAGATTGGCAGGCCCAAGCCATGTGTTCCACTCTAGGGATGGGAATGGAGCACCAGTCATACCATGTGGATGAGAGCTGGGTAGAGAGAGACTATCACCCAGTGAAAACCAGGGGAACAGCTGTGAGAGGGGTAGAAGGTGGGTGAGGCAAACAGCAAATGTCTACTTGCAGAAAAGTGACCTCACTTAATTTCACAATAAGTGAGGCACAGAGAGAATAGGTAAATTGCCCAAGGTCATACAGCCAATGCATGGTCAGATATACAGTTGTTTTATTATATGAATCAAAGAATGGGAAACAATGCCTTTCTTTCTGCAATCATAGAGCTGTCGAGAGTTAAAAATTCATGTCCAGGTGTATTTGCAGTGTCTTTCTGAAGCAGAGTAGGATATCTGCTCTCAGTAGCCTGACTTAAAAATTAAAATATATTTCTCCCCAGTTACAGTATCATAAGTGGTCAAACGATGTATTTATAATACTGCCACATTAGTGTTAACACCTACTTCTGGTTCATTATGAGTTAAATAGGCTTGTTTGTTAATTTAGAAAACCAGTCATAACGTATGAAATTGTTTCTATCAAAAAAATGCATTCTGAATACTAAACTATCAGCTTACCAATGAACTTCTGGAAAATGCAGTACCTTTCTAAGCTAGGGGTTGCATGTGTTATGAAGCTGACACTGTACTTTTAGGTGATTCATTTCTTCCATGAGACTTGAAGTATTTGCTCAAAGTTTCAAGCCACTGGTTGAATTTCTAATAATAATGAAATTTACACAAGTTCCCATGTTACAGAACGGAAAATGACCCAAATCTAAGAATACATGAAACAATGAGAAGTTGCACAGTGAGCTCCAGGGATCTACCTGTCACTTGCCACCTATATTCCCATTTTTAATCAAAGGTCTTTGTTAATCATATCTGGACAGGTTATAAGTCACTATATCTTAAGAGATTTCAACTCAATATTGAGCTCAAAGTTGATTTATTTACATTAGGCAGAAAGGAAACATGATTGTTTTTACTTGTGAAATGCATTGGCTTCACTTTAAAGCTGCCCAAAGCCCTGAAAGCAGAGAGAGAAAGAGAGAGAGAGATCCCTGCCCTTCCTGAGGTTAGAATTTTAGACTTGTCTTTGGAAGTGCAGTACTTGTTATAAAATTTTCTTAACCTGTCTCCCACCCACATCTTCGACAATTTAACAAATTCCCTTTAAATAGGCTGCCATTTTGCACTGTTGCCATCTACTTGTCAAGTTTTAAGCTACTCTTTTGCATAAGATGATGTTAATGAGCAGGGAAATCCCATTACTTAAATTTAGTGAAACTTTAGCTCACTCAAGGGGCCTCTTTGGTAAGTTTTTCTCTTTAAGAGATGATGTGAAAATGTCTATTTAAAATAAGGTTAAGAGCATTACTGCAGTAATTTTTACTTTTAAAAACGGGTACCTTTGGAAACACATTTATATCAAGAATGTTCAAGAATTGCAGAAAACAGCTGCACACAATCTTGACAAAAATAGCTTTAGCTTTCTATAATTTTTGCACTGTTTAAGGACTGCACTAAAGGAATTTGAAATCAAGATGATTGACATTATGCTTTTCTTTAATGCTGCAGACATGGGCTTTAAAAAAAAAAGTACTCTGCACGCAAAACCTAATTGCTCTCTGCTTCTGCAAAGGGTTCCCTTCAATATAATTGCATTTTCCTGATATAACTGATTAAAATAAATTAAATGAGCCACTCACTTATTCTTCCAGTTTGCAAACTTTGAAATTTTTAACAGGGTTTTTATACAGGCATACATTGTGCAACTCTACAAACTATTTAGTAAAGTGTATTATAAGTACACTTTTGAAAACCTAGATAACAAGTTCTTAATAAAAAGAAAAGATGACACAATGTCTAGCCCAGGGGCCATCAAGTAAATCTCTTCTGATGCCTTTTCAAGACAGCCGGTTCTTACCAGCTTTGTCTAGGCCCTCTGTAAGATGGGAGCTGCCTTCGGTGAAATTTATATTTCTTCTGATTTGTTTGCATCACCATTTGGTAAATGTTGATGAAGGAGAGGCAAAGTTCTTGGGCTGGGCTTCCATTTCCATGTTCTTTCATGATCCTTAGCTTTACTATTAAAAAAAAAAGTATCTGTATCTATAGTATGTGTGTATATTACATTATTAATTATATTATGTATATGTGTATGTTTTACAAAGATGGGCTTGTTTCAAGACTTTTTATAAGTCCCAACTAAGCTTTCTTGTGATTTATGCATTTATGAACACATGTATTATTTTAGTGGTAAATCGATGTCATTTACACTACAGAAAATATATCAGAGTTTATAAATATGTTGCAAAATAATAGCTACTTGGCTTAAAGTAACTTATTGAGTATGTGGCAGTTGTTAAAAGAAAGAGTTCATGCATTGATCAATGGAACGACTGCAGAGTGACCATAAACCAAAATGGGAAGGGAGAATAGAAAGAATAGAAATCGTGGTAGAAGACAGAGTGGCAGACGAAATATTGGAAATAATCTACTCATTTTCAGTTTTCTTTCTAAATAACATCATATCTCACTGTGTCTTTTGTCACCAGGTGTTATAAACCTTAAATATGTGTGTGTGTGTGTTTTTTTTTTTCTCTGAGAAATTTTGAGGGAGTTAAGGAGACCGAGCTCCTCAAGTCTTTAAACATTCTGGTCAGGTTTCCTCCAGGGGCTTGCTGCTGGAAGAATGTCTTATGGGTAAATTTCCACTCTCAGCAGGGAGTGTTTTGCATGAACTGACTCCCAGGAGAATATGTTATTTTATTCCATACAACAAAGCCCAGGCAGTGACTCATATTAAACTGACCAGGATGGGGGAGGGGAAACATTGACCTGGAGGGAGTTGAGGGGAGGGTAGAGGACACAATTTACTTTCTAAAAACTGACTACAGCTCTCTGGGAAATGAAAAAGCTCTGAGGTTTCTGTGTTTCCTTGTGATGTCTTTGTATAAAAAGTATTTGCAATGTGTCATAAGGATTTTCTAAGACAAAATGAAGATTCTCAGTCAAGGGAAGAAAACCCAAGACTTTCTTAGACAAAAAGTAAGGAAACTGTCTTTCTCACCTACAGTTGTTAGTTATAATATCAGCTATAATTGATAGGATGGATATGGCTAATTTAATAAAGCCAGTTACTGCTCAGCACAAGAAACAAGACTCATAAAGATACTGATTTTAAAGGAAAGCCATTTCTTGCCTGGATTTGCATGTTTCAATGCGACACAACGTAAACATGGATTCTTCTCACAATAGCTAAAACAACTTGAATCTCAAATACCTTTCCTTTTTAAAAAGGTTAGAGACTCACCAACTGTTACTGCCCTGATGTTTTCTATTGTTAGAGGGCTGCTTCTTGATAAAATGATACAGCTGTGCAATTCGATCCTTTTAATTATCTTTTTTATTATTACAACATGCACCAGGGTCCTAAACTTCTGAGGATTTATTGATAAGGGCGTCTTCCACTTGTACTGCCCCATTTTATTGCTGTTTTTATAATGGTTTCTAACTAATAAAATGTTATCTTATTCATTTTGTTTATGTGTAATAAATCAGAAGCCTTTCCCCTTCTTCGGCTAGGCAGATATGGGTGTGCATGGGTAGGGGAGATTGTCTCAATATGTTAAACCAATGATGTGTTTTGCATACAAATAGAAACTAGTACAAGAGCATTTCATTAAGGAAAGTATCGCTGTTTCTGCATGACCTAGGGAAAATTAATATTCTAAATACAAAATCATGTGACTTGGGGTTTTGCCTCTTTCCAGCAATCAAAGCCGTGAAAAGCTGTCTGGAATAAAGCTTAGGTTTCTTCTTCATTCCTATGAGCCATATTATTTCCTTGTTGAAGAAAAGATACAATGGAAAAAATAGTGTGTGCAGTTTTTAGGCAGCTTTATATTCTGGATGTTATATTCATTCAACAGATATTTATTAAACCCTTGAGATGTGTCAGACACTGTGGTAGGTACAGGAGTGAACAAGAGACATGGTTCCTGCCCCCAGACAGCTTATATTTTTATGGGGGGAAACAGATACCAAACAAATGATTATGTCAATGAATATGTAATTTCAATTGTGATAAGGGTTGGGAAGGAAAAGCTCAAGAAATTGAGACAGTATATTGCATTAGGATTCATTCACTCATTCAGATGACTTTTCATTTTCTTGCTTTATTCAAAGACAAGGAAGGCACCACTGCAGCCTGGTGAGGGAGGCTTGCCCTTGCAGACTGTCTCCTGGGGGCCCCTGAGACACTGGGTAGCAGTTCACCCAAAGGAGTAGGCAGGACGTGGTGCTGAGAGGAGGAGCTGCCATGTTATCTGAGAGCTGAAAAGTTTTCCGGGCACAAGACCACATGGGCAAAGGCAAGGGGAAGGGCAGGGCATGCTTTCAGAGGAGAGTGAATAGTTCTAGGAAACCAGGGGAGGAGACCTGCAAGGTTTGGAAGTAAGCCTGGAAAATCAGGCTGAAGGCAAGTGGTGAAGAACGTTGTGTGCTTTGCTGACGCATTCAGACTTCATTCTGAGAGCTGCGGGGGCCTGTAGGAATTTAAAGAGGGAGGTCATAGTGGACATATTCAGTTACCGATAGAGCATCCATCTGTCCATTTCCCCTTCCTGAGAGTAGTTCCACTTATTTTCAGGTAGCTACCCATCTCCCAATAGCCCATATGCTCCAGGGGAAGTTGAACCAACCTCCAGCTGCAGGGCTTGACCCTATTAAGAATCATCAGAACCCTCTTAATACTATTTAATAGCCCTCTTAATACTTCTCTGGACCTGATTGGACTGGCCATTTTGGCCGAGGCCAATCAGCTCATGACTTCACTTTGGCTACAGGACCCAATTTAGGAATAAGTATATGACCAATTCCTGGCAGTTAGATGCAAAGGGGGGATCTGTGGGAAAATTCTGGGAAAGCAATTTCTTTTCTCTTAACAGAGCCATTGAACAAGATGCCTTTTCTTCTTATGAAAGCCAAGGGGTACAGATGTGGAGCCCAGATTGCTATAGCCAGCATGCTGTCTGGTTGCCGACCTCAAGCTGAAGCTCTCACCCCCAGTAAAGTACAGTCTGCATGGTTTTGTATGCCCCTTACTCACATGTGATCCTAGGTAGGATACACAGTGGAGATTAATCATTGTAAGTACCTCACAGGAGGTTTGGCAGGGTGCGTGGCTCATAGTAAGTGCATAATAAATGTTAATTATTTTTATTCATTTATTAAATACTTACTGAGAGTCTGCTATGTCCAGGCACCATGCTAAGTACTAAGGATAGACAGTAAGCAAGAAAGACACAATCCTTGCCCTCAGGGTATGACTTATCTTTTATTTGTCACTTGCAGGGATTTTGTCATTCTCCATATTGCAGTTAGTGACCGATGTGTACTTTACTCATGTTTATATCCACCCATGGTGCTTAAGATGGTGGCTTATAGGTGGTGGAAACTCACTGAATGTCTACTGAAAGGAAATGCCAAAATAAACATGCATCATATGCCTTGTAAGTGCAAACCCTGAGCCAACCCACAGTGGCAATACTCATGGAGAGACTGTGTAGTTCAGTGGTTAGAGGAACTGGTGTTTGTTTCAGAAAGGCTTTCCTTTAAATTCTGGCTCTGATGCTCAATAGCTCTGTGACCCTGAGCATGTTACTCTTTCCTTGTCCTTAATATGATAATACCTGTCTCATTAGGGGTGCTATGAGGGATTAAATGAGATGGAAATTATATATATTATATACTATACATAGTGTATTGCCTAGAAGTACGCAATATATTATATATTGCACATAGTGCATTGCCTGGAAGAAAGTCACCTCAATAAATTACAGTTCTTTGTTATTTGGGTATTTCACTGACATGAAATATTCACTTTGTATTCATTTGGGTATTTTATTTTAACAAACTTTAGTCATTTTGATTCCCCAGCTTCTGGATACTTTCCTATTTGAGCAGAAGCCCAAGGAGGGGGCAAGTATTTCCTGTCTCTACTGGCTAACAGCTAGATCCAGGGCCAAAACTTGAGTGTGAGTAAGAAGAAGCTTCTGTCTAGGACTTTGAATAATGAGAGAATGATGTGAAGAGACATTATCCATGGCATCTGTGCTGGACTCAGGAGATCACTGGTGTAGAGTGAATGTCCAGGGCAAATGAGTCTAGCAGCATGGAATGGGTTGGGAGGGAGCACATGGCCGGTAGTGATGGGGCAGGATCCTGGCTCTGCTCACAGACTCTTGAGCCTAGTTCCTCTGCCTTCAGATCCATTCCTTGAACATCCCAACACCATTTATTCATTCCCTTCCTGTGTAAATCAACCAGAGTTGCTTTCTGTTGTTTGCCACCAATGACCTTAGTTGCATTTGTGATTGCATAAATGCATCTAACATTTGCATTCTATGAAATGTGAGAACTTCTAAACCAGAAATTCAAATTTTGTACTTTTATGGCATTAATGGAATACCTCATGAGTTACTGAAGGTTATTTGTGTTATTAAAAAGTAAACTTGAAAAAAAATCAATATGAAATCTTCTCACTAAACCATTAAAAGCCAGATACCCAGCAGTGAGGCTACCATATAGAAATAACCTTATTTTATATTTCTTGAGCTTGGCTAAAATCCAGACATGACGCTGCTCAGATAATGTTATTTTCAATGTGTCATCTTATTCGTGGCAATCTTCACTGTATGTGTAACTCAAGAAAATATTGACTACAAGCCAATCCATGGGCCAAAGCCTTAAATCTAAACTCTGTCCCAACTTTTTACTTTAGCTTACTTTTAACTTTTGAAATGTAGTCTTTGTAATAGGCATTGTCTCAGTTTTAGAGGAGGGGGTCTTCTGTCAACAATATTTAGATCAGTTGTAGTTAAAACTTTTTTTTTTCCTATCTGGAATGTGATTTTAATAGAAGATTCTATTTGAATAAACCCAGAGTCCAGAGGCTACATGGTTTTTATGCTACTGCTCTCAGGGAAGATTGGAGGCTTCCATTGCTCATCATCTCTTCTGTGATAAACAATATACAGAGCAAGATAGAAACAGTGATGAATTCATGGACAAAAACAAATTAAACAAATTTGAGACGAGAAAAAGGGGAATCATGGCAGACAAGGGGCAGGACTAGATTGCAGCTCTGACTCAGATGGACAGAGCAGTGTATGGAGGCTCGCATCATGAATTTTAGCTACAGAACGACTGCAGGAATAAACTAGGAAACCCGAGGGGGCCACAGACCCTCCGAAGGAAGCAGATTGCTCCTGCAGGACCCAGGAGATACCCCAAATATGCTGAGTGCCCAAACTGCAGGAGTGGGGAAGGGAGATTGTTTACCTCTAAACACACATCCCCACTGGGGAAACTGAAGGTCTAGATTACGGGAGAAGATTTTGGCTTTATCTGGAGCTCAGCCAATTTAGAGAGCCAAGCGAGGTACAGAAGTAGAGGAAGCAGTGGAAAAGGCCCTGTGAGCTCGCTGGGTCCCCAAGCTGGTCATTCCTACCTGGCTTCACAGGAATCCTTTGGGAGGGCTGCCAGAGGCACTGGGAAAAGGCCACAGGGAGAAGGAAATTTCCAGCTGAACATTGTAACAATTTGAACTGATCAAGAAGCCTCCTGGTCAGAACTTGGGGAAGGGTGTGAATCCAGTGTGCAGATTCCACTGACTGGGGAAGAAGGAAATCCATACTTGCTTTCGCAGCTGGGAGGCAGGTAGCCTGGGGCAAGTTCTTAGCCCTGCTCACCCACTGCCTGGAAACAGGATTGGTGCTGTTGGGAGTAAGACTGGCACTCTGGGTTGTACAGGAGCTGGGTGAGGTCTGTAACTGCTGGCTATCCCCCACTTCCCTGACAACCTGCATGACACAGTAGAGATAGCCACAGTCCTCCTAGGAACATAACTCTGTTGATCTGGGAACCTCACCCCCATCCCCTACAGCAGCTGCAGCAAGACCCACCCAAGGAGAGTGTGAGCTCAGACATGCCTAGGCCTGCCCCCACCCAATGGTCCTTTCGTACTCATCCTGGTAACTAAGACAAAGGGCATATACTCTTGGAAGTTCTAGGGCCCCACCCACCATGTTTTTCTCCATACTACCACAGCTGATGCTCTCTGGAAAACGCCACCTCCCGGCAGGAAGCCAATCAGCACAAAAATAGTGCATTAAACCACCAAAGCTAAGAACCCACACAGAGTCCATTTGACCACCCTGCCACCCACACTGGAACAGGTGCTGGTATCCATGGCTGAGAGACCCACAGATGGTTCACATCACAGGACTCTGTGCAGACAGCCCCCAGTAGTAGCCCAGAGCCTGGTAGACTCCCTGGGTGGCTAGATCCAGAAGAAAGATAACAATCACTACAGCTCAGCTCCCAGGAAGCACATTCATAGGAAAAGGGGGAGAGTACTACATCAAGGAACACCCCATGGGACAAAAGAATCTGAACAACAGCCTTCAGCCCTAGACCTTCCCTCTGACAGAGCCTACCCAAATGAGAAGGAACCAGAAAACCAACTCTGGTAATGTGACAAAACAGGGCTTTTAACCCCTCCCCCCACCCCAAAAAAATCACACTAGCTCACCAGCAGTGGATCCTAACCAAGAAAAAATCCCTGATTTACCTGAAAAAGAATTCAGGAGGTTAGTTATTAAGATAATCAGGGAGGCACCAGAGAAAGGTGAAGCCCAATGTAAAGAAATCAAGAAAATGATACGAGGTGAAGGGAGAAATATTCAATGAAATAGATAACATAAATAAAAAACAATCAAAACTTCAGGAAATAATGGACACACAGAAATGGAAAATGCTCTGGAAAGTCTCAGCAATAGAACTGAACAAGTAGAAGAAAGAAATTCATAGCTTAAAGACAAGGTCTTTGAATTAACCCAATCTAACAAAAACAAGGAAAAAAGAAAAAGAAAATGTGAACAAATCCTCCAAGAAATCTGGGATTATGTTAAATGACCAAACCTAGGAATAATTGGTGTTCCTGAGGAAGAAGAGAAATCTAAAAGTTTGGAAAACATATTTAGGGGAATAATTGAGGAAAACTTCCTTGGCCTTGCTAGACACCTAGGCATGCAAATAAAGAAGCACAAAGAACACCTGGGAAATTCGTTGCAAAAAGATCATCACCTAGGCACATTGTCATCAGGTTATCTAAAGTTAAGATGAAGGAAAGAATCTTAAGAGGCAAAGGCACCAGGTAACCTATAAAGGAAAACCTTTCAGATTATCACAGATTTCTCAGCAGATGCCCTATAAACTAGAAGAGATTGTGACCCTACCTTCTGCTTCCTCAAACAAAACAATTATCAGCCAAGAATTTTGTATCCAGCAAAACTAAGCTTCATATATGAAGGAAACATACAGTCGTTTTCAGACAAACAAATGCTGAGAGAATTCGCCACTACAAAGCCGCCACTGCAAGGACTGCTAAAAGGGGCTCTATATCTTGAAACAAATCCTGGAAGCATATCACAACAGAACCTCTTTAAAGCATAAATCTCACAGGACTTTTACAACAAAAATACAATTTAAAAAACAAAAACAAAAAATGACAGGCAACAGATAGCACTATGAGTGGAATGGTATCTCATATCTCAATACTAACATTGAATATAAATGGCCTAAATGCTCCGCTTAAAAGATACAGAACTGCAGAATGGATAAGAATTAACCAACCAACTATCTGCTGCCTTCAAGAGACTCACCTAACACATAATGACTCACATAAACCTAAGGTAAAGGGGTGGAAAAAGACATTTCATGCAAGTGAACACCAAAAGTGAGCAGGAATAGCTATTTTTATATCAGACAAAACAAACTGTAAAGCAACACCAGTTTAAAAAGACAAAGAGGGACATTATTGGTAAAAGGCCTTGTCCAACAGGAAAATATCACAATCCTAAACATATTTGCATCTACACTGAAGCTCTCAAATTTATAAAACAATTGCTAATAGACTTGAGAAATGAGATAGACAGCAACATAGTAATAATGGGGACTTAAATACTCCACTGACAGCACTGGACAGGTCATCAAGACAGAAAGTCAACAAAGAAACAATAGATTTAAACTATACCCTGGGACAAATGGACTTAACAGATATATACAGAACATTCCATCAAACAACTGCAGAATATACATTCTATTCAATGGCACATGGAATTTTCCCCAAGATAGACCATGTAATAGACCACAAAATGAGCCTCAATAAATGTAAGATAGTTGGAATTGTATCAAGTACTCTCTCAGACCACAGTGGAATAAAAAAGGAAATCAACTCCAAAAAAAACCTTCAAAACCATGCAAATACATGAAAATTAAACAACCTGCTCCTGAATGAGCATTGGGTCAAAAATGAAGTCAAGATGGAAATAAAAAAATTATTTGAACTGAATAGCAATAGTGATAAAACCTATCAAAACCCCTGGGACACAGCAAAAGTGATGCTAATGGAGAGTGCATAGCCCTAAACGCCTACATCAAAAAGACTGAAAGAGCACAAACAGACAATCTAAGGTCACACCTCAAGGAACTAGAGAAACATGAACAAACCAAACCCAAACCCAGCAGAAGAAAGGAAATAACCAAGATCAAAGCAGAACTAAATGAAATTGAAACAAAAAAATACAAAAGATAAATGAAACAAAAAGCTGGTTCTTTGAAAAGATAAATAAAACTGATAGACCGTTAGCAAGATTAACCAAGAAAACAAGAGAGAAAATCCAGATAAGCTCAATAAGAAACAAAACAGGAGATATTACAACTGATACCACAAAAATATGAAAGATCATGCAAGATTACTATGAACACCTTTACATGCATAAACTAGAAAAACCTAGAAGAGATGGATAAATTCCTGGAAAAATACAACCCAACCCTCCTAGCTTAAATCAGAAAGAATTAGATACCCTGAACAGACCAATAACAAGCAGTGAGATTGTAATGGTAATTTAAAAACTACCAACCAAAAAAAAAAAAATCCAGGACCAGATGGATTCATAGCAGAATTCTACTAGACATTCAAAGAAGTATTGGTGCCAATGCTATTGACACTATTTCATGAGATAGAGAAAGAGGGAACCGTCCCTAAATCATTCTATGAAGCCAGTATCACCCCTATACCAAAACTAAGAAAGGACATAACCAAAAAAAGAAAACTACAGACCAATATTCCCAATGAACATAGATGCTAAACTCCTTAAACAAATACTAGCTGACTGAATCCAACAACATATCAAAAAGATAATCAACCATGTTCAAATGGGTTTCATACCAGGGATGGTTAAACATATGCAAGTCAATAAGTGTGATACACCACATAAACAGAATTAAAAACAAAAATCACATGATCACCTCAATAGATGGAGAAAAAGCATTCAACAAAATTCAGCATCCCTTTATGATTAAAACTCTCAGCAAAATTGGCATACAAGGGACACACTTCAATGTAATAAAAGCCATCTATGACAAACCCACAGCCAGCATAATACTGAATGGGGAAAAGTTGAAAGTGTTCCCTCTAAGAACTGGAAAAAGACAAGGATGCTCACTCTCACCACTCCTCTTCAACATAGTACTAGAAGTCCTATCCAGAGCAATCAGACAAGAGAAAGAAATAAAGGGCATCCAAATTGGTAGAGGAAGTCAAATTGTCATTGTTTGCTGATGATATGATCCTCTACCTCAAAAACCCTAAAGACTCCTCCAGAAAGCCCCTAGAACTGATAAAAGAATTCAGCAAAATTTCTGGATACAAAATTAATGTACACAAATCAGTACCTCTTCTATGCACCAAGAACAACCAAGCAGAGAATCAAATCAAGAATTCAATCCCTCGTAAAATAGCTGCAAAAAATAAAATAAAATACAATACTTAGAAATATACCTAACCAAGGGGGTGGAAGACCTCTACAAGGAAAACTACAAAACACTGCTGAGAGAAATCCTAGATGAACAAACAAACGGAAACACATCCCATGCTCATGGAAGGGTAGAATCAATATTGTGAAAATGACCATACTGCCAAAAGAAATCTACAAATTCAACACAATTCCCATCAAAATACCACTATCATTCTTCACAGAATTAGAAAAAACAATTCTAAAATTCATATGGAATCTAAAAAGAGCCTGCATAGCCAAAGCAAGACTAAGCTAAAAGAACAAATCTGGAGGCATCATATTACCTGATTTCAAACTATACTATAAGGCCATAGTCAACAAAATAGCATGGTACTGGAATAAAAATATGCACATTGACCAATGGAGCAGAGTAGAGAACCCAGAAATAAACCCAAATACTTACAGCCAACTGATCTTTGACAAAGCAAACAAAAACGTAAGTGGGGAAAGGGCACTCTTTTCAACAAATAGTGCTGGGATAATTGGCTAGCTGCATGTAGGAGAATAAAACTGGATCCTCATTTCTCACCTTATGTAAAAATCAACTCGAGATAGATTACGGACTTAAATCTAAGACCTGAAACTATAAAAACTCTAGAAGATAACATTGGAAAAACCCTTCTAGAAATTGGCTTAGGTAAGGATTTCTTGACTGAGAACCCAAAAGCAAATACAATAAAACAAATATAAATAGCTGGGACTTAATTAAACTAAAGAGCTTTTGCGCAGCAAAAGGAACAGTCAGCAGAGTAAACAGACAACACACAGAGTGGGAGAAAATCTTCATAATCTATACATGGGACAAAGGACTAACATCCAGAATCTACAATGAACTCAAACAAATCAGCAAGAAAAAAACAAACAATTACATCAAAAAGTGGGCTAAGGACATGAATAGACAATTCTCAAAAGAAGATATCCAAATGGCCAACAAACATATGAAAAAATGCTCAACATCACTAATGATCAGGGAAATGCAAATCAAAGCCACAATGTAATACCACATAACTCCTACAAGAATGGCCATAATTTAAAAAAATCAAAAAACAGTAGATGTTGGCATGGATGCGGTGATCAGGGAACGCTTCTATACTGCTGGTGGGAATGTAAACTAGTGCAACCGCTATGGAAAACAGTGTGGAGATTCCTTAAAGAACTAAAAGTAGAACTACCATTTGATCCAGCAATCTCACTACTGGGTATCTACACAGAGGAAAAGAAGTCATTATATGAAAAAGACACTTGCATATGCATGTTTATAGCAGCACAATTTGCAATTGCAAAAACGTGGAATAAACTCAAATGCCCATCAAGTGGATAAAGAAACAGTATATATACGATTTCTGTATGTATTACACTTATGGTGTATATATACACATATATATACTCTGTGTGTGCGTGTATGTATATGTATATATATATGACGGACTAGTGCTCAGCCATAAAAAGGAATGAATTAATGGCATGCACAGTGACCTGGATGAAATTGGAGATTATTATTCTAAGTAGAGTAACTCAGGAATGGAAAGCCAAACATTGTATGTTCTCACTGATATGTGGGAACTAAGCTATGAGGACGCAAAGGCATAAGAATGATACAATGGACTTTGGAGACTTGGGAGAAAAGGGTGGAAGGGGGGTGTGGGATAAAAACCTACAAATAGGGTGCAATGTGTACTGCTCAGGTGATGGGTGCACCAAAATCTCACAAATCACCACTAAAGAACTTATGTAACCAAACACCACCTGTTCCCCAATAACCTATGGAAATTAAAAAAAATTATAAATGGAGATAAAAAATAAACACGGAAAAGGTGCAGTAAAAATATGGTATTATAATCTTATGGGACCCCTGCTGTATATGTGGTCTTCATTGACATTAATGTTGTTATGTAGAGAGTGACTGTATATGGAATAACTCATGAGGCTAACATTAGAAACCATTTGAAAAATAAAGTAATAAAAAACTCCTAAAAAATAAATAAATTCGAGGGACATTAGAGATGATCTAGTCTAGAGAAATCAAACAGCCTTTATTATGCATGCCAATTTTAATCATGGGTGGGGTTGCATGGAGTGCTGTTGAGAATATTTATGAAATTGCATCCAAATTCGGTGGGAAAGAGTACTGTAATCAACGAGTAATGTCTGTCATAGGAGGGCAGAGTCATGGTACATATGTCAATTATTTGTTCTCTGATCTAGTCCAAAACCTTCATCTCACGAATGAGGAACAAAACTCCAGAAAGGGGAGGAGCCTCTCCATGACTTGTTAGTTTATGATGTTCCTTTTCACAGATAAATGCTTCAGTTCTCCAATGATTCTTTATGGAATGTGATTTTAAGACCCTGGCCACACTTTGTTCTGTATACATTTCAGTTTGTTATGTGAGAACAGCAAGGGGTCCTGAGAGGCATTGGCTGTGGATTCCAGACATAGCTAGGTTTGAATCCTAGCTCATCTACTCCCCAACATTTCTGAAACTTAGCTGCCTCATCTTAAAACAAGATTGGTAATTATTTTATATCTATAGGGTTGTGACAATCCATTTATTCATTTCACAAATATTTCTTGTGCACTTGCTATGTGTCAATGCACTAGGGCTATAACAGTGAACAAAATAGGCAAAATCCTTTACCATCCCGAAACTAACTTTCTACTGGGTTAAATGAGATTTTATGTGTGTCTGTGTGTGTCTATTAACAAGTATCTGACACTTGGTGGCTACCCACTAATCACTGGTTCCCTTTCATCGCTTGCTGGCCCTGAACTCTACATACTTCTCTATGTCTGATGAGGGCAGAGCAGCTGGGCCTGATAATAACCTTCCTTTGTTAGGGACATGTACTAAATTTGGCTAAGAGCAACCTTAATTCACAGGAACTCTTGGGAGATAGTTCTTTTGCTCTGTGGGTCCTTTCCTAGCCTGAGTAGGGTATAACTGGCATCTACGGGTGGCCACAGATCATTGGCGCCCTGCCCTCAAATGGTAAGTTCAGCCAGGGTCTCTTTTGCATACCCATTGGATGTCAATTTCTTTGTCACTCTTTCTTCTAATTCTCTCCCTCCTTCTTACACACATAGAACAAAGGAAGAATGAAATTCATCAAGGACAAAGCCTGTCAGTGCTCAGAAAATCAGTCTCTCTCTCTCTTCCCCTCCCCCTTTTTTCCTTGCAAAAGAAGGAAGAACTCTAATGTCTAGCTGCTTACATCTCTTTCTTGAGCTTTAAGGGGGTTCTATTAGGAACAGAAGAAAGGGTAGAAGCCTCCCCTACTCACTTGCCTGCCTTGTAGTTGTGATTTGCACATCTTCTTCAAATTTCCATCCTGTACACTTTAGGAAAATAAAAGTGGCTACTCACCAAGAAAATACTAGGTAGTTAGTTTATAGATAGATTCAGTTCTTGTAGGGGAAAGACAAAACCTAAATACAATGGATTTAAAATGTAAAATGATTTCAGTGGACAGTTCCTAGAATCTGGAGAAATATATAGTTATAGAAACAGTTCTGGTAATGTGAACCAGAATTGGATTAATCTCCTTCTCCCCTAAATTTGATTATTTTCCCCAGGTAGTTCACACTCTTACAATGTAATGAAGAGCTAAGTGCCCAGGGGAATTTTCCATTTCCTCTCTTTCCTGCTTGGTTTTGGGTGTGCATGGAAAACAGTGCTTGTGGAAAATTTGGTTGTGGTCTGTTTCCTATGGTTCACATTCCAGGTGAAGCCAATTGGAAATTAGATGTCTATTTGAAGAGATGTATAGATTTTTTTTCTTCTATGCCAAGATAATGATGCTGTTGGTGTGAGGGAAAGTTGGAGGACATTTCCTAGGCACAAGATTTGAGGGTCTGGCACAAAGTTTGAGAGTGGTTTCCACATCTGCTTTTCACTTCCTGGTTGTGTAAGCAAAGAAAGTGGGAGGGGAGAGATCTTAGACATGTACAGCATCTTGCCTATGTGGAAAACTTCATAAACTTTCAAAGTGCTGCACTGCCAGCAGCATCCTCTGAATCCTGTAGGGGCCATGTGGAGGAGGCTGGGCAGAAATTATTTTCCCTGTTTTGTATTTGAGAAAATGGAGATGTGGCAGGGCAAAGTGCCTTGTTTACACTTACTCAGTAAGACAGAGGCAAGACCAGGATAAGAACCCACATCTCCTGCACTTCAACCAGGTCCTGTCCCACCTTCCTGCCGAGGGTGGCTTCACTTGTCCAGGAGCCTGGCACCTTAAAGCTCTTCTTGACAGTTGTTCCAGCTGCTGGTCCCAGTCTTGAGCTGTTGACCATCCAGCTGAGGGTCTCAAAATCTGTGACTGTTGCCAGTGCCTAAAGCTGAGCTAAACACGGACTTTTCTGTCTGTGTCCCAACAAACCCTAAACTAAAGAGGTCATTTGGGCTTCAAGCCACATGCTGATCCCAGAATCATAAGAGCTGTCTCTTCCATCCACTAATTTAAGTTGACTCATTGGCATTCCAGTTTTATCATAGGAAAAGTAATGATGAGTATTGTTTGTCTCATGGGATTGTTATAACTAAGGGAGAAAATTAATGTGAAGATGTTTTGTAAAGAATAAAGTACTGCATAAATGTAATTTATGCATGTATTACATAGCAGTTACTGTGTGCCAACCCCTGTTTTGAAAGCTTTACAAATATTAGCTCAAGTAATCTTCACAGTAACCCTATGAGCTAAATTTTATTACAATAATAATCCTTATTTTACACATGCGGAAACTGCTGGTCCATGTCCCACAGTTGACAAAAGTATATCTGGGATATGAACCCAGGAAATACATAGCAGACAATCTACATCCTCGACTGTAACCCCATGTTACCTGCAATATGTGATGATTATAACTATGATTAGAGATGTGGCTAGAAAAGGCACAACAGTTCTCACTTTTTCTCTTTTAAAAG
Source organism: Homo sapiens (assembly GCF_000001405.40). Taxonomy (NCBI): domain Eukaryota; kingdom Metazoa; phylum Chordata; class Mammalia; order Primates; family Hominidae; genus Homo; species Homo sapiens. The sequence continues at coordinate 17,154,701 of NC_000004.12, read as the reverse complement.
CCTGTGAAAAATAAAATTCAATTATGCAGAGAATGAATCAAGGATTGTTGAAGATAAAAGCAGAAATTAATAAATTATAAAAGAGAAAGATGCAGAAATGATAGACACTTTCAAGAGCTGATTCTTTGAAAAAAACATCCCGTAAAAGAAAGAAACTTCTTGAAGTCTAATGAAAAAAAAAAAAAAACAAGTAAAAGCACAACCACAAACACTAGAAATGATAAGATATATCATGTATTAGAGAGGAGGTGGAAAATGTGTGAATACATTATCTACAGTTCTATAGCAAGATGTGAAAAAATGTTCCCAGATCAATTTCCTAAGTTAATTTTGGTAATTTAGAATTTCTTAGGAAATTGACCAAAGAATATATATGTATATTTTTTTCTCATGTGTTGGCATAGGACATCCAGCGTAATATCCTTTAATGATAAAACTGAAAGGGATTCCCATGAACATGAACATATCCACAGTCATCAACCCTGATTTGGCAAAAAGATAAGAAATAAAGCAGAATAATTCAAAACGGGAGACAAAACTATGTGTGATGATGTTCTTAAAAATATGAAAATCTCAACCAAAGAAGCAAATAAATTAATAAGAGTTCAGGAAGGTGGCAGTTTAGAAAAAATAAATATCCAAAATGTAGGTTTCCTGCCTACTAGCAATAATTAATTTTCAAATGACATGGAAAAGTCCCACCCTCTTTATAACATCAGTCAATATTATGGAATAATTATAATTAAATAATAAATGGGCAAGTATGTGTACTACATTTCAAAATCAACCTATTTAAAATTTCAAAACTTTATCCCATTGTGGTGGCCATGGAAAGAGAACCTGCTTGGCTCCAATACCGCCTACCATGTAAAGGCCACGCCCTCCCCGGGATGCTCCCAGTCAATGAGCAAGAGCGACTGGGTACCAGCACATGGCTATTTCTACCAGAGGTGGAAATCCTCCATTGCGAAATCTTTGGCCTAGGCTCCCCATCAGCTGGGTGAGATTTTCTCGGCTGCACAGCAGTGTGAGGCTATTTTTACCCATTTCCTCCCCCAACCCATTTCTTGTCCTTTCCCTCTCCCCTCTTTTTCTCAATAAGACATTTGAGGTTTATTCCTTTCCTTCTTTATGAATGTCAGATTTCATCAGTGGCTGACGGTGTTCCTGCCTTTTCCTGTGTTCTCTCCTATATTTTTCTCAGGCTCCCCCGCCACCTACCCCACAACCTAAAAAAGACACTAGAGAAAATTATCTTTAAATGTGTTGGGTTTACTCAGGAATAAGAAATCAGGATTATAATCTGGAATGCATGGAATGGCAAACCACCAGGGAAGGGTAAAGGAAGCTTGCATTAGCAAAAAGGAATTTAAATAAGATGCTTAGAAACAAAGTTTATTGTTTCCAGAGATTCAAAGCCAGGATTGCTGTCAGTTCATTGGTGGATTTCCCATTTACTGGGCACGTGTTCTGAGAGAATCTTACCTGATTTACTGCAGTCCTAAAGAATGTCTGGTAATAAATCTTATCAAAGCAGGAGATACGTGAAGGTGAAAGGGTTTCTACGGGGGTTTTTAGAAAGTCCTGTGAAAGGTTTTTATCTCAGGCATGTAAGCATGCGCTTCCTCTCCTTCATGCCTTCCCAGCCTTATTTTGTCTGGGTCTGATAAAAGTGATTTCATCTTGTTATCTACAACTTTCACACCCCACAACGCATCTCTTACATGTCTGATTCTGTTCTAACTTTGGCTTCCTGGAGAACTTGAATTGAAACCCACCAACAATGCTATTTCAAAAGCCCCCTTCCAACTTTATTTTTTTTATTTAGCTCTGTCTACTATTTAACATTCTCTGTTGCACTTACTTATCTTATTCATTGTCTTAATCTCTATCTCACTAGAATATAAGCTCCATAAGGGCAAGGAATTCTATTTGTTCTTTATATTCAGTACCTAAAATAATTCCTGGCTCATATTAAGTGCTCAATAAACATTTGTTGAATGAATTAATGAAGGACATGTTATTAAATAAGACTTGAATAATGTTCCTGGAAAAGATGAAAATCCCAGTAGAATTTTTAAAAGTTTAAATTGAAAAATAAATATTTAAAAATAGGCAAAAAAATGTCAAAAACAATAGCAAGATATTATATAAGATATTGACAAGTCTAAAGATGCAATAATTAAAACAGCCTGGTGATGATATGGGAATGGATGGACTGATCAGTAGGGCAGAATTAAAGCCCACTGTCAGGCCTTTTTGCAAACTCGAGGCATGAATAAGCATTTAAGAAAAGTATTATTCAATAAATGATATTAGGAAATCAATGAGAAAATAATGAAAACACAATTCACAAGAGAAGAAATACAAATAACTTATACAACTATGAAAAAATATTTGACTCATGGAATTACAATTAAAAAAATAAGGCACCATTTTCACCTTTAAATTTGGCAAAAGTAGGGTAGGTAGGTAAATAGAATATTTATACCAAACAGAGAAATCATGTATTCTTTATGCCATTGATGATGCTGTCAACAGTCTTTTTGAGGGTGATTTGACGCTATACATAAGAAAACTGATGGTTTTGTGTATCTTTTGAACAACGACTTTCCTCAATTTATGATTGCAGCTTAAGAAAATAACATAAATATGAGCAAAAATTTAACTAAAATATATTTCTTACCATATTGTTTATAAAAACTTATAAAATGGAAATAAATATGCAACACTAAAAAATTGGCTGAATAAATTATGCCACTTGCACATTATGATGTATAATTTAGCCATTTGAGTGATTTTGTAGAATATTTAATATCAGAACAATGCTAAAAATTTTACTGGTTAGAATAAACTAGATAAATGGAGATAGGCATAATCTAGTGTGAGAAGAATTCCAAAGTTCTCAGTGCCTTACACAATGGCCCGAAACTGGGTGACCCTTAAGGGCAGTTCTCATCCCTCCACATGTTGGTTTAGCATTTCAAGATATCTCCTTCTTATGGGAAAATCTCTTATATTTCCATCTCCATGTCACAGCAGGAAAAAGGCAAATCAGATAGTCACTACTACTAAAATGCTTCTACTTCAAAGTGACATATGTCACTTCAACTTAAATTTTAATTTGACAAAGTCAATGGCTACATCGCACCTCAAAGGACAGGGAAGTAAGTCTTGCAAGGAGAAGAGAACAAGATATCAATGAATAGTAGTATTCTTACAATTAACATGTTCTGTTAAGAGTTTAAAATGACAATACAGCTTGTAAAAATTGCGTGTAAATATGTGTTTGTATGTGTGTCTCTGTGTATATCTGTTTGCATAGAGATATAGATAAGATAGATGTGGATGTGGACAGATACATACGCACATATAGGGTCAACAGAATCTCTCTGGTTAGCAGGACGATAGATGATTTTTATTTTCTCCTTTTTCTTATCCATATTTTTTTTTTTTGAGACGGAGTTTCGCTCTTATCACCTAGGCTGGAGTGCAATGGCGCAATCTTGGCTCACTGCAACCTCCGCCTCCTGGGTTCAAGCGATTCTCCTGCCTCAGCCTCCTGAATAGCTAGAATTACAGGTGCCCGCCGCCATGCCCAGCTAATTTTTTTTTTTTGGATATTTAGTAGAGATGGGGTTTTGCCATATTGGCCAGGCTGGTCTTGAACTCCTGACCTCAGGTGATCCTCCCGTCTGGGTCTCCCAAAGTGCTGGGATTACAGGTGTGAGCCACCACGCCTGGCCTCTTATCTGTATTTTTAAAGTATTTTTGCAATAAGCAAATGTTACTATAATAAGAAATCAAGTTATAATATTAAGAAAAAAGGTACATAATATGTTTATAACTGTTTGAAATTCAAATTTTATGAGTCTTTTAAGAAAGTAAAGTCCTTTAAATTTTACCCTTTGCCATTTTTGATTATTTCTATCTCTTCTGTCTACTACTTCGCTCAGGTCCCTAAGCAGAATAAATTGTTGTTAAACTTCTGTTTGAGATGATTGTCGTTAATTTCCATCCCATTTCAGTAAGATGGTGCTCAACTCCTGTGACTGAATTGTGATTAAAATAGCATTACTCCTCTTAAGGAAGATACAATGAAAGGACAGTTGGAGTTAAGTGTATTCTGATGGCATGCGAGCAATTGTCACTAAAGAGATTTAAGATATGACCTTTTATTCTCGACCACAAGTGTTCTTAGAAAAAAAAAAGAAAGCCTTGTGCATTTTGAATATCAGCACTCGACCCCATTTGGCTTAGCAAAAAACTTTGAAGGTTGAATTTTAACCTTGTTTTCTATTTCATTCTTGCCCCTTAGAATTCAAGTGTCTGTAATGGTGAAGGCGAAAGTCCTGCTTGACTGAGGCCTCCGTAGCCTGTGACTCCATCTGAGCAGTGTCCCTTCAGAAGCTGCTTAAACATTTCCCTGAGCTTAAAGAATTGCACTGCACTCTGGGTAAGCATGGTGTCTATTATATGGTATTGAGATTAATTAGATGAATCTGCCTTAGATGAGGGGATCTCCAGAAAGCATCCAAACCAGGCTGCACACAGGACAGCTTTTGTGATAAAGCAGAGTCTTTAGAGAGATGTATTTGGACTTCTACAAGTTCTGATGAGATCCTCACTCTCCTTCAGATGTGAGGCTCCAGAAGGAGGACTTTAGGATCTAGAAGTTTGCATCCCAGTGTCTCCCGGAGAATGTTGCTAATCTGTTTGCTATGAATTCTGACTTTATTAACTTTCTTCTGAATCTTTAAAATAAACAAACCCTATTTAATTTACCTGAGGAATGTCTATGCCTGTCAGTCCTTCATTCTGAGCTGGCTATTTACATTTGTAAATGTAAATATGAAGGCCATGAAGGAATAGAAATAAACTTGAGCTCACTTAAGCGGAAAAGTAGTATCCTTAAATTTAAGGACATATGCAGAAACACCCAAAACCTGTGTTCCAATTCTGGGAAAGATAATCAGAATGGTGTATCTTGGATTAGGGGATTTAAGACTCCCAAGTCAAATAAGTTACAGCCTTGTGACAATGTAAGGAATTAAATTGTATTAACTGATGACTTCCCAATGGATGGTGTGAGGCAGTGGTCGGTGAAGGGTGATTGTGGATTTCTAGTAATTCGCTATAAAGAGAGGTATGTTGGGAACTCTTAAGAGTCTCTCGTGGTTGGGCATACCAGTGTCCATCAATGTCCAATTTCTTCCCCATTCATGGTGCAAGGAATATACTTACCTTCTTTAGCTCCCTTGCAGTTAAGTGGGTGCCGTGTGACTTATTCTGGCCAATGAAGGATGAATGGAAGTGAAAGATATCACCTCTGAGCTGAGATAGTAAAAGGAGCATATGTCTTTCCAGTCTTGCTCATTCCTGCCGAATCAGCCAAGGAGGAGGCATAGAATGGCAGTGGTGTCTCCAACAGTTTAGAATTTGAGGTTACCCCACAGTGAAGGTGTATTAGTCCATTTTCACTCTACTGATACAGACATACCTGAGACTAGGAAGAAAAAGAGGTTTAATAGACTTAACAGTTCCGCATGGCTGGGGAGGCCTCACAATCATGGTGGAAGGCAAGGAAGACCAAGTCACATCTTACATGGATGGCCTCAGGCAAAGAGAGAGCTTGTGCAGGGGAGGGAACCTCCCCTTTTTAAAACTATCAGATCTTGTGAGAATTACTCCCTATCATGAGAATAGCATGGGAAAGACCTGCCCCATGATTCAATTACCTCCCACTGGGTCTCTCCCACAACACGTGGGAATTCAAGATGAGATTTGGGTGGGGACAAAACCAAACCATATCAGGATGGTTGCCCTGGAGAGATACCTGGACCAGTAGCTGACATTACATGACTGAGAAATGCATCTTTGTGGTGGTAACCTACTCATATTTGGGGGCTATTTGTTACCATGGCAAAAATTAGTCTATTCTGACTAATTTACTCTGTACACTGGTTCTAATCCATTTTCAGGCTGGACCCCAGTCTGGCTTTATGTCCTCTCTGATCTGGTCTCAACTTGGGCCATTGCTGAGTGCTGACCACGCTATAGCTGTTTATTTAGCACTGGGTCTTCCAAGCCATCTTATCCACCACAGGACAAGATCCTATCTTTAAGATCCTTGACCCGATAAACTGCTCTGAGGAAGCAGTTGCCATGCCACACTTTTCAGATGGGTCCTTTCTTCCCTCCAACCTAACCTTTATTATCTAAAGTAGTTAAGAAAATGGGCTTCAGATTCAGATGAGCTTAGGCGCAAATCTAGTCTCAGTTATTTCTAGCCAAGAAAATGGAAAAAAATGAGAAAGTGGCTTAATCTCTCTAAAACCTTGATTTCCTTACTTACGGAATGGAAATGGTAATAGCACTTACGTACGGGACTGCTGAGAAGGTAAAATGAGAAAAGTGAGTAATATGCCTGGGAAGATGTGCTGTCACATGGTACATGCTCAATAAAAGCTGGTTGTTAGTAGTCTTCCCATTTCTTCCCCAGATCAGGGTCAGTTTCCTATTTCCCAAGTTCTTTCTTTATAAGTCACAGTTTAGCCATTATCACAAAGTCTGGCAGATGTGGGATGACCTGACAATATGCCCGAAAATCTTCATCTAATAATCTTTTCCTTGAGGTTTAGAGGGTAGGAATTTTATCTTCTAAAATGAAGGCTTACCAAAAGGACAAAGTGCTGGGGACATAGTTCCATGTTTCAGCATGTGTGTCCCCAAGCAATCTTCTGTTGGCCAAACAGCTGAGAGGGAAAGAATAAGCAACATCCCTCCTTCTTGCCCCATCTTTGCTTACTGGTTTGGCTGCTGTGTGTGGGTCATGCTTCTAAGAATGAATCCTCTCTATTTTCTGCTCTACTTCCTTCTTGGGGATTCTCCATTGACCTCTGGACTCCAGCCATCCTAAATGTTCCTCCGTTCCTCCAGGGCCATGGTTTGCTTACCTCCTGGCATTCATGAGTTTTCTTCCCTTGGTCAGAAAAATCCTCCCTCCCACCCTGCCACCTTCATTTTGCTACCTCTAATTCAAAGTTAGGTTTTCACATAGACATCACTTTTCTGGGAAGTCTTTTCTGACTCTGCAGTCCTAGGGGGTTGCTTCTACTGTGAACCCCATAGCATCTCATTTCTTTCTCCCACTCCCATGTTTATCCTAATTGGCTGTCTACTCGTTTCTCATTAAAGTTTAAGCCACCTGAAGAGTTGTAGCCCCAGCGCATCACATAGGACCTGGCACATCACAGATGCTCAATAAATATTTCTTGACAAAACAAATGAATGTCTTCTACTCAGAATTTTCATATTCATCTTAAATTTTCATTATCTACTCTATCTCTGTATCTAAAAATCATCTTCCAAAGATCCCTTCAGTTCTGCATTATTCTTTATCACCCTTGCCCCCAGTATCCCCTGCCTACCCTTCCCCTCCTCAATGCCCATATGCCAGGAGCTCCAGTTCATTCTGGAATGGCACAGTAAGAAGCATGATAGTGTAGAACCTGGCTACTCAAAGAATAATCTGGGCCACAGAAGCTTTGGCATCCCCTTGGGAGCTTGTTAGAAATAGGGAATATTGGCCTCACTCCAGACCTATTGAATTGAATCTATCATTTAGCAAGATCCATAGGTATTTAATTCTGAAGCACATTTAGGTTTGAGAAGTGCTGATGTTTGATTTGTGCACTTTACCCTCTAAACATCAGTTTCCTTTTATTCCAAATGAGAAAAATAATACCTGTACCACTGAGTTTAGGTAAGGATCAAATAAGGCAGTTCATATACAACACTTAGCATAATAAAGATGGATATTATTAAAACATCCTTCCTCTTCCTGGGTCATTAGTCAGAGATCCCCAGTGTGCTTTTGCATATGATTGACAGTCTCTAATTTGCCCTGGATAATACTTGTAGACTATTTCCATTTTTGAAATCCTAGAGAGCCCATCTTTGAACTGTAACTTTTAGGAGGATCTCTTCTTCCAGTGAACTCTGGGTGGACATTACTGTTTTGGGAAATACCAGTTTTTAGTGCACATCTTAACATTTTAGAAATGTCCTCATTATCAACTAAGTTATTAGCTCCTAAGTAATGAGGCCATGTCTTAAAGCCGTTTTGTCTCTAGCAGCTGGAAAAATATAATGCCCTAAAAGAGGAAGAGCTCAAATATATTCCGATTTTGATGATGATAATGACAATTGCTTTCTCTTGATCATAACTTTCTGGAGAGGTAGAATTTGTTACTCTCATCTTCCTAGCCTAGTGTAGTGCTATGGTTTCCAAAGTTCTATTTCAGCAATGGTACCCTTTTGGCAATAAGATATTATAGAACCCCAATAGATATTCAACATCAGAACTGTGCTGCTGTGGCTAAAATTGGGAGGGGAACCCAGAATGCCTCACTTCTAGTCTCTGTGTCCCATGCCCACATTGCTACAGGAGTCTAGGAGTCAAAAGAACTGGCTTTGAGTCCTTCTGAAAACCTTAGCAAAGATCTTGGTTGTGTCACTTTCAACCTGGTGACCTTCAACCAGCTCATTCTCAAAATACACTTGTTTACAAAGTGGAGGTAAACAGACAATACGGAAAAACTGGCATTAATACTGCTGTTTTATGTTTTAAAGGGAAACAACGTCTCCACTGTTTTGTACTTTTTGTCCTCAAATATCATGAGATATCAGAGAGATCCAGGATCTAGGACCAAGGGTCTTCTAAGAAAAACTGACAAAGGGGATTTAGATTTTTAAGCACATTATCCTTGAGAGGAGGTATAGGCCCCAAAGAGCTAATTTGACCTTAGATGTAATAAAGGGGAGAGAAGTAGATTGGGGAAGTCTTCACTAGAAGTGTGGGATCTGACCTTGTTGGAGCTCAAAACATGATAACCCCAAATTTGGCACCTTGGTCTGCTAAGGATTTTAATCTGAAGGAAACTGAGGAAACCACAGAAGCAGGAAGGTTGCCGTATTAGTCAGGGTTCTCTAGAGGGACAGAACTAATAGGCTAGATGTATATATGAAGGGGAGTTTATTAAGGAGTATTGACGCACATGATCACAAGGTGAAGTCCCACAGTAGGCCGCCTGCAAGCTGAGGAGCACGGAAGCCAGTCTGAGTCCCAAAACTTCAAAGGCAGGGAAGCCAACAGTGCAGCCTTCGGTCTGTGGTCAAATGTCCGAGAGTCCAAAAGCTGAAGAAGTTGGAGTCAGATGTTTGAGGGCAGGAAGCATCCAGTATGGGAGAAAGATATAGGCCAGAAGACTCAGCCAGTCTGGTCCTTCCACGTTTCTCTGCCTGCTTTTATCCTAGCCGTGCTGGCAGCTGATTAGATGGTGCCTGCCAGATTGAGAATGGGTCTGCCTCTCCCAGTCTATGGACTGAAATGTTAATCTCCTTTGACAACACCCTCACAGGTACACCCAGGAACAGCAATACTTTGCTTCCGTCAATCCAGTCAAGTTGACACTCAATATTAACGATCACAGTTGCTCTCGGACTTTTACTGTCCTTTCTTTTCTGGAGACTCATCTGACAGGTGTCCTGCCCTACACCAGCAGGGAGTGAATGTCACATAGAGAGGCCAAGCAGAATCTGAACAAATGGGCCTTGCTAAGTTCCCCCCAGGTTATTAACATTACATTATACCTTTGTCCTCCCATCATACTTCTGTATGACAGTTTATAAAAATAATCCAGTTTTTCCTGAGTCTTTGGGTCTTCATTGTGAAGGTTCCCATGTCATGTAAAACTTATATTAAATACATGTGTTGTGCTTTTCTCTTGTTGCTCTGCCTTTTTTTACAGGGGTGTCAGCCATGAATCTTATGATGGTTGAGGAAATTTATCTTTTCTGTTCTACAGCCTGTAAACCTTCCTTTTCTTCCTCTCTCCTTCCCTGATCCTCTATCTCACCCTCCTTCTCTTCTCATTGTGGTTTTCCTCTAGAATGGGCCCATTCTAAAAAGGCCCATATTGAGTACCTCAGAGGAAGTATAGATGGCTAATAAACATAAGGAATGATGCTCTACTTCAATATAGTTAAATAAAAGGCAATTAATGCTATAATAAGTTGCCTTGGAAGTTGTTAAAGGTCAGATTGCCAAATAAACAAGAACACCTTTTTGATGAGCTATCTTCACACAGTGTATAATTCCCTGTGTATTTTTTGAGGTATGAATAATTCCATTTCAGATATTTTGATATTTACAGAAATACCAAAAATAAGTGTTGCCTGGCCAGCCTAGAATTGCCCATTGGGGCAGAATTATTTGATTATCCAAGGGGAAGATGATGAACATGACAGGGTTTTGTGACTAGTAAAGTTTTGCATGGGTATAAGGTACCAGCAAGGAATTTTTTTGAGGATTTGGATTTGCTTTTTCTATCCCATCTGGTTCACCACGCTTTTTCAGGCTGGGCCCTGAATAATCAGCTAATATCTCTGGCATCTCCTGGAGAGGGGTGGGGTATGGTAGATGTCTGAAAAGGGTTAGGGCTCATTGACGGTGGCCTAGAGCATTCTCCAGTTGCTTTCCTTCGTTTCCACAGAGCAGGAAAAGCATGTTCTGTCTTATTAGATTTCGGAGACGTAGACACGGTACAATATTCCTGATTCAAAACTGTCAGCTAAAAAGAGGGGACTGAAGTCTTGGGTTAGTAATTTGAAAAGATATTAAGTGAAAGGAAGAAAATAGTTGCAAGACCTAAAGACAGATTCTGTGATCAGAAAGATCTCTGTATTTCTCACACACTATCCTTAAAAAATGAAGTGATTAATATTTGAAATGAGAAGATCATTAACACAACTGGTGTGAATGGAAGCAGCTCTTACAGTCATGTAAAGAGAAAGGGGCAGAAAGAGAGGGTGGAAAGAACTACCTACATTTACATTTGGATGAAAAGTCATTTAAGACCTTGATATGTACATGGGCAAAGGAAATGAATGAAAGTTTACACCAGAGGAAAGTTAAATAATAAACACACTAGAAAGTGTTCATCTTGTCTTAGGTAGCCCATACAATGGTGGGTATGAAATGGTTAAACTGCAAGCTCCTAGACTGTACAAACACAATTGGGATGTTTAATCATGTTTCTCAAAAAACTGCCCCTGGTATCCACATTTCTTCCCGATTCAGGTTCATCTGAGAGTTACCTCACCTACTCCCTTCCTTTGGAGCCGGGATTGCTCTTTCTAGCAACTCTGAGTGCTTGGAAAACAGTTTGTCATCTAGAACTCTCTTTCCATTGCAAATAAATTCTGCAATAATAACAGCTTTCATTTGTGGGGCACATATCATGTACCTGGTGTTTTTCTAGGCATTCCTGTGTCAATTAACTTCATCCTTATCACCACCCTATGACATGTGTTCTTATCCTCCTCCTCCTCCTTCTTCTACAGATAAGTAAACTGAGGCAGTTTTCACAAGGTTATAGAGCTGGGAAGTACCTGATCAGGGATTTAAAACCAGCCAGGCTCCTCTAGACCCCACACTATACCTCTCTATCTTCAACCTCTTTACCTTTTATGGAAGCCTCTTTTTTTTTTTCTTATGTTAACTTAGCTTTCCCCATTCTCTACAGGATACCTATGTTGTGGTGTTACTAGGTATCCCCCCAGAGCAATGCTTTAGTAGTCAAGTATAGATGAAAAGATTATGGTAAAATATGATTCTACTGCACAGTATTGCTCTAATATTTTAGTTTGTATTATGATGCTTCCAGAAGAAGGTTTACTGTGCAATATTTCTTAAATGCATATAATCATGAAACCTTTATTTTACATTATTTGGTTGTTCATCTGTAACATCTGGGCAAGCTACCGTTGTACAGAACACAACTGGGGAACATCACTTTACCTAAATAGCAGCTGGACCTGGGTTTTGTCCCAGACTTCACATCTCATGGAGACCTAAGCATGGGAGAAGTTCTCCCAGCTGCTTCCGGACCATTACCCTTTCATCTTTGTGGGCATAAAAGCCCTCTTCCTTTGAGGCTAATGACACTCATCTATACCACTCTTTACTACTTCTCATTGCCTTTAATTGCTTAACTCTTGGCTTCTTCCTCTTGCACACTGAAGCCTTTGGCAATTGCATAGCTATTTTTGTCTCCACCCCAGTTCCTTCAATTATCATGGGCAGCATCTATGTAGATGAGTCACCCAACAGCCAGACCTCCAAGCTCCTTTTTCTCTGTGACTCCCATGATTCTTACACTTACTCCCCTTCAACCACCTACACCCATGGTTATTGCCAGGAATCCTAAACCTAAAGAATGTAAATTTCCATACCCCACAATGACCTAAATTTCCCTCCTTTCAGCTTACTCACTTCCTTACAATGCTTCTGATTTTTAACCACATCAAGACTGCTGTACTTTCAAACTTCCTCTGCCACATGGCCCACCATGCCCTTTCCAATACTTTTCTTTCTTCATTCAGTCTAAATCCCATGGCATGCAACTTCAACAACTTTATTGCTGGTGTCCTCACATTTCTCACCCTCTTATTCTTTTGTTAGACCTGTCCAGTTCTGCTTGGTCATTCTTTCATTCCTGCTATCAAAGGTCTTCTTCTCTTGAAAGCATGAAGGAATATGATACTTATCATTATCTCTGTCCAAGCAGTGATACTCTTCCACTTCCTATTCCAGTCTACACAATAATAGTGGTTTATACTTCTCTTTCCCTCATCTTTCTCCCTTATTTTCTTTGAGGGCTACCAGAGATCAGCCTTCAATGTTGGTTGTACCTTCAGATGAATTTAGTTCCAGGAGTTCATGCATGTAATATATTTTCTTCTGTAATCAGCTTATCACAGATTAGCATTCTCAGGCTTTCTAGCATCTTCAGTGGGCTTCATATTTTCCACATCACTTTGCATTACCATTGTCAATGGATACAGCCCAACCCTTTCACAAACATCCATATTGCAGAACAATTTTTGTTCTCCTTAGCACCTTTTGTAGCAAGCCAATTTAGGCCAAATTAGATCTCCCCTGATTTAATTAAAATTCCTGCTGTTCAGGAGACATTTTGTGACATGCAGCCAGCATGCCCAGCAGAAATCCGTGTGTGTGTGTGTGTGTGTGTGTGTGTGTGTGTGTGTGTGTGTGTATTTAAAAGGTGCTTTCGTGGTTTGTACCTTCTGGGTGCTAGAGTTTTGACCTAGCAAAAATCAAATAGTGCCCTCCCAGGCTTGATATCTTAATACAGCAATATCTTGATAGGTTCTTTACTCCAGGATTTTTTAAAGATGATAAAAGGATTAGTTGAGCAAGACTAATCCTTTACTCTGGAAAGAGATACTATACAGGTGATTAGACAGAAATGCTTATAACAGCCATGAACACAGTGATGTTCTAATATCAATATCCAGGTCCTTTTCTGCAAGGAACTAAAGATAACCCAAATCCAGCTGGACAAATAAAGCATCTCTTATCCAGGCCTGGATTCTCAGCCTTTTTCTCCTTCCATTTGATTTCCAGGTGAATGCCCTATATTGCCTCGTCCCACTTATTTTTTTTTTCTCAGTCATTACTTCTAGTGATTAATCACTGTTCACTGTAATCAGTGTCTTTTTTTTTTTTTTTTTTTTGAGACAGGGTTTTGCTCTGTCACCCAGGCTGAAGTGCAGTGGCATGATCATAACTCACTGTAAATGTGAATTCCTGGGCTCAAGTGACCCTCCAGCCTCAGCCTCCTGGGTAGCTGGGACTATAGGCAAGGGCCACCATGCCTGGCTAATTTATTTATTTATTTTTTTGATAGAAATAGGGTCTCACTATGTTACTCAGTCTGGTCTCTAACTCCTGACCTGAAGCAGTCCTCCCACCTTGGCCTCTCAAAGTGCTGAGATTACAGGCATGAGCCACTGCACTTAGCTAAGCAGTCTTCATCAGTTTATTTATTTATTTATTTCAGTTTTGCTTGTCTTTGATATGCTCTGTAAAATTATAAGTGCCTACTCTTTGTTTGTTTGCTTATTTTTCCAACTCTGAAGAAGGCTTTTGTTTTTTTGCTTCATGCTGTTGCCCTCTTTGTAACCTATTAGGGGAACCCACCCCCAATATTTCAACATAGGTTCTTTCTATTTTCCATAAGTGTTGGCCGGCTGAGAAATAAAAAGAGACAGTACAAGGAGAGAAATTTTACAGCTGGGCCACTGGGGGTGACATCACATATCAGTAGTACTGTGATGCCCACCTGAGTCTCAGCCCAGCAAGTTTTTATTAAGGGTTTCAAAAGGGAAGGGGGTGTAAGAACAGGGAGTAGGTACAAAGATCACATGCTTAAAGGACAAAAAGCAGAACTACTAATAAGGGTCTAACAAAGATCACAGGGCAAAGGGCAAAAGCAGAACCACTGATAAGGGTCTATGTTCAGTGGTGCACATATTGTCTTGATAAACATCTTAAACAACAGAAAACAGGATTCGAGAGCAGAGAACCATTCTGACCACAAATTTACCAGGGTGGAGTTTTTCCCCACCCTAGTAAGCCTGAGGGTACTGCAGGAGACCAGGGCATATCTCAGTCCTTATCTCAACTGCACAAGACAGACATTCCCAGAGCAGCCATTTATAGACCTCCCCCCAGGAAAGCATTCCTTCCCCAGGGTATTAATATCAATATTCCTTGCTAGGAAAAGAATTTAGTGATACCTTCCCCACTTGCACGTCTGTTTATAGGCTCTCTACAAGAAGAAAAATATGGCTTTTTTTGCCTGACCCCACAGGGAGTCACACCTTATGGTTGTCTTCCCTTGTTCCCTAAAAATTGCTGTTATTCTGTTTTTTTTCAAGGTGCACTGATTTCATATGGTTCAAACACACATGTTTTACAATCAATTTGTACAGTTAACACAATCATCACAGTGGTCCTGAGGTGATGTACATCCTCAGCTTATGAAGATAACAGGATTAAGACATTAAAGTAAAGACGAGCATAAGAAATTATAAAAGTTTTATTTGGGAACTGATAAATGTCCATGAAATCTTGGCAATTTATGTTCCTCTGCCACGGCTCCAGCCGGTCCCTCCATTTGGGGTCCCTGACTTCCTGCAACAGTAACCTGAGTGCTGGATCTTATCTGAGTCCACTATCAAGTAAGGCTGAGGAGGGTGAACATTTGTTCTTATTTGTTAGGCAGGAGAGCTCATTGAGATGTGAGCTTAACATGGACCTCCATATTGTTCAGAGGCAAGAAAGAGACTTGCTGAGTAAGTGCCTACAGCAGACACTGTCAGTGTCTTATCTATACATCCTGCCTGCCAGTGTATGCATCTCTGTGTCTAGGACCTTTACCATTCTCCTTCTAAGTGTACCTATAGGAGCAAGAGGCAAGTATGAAGTATTTGGAGATTAACAATTCCTAAGCCACCTTGAATCAATGACACTTGTATGGCTGTATACATACCCCAGGTGCCTCACTTTTTGAGGGGGATATTTGTGAAGAGTGTGTTTTGCATCACTTCCCAGAGTTTTCCCTGGGATGAAGTTCTAGCCACCCACCAGGGTAATTGGCTTAATAGCACACCCTTTATCAACTGCCTTCTCTTCCTTGTATGATTTCCCCTGGTCCCCTACTGGGGTTCCCAGCACATTCCAAATAAATGTCTTACTCAAATTCTTGTCTCTAGTTCTGTTTCTGAGAAGACCCAAATTAAAATAAACATTACACATTGTTCCAGCAGCAGTAACTCAGGAGTATTCCATTCAACTATTTAACATACTCTACTGTGAGCTACATTGGCTAAGGACTTTGAGTTTTATTTTAAACACTTATAAAGACACCAAAGATTTGAGTTCTCTGTAAAGACCAATTATACCTAAGGAAGGGTTATATTTCTTTAGGGATTTCAAGGTCTGCTAACTCCTGTTAAGTGGGGTTTTCAGACCATAAAATGCAAAATCATTCTTGGTATCACTATTTGTGAGCCCAGGAAGAAAAGGGGAGACAATAAGATTGTTTCCAATGATTCTGAAATTATTAGAGGATAGTAGCAGTGTGAAATTTTGAAATCTGGTTGATTAATGCATTGTAGCTTTAAAACAATTTATTGTATTATATTCTGAGAGTACTAGAAGTAAATGTTTTCAGTATGATTATAGCAGCTGCTATAGTGGGCCAGAGGAATGTATTCAAATGCTTATTGCTGATAAAGAATATATGTAAACTTAGGATATTCATGCATTCATTCATTAATTCACCCTGCCAAATATATTATTAGGCTGTTGAAGTTCTCTGTGGAAATTTTCAGGTCAGTGATTGTGTTCTTCAACTCCAGAATTTCCGTTTGGTTCTTTTTTATGGTTTCTATCTCTTTGTTAAACTTCTCATTTTATTTATATATAGTTTCTCTGACTTCATATAGGTGCATATCTGCGTTCTCTATAGCTCACTGAGCTTCAGGTTGATCATATTTAATTCTTTGTTAGGTAATCTCCATTTCTTCAGGTTTGGTTACCAGTGCTTTATTTATTTATTTTTTGTTTGTTTGTTAGTTTTGGTGGGGGCATGTTTCCTTGATTATTTGTGATCCTTATGGCCTTGTATTGTTATCTCTGTGTTAGAAGGAGTAGGCACCTCTTCCAATCTTTACAGACTAGTTTTGGCAACGAAAGTCCTTCACCAGCCAGCCCATCCAGAGACTCTGGGTGGGCTGGATGGCAGGGTCTGTGGGTGGGCTTGCAGTTATGTTTCTTAAGGTGAGCTGGTTTAGTGCCTGAGTCCATGAGGGTGGGCATAGAGCCCTGGGTACTCAGGGGTCAACCTAGTGATGAGGTCCACTGGAGTGGGCCTGGAGCATTGGTCTGTGGGTGCCATTCTGGCATGTGGGGATTCCAAGCCTGGTCTGGTACTGGAATAGTTCTAGAGTTTAGGTCTGCAGAGGCTGGTCTGGAAGCTAGGTATCTGAGGGTCAGTCTGTTGTCTGGGTCCATGGGGTTGGCTTGGGGGTCTGGGTCAGTAGGGGATGGCCTGGCAATAGGGTGGGCCAGGAACCTCACACTATGGTGGCCAGCCTGGTGCTAGAGTGGGCCTATAGTCTGGGTTGGTGGGGCTAGACTGGTGCCCGGGTCTGCAGGGATTGCCTTGGAGCTTGGGGCCTTAGGGGCCAGCTTGGCCCTGGGGTGGGCCTGAAGCCTGGTTCACAGTGGTCAGTTTGGTACCATGAGTCACTGGCAGGGCTGGTGCTGGGTCCACAGTGAAGTTGGGTGCTCACTTTGTTCTCCTTCCCCCACTTGGAAGGCATCTCTCACCACACTGTGCTGTGTGAGCTTGGGGAAGGGAAGAGGTGAAGTGGGTAATGTGAAATTGTCCTTCCTATCATCTTCAATGTTTTTCTTATTTCTGTGCTACATTTGGATGATATAATCTCTCACCTGGATTTCTTAACTCTTATGAAGTTGCTTTTATGCATGCATAGTTATTCAAATTAATGTTTCTGCAATTGGATAAGCACTAGAAACTCCTATCCTGCCATCTTGCTGGCATCACTCTCCAGACCCGTTCTACCTGAGATTATTTCTCTATGTAATTACCTGTTAGTTTTATGTCTCCCACACTAGGATGTAATCTCCATGTGAGTGGTTAAGGGCTTTGTCTTTTTCATTGCTCTATCTTTAGCACTTCACGTAGTACCTGATACAGTTCAATATCCATTTGTTGAATGAATCAATGAATAAAACCCAAGTTATTCTCAAATCCACAGATGTATAAAAAACTGAATGGACCTGAAAATTCTGACAAAACTGTTGTCATATTTCATGACTGTTCTGCCTAGGATTAAGCTAGCTCTAGACTGTTATGTTCATAAAAAGTCACTAACAATTTCCATAATAAACTCACTTTTCATGGACACATGCCCTTTGCTTGGTCTTGTGGGCTGGATACAATAAGCATAATTAAAGCAATAAATAAAAGTGCCACTAGCCACATGGGACGCAGAATTCACTCCCAAGGGCATCCCATGGTTTCTGACCCCTGTTTTACTAAATAGACACTTAAATAGAGGAAGGAGAAGCGCACATAAATAATAAATGAGTGGATATAAGCCCACTGTCTGCTGCCTCCATAACTCAAGACCACAGCTTTTCTGAGGTGGTCTTTTTGCTCCATGAACCTGAAGATGATGCTCATGCTACTGTTTCCAGAGACCAGAGCTGTTTCCAATTTGTCTCTGTTGTATGGTCCACTTAATAGCCAAAGAACTGTTTCATCTCCTGAATGCTGGTGTTCTCCATGGAGCTCTCACACTTCTGCACATCCTGTGAGTAGGGGTATTGGAAACCTTTTCTGAATTATCTTTTTGCTTAAGTTTGCACAGCAAAGAGCCTTGGAAGATAAAGATAATGTCTCCCTTTAGGAGAAAGGTTGGGCAGGGTTGCCCAATCTTCATAATAGATGGAATTCCTTAAACTCAGTGCCCTTCGTCTATAATGCAATCCACTGTGCAGGTGTTACCTGGTCCTCTTCACATCTCTCTGTGGGAATTGAGGCTTGGGGAGCTGGCACAAACATTGGTGATATTTCAGCTATTGCTGTGGCTGTTTTGTCCTTGTTTGTGACCCAGGAGTCTTGTATCTTCTGCCAGCATCCATAAAACTTTGGCAGGTTAAGTTGTTAACTTGCAATGAGTGTAAAATCTCAGACCTTTACAGTCTTGACAATTGGAGTTTGGTAATTTCTTGTTGATTGGGCAGGATACCTGTGATAAAAATATAAAGTCTGGTGATAAAATGAGGAAATATCTGAAAGCTATATCTCATGAGGAGCAGTTGAAGGAACCCAAAGAATTCATCCTAAAGAACAACAGCCCAAGAGAGAACATGAATTCAGCCTTCTAGTCTTTTAAGAGTAACATGGAAGAAATGAATGCTCTTTGGGCTGCTACAAAAGCCAAAGTTCAAGCCAATATGTGGAAGACATATGGAAGCAGATTTCAGCCAACTGGGAAGGAGATATGCACCTCACCTGCAAAGAACTGTGACTAATGCAGAGAAACTGACTGGATTTTATAATAAGATAGAAACTGTTTTGTTAAGACTTTAATTAGACATGCTGAAGAACAGAATGGGTCCCCTGAGTGGGTCCTGGGCTCAAGGATATGGAAGGCGGTTAAAACACATCTCTGGAATCATTTATAAAGAGGCCACTCTTCTATTAGATAAGAGATTATTTCAGGTAATATCTTAGGTTTTTTAGAACAATCTCAGATTCTAGACATTTTTGGTTATCATCTTGCTGATAGGTCCCTTCTAGACCACAGGTTCAGGGAGGTTAGAATGCAAGTTTTGGTGTGAACTTGCCTGAAACTTTTAAGCCACTCTCTATACTCCTTTCCATAGCATTCAGCTGACTTCTCATAAAAGCAGAATTCTAGTCTAGAGAAAACCCAGAAACATATATGAGAAACTTTAGGAAGGAGCCAAGTCATACTGACTACTTCATTATTTACTCATTCATTCAATGGAGTTACTCAGCATCTAATTTGTACTAGACCCTGTGCTCGGTAAGGAGAATGTGGGGAAAAGTGACATCAAGTTGGGAACACAGATAAATAAGAGTACATCTTTCTTAGTGTTAAGACAGATGTAAACCCAGAGTTCTGTAGGAGCAAAGAGGGGAAACATGAAGTAGAGTAGGCATAGAAAGAGAGTGAGGAGACATTTCCCAGAGGAATTGAGCAATTTTAGAAGTTTAGGTTAGGGTGTAACTTGCAGAAGGAAAAGCATGTCCTGTGTCACAGAGATGGGAAACCACCTAGTATCCAAGGGACTATGAATAGTATAATCTGTCCTAAGCAAAGGTTGCATATGGAAGAATGAAAGGGCTGGGGATTTAAGCAAAAGCCATATCACAAAAGGTCTTGTGAGACAGAAATGAATAGAATTTCCTTTTGCAAAGATGACTCCAGCTGCATGAGCAGGATAGACTGGAGGGAGAATGGCTTAGCAGCAGGAGATCAGTCAGGGAGTGGCTGCAATAATCCAGGATGTTGAAGGTTGAAAAAGTGTGATGAGTGTACACTCTGAATTATGGGCAGAAAAGTATGCTGGATTTGCCTTAGAAACCCTTTATGTGTCAAGAATAATTTCAGAGTTCTGAATCTTGGACACTGTAGCCTGTCTAGGCAAAGGACTCATGATCAAATGTGCAAGGGGTAATCCCATTGATGGGGATATCGGTGGCAGCAGGTAGGCTGGGTTGGCCTATCTTTATTGGTCTGGGCTTTTCCAGTTCTTCTGAAAGGCATTATGGGTGGTGGGTGCATCCTCCAGTGTCTATGGCAATCCTTTAAAGATTGGGTGCTGAAATATTTCTGAAAGGGAAAGGGCTTGGTTGCTTGGAAACCAATGGCCACTATTAACCACACCTACCAGCCCGCTCCAGATGAAGTCCTTTCTCTTTAGAAAGGAATTTCTAATTTCTCCCGTCAACTGCCACTGCCTACGTACTTAATTTCCTTTTGGGGTGTAGCAACCATCTGGCCTGCTAACAAAGGGTTTCTAACTGATTATGCAAAATGTTCATAGTTAATACTTGGCCAGATGTGAGTCTTTCTTTTCTTGACCCCTTCTTTGAAATCAGAAGAAAACTGGGCAGGTTTTTTTCTTTCTTTCTTTGGGGCTAAGAACAAATAACACAGTGACAGTATCTTTTAGAGTTCTCATGTCCATTTCTTTTTTCTAATTGATTTTTATTGAATATCCCCAACTTCAGGCAAAGAGCTGGGCTAGACAGCGGCAGATCAGAGGAAGAAAGATGAGACCATTTCCCCCCAGGAGGTCATAATCAGGCTGGGGAGAGAAGAAGACAGGCAGGAAGTATGGGCAATAGGGCTCAGGATGTGCTACCCTCTTAAAGTGGTGGCCCAGAGCCTAGCACAACAACCTTATGCCTGGTCCTTAGAGTGTGCTCAAAGTGGATTCATAACAGAAAACAAATCTGTTGAATCAGAACTCTCCATGCCCGGTCTTCTTCTGCACTCACCATAGGTTCCTAACAAAATGAACAGATAGTCAAAGCAATTCAATCATGGCCCAATGACGTGAATCCAGGAGAATAAAAAGAGAAGCACAGGAGCACAGCTGGGTGCAGGGAGGACCTTGGGGAGGCCCCTAAAGGAGCTCTCACCCCAGGCATGGTAACCAGGAAGTCAACTACATGTTGAGAATTGTTACAGGCTGAATTGTAACCTCTTCCTTCACATTCATATGTTGAAGCCCCCTCCAACTCTCAGTGCCTCAGAATGTGACTATTTTTGGAGAGAAGGTATTTAAAGAGATGATTAGGTTAAGATGAGGCTATTAGGGTGAGATCCCTAATATACTAAGACTCGTATCCTTAGAGGAGGATGAATAGACTCCAGGGATATAAGCACAGAAGAAAGGCCATCTGAGGACATGGCAAGAAGTCGGCCATCTGCAAGCTAAGAAGAGAGGCTTCAGGAGAAACCAACCTGCTGGCCTTGAGATCTTGAACTTCCAGGCTCCAGAAATGTTAACCAATACATTTCTGTTATTTTAGCCAGCCAGTCTGTGGTATTTTGTTATGGCAGCCCTAGCAACTTCTATAAGAATATTCACACAGACCATCCAAACCTGGAGAGAAGCAAACTTAATGTATTTTTCTTCTTATAATTGGAACAGTGAGAAAAGCTGCAAGGACAAGTCTAATGACAAATGGAAGGCAAAGAGGTCCCAAAGAGTGATATGCTCTGATGCAGTGAGGACTCTGAGGCTCCATGCTGAATCAAAGCAATGAAGCCAGAGGCAGTCCTCTCCCTGCTGGGAATAGCTTAATTCCCCCAGGCCCCCCAAGTAAGTAAACACTGGAAGAGGGCATTTAACACAGTGTCAGAAGAGAGAGGAGCCGCCAGGGATCCCAAGGGTGTCACATCTAATAGAATCTTGCACTTTGGTCAGCTGAGCTTCCCTGACCCTCTCCTCCAACCATCACCATCCTGAAAAGATACACCAAAAGGAACACATAGTAGCTATCCTCAAAAATGCATGTTGAGGAAGAAATTATTAGTCTTAAAAGTCACACTGGAACAAAGAGAAGCACTTTTAAGAACTAGTCAGTAAGAGCAAGATGAAAAAAAGAAAAGAATTTAAAAAAAGAGTGTGACAACTATAGAAATAAACCACAAGAAAAAGTAAAGAAAAAGAAAATTTCATCCAAAACATAGAGAATTCAGTCTAGAAGAAAACATAACCCAAGGAACCAAAGGCAATTCCCCATGTGTTTCTAGTTATTGAGCAACTGGGTGAGAGTGTGAATTCAATAAAAACAAATGCTCAAAGATGAGCTACTAAAGCAATAGAACACGATGCAGAGGGACATTGCCGCCCTATGGAAGAAAAATGGTAGAATAACATGCTTTCAGTACAGAACTAAAAAATAAAATTAAAAAACTAAAGAAGGGAAGAGACATTGCTGAAAATTTAATTATTGAAAATACAAAAAGGCTTGAAAACAGTACCAATGAAGGTGGATTAAAAAGACCAAGAAAAGTAACTGCTGATAGGGCAGAAAAAGATAAATCTAACCATTATTCAATTCATTTAGCAAGTATTATAGAGTCCATCTGTGACACCAATGAGTTTACAGACAATAAACATAAACAGGCCAACATGTCACATGGTGATAAGCAACAAGGAGAAACAGAAAGCAAAGGAAAATTGGAGAGGGCAGTGGTGGGGCTGTAGCTATTTTATACAGGATGTTCAGAGAAGGCTTCATGGGGCAACTCTGGAGGTGAGACCTGAATGAAGTGAGGGAACCAGCCCGAGGTTATTTAGGGAAAGTGAGTTCCAGGAAAAAGGAACGCAAATGCAAAGGCCTGGGTGAGAACATGCCTGATACATTTGGGAGCTTCATGGGGGCCATTGCGAAGGGAACAGAGAATGGGGAAGGTGCTAGGAGATGAGGCCAGAGAAGTGGAAGGGGCCAGATGAGCATTGCCTTGTAGGCCGTGGCAGGGATTGGGTATGAATTCCATAGAATGCTTTGAATGGAAAAGGACAGGGTCACTGTGGATGAATTGTTGAGATGAGACTGTTGTGAAGTGAGGGGGTGTGCGGAGAGAGCAGTTTGGAGATTGTTGCAGTAAATGAAGCAAGAGATGATGGTGGGATAGAGCAGGGCCAAGGGGAGGTTGGTGAGAAGCAGTCAGATTCTGGATCTATTGAAGGGAGAGATCAGAAGATTTGTAGGATCAGATATGGAGTCTGAAAGAAGGAGAGGAACCAAGGGTAACTGCAAAGGTTTTGGCCTTAGAATTTGGAAGGTTAAAGCCCCCATTTATGAAACTGGGGAGATTCTGGTAGTAGCAGGTTTGCGATGGGAGCCAAAGTCTGGATTTGGGTGTGTTAAATTTGCACATAATTCAAGTGAAGATACGGGAGGTGGTTAGATGTACAATTCTGGAATTTTGAGAAATGCTCTGGCTTAAAGATATAAATGTGTGTGTTATCAGTGCATAACTGAAGTCTTTGAAGTGGAGAACTCAGCAAATAGAACAGAAAAAATATTCAAAGATATAATGAAATAAAAAATTCATGACTCTGCAGATTAACAGAACTAGCTCTGCTTCAAAACAATTTAATGGAGAGCCCCTAAGCAGAGAGGGCATGCAATGTGGAGACATATCCTGGTTTCGTTGCTGAACTTCCAAGAAAAATAATGAGCTCTTCAGGCATCCCGGAAGAATAAGTAAGTCACAGAAGCAGGAGACAAGAAGACTGATCACAGCATTATTCAGTAGTTGAAGGTAATAGACCAATGTCTACATTTTTTTTTTTTTTTTTGAGATAGAGTCTTGCTCTGTTGCCCAGGCTAGAGTGCAGTGGCACAATCTTGGCTCACTGCAACCTCTGCCTCCTGGGTTCAAGCAATTCTCTTGCCTCAGCCTCCCAAGTAGCTGGGACTACAGGCAAGTGCCACCACGCCTGGCTAATTTTTTGTATTTTTAGTAGAGATGGGTTTCACCGAGTTAGCCAGGATGGCCTCCATCTCCTGACCTTGTGATATCCCCATCTCAGCCTCCCAAAGTGCTGGAATTACAGGTGTGAGCCACCATACCCAGCCCAATGTCTACATTTTTTGGAGGAAATTGTGATTCAGTAATATCAGTTATAACCAAGATGTTGTTCAAGAATAGGACGACAGGCAGATATTCTTAAATAACTCATAGAACTCAGGAAATATTGCACCCTCGAGCTCTTACTGGGAAAAAATCACTTAAAAATGAAATCAGGCCACTTAAGAGATGAATCAAAGCGTAGCAGTGAGGAATGGAGGATGTGGTAAGAGTGAACATTGAATCCATTTAAATATAGACTTAATACTAAAAAATTGTTGAGAATTATTGCTACAAAGCAGAATGCAAATACTACAGTCCTGACAGAGTAAAATGATGCTCTAGCTAACGAAAACTGGGAGGTGGCGGGAGGTTTGGAGGGAAGAAGTGTGAGAGTGCTAATGGCTTCTTTGCTCACGGGAGTCAATCAATGCTGCATAAAATTGAAACTTATTAGTTTAAAAACATCTAATGTCTCTAATGATGATCATCATAATTTTATTACCTAACATCAGAAGTGTTTTTAAATATCTATTATAGTAAAGAAACATTTTAAGATTAGCAATTCCTTCCATTTCATTTTAATTTTTTTTTGTTTTGGTAAATTCAAGTAAACATTCAATAAAAATACTGCTTATAGCATGATTCTATTTTTAGAAATGTATGTATCAATCTATTATCTATCTGTATATATAGATAGAAAAATATGTGGAACAATGTTTATCTGGAATATTGATGGTTAGTTTTGGGTGAGATCATTTGAAATGATTTTTAATTTGTTGGGAATTTTTTTGTTTATGCTTTTCTGCATTGCTTGAGTTCACAATAAGTGTATATTTTATTTACAAAAATAATATTATATATATATTTAAAAGTAATCATGAGACATTGCTTGTGAGTGGCTCCCAGAAGGAGTGAGAAAAAATATTACTGAGGAAGACTTCTTGGAAGAGGGGCTTTAAGGAGAGCATTTCCCATTGGGAAATACCTGGATGGGCCTAAGGAAAGAAAAAATATGTGAAGATGTAGAACCACATAGGGAAAGCCAGGGCAAAGATACTTCTTATTCAAGGAGTAAAGAAAGCCTCCTTATATTCATCACCCATTATGTGCCAGACTACAAGTATCTGTCTCTCGCAAGGTAAAGGCTATTATCCCCATATGTAGTAAAGGGTTAATTCAGCAGACTTGGTGTGTTCGAACCCTGTACGTTCCAAAGAAAGGACTGGCCCTTGACCAGCTCCGGAGGGGTAATCTCTGCACCATTGGAATATCCTGCCTAGTAAAAGTGTCTTCGTATGACTGAAGCTTTAGCCCCATACCAGATAGTTTAGGTTGCTTACGCTGACAATGTGATTTAAAGTGAACACCTGTTTTTGTTCACCTGAGGCCTAGCTTGCATCAAGTTTGACCTCTGGGGATGCTGAACACTGAGTAGTTAAGATCAGTCACATGGGTACTCCATGCTGACATAACTGACCCCAAATAAAAACCCTGGACACCAAGGCTTGGCTGAGCATCTCTGGTTTTGGCAAAGCTTTGTATGTGTTGTCACACATCATTTCTGGGAGAATTAAGTGCTGTCAGTATGATTCCACTGGGAGAGGACAATAGGAACCTTGTACTTGTCTCTCTGGGACTCTTCCCTATGTACCTTTTCCTTTGGTGATTTTGATCTGTATCCTTTCACTGTAACAAACCATAACTGTGAGTATAAAAGGTTTTTTTCCTGAATTTTTTTAGTCCTTCTAGTGAATCATTGAATCTGAAGGTGGTCTTAAAGACCTCCCACAGAACTCCACTTTACATATGAACTAAAGCTCAGAGGATCTATGTGACTAGCTTATGATCACACAACCAGTAAACAAAAGAACCAGGGTTGAAACCTACGTCTTCCTGGCTATACAGCCTCACTTTTATCTCTGCAACAGAGGTTTTCAAACTAATTTTTTCTTTTTAGCAGCATAATGTTTTGGGTTGGGTATACAAAAAAAGGTAACAAGATTCCCAATATGCAAATTAAGAAGTAGAACAATACAGTATTTTTGTTGAAGTGTGGGTGGATGGTGGCCACATGTCATTTGGCCCACCTCCTATCCCTGAAATGGAATGCATTAACCTCATTAGAATCCTCTGGAAAAACGGATGTTGGGAAATGCACCCTGGATTGTGTCATTGAAAAACACTAGAGTGAAACTATTTTCTCAGGACCGGTCCTCACACTCCAAGATGCTGTTTTGTGGAAGCTAAATGGAGCCTGGGCTATTTGGATTCTGTAATTCCAAATTGGTCTATTGATAAATCCAATATTGACTTGACAGCCTCTGAAGCTTCATCATGCCAAGCTAGATCTTTGGAAACAAGGCTGGAAACCCACTCCAGTCACATTTGCTACCTTTAGACCATCCTCCCTCATCAGCCTTTTTTCACTGTCTAACTCCTCCATGGCCATCTCGGGCTTCATGTGATCCTGGAAGTTGCTCCTGACCCCTCAAGTCATAGCTCAGTGAACCCTCTGTTTAGGATGATGAACTGTTCCGGTTTGCCTGAGGCTGCCCCAGTTTTACCACTGCAAGCCCCATATTCCAGGAAACACCTCACTCTCACATAAACAGGATGTTTTTTTTTAACCCTACTTTAGTCTTCTGTAGTAGTGTCCCTCAAATTCGAATGTGAATTCGAGTCACGAAGGATCTGAAAATGCAGACTTTGCTTCGGTAGGGACAGTGAGGCCTGAGATTTTGCATTTTTAACCAGCTCCCAGGTGCTGTTGCTGCTATGGTCCTGCTGGTGTCAGGACCACAGTTTGAGTGGCAAAGGATTGGGGCACGCTTTGCTTTCTCTGTGTCGGTGATCATTGCACTTGATTGTAATTTCCTGTGTGTTGATTTCCCCCACTAACCCGTGAATTCCCCAAAGAATGGAACTGTATCCGAAGCACCTGTATTCCCAATATTAATAGGACGCCCAGCACAAATTAGGTGTTCAAAAGATTCCCTTTGGGCGAGAAGAAAAGAGAGTAGAATTCGTTAAGAGGGGCCCAGATTTGTGCTTGAGGACCAGCCAGGACCAGTAACTAAAGACCAGTTGACTAAAGATTTTTGTGTGGAATGAGTAAGGAATTGGGGTAAGGATTTTTGAGTCGAGTTTGATGTTATGCCCCTAAAGAGATCACTGGCACGTGTGACCAGAGGGAGCGCGTGGGTCTGAAATGGAATGCATTAACCTCATTCAAATCTTCTGGAAAAATGGATGTTGGGAAATGCACCCTGGATTTTGTCATTTAAAAACACTAGAGTGAAAACTATTTTCTCAGGACTGGTCCTCACACTCCAAGATGCTGCTTTGTGGAAGCCAAAGGGATCGTGGGCTATTTAGATTCTGTAATTCCAAACTGGCCTATTGATAAATTCAGTATTGACTTGATTTGTGTTAGGTAGAATCAACAATGCCTCCGTGAGATGGCCTATTCAACAGAAGTGGGGAAACACTCTGAGAAGTTAAGCAACTTGTCCAAGATCACACAGAGAGTAAGCTGGACAGGGCTGAATACAATTGTATGATTCCTAATTAGAGCTCTTTCAGCTACAACACACCAAATCCCAGAGTAAAAAACAAAACAAAACAAAAAACTATTGTGTGCCAGGCAGGGGGAATGTGGTTTTTGTCCCCTATTGCAGCATTTTCAGAGTATCTGGGAAATAGCATTGTTCCCCTCACAAACAGAACTGTCAAAGATTGAAAAAATTCAACTTTGCAGACTCCTAAAAGAAATGGTGGTTTGGCCAGTGACCTCTGAATTGAGCTGATTGAATCTGCACTAGGCATTGCCTGGAGCCAGCAGGACTGTAGCCTGACATAATTCTTCATCTACTCAAGTTATAAAGGGGGAAGCAAGGTTGTCCCTTATCTGGGAATCCCCCTTATTTGAAGGATTTTGACTAGACCTTGATGGTAATTAAATTGTTTTTAGGGCCTAATGCATAATAGGTAATGTTTGCTTCCTAATGGCCACCAGATGGTTTTTCAATGCTAATGAGGGGTGTATAATGACTCCCAGATTCCTAATAGAAGCTGTAGAAGTCAGCTGCTGTCAACCAAATGGATTCTCTGGGCAGAGTTAGTACTCCCCAGGGCTGGTCACCAAGCCTGGACTTGGGCAGAATTGGGACAGGGATTTTCCATACTTGTTGGTATTCACTGTTGGCTGTTGGCAATGAGGGCATGCTTAGATGACATCCACCTTGGACATTAGCACATAGTAGGTACTAGATGGAGCTTGCGTGTCGAATTCATCAAAGGATGTCACACTTGGAATAGATCTTACAGTGCAGGTTTGCCCACTTTTAATTAGTGTCAAAATCTCCCAGTATTATTTAAAAAATAACTTTCCTTTTTTAACTTTTATTATAAGAGTTATAGATCTGCAGAAAAATTAAAAGTCATAGATTAGCAAAAAGAACAAAAGAGAGAAAGAATGAAAGGGAAGAAAAAAGTAATGAAGAGAAGAGTAGAAAGAAGAATTTTTAAAAGGGGGAAAAAGCCATTTATAGGCTTACTGTATCTAGATCAATTTACCTAAATCTGGTTTGGCTAAAACAAGTTTGTCTATGAATCATTTGCCAATTTACATTTTTCTAAAATTAAATCCTCTTGTGCATCTTTTTGGAGCTTACTCTTTGTCCTTGCATCTTTTTGGCATGTAAGTATTCCTAACAAAAAAGGCACTTCTAACTTAAAAGCAATTCTAACTTATTTTTGTCTATCAAATTAGGATTTGTCAAAATTGCAATGTTTTATAAATAATAAGACACATTTGAAAGGCGGATGATCTTAGCAAATTATTAGTAGATATTTGGAGAAGTGATCTTTAGGAAAACTGGTTTTAGGTGAAGTGGCTGTTACTATACCCATTACCTATCTTTGACCAATCTCCATATTTGGTCTCTGTCTAGTCTTTTTGACATGAGTCTACTCATGTCAGTATAGACAAAGGGGATTATCTACACATGCACACATATACACTAATATATATACACACACATATACACACACAGAAACACACTCACATATATACATCTATGTATATATACATATAAAACATATATGTATGTATGTACATGCGAAGTACACATATATGTATGTTTCATTAGATACAGTATATTAAATATGCCTTATATGTATATCCTATACAGTGATATTTAAACAAAAATGAGATTTTAATTTAAAACCTACTCAATTAATGGAAACAATATATCACTAGAAATTCTACAACATTAAATACCTAGATAGTATTTGATTCCATTGATAGGTTATTGTTGGATGTTGCAGTTATTCCCAATGTTTCTCTATTACAAACAGCATGCTTCATGGCTTACTTTCCTTTTTGTTCCTAGCAATGTATCTCAAACATCTTTCATGACAGTATGTATAGATGATTCTTCTGGACAGTTACATAGTTTTTTACAAAATGGATGTGCCATAATCTTTCAAAACTGCTCCATAGTCTTTGGGGCTCAACTTGTGCGTGCATATGTAGTATTTCCTCAGATTAAATTCCTAGAGGTTGTATGCAAGCTTTTAAAGCTTTCGCTACATACATTTCTAAATTTCCCCCCAGAAACATTGTGCCAATTTATATGTCCACCAGGGGGATGTGATAACGCCTATTTCCTTTCACTGATCTCAACTCGGGGCTATCCTTTCTTTCTTTCTTTTTCCTTTAATTCCAAAAACAATAATGCTCATACTAAAAAAGAAAATCAAAAAACAAACCAATAATGAAGAATTATATAGAAAAAAAAGAGGATAAAATCTCCTTCTTTCTGTGTATCTCTTTCCCTGATCTTCCCATCCAGTTTCTCTACCAAGAGGGACCTCTGTTAAAATTTGGTGAGCATCCTTCTAGAACAACTCTATGCATTTAGATTGCATGTACTTGGTCATAAATGGAATCAGACTATGTATACACACATGTGCACACACACACACATACACACACACACACACTATATTGCTCACTTTTCTTTTTTCACCTCACAATATATCACAAACATCTTTCCATGACAATAAGTACCACTCTTGTTCAAAAGAATCAAGATGAGTCTACTTATGTCAGTGTAGACATGATTCATCTTGATTCTTTTGAACGATCACATAGTATTTAAAGAAAAAATGTGTCACAATCTTTTAAAACTACTCCTTATTAATGGACATTTAGCTCCTATATATTCACAATTTCTAATATTTTTAAAAAATTGGTCCATTTGATAAATGAGAAAATAATGTTATTTCTATCTTAATACACATTTCCATGATTTCTAATTTGGCTAAACATTTCTCATATACTCATTGACCATTTGTATTTTGTGTGCAAATTGCCAGCTACATGTTGAAGCAGATTCTGCTCGTGCTCCCTAATACCTGGATTATGCATTTCTAATAGTGTGCTTGACTGCATTTTCTAGGTCTTTTGCTTCTAAGTGGGGTCAAGTGGCTGTTGCTTATCAATTGAATGAGAGCAGAGGAAATATGTATCACTTCCCGGTTGAGATGGTTAAGGATGTGTCCTGAAATACAGAGGAGCCGCATGCTGGAAAGACCCTGGGTTCCTGAGTTACTACATGGAGCCGAAGCCCTTGTATCCATTTACGATGAACTATGATAGAAGCAAGAAATAAACTCAGTGTTGAGCCACTGAGATTTGGGCTTGTTTATTACAGGAACTAATATTACTTACCCTGAAAAATATATGGATAGGCGGCCAGGCGCAGTGGCTCACGTCTGTAATCCCAGCACTTTGGGAGGCCAAGGTGGGTGAATCACAAAGTCAGGAGTTCAAGACCAGCCTGGCCAACATAGTGAAACCCCATCTCTACTAAAAATACAAAAAAAATTAGCCATGCATGGTGGCAGGCGCTTGTAGTCCCAGCTACTTGGAGGCTGAGGCAGGAGAATTGCTTGAACCCAGGAGGTGGAGGTTGCAGTGAGCCGAGATGGTGCCAGCCTGGGAGACAGAGCGAGACTCTGTATAAAAATATATATATATAAAATATATATTATATATATAATGTATATATATATACATGTATATGTATGTATACGTATATACATATATGTGTATATGTATATATAATGTGTATATATATGCATTATATATATATGTACTCAGTAAACATTTGTTGAGGACTGAATGATTTACAACATCCTCTACATACATTAAAAAAGTACTGCATATAGGTATAAGTCCTAGACAGTGCTTGGTATACAGATGGACTTGTTGATTTCCTATAGTAATTCCATGACTTCCAAGAATTTGGGGCCTGTGGATTAAAGGCATTGGTGTGGTTAGACAAACTTACTTAGCAAATTGCAAAATTGAGACCCAGAGATAATTGACTTGTCCAAGATCACCAAGAGAGTGATTACTTAGCCATGACTGGATTCTAATTCTTCTAATACCTACAACAGTACAGTGCAGTGGTTAAAACAGGCAGTGTAGATACTTGACTCCAAACTCCCAGCTCTGCCGCTTACTTGTCATGTGGCCTTTAGTAACTTGTCTAAATCTCTGTCTTTCCCTCTTTGTGAAAAGGGGACAATAGTACCTCGGTGTCCCTGGGAAGTTTAAATAGGTAATAGTCAGCCTTCCTATCTGTGGGTTCTGCATCTGTGGATTCAACCAACTGTGGCTTAAAAATATTCAGAAAAAAATTCACACAGTTTCAAAAAGAAAACTTGAATTTGCTGTGCGCTGAGTACTGCATTGAATCCGGGTGAATGAAGTGATGTGTCAGCATTGTATTAGGTATTATCAGTAATCTAGAGAAGAGATGCTTTAAGGTATACAAAAGGATGTGCACAGGTTATATGCAAATACTATGGCATTTTATATAAGCAACCTCGGCAACTGCAGAGCTTGGTATCTGAGGGGGTTTCTGACATGCACATATACAGAATGACTGTATATGTAAGGTTATTGTGATTAAAGTGTTCCTCTCTGAAAAGGTAGTCAATACAAGAAAATAATGATTATAATTGTTTATATTAGACAGCTTTACTCATTATTCACTTACTGATCCCCTTTTTGTTTTATGCCAGATCCTTGCCAAGTGCTGAGAAAACAAAGATATGTAAGATGCTATCTCTACCCTTGAGAGGCTCAGGGTCTTGTGGTCTGAGAAAGACTCATTAGCAGGCTGTTACACTAATACAGGCCCGATGCTGTGTTCAGGTGCACAAAGGGAGTGACAGGCTCCATCTGAGGGGCACTGGAGGGTAGAGAGTGCATTCCTTGTCTTCCCTCTCTAGAGAGTGAGTACCTGTGTTTCTACATATGCATAAAGCATTCTAAGTGACTGAAATAAGCAGCAGGAGTACATAAAGGCCCAGACATGATAGGATGTAGTGACTCGAGGGGACACGAAAGTTTGGAGCCTCTATGTACCTCTTTCCGCACAGACTCCTACATGCTTCCTCTCTTTACATCATGGGTGTACCAAGCAGTTCTCAGACTTGAGTGTGCATCAGAATCCCTTGGAAGGCTTGTTGAAACACAGATTGCTGGACCCCAATTCCAGAGTTTCTCCTTCAGAAGGCTGGGGTTGGGGTTTGACATTTTGCATCTCTAATAATTCCCTGGGCAATGCTGATGCTGCTTGCCAGGGAACCACACTTTGAGAACCTCTGGTCTACCACAGCAGCTCTCATCCTGGCAGCAAATTAGAATCATCAGGGGAACTTCAAAAAATAGCAGTGCCAGGGCCCTGTCTCCCACATATTTCATTTCAGTTGATCTAGGGTGATGCTCATAGGCATATTTTTGTTTAGTTTTCCTTTTAATAGACTTTTAAAAATAGCAGTTTTAGGTTCACAGTAAAATTGAGGGAAGGTACAGAGATTTCCAATAACCCTGCTCCTCCACACATGCACAGCTTCTCCCACTATTAACACCCCCCACCAGAGTGTACATTTGTTATGGTTGACAAATTTACAATGACACATTATTATCATCTG
The DNA here is from genome assembly GCF_000001405.40 of Homo sapiens. Taxonomy (NCBI): domain Eukaryota; kingdom Metazoa; phylum Chordata; class Mammalia; order Primates; family Hominidae; genus Homo; species Homo sapiens. The sequence goes on along the minus strand of NC_000004.12, from coordinate 17,121,593 downwards.
AAGTCCAGCATTTACATTGGGGTTCACTCTTGGTGTTGTACATGCTATGAGTTTGGACAAACATGCAATCATATGTATCCACAATTACAGTAGCATACAGAATCACTATCCTGAAAATCTGCTGTGCTCTGCTTATTCATTCCTCTCTTCCCCTGTAACTCTTGGCAACCACTGATCCTTTTACTGTCTCCATAGTTTTGCCTTTTCCAGAATGTCATATAGTTGGAATCACACAGTATGTAGCATAGTTAGATTGGCTTCTCTCACTTAGTAATATGCAGTGATGTTTCCCCATGTCCTTTCACAGCTTATGGTTTATTTCTTTTTAGCCCTGAATAATATTCCATGTCTAGATGTACTACAGATTACTGACTGATTCACCTACTGAAGGACATACTGGTTGCTTTCAAGTTTTAATAATTATGACTAAAGCTGCCATAAACACCTGTGTGTATGTTTTTGTGTGAATACAAGTTTACAGTTCCTGTGAGTAAACACCAGAGAGTGTGACTGCTGGATTGTATGGTAAGAGTATGTTTAGTTTTTTTGTAAAACTGCCAAATTGTCATCCAAAGTGATTCTACAATTTTCCATTTCTGCCAGCAATGAATCAGCGTTCCTATTGCTCCACATCCTCAACAGCATTTGGTGTTGTCAGTTTTCTGGATTTTGGCCATTGTAGTAGGTAAGTAGTGGTAGCTCCTTATTCTTTTAATTTACATTTCCCTGATGACATACATCATAGAGCATCTTCTCTTATGTTTATTTGCCATCTGTACATCATCTTTGCTGAGGTGTCTTTACAGTCTTTTGCCCATTTTTCAGTTGGGTTTTTTCTTTTCTTATTTTTAAGTTCTAAGTGTTCTTTGTTTATTCTGAATAACGGTTATTTATCAGATATGTTTTTTTGCAAGTGTTTTCTCCCAGCCTGTGGCTTGTCTTTTCATTCTCCTGACAGTGTCTTTCACAGAAGAGAAAAATTTAATTTTAATGAAACTGAGTTTATCAATTCTTTATTTTATAGGTCATGTCTTTGGTGTTGTACAAAAAGTCACCTCCAAACTCAAAGTCATCTAGATTTTCTCCTATATTATCTTCTAGGAGTTTTATGGTTTTGCATTTTAAATTTAGGTCTGTGATCCATTTCGAGTTCATTTTTTTGAATAATGTAAGACCTGTGTCTAGATTTGTGTATTTATTTTTGCATGTGGATGTCTAGTTATTTCAGCACCATTTGCTAAAAAGACTATCTTTGTGCCATTGTATTGCCTTTACTTCTTTGTCAAATATCAGTTGATTTAATTTATTTGGGTCAATTTCTGGGCTTTCTATTCTTTTCCACTGGTTTGTCTATTTTTTTTTCACCAATACTGTACTCTCTTGATTATTGTCACATTTTAGTAAGTCTTGAGGTCAGCTAATGTCAGTACTTCAACTTTGTTCTTGTCCTTTAATATCGTGTTGGTTATTCTGGGTCTTTTGCTTCTCCATATAAACTGTAAAATTAAGTTTCTGGATATCCACAAAATAACTGCTAAGATGTTGACTGGCATGGCATTGAATCTATAGATCAAGTGGGAAGACTCAACATCTTGACAATATTGAGTCTTCCTATCCATGAACATGGAATATATCTGTATTATTTAGTTATTCTTTGATTTTGTTCATCAGAGTTTTGTAGTTTTCCTCATATAGATCTTGTTGTATATGTTTTGTTAGATTTATACCTAAGTATAGATGTTTAGGGGTGCTAATGTAAATGGTAATGTGTTTTTAAGTTTGAATTCCACTTTTTAAGTTGCTGGTATATAGGAAAGCAATGAACTTTTGTATATTAATCTTGTATTTTACAACCTTGCTATCATTGCTTTTTAGTCCCAGAAGGGTTTTTTTTTTTTTGTCATTTCAGTTTTCTACGTAGACAATTATGTTATCTGCAAAGAAATGTTATTTCTTCCTTTTCAATCCATATATCTTTTTTTTTCTTTTTGCATTAGCTAGGACTCCTGGTACAATATCAAAAAGGAATGGTGAGAGGGAACATCTTTGCCTTATTCCTGATCTTAGTGGAAAACCTTCAGATTTCTCATCATTACATATGACATTAGCTGCAGGTTTGTTGTAGTCCACACTTTATAAAGTTGAGGAAGTTATTTTCTATTCCTTGTTTCCTAAGGGTTTTTGTTATGAATCAGTGCTAGATTTTGTCAAATGATTTTTCTGAATGTATTGATATGACCATGTGGTTTTTCTTATTTAGCCTGTTGATGTGATGGATTACATTAATCAATTCTCAGATGTTGAACCCAACTCACACACTTGGGATAAATCCCACTTGGTCATAGTGTGTAATTTTTACATGTTTTTTTTTTTAATTTAATTTGCTAATATTTTGTTGAGGACTTTTGCATGTGCATTTATGAAAGATATTGGTTTGTAGTTTTCCTTTCTTGTAATGACTTTGTCTGGTTTTCATATTAAAATAATTCTGACCTCACAGAATGAGTTAGAAAGTATTCCCTCTACCTTTATCCTCTGAAAAGGTTGTAGATAATTGGTATAATTTTTTTTTAAATTTTGGTAGAAATCGCTTGTGAACCTATCTGGGCCTGTTGATTTCTATTATGAAAGGTTATTAATTATTGATTCAATTTCTTTAATTGGTAAAGACTAATTCAGGTTGTTTATTTCTTCTTATGACAGTTTTGGCAGATTGTGCTTTAAGGTATTGTTCCACTTTGCCTACATTCTCAAATTTGTGGGCATGAAATCATTTCTTTATTATTCTTTTAATGTCCATAAAGTCTGTAGTGATATCCTCTCTTTCATTCTGATATTAGTAATTTCTGTTCTCTCTCCTTTATTCTAGTTATCCTGGCTACATATTTTTTTTTTTAAATTTTACTCATCTTTTCAAATAACCAGCTTTTAGTTTTGTTGATTTTCCTATTGATTTACTGTTTTCAATTTCACTGATTTTTTTGCTCAATTTTTATTATTTGTTTTTTTCCTCTGCTTACTTTAAATTTAATTTGCTCTTCCTAGTTTCCTAAGGTGGCAGCTTAGATAATTATTTTTAGATTTTTTTCTTTTCTAATATGTACATTCAGTGCTATACATTTATTTGTAGGCACTGCTTTTGATGCATTTCTCAAATTTTGATAAGTTCTATTTTCATTTTCATTCAGTTCAAAATATTTTTAAATTTCTCTTGAGATTTCACCCTCAGCCTATGTGTTATTTGGAATGTGTTGTTTACTCTTCAAATATTTTAGAATTTTTCAACTATCTTCTTGTGACAAATTTTTAGTTTAATTTTTTGTAGTCTGAGAGCAGACGTTGTATAATTTATGTTCCTTTAAGTTTGTTAAGATGTGTTTTGTGGCCCAGAATGTGGTCTATTTTGGTGAATTTTCCATGTGAGCTTGGAAAGAATGTGTATTCTACTGTTGCTGGATGATATAGTCTATAGATGTCCATTATATTCAGTGGATTGATGGTGTTGCTGAATTCAACTATGTTATTTTCTGATTTTCCCCCGCAAGATCTATTTCTGATAAAGGAATGTTGAAGTCTTTAACCATAATAGTGGATTCATCTATTTCCCTTCGAAGTTCTCTAAGTTTTTGCGTCACACGATTTGCTGATTTGTGGTTAGGTGAATCACATTCATGATTATTATGTCTTCTTGGAGAATTGAACCTTTTCTCAGTGTGTAATGACCCTCTATATCCTCAATAATTTTTCTTGCTCTGAAGTTTGCTTTTTCTGAAATAAATATAGCTACTCCCACTTTCTTTCTTTCTTTCTTTCTTTCTTTTTTTAGACAGAGTCTTGCTTTGTCACCCAGGCTGGAGTGCAGTGGCGCCATCTCAGCTCACTGCAACCTCCACCTCCCGTTTTCAAGCAATTCTCGTGCCTCAGCCTCCCCAGTAGCTGGGATTACAGGAGTACGCCACCACTCCCAGCTAATTTTTTGTATTTTAGTAAAGACAGGGTTTCACCGTGTTGCCCAGGCTGATCTTGAACTCTTGAGCCCCAGCAGTCTGCCCACCTTGACCTCCCAGATTGCTAGGATTACAGGCATGACCCACTGCGCCCAGCCCCACCTACTTTCTTTTGATTACTGTTACATGGTATATCTTTATCCATCTATTTACTTCTAACCTACATGTGTCTTTATATTTAAAGTGGGTTTCTTGGCCTGGTGCAGTGGCTCATACCTGTAATCTCAGCACTTTGGGAGGCTGAGGTGGGAGGATTACTTGAGCGTAAGAGTTTGAGGTTTCAGTGAGCTGTGATTGTGCCACTACACTTCAGACTGGGTGACAGAACTAGATGCTGTCTCAAAAAATAAAGTAGGTTCCTTGTAGAAAACATAAAGTTAGGTTTTGTTTTCTGATCCCCTCTGACAATACATGTATTTTAATTGAAGCATTTATTTCATTGATGTTCAAAGTGATTAGTGATATAGTTAGATTATTATATACCATATTTGTTTCTATTTTCTATTTGTTGCCCTTGTTCTATTTTTGTCTTCTTTTTTCTGCCTTCTGTTGTTTTGATTGAGCATTTTATATGATTTCATTTTTTCTTCTTTCTTAGCATATCAGTTATACCTTTTTTTAACCTTTTTTAGTGATTGCCCTAGAGTTTGCAACATACACTTACAAGTAATCCAAGTAGCTTCTTAAATAACACTATACCACCTTACAGGTAGTGTGACTATCTTATAATAACAAAATAATCCTAGTTTATCCCTCATATCATTGTTGTCATTCATTTTACTTATACATAAGCATAACATAGATGTGTATATATATATATATATATCTTAAACATAAACTATATATGTAAAGATATGTATATCTTATGTTAAGGTATGTATAGCTTAAAATGTATATAATCTTAAATGTGTATATATGTGATATATACATATCTTAACATATATATAATCTTAAACATATGTACATATAATATATAAGTTCATTTTTGGCTGCTATAACAAAATGCCATAGCCTAGACAGCTTACAAACAACAGAAATTTCTTACAGTTCTGGAAACGTCTCTTTATCCCCTTATAAGGGCACTAAACCTGTTCGTGAGGGCTCACGCTCATGACCTAACATTAATCACATATCAAAGACTCCACCTTCTGATATGATCACTTTGGAAATTGAGGCAAAGGGAGGCAGAACAATTGTCTAAAGTCACACAGCTGAAAGAGTCAGGATTCAGGCCTCAGCAGTCTGACTCCAGAGTCCTAAATCATTGAACATGTGGTTGTTGGAAAATATGCAACAGACTCCCCTGGGCCTAGCTAGATTTCAGAAAACCAGGGAAGAAAGCCCCCTTTATAACTTGAAACACCCGCTTCCATTCTCTGTAACTTAGGATCACTCCCAACCCATTACCCTGAGAATCACAGCTGTGGGGCATGAGGATTCAAGAACAGATAACATCATCCTTGACTTTGAAAGGAGCTTGCAGTCTAATGGTGGAGAGAGAAAGGAATACAAATCTGAATAGATACAATAGCTACTCTTACTGAGTGATCATTAGTGAGGCCTTTCAAGAGGGTTGTGTGAGGTCAATATTATTATCTTCTTCATATTACAGATGAGAAAATTGAGAAACGGAGAGATGAAAACATTTGCCTAAAGTCAACCAGTTATAAATGGCAGAGGCAGGATTTGAATGACAGCTGTACAACTTCAGAGCCCCTCCCTTTATTTCACAACACTGAAGTGCTTTGGGGCGGGCATGCTGGTCAATGTATAGGGGTGGTTTATTTATTTATTTTCTAACTAAGTTACTGCAGGCAGCCGTGGCTTCACGGAGCAGAGCCTTTATATTGCCACTGGGTGGATTGCTATGTGTGTTCCTGTCATCTGGCTGAAGGGTGGTTAATCCATCTCAGCTCTTTCCACCCAGTGCAACACAGGCAGGGGAGGAGAGGAAGCAATCGAGTTTTGCTTCTTGTTCTAGTGACTTTAAAGGCTAAAAGTTTACAGTTGATTCTCGAAAACTCAAGTGCCTGTGAGATAATACATTTCTGTTGTTTAAGCAAAAAAAAAAAAAAAAACCCATAAAACAAACAACCCCACAAAAACAAAACAAGATTTTAAAACACACTCAAGTGCCTATGGAGTCTAGGCTGGCAAGTGAGTGAGGGAGGACCTTGTAAACTGGAGGGCTCACACCCTCCAAAGTGGATCTGCTCCCTTTCACCCTCAGCTGCTAGGCCCAATGCAGAGGGGATGCAGAGGAGCTATGGGTTCATAGACATCACATATTTTTTTTTTCAAAAAGGAGATATATCAGTTTTTGTGCAAAAATCTCCCAATTTCAAAAACTAGTTTATTTATTCAACAAGGTTAATGAGGTAAATACAATATGTGGTGTGTGCTGGGCACTGTTCGATGTGTGCTGAGTATAACAATGGAGGGAGAAAGTATCTGTTCTCAAGGAGTTTATCTTTTAGTGTCAAAAGATAGTCAATACACAAATAAACAGTAGGCCATAAATATAATATCCCAATGGTGATATGTGCTATAAAGCAGGGAAATAGGGACAACAATAAAGACTTGATCCAAGGTGGCTGCTGGGTATGCAGATGGTCAGGGAAGGTCTTACTGATATGGACACATGAACACAGACATGAAGGAGGAAGAGTGAAGTCAAAAACACTAGGATGAGATCCTGTCTGGTATGTGGAGATGCAAGGCCCAGAGTGGCTGGAAGGGAGGGAGGGAGAAGGAAAGTGGTGTGAGGTAGAGTCTGAGAGGAAGAGGAGGCAGATGATACGGAGCCTTGCAGGCAACTGTAGGAGATCTGTCTTCTGTACTGAGATGAGAAGCCGATGGAAAGTTCTGAGCAGATAATTGACATGATTGGACTTCCTGTTTTGAAAATGATCCCTTAGGCTGATGTTGGGTTTGGGGGCAGGGCAATGGTAGGAACAAGGTAAGTGTTTAGAAAGCTCTTGTAAAATAATCCAGGTGGGAGATGATGTTGTCACGGTCTAATATCATAGTGATGGAAATGAGACAAAGTTGTCAGGTTCAAAATATACTTTGAAGGTGATGCTGATAAGACTTTTTGATGTGGAATTTAGAAAACAAAAGAATGGAGAATAATCTCAAAGTTGTAAGGCCAGACCTGCCACTTTCCTTGGAGGAGAAGACTGGTAGTAGAAGCAGGTCAGGGAAGGAGGTGGAATCAGGGGTTTCAGAGATATGAAGTTGGAGATTCCAGGTAGGTATACAAGTGAAGAGTTTGGATTTTATATGATTCAGGAGTTTGAGGGATGAATCTGGGTAGAGATATAATTTTTAGAATGGTTGCATGTAGAAAGTATTGAAAGCTAGAGGATCAAATGAGATTACCTAAGGAATGTATGTAGATACAGATGAGATGTGGTCCAAGGACTGAATTCAATGCGAGACGTGTCAGCATGATTATATTTTTCTCTTGATGTGTTCCACTATGTATGTGAAAGCTCAAAATAGGCAGAGCATTGGATGTAGCCAGCATTGGGAATTTGCCAGGTATAACACAATAAAGGGACAGAAGTAAGGAAATTGAGGGTATATGCAAGGAGATGAATGTAATGGTGGACCGTACTATCTAGTTAGGGAGAACTACGTATGTGGATAAAGAGAATGAAAAGGAGATAGAGTCAATGGATTGGAAGTTCCCATAGGATTGAAGAGTTGTTGGACTTACAGTACTAAAGAGAATGATCTGCAAAGGTAGAAAGTGCTGGTTAGAGAATAGGAGAGGGAAATAGTGATTATGGAGAGGGTGCAGTTATTGGTAAGAACAGAGTTTATGAAAGTATAACCAATGCTAGATACAGATGACAGTATGTGCAGGTGGGACGGTTGATCCTCCAAAGAAAGTAGGCCAAGGAATTGAAAAGATAGTTAGCAGAAGTGTCATCTGCAAAGGTAGCTCTTAAACTTCATATGCTCCAGTATCGTCTGGAGGCCCCTCTCCCCCATGTCTGTTGCAGTCCAAGAATTTGCACTCCCAACATGTTCCCATGGGCTCCTGATGCTCCTGTTTCAAGACCATACTTTGAGAATTACTTCAATTAATAGCTACAAAGATAGTGAAATCTTTAAGAATCATGTCAGGAGTAGTATCTTAACCATCAGGGAATCAATTAAAGGGCTTTTGCCAGAATACATTTTTATTACCAATTAGGGAGACATACACTGTAGCACAATGAGTCTCAAACTTGGTTGTTCATCCCAATTATCTGGGGAGTTTGTGAAAAATACAAAGTCCTGGTGAAGTTCACAATCTGAGAAGTCCAGAGATTCTGAATCCATAGATTTGGGGTGAGGTTTATAAATATGCATATGAACAAATACCAGAAGTATTTCTGAGTCAAATGGTAAAAGGGCCACACTGCAGAAACACTGGAGCAGTTACGTATATAGTCCAGCTGTTTGACCTTGGGCCAGTTTACCAACTTTTCTGAGCTGTAGATTTCTTCTCTGCAAAATGGGAATAAATATTTTGCCTGTAAGATTATTGTGAGAATTGAATAAAATACATGTGAAAACCTTTTATAAACATAAATTCACTATCAACTCTACTTTTTATAAATATAAGTAATTATGTTAGGAAAAATTTATTTCTATATCCAGTGTTTCAGTTGTACATGGGAGGAAGAGTGAGAAAAAAAGAGAACATTTGCATTTGTTGATTTTCTACTTTGTGCAAGGAACTGTTTTAGCCATTTCACTTATGTTTTAGAATTATATTCTCACAGCAGAGTTCCTGGGTAAGAAATGTCTCAGGGTTTGTGAGAGGCGGTAATGAATCACACTGTTCTTCCTTTTGCATTTTTAACCAATTAAAAGATAAACATAATAGTCACATAAGAATCAAATGCCTTAATAGTCATAAAACTAGACTAGAAGTGGAGGTGAACTTACTTCCTCCCACTCCTATTTCACACACGTACGCCCCACCATACTGATACATACACACACATACACATACATCCCTTATGCTAATTGTTACACTATTGTTTTTTGGCTCCAAATCCACCCTTTAATACTCATCTCTGCAATGCCAGGACTGGGACTGCATTTGGGCTTTATCGGCTACTCCCTGCTAGGATCTGCCAATAGGGGGCACTAGAGAGAGAGTATGGGAGGCCAGAGGGGAAAGGAGGAAACTGTCTGTTGGCTTCCTGGCTACTTCGAGTTCATTTGAGCATCACCCAGCCTCTTCCCTTCACCCTGGCAGTGGTGTTTCCTTCATATAGAAGTGGCTAAATCCAGTTTGCAGCTTTAAAAAAACACTCGTAAAATATAACTCATTATACTCCCCCTGCCTGCACCACAGCGGCACTCCTAGGCTGGCAGTGCCCCTTCCTCAGAGGTCTCAGTCCCAGCTCCATGGGCTGTTCTCCAAGTTCTAGGTTGTAATGACACCAGCTTCCTCCCTGTGTTCCCCCAGCCCTATGGGTGGTAGCTGCTGCTTGCAGTTACTACCTCTGCCATACCCTTGAGCTCTCTTTTATTCTTTCAGTTACCTTGGTAACAACTTTATATCTAGTTAACAATTCTTTATATTAAATACTCTCTTCAAGTAACTGGTGTGATTTCTGTCCCCTGAATGCACTCTCTCTCTCTTTCTCTCTCTCTCTCTCTCTCTCACACACACACACACACACACATAACATGCACACGTACCAGGGAAAGCAAACAACTGCAGCTCTCCCCTTCCACTGGAAGATAACTTATTTGTCATGTCCACCATCTGCCCCACACAGCAGTACCTTCTTTTTCCATTTTCAAAAAGTTTTAAATAATGGCCAAGCTCTTAAAAACACGGCTATGTCTGATTATTCAGTGGTGGGATGGAGAAAGAGATTATACTGATCACTGAGGTCATCTTTTCCTCTCATGTGACCACAGTGCTTAATATGTTCCTCTAGGGATGACTTAAATTATTTCCATCTTTGTAAATCCTTTGCCATGCTGTCTTAGCACATTCAACACAATCTGGCATCTTGTAGACTCTCTTGCTCATATGTCTTTTTCCTTTCACTGGAATGTAATTTCTTTAGGAATAGGGGCCACATTTTATTATTTTATTCATCTGTGCATCCCTCCAGCTCAGGAGTTCTTCAATGGAGTTACAATTCTTGGGGCTGGGAATTTGAATAGGAAGAGAATACATCTTTATTTTCACTAACCTCTAACAGAAATTTAACATGTCCTTCAATCATGATATAGGCAACAAGCCACAGTAGAATGAGCAGTGCCTGTAACTTTGCAACAATAGAAATCCCAGATGTTTCTATATCACATTACAGGTTGTTGCAGACCTCTTAAAGTATCTAAAGCTTATCACTGCTCTGACACGATGGTAGTCATTAGACTTGCTGCTAGATTGTGTTATGATATTTAAATAAAGAAACACATATATTACCATGTCACAATTTTATAAAAGTATTTTGAAAACTGTATTTCAATATAATTGGTTTCCTTTGTAATCCTATGCTTTTGTTTTGTGTATTTACATACATTATTCTGAGAAAGGAATCTATAGCCTTCACCAAACTAACAAATAAATTCCTGTCTTGTACCGTATGCAAAAATTAATCCAAAATGAATCATACTTATGAAATTAAATCCTCAATCTATAAGACTTTTAGAAGAAATCAAGGTAGAGAATCTTTGTAACTTTGGTTTAGGGAAAGAATCAACACCAAAACATAAACCATAAAAAAAGTAAGAAATTGGACTTCATTGAAATTAAGAACTTCTGCTCCTCAACAGACCGTTTTAAGAGGATAGAAGACAAAACACAAACTGGAATAAAATATTTGTAATCATAAATCTGATAAAAGACTTGTATCCAGAATACATAAAGAACTCTCAAAACTCATAAGTAAATAAATGCCTTGATTAAAAATTGGCAAAGAATTTAAATAGACACCTCACCAGCAAACATGAATGGATGGCAAATAAGCACATAAAAAGATGCTCAGTGGCCGGGCATGGTGGCTCATGCCTGTAATCCCAGCGCTTTGGGAGGCCGAGGCAGTTGGATCACCTGAGGTCAGGAGTTCGAGACAAGCCTGCACAACATGGTGAAACCTCGTCTCTACTAAAAATACAAAAATTAGCCAGGTCTGGTGGTGGGTGCCTGTAATCCCAGTACCCAGGAGGCTGAGGCAGGAGAATCGCTTGAACGCAGGAGAATCGCTTGAACCCAGGAGGCAGAGGTTGCAGTGAGCTGAGATCGTGCCATTGCACTCCAGCCTGGGTGACAGAGTGAGACTCAGTCTCAAAAAAAAAGATGAGCATCATTTATCACTAAGGAAATGAAAAATCAAAATCACACAACACAATACCTCCACTTGCCTGCTGGAATCCCAAACAAAACAAAACAGAGCAAAAGTGGACAACTGACAACTAACAATACCAAGTTCTGGAAATAATGTGGAGCAACTAGAACTCGCACACACTGCTGGTGAGAATGCAAAATAGTGCAGTAATTTTGGTAAACAGTTTGACACTTTCTTGTAAGATTAGACATACACTTAATCTACGAATTGCCAATCCCACTCCTAGGTATTTACCCAAGAGACACGAAAGCTTATATTTACAAAACAGTGTGAATGTAAATATTTATAACGGCTTTGTGTGTAACAGCCAAAACCTGGCAATAACTCAAATGTCCTTAAACTTATAAATGACTGTGGTACAATTCATGCAATGGCACACTTCTTAGCATTAAAAAAGGAAAGAGACCTGCACGTTCTGCACATGTATCCCAGAACTTAAAGTATACAAGAAAATGGCTAAATGAATTTTTACCAATCTGAATTTGTTTAGGATGGCCTGGTTTAAAAGATAGGCTGGTAGAATACCAGGAAATTAATCTGAGATAAAACAGGTAGAGAGCTTTCTTGTGGCTACTTGAGAGGGATTTTCTGCTGCACTAACAAATCTTTGCAGTAACTCTGGGACTTAGGAACATCTCAAAGGGATAGACCAACATCAGTCTAAGTGAGCATGAATGAGGTACAAAAAAGTAGAGGCTCATGAGATCGCTGATTAGAGATGTGTCATTGAATTGATATGCCTTGTGTAGAGAAAACAGCAGTGGATCTCAATATATATGCAAGATGTTTTGTCACAAAGTGGATGGCTAGAATCACAGACATCTATTTGCAATCAAATGCTGAAGTGCATGGTATAAAGATGGTGAAAGAGCCTCCCCAGGAATGCCAAAAGATCCACCCAGTTGGTCCAGAAATCTCTGTTAGAGGGACAGCTGCTTCTCATTAGGCACGACTACATGACCTTTTCTGGAAACTGTGACAAAAAAATACTTGGAATCTAGCAGACCCTGTTTTATGTTATAATTTGTTTATTCCATTTTCAAAATGTGTTGTTGAAAAATGGATAAAATATATTAATTTTTTTTAAAAAGGAAGAAAAATTACTGATAATGCAACGAGGATGAATCTCAAATGTATTATGATGAGTAAAAGAAGCCATAATGGCTACATAATACATGATTCAATTTTTATGGCATTCTGGAGAAGGTAAAACTAGAGATACAGAAAACAAATTAATAGTTGCTAGTGAATGATGAGGGGAAGGGCTGGTTACAAAGGGGCATTTGGAAATTTCTGGGGGTGATGGAATTGTCCTACATCTTGATTGTAGTGGTGGTTATATGATTGTATATTGGCAAAGAATTTAAACAGATATCCTGTCAAAACTCATAGAACTCTACACTGAAAAAGGTAAATTTTATACCATATAAATCACATTCAATAAAAAATGGAAAAAAAATAGGCAAACGAAACAAAACACCAAAACAAATTCCCACTTCTTGTGGAGAAAAACACATTAAAAAACATATGCACATAAATACATGGAGGACAGCTGATGCTAGGAACTAGAAAGAATAGAGGAACAAAAGGAGATCAAGAATGAGAGTGCATGTCATCAATGGTAGACTGGATAAATAAAATATGGTATATATATATACCATGGAATACTATACAGCCATAAAAAAGAATGATGCCCTGTCCTTTGTAGGAACATGGATGGAGCTGGAAGCCATCATTCTTTTTTTTTTTTTTTTTTTTTTGAGATGGAGTCTCGCTCTGTCACCCAGGCTGGAGTGCAGTGGTGCAATCTCGGCTCACTGCAAACTCTGCATCCCAGGTTCACACCATTCTCCTGCCTCAGCTTCCCAAGCAGCTGGGACTACAGGCGCCCACCACCACGCCCGGCTAACTTTTTGTATTTTTAGTAGAGACGGGGTTTCACCGTGTTAGCCAGGATGGTCTCGATCTCCTGACCTCATGATCCACCCACCTCAACCTCCCAAAGTGCTGGAATTACAGGCATGAGCCACTCCACCCAGCCCTTGGAAGCCATCATTCTTAACAAACTAATGCAGGAACAGAAAACCGCATACTCCATGTTCTCACTTATAAGTGACAGCTAAAGGATGAGAACACATGGACACAGAGCGGGAGAACAACAAGCACTGGGGCCCACCTCAGGGTGGAAGGTAGGAGGAGGAAGAGGAAGAGGGGCATAAAATAACTTTTGGGCACTAGGTTTAGTACCTGGATGATGAAATAATCTGTACAACAAACCCCCATGACAGGAGTTTACCTATATAGCAAGCCTACACGTGTACCCCTGAACCTGTTTTACTTTAAAAAAAAAAAAAAGAAGCCCACACATTATAAATAAATAAATGTAATAGAGTCACACAATGGAATAAACTACAGCGATAAAATAAATAGACAAATAAGCCAGAAAAAAATAATGAGAGGGCATGTAAGTTTACATAGAATGGTCAGGGAAGTTCTCTCTGATCATATGAGTTTAGAACATGAGTTTGGATAAAGTTCATTGTATTTTAAAGATGGTGGAAAGAGAAAAGTGAATATTTATCAAACCTTCTGCAAGAATGATGATTTTCTAAACTCTATGGTGGAAGAAAGAATGAAAAAGATAAATAGATTTTCCTTTCCAGTATTTACAAAAGTCTGTGAAACCACCCTCTTAAAATATTATAGAAGATGGTATCTGGAGCAATCAGACAGAGACATATACATTAGTGAATGATTAAGAACCTGGCCTGAGAAAGGGTTTTAAGCAGAATATGACTTGGAATGACCATGAGGAATGGGAGAGGGGATGCAGACAAAGGTGAGTACCAAGATGGTATCTTTGGAATGTCCCTCCTGCGCCCCATCCATGGGATCTGACCCCTTGCCACAGGGTTTCCCTTCAGATCCTCAACACCTTCCTCTCTCTGATTGGAGTTCAAGAGGTTAAATGAGTAATTTCCCTTTGCAGGTGCTGTGATCAGGTGTTCTGGTTCTATATATAAAATTCCGGTGCTCATGTGCAGATATCCAGAAAGCTCAATTAATCCCAAACATCCCTTCCCACAGAGATATCCCAAAATAAAATCTTCAGCACATATAAAGTGGCTTAACTATTTCCCTGACTTAATGACTGAATTTAAATTCATAAAGGGTTTGTATGAGGCAGATGCTGAGGTTTATTCCCCAGGTTCATGGGCAACTGAACAAAAAGACAGAAGCTCAGACTAAAGCTGGAGAGTTTGGGGCTGGACATAAGGAAGAACTTCTTAACTGCTGGAGAGATTAAACAGAGGAATTGGCTTTATGGAGCAGTCAGGGAAGTTCTGTTTCTAGAGTTGCTCAAGGGGAAAAGACACATGTCAATTGTCTCATTGACATTTATTGATTAGGGCACAAAATATACCATATTAATCTTTAAGCCCTATAATAGTGTCTGGCATATAGTAGACAAACCTCCTTGCAATACAGATACATGAATAAGTGAATAAATGACTAAAACAATGTAAATGATGTGTCAGATATAAAAAATCATAAGATTTGATGATGCCCTAAAGCATTTGTATCAGTGTTCAAGGGCCACAATGATGCTGTGTAACAGACAGTCACAAACCTTAGGGACACAGAGCAATAAATATTGAATTCGTTTCATGTATCTGTGGGTTATCTGGAGGGATTTGTTGATTCTGCCTTGTGATCTTGTGGGGACTACTGGTTTATCTTGACTCTGTTCCATTAAATCTCTCATCCGTCAGCCAGCTAGCCCATGTTTGTTCTCATGGCAGACACAGGAGTCCAAGAGAGCAGAAGTCAGCAAGAACCCCAAATCTCTGACACATTCGACTGACCAAAGCAAGTTTAAGTCTAGCCCAGATTCAAGGTGTAAAGAAATAGACTGTACTTCTTGATGAAAAGGGGCTGTTAAGTCATATTTGCAAAGCTTGGAATGAGGGGAGGGGTTGTATTTGGGTTCTCCAGAACCAATAGCACATGTAGATAATTTGACATATAAAGGGTATTTATTAGGGGAATTGGCTCATGTGATTATGGAAGCTTAGAAGTCCGATAGGCTGTCTGCAAGCTGGAGAACTGGAGAAGCCAATGGTGTCACTTTCAGTCGAAGGCCAAACAAAGGACCTGGAGTTCTGATGTCCAAGGGCAGGATAAGAAGAATGTCCCAGTTTGGGCGTGAAGGCTCATACCTATAATCCCAGCACTTAGGGAGGCCAAGGTAGGCAGAGATCACCTGAGCTCAGGAATTCAAGACCAGCCTGGCCAACATGGTGAAACCCCATCTCTACTAAAAATACAAAAATTAGCAGGGTGTGGTGGTGCATGCCTATAATCCCAGCTACCTGGAGGCTGAGGCAAGAGAATCACTTGAACCCGGGAGACAGAGGTTGCAGTGAGCCAAGATTGTGCCACTGCATTCCAGCCTGGGCGACAGAGTGAGACTCTGTCTCAAAAAAAAAAAAAAAAGTCCCAGCCCCATAATGGAGAGAGAGAATTTGCCTTTTCCCTGCCTTTTGGTTCTATCAGCCAATTGGATGGTGCAAGCCCATATTGGGTGAGGGTGGATTATCTATTAAAAAAGGATGAATAAAAACGTGGCCATAACAGACATTTCAGATTTAATTAGGCACATACCAGGACATAACTACATGGAGTTAAGATGGAAAAGCTCTGGGAGGCCGAGGTGGGTGGATCACGAGGTCAAGAGATCGAGACCATCCTGGCCAACATGGTGAAACCCCATCTCTACTAAAAATACAAAAATTAGCTGGGCATGGTGGCACGCACCTGTAGTTCCAGCTACTTGGGAGGCTGAGGCAGGAGAATTGCCTGAACTCAGGAGGCAAAGGTTGCAGTGAGCTGAGATTGCGCCACTGGACTCCAGCCTGGCGACAGAGTGAGACAACATCTCAAAAAATAATAGTAATAATAATAACTATATATGTAAAAGCTTCACATTGCAGGTCATGTGAACTGTATCTTCAAAGATAATTATGCTGTTCCAAGTAGAGAAGAGTCAAGGACATTCTAGATAGAGGAAACAACAATCATATAGGCTCAAAGGTAGGAAAGAACATGATGTACCTGGGGGTGTAGAGAAATGGGGAGCAGGTATGCACTGTATAGGGCACAGTGGCAGGAGGAGAAGGGGGTACGACTGTACTAGGACAATATCTGATTTATTTACATTTATTTGCTTGTGAATCCATCTTTCCTACTGGAATGCAAACTCCATGAAGGTCGAGACTTTGATTTCCCCAGCATGTAGAACTCCGTCTGGCACATAGTATGGCACAGTAAATATTTGTTGATTGAATGCATGTAGAATGGCCGGTAGGCCTTGTGAGGGGAGTTGAACTTTAACCCAGAGGTGCTGGGAGGGAACTTAATTTGCAGATAAGTGGTTGAAGATTATGGTAAGATTTGAGTTTCAGAAAGATATCTCTGATGCTAGAAGAAATGATGAAGGATAGAGAATGGAATCCTGGCAATGGAAGTTGGAAGCAGCAGCTACACAAAAGTAGCTAAGAGTTTCAGAACAGAAGAGGCTATAGGCCTGTGCTTTCTGGAACAGAAGTGACCCTGGGAGCTGAAGGGAGTGCATGCTAGAACTTCAGGTTGTTTGCTGAGGCATTTGAGGTATTAATGATCTGCTCAATATTTTACAGAGAAATGTATCAAGGCTAAGAACTGTTGATTGAGGTTTTTCTTTTGTTGAATATCATTCAGTGTTTATTATTCATCTGGCATGATCTAGAAACTGTTGAAATACACATTTTTATTGATCTGCATAAACTTTTTTCATTTTATTACATAAACCATATAACTATCATTTGAGAAACAAAATCTTTCTCTACAAAAATAATAAAAAAGTGGATGTAGCATTATTTTCCTTCCTACTTAAAATTTGTCCGGAATTCAAAAGCATCATCAGCATCCCTGAGAACATGTCAGAAATCCAACATTGCGGAATCACCTTAGATGAACTGAATGACAATCTACATTTTAGGAAGCTAACAAGTGATCCATGCAAAGCTTAAGAAGCTATACTTTAAGGAATATTTACTTCAGATATTTTCCCCCCAAATGAGGCCATTTAAGGAAATTTCTATTTAAAGCCACATGAAAATATATACCTATCTTTACTTCCTAATTAAGGAAAAGTTAAAATTGAAGGCATTTGAAAAATTATAAAGGATAAAAAGCATAATTATTTATCAATGTCATTATCAAATATTTGACTGTACATGTTGGTTTGAGGTTTTGCTCAGTCCCATAACTTAACATGGTTATTCTGTGTACTGAGTTGTCACTGCCCTGCAGGCTTGAGCCCAAATGTAACACAGTTCATACACTGGAGGTAGGTTCAGCGCCCTGCAGTAGAAATGCCCAGCTGAGTCCTGCCTGGATCAGCCAAAATTATTAACATGAAAATCCATGAACATGAAAATCCATGCTTAGTGTTATAAGCCACTGAGTTTTGAATAATTAGTTATCAACCAATTAATTAATACCAATTGTGCAGATGTTGACCAATATAATATTTCTACATCTACTCAGACAAAAATATTTTATTAAAATGTATGGCCTTGAACTCAAGATGGGCACAAGTTTGCTCCACTGACAAATAGGGATGTAAACCCACCCCTACTTGGCTCCACAGCCTGTGTCTCCACCATGACACATTTGCCTTCTCTGAAGTTTATGCTGGATGTGGTTTTCTACTGATGTGCAATATTATGGTGATGCTGTAGTAAAGCACTGTTCCAGTCGGCCACATACATTCCATTTCTTCTCCAGTTGAGTTTTCTTCATTCTGCAAATATGTGGCATTGGAAGCTGGAAAGAGGCTACTTGGCTGAAACCTTTCTGATGGAGTCTATGTAAACATACAGAAGAAAAAATGTGTAACTAAGGTTCATATCCCTTAAAAAGAATATGTAGACAATTCAAGTGGCTGTATTAAAAGTTTCACATTCTACCACCACTTTGGTACATTAAAAGAGCTGTGAGAAACCTGACCTGCCAAAAAATGAATGGCCTTAGTATACACTTTTAGCAGTCCATTCATAAAGATTTTAAGAGGAAATTAAAACAGATTTGGGAAAATGTGCATGTATGTTTCTAATAATGCATGTAAGTACATAGACAGCATATTTGTTTTATTGTTGGCTGTACATACTCATAAAGATCTGCATAAACTCTTTTGTGTGTATGTATCTTTTCGGGGTCTATGGTGTGCCCCAGAAACTGAGTGTGCACAGTAGTAAGAGCATTGAAGTCAGAAGTTCTGAATTCAGGTTCTAGCTTTTCTACTTTTTGGCTGTGTGGCCCCAAGGAAGATACTTTTCCTCTAAGCTTCATCTTCATTCATGAAACAAGGTTAACTGATCATTTCTTGTCTACTTTAGAGGCTTATTGAAATAATCATGTAAGACTTATGATCTCATAAGGGAAAGACCTAGCATTTATTAAATGCCAGGTACATTGCTGAGCACTTGACATGCATGTTCTCATTTAATCCTTAGAACAATCTATGAGGTACTGTAGTACCAGTCCCAATTATTATATTATCCTCAATTTACAGATTTCATAACTGAGGCTCAGAGCTTAATTAAACCAAGCACTATTCTATAAATTGTAAAGTAATATTAAACAGAAAGTGCCAGTCTGACTACTACCTTCACTTTATAAGGAAAATATGAAAAATTTTCAATATATGGATCCCACCTTCTGAGAGTTGAGCAACTTGTGCCAATAACCGAAGAAAATGTAAGAAAACAAAACAAAACAACAAACCACAACAAAAACAGGCAAAGCAGCATTCTGTGCAGGTTCAGGCAGGTATCCTGGTCCTGGTCCAGTCCAGATCCGGAACTAAGATAGAGAATGAAAAGAAGTTCAGAAAAGATATCTATAAATAACTGCTGTAATGGAGACATTTGTAGAGAAAGAGATGATGCCACCAGATTGTCTATCCCCCACAACCTTTCTAGATATTCTTCCTGTGATGAGAAGCATTCCCACCATAGTATTAGGGCTGCTTCTAGCCCTAGAGAGAACTGCTAAAGACTTATACTGTCTTCCCTGGTGTGTTAGCCAGGGTTCTCTGGAGAAAAAGAAACAACGGAGTATGCATATATCTGGAGAGATTCATTTCAAGGAATTGGCTCATGCGGTTAAGGAAGCTGGTAAGTTCAAAATCTGCATGGTGAGCCAGAAGGCTGGAGACCCAGAAAAAAGCTGATGTTGCAGTCCAAGTCCAAAGGCCATCTGCTGGCAGAATTCCCTCTTACTCGGGGGAAGTCGTGCATTTGTTCTAGTCAGCCTTCGGCTGATTGGATGAGGCCCACCCACATTAAGAAGGGCAATCTGCTTTACTTGAAGTTCATGGATTTAAATGTCAGTCTTATTCAAAAACACCCTCACAGGAACATCCAAAATAATGTTTGACCAAATATCTGGACACAGTGGCTTAACCAAGCTGACACATAAAATTAACAGTCGTACCTGGCTGAACATTCAATACTAGGCTTAGTGCTGGGTTGCATCAAGGCCAAGAACAATAAGCTTATCAACTAGGCAAGTCAACAATAATTAGGGAGCACTACTTGGCTTTCTAATGGGCTCTAACACTAGTGTTTGGTGTGGGTTGTACAAAGAGTGCTGGCCTGGGACAAGGTTCCATGCCAACTCACTCTATGACCTGGGTCTCCCTGCTAAAGCCCTTTTATTTCTTCCTTCATACCGTAGCATTAAAGTTGTGCTAAATGCAACTCTACCATGGTATGTCCCATGGCACAGCCCTTTAAAAGGACCCTAGTACACCCTACAAAGCCTACCATAATCCTGTCTGCCTTCCCAGCCTCCTTGCTGCCCCTTGCACCTTGTATTTTGCAAAATCACGATGCATGCTACCTCCAGGCCATCACATTCATTGTTTCCTCTGAGTGGGTTATGTGTGGTGGCTTGGAAGAAACCCTAATTTAAGGCTCACCCTTAGCGTTCCCTCTATCATCTTTTCAGGTTTCCCCAGTCATCCTTCTCTACATGCAATGGACTAGCCTCCTCTTCATAATATCTGTGATACTTTACTGTATTTATTCATTTGTTTTTGTATCTGTGTCACCTGCTGACTGAGAATTGAACACATAAGTGCTCAATGCTTGTTTACTAGATGGTGAATGAATGAATGAGTGCATGGGCATAGACAAGAATGAATGGCATCCAGGGTTATACCACTTGCAAGGACAGAGCTGGGATGTGAATCTATACTTTTCTGACTACAAAGTCACTGATGTTTGCTTTAGAACAAAGACTCCACAATGACAGTTGCAGCTGGTGCCAGGCTGGCTATATCTGAATCTCTAGAGCAGGTTCTTGGTAAAAATACAGCTCCACCCAGATCTAATAAACTCTTGGAGGACTGAGAATGGAGAAGAAGGTTGTTAGGATACCTGGTTTTAAAAAAATTCAGACCTGTGGTTGCATTTCTAGGAGTCTGTCCTCCAGGAATAACACACAGATGCATATGGATATAGTACACAAATGTTACTGCCACATTATTTAAGATAAAAAGTAAAAAAAAAAAAACAGCTTATATTTTCATCAAAAGGGGAAATGGTGGCCACGTGAATTATACTATATTTATTCTCTGGAATGCCAGGAAGACATTACAAGAGAATGAGAAAAGAGAACCAACATGAAAAGATCTCTGAGACATCTTTTTCACTGAAAAAGGCAGGTCATGAAAGATAATATATGCTATGGTTCCATTTATTTATTTATATTAAAAAAATTTTTTTTTTTTTGAGACAGGTTCTCACTTTGTCACCCAGGCTGGAGTGCAGTGGTGCAATCTTGGCTCACAGCAACCTCCACTTCCTGGGTTCATGCGGTTCTCCCACCTCAGATTCCTGAGTAGCTGGGACTACAGGTATGTGCCACTACACCCAGCAAATTTTTGTATTTTCTGGTGGAGACAGCGTTTTGCCGTGTTGGCCAGGCTGGTCTCAAACTCCTAACCTCAAGTGATTTACCTGCCTTGGCCTCCCAAAGTGCTGGGATTACAGGCATGAGCCACATGCCTGGCCCCATTAATTTTATTAATGAAACAAAAAAGCCTCAACACATGTATGGCTGTTATCTCCTTACGTACGTGCTATGTTCTAAATGTTTGTGTCCCCCTCAAATGTGTATGTTGAAATCCTAACCCCCAAGGTACTAGGATGTCGGGTATTTGAGAGGTAATTAGGTAATGAGGGCAGAGCTTTCTGATTGGGATTAATGCCTTTATAAAAGAAGCTCTAGAGAGCTGCCTTGTCCCTTTTTACCACATGAGGATGTAATGAGAAGGCACTGTCTATGAGGAATGGGCTCTCACCAGACACCTAATCCACCAATGTCTTGATCTTGGACTTCCCATCTTCCAGAACTGTGAGAAACAAACGCTTGTTGTTGACAAGCCACCTAGTTTATATTTTTTGTTATGATAGCCTGAGTTACTAAGACAGTATATAAATGCCTAAATGTATTGATAAAAGTATGGAAAAAACACCAGCCTCTTAACATTGATTTTCTATGTAATTCGAGAATGAATTGATTTGAAATCAAAATTAAAAGCTTTGAGGTATGAGGGAGTATTTGGGGGATGACAGAAATGTCACAACTGAATTGTAGTGTAGTTGCACAACTGTATACATTTACTAAAAGTATTACATTTTATACTTAAATGAGTGAATTTTATGGGCTGTAAATAATACTTTAATAAAGCTCTTTCTCAAACAGACTTCCCAGATGATTTTAATGTGTATCTAATTTGGGGAACACTGGCTCTAAAATGCTTTTTTCATTCCTTCCCTTTTTTCTAAATCCCATCTTCCTTTCTTAAATGAATAAGTGTGTATCCTTCATTAGGAAAGATGATAATAAAAATCAAGAACACATGATAAAAATCCAAATGCCATAACAGTTCTATAAAGTATTTGTAACTTTGCATATTTGAGGATTGGTGAAATAAAAACACATTCGAGTTAGAATTCCTTAGGGAACTCTAACTTTTCTCAAGTTAAAATTTTTTTTAAAGGTTTGATTTGAAGCCCTAGTTACTTCTGAAGTCTACGGCTGAACATCATTCTTAAAAAAAAAAAAAAAAAAAAAAGCCTAGAAGAATGCATTTTGAAACACAGGACTTAATAACGCCCATTTCACCAGGCTGTATAAGATCATATGAAATAACTGTATTAGATGGGAACCTACTGTACTCTCTACACCTGTCCTACCCTGTTCCTCACTCAGGAAGGCTGGCTCTGGGGTCTCTCTCCCTAGACTTCAGTTTATTGATCATGGTTGGCTCTTGGCCCATTGGAGGCTAATTTATAGGTTGGTGAGAACCTATGTGGTTACTTGGCTAAATACCTATGGGTTACTTGGCTTTAACTGCCAAGACCTATGTTGCCCCACTGAACCAATGAGATCCTATTTCTAGTGGCCTTTGAAGGCAGCCTGCTACAGAGAGAATGAATTCATTGCCCTAACAGTGGTGCAAGAGATTGGGGAAGAGTACACTATCCATTCAGTCACGAGCTGGCACCCGATGGCTCAGAACAGAGTTTCCCATGTGCTGAGCACATTCCAGTCTCCGTGTAGTCTGTCTGAGCACTTGTTTCCTGCTCTTCTTCATTTCCTGTACATTTTATGGGAAACTCCTCCTCCTTGCTGCACCTTGAATGAGGTTCTGCACCGTACAAGTGAAGCAGCCTAATTCACCCAGCACAGGAAGTGGCCCAAGAGCATCCAGGAAGGGTGCTTGCTAGTGATGTCTCTCTATCATTCATGCTGCATTCAATAAACACACCAGTGCCTGTTTGAAATACGCTACACACAGCCAGGCATGGCAGCTCACGCCTGTAATCCCAACACTTTGGGAGGCTGAGGCAGGTGGATCATTTGAGGTCAGGAGTTCAAGACCAGCCTGGCCAATATGGTGAAGCCCCGTCTCTACTAGAAATACAAAAATTAGCCAGGTATGGTGGCGCGTACCTGTAGTCCCAGCTACTCAGGAGGCCAAGGCAGGAGAATTACTTGAACCCGGGAGGCAGAGGTTGCAGTGAGCCGAGATCATGCCACTGCACTCCAGCCTGGGTGACAAAGTGAGACTCCGTCTCAAAAAAAAAAAAAAAAAAAAAAAAAAAAAAAAAAAGAAAGAAAAAGAAAAGAAATAGGCTATACACAACAGCTTCTTGGCTTCTCTCTGACTATTTAAGTTGGGTACTATTTTTATTATTATTCCCTTTTTAGAGATCACGAAACTGAGACAGTTAAGAAGTGGAGCAGGAATCAAATGCAGGCAGTCTGGGGTCAGAACACTCACCCAAGCCAATGTGCTATTCTGCCCTCAGTCGGTACCAATTCCCTTTTTCTTCCCAGTTTTTCTTCATAACACAATTTCTTAAGAGTCTTCCATCTGCTTGTGAGGTCAAACTAGGTCACTGCTTAATCTGTCTATTTACCTTAAAGCTTCATAATTCAAAAACCTCCACCGTAGCAGATTGTCCCCTTTTTTCCTGCTTGCTCTTTCCTCCTGTGATTTGCATAACAGAGTATCTCACATTTCTTGAGCCTTAGCTCAAGAGAGTCAAATGTGCTCTGCAGTAGAAACAGGCATGAAAGAGAGGGGAATGTAGTAGAAGGAAGATAACTTCAATATCTGACCTATTTTCTTCTTTGGTGTTTGACACAGGAATGACTTTAGAAGTACAAAGTATAACTTGAGGGACTATGGAAACTTTAATCATTCTGGTATAATTTTTCAGACAATTCTTCCAACTAAAAAAATATTTTCTGTACCATGAAGGTGAATTTTTTCTTCCTTTTAAAATGCACATGTTCATGAAAAAGAAATGCGCATGACTTCGATAACATCAGAGTGTGAATAAGTTTATTTCTGATACAAAAGAAACACCCAGAGTTAGAGGACCTTGTTTCTCAGTCCCTATTCTGCCGTTTTCTGGCTTGGTAGCTTTGGGTCAGTCACTGAAGTTTCCTGAGCTCTAGATTCTTCACTTGTAATATGCTTGCCTTCCTTGTGAGACTCTGAGGATGATACACCATATCCATAAAGTTCCTCATGCATGGTTGGGTTGAACATACTGCAGTGTGACACTAAACAATATCTGTTATTGTGAGCAGGAATAGCAGGAGGTCCCTGAGTCTTTGTCCTGTACTTAGGTGTAACCTCACCTTCATAAAGCTGTGAAATTTCTTCATCTGGGGAAAATCTCACATTCTTTACAGGATTCTTATGACGATTAAATAACAATGATGTAAAATGACGTCGAAGATATCAGTTGCCAGTAAACACAAATGATTATGATTGCTACACAAATCCTTCATTCCAAAGATATTTCTCGAGTGGAAAACATGCTGCGTGTCAGAGAAGGCATGATTGTAATCCTTGTTACTATATTCTGGGGGTAGGTATGAAGGTGGTAATGCAAGCTAATGATTCATAAAAGGAGGCAAGGGTAGTCAAAGGTGGATGGGGATAGTTGGGGATAGAGATAAGATTAGATGAGGAGAATGGAGAACGGATTAGGGTGATCGAGGGTAGATGAGGGTTACTGAAGATACATGAGGTTGAGAGGAGTGGTCAAGGGTGGATAAGGATAGTCGACATTAGGCAAGGGTAAAGAGGGTTAGCAAGGGGGCTTCTGAACTGTCAGCAGGGAGCATCTGCTGGAGAAGGAAGGAAGCAGAAGAACCATGTTTGGGGACTGCAGCCAGGCCATTTTAATAGGCCCCCTTAGTGAATTAAAGGTGGAGTTCATTGTTGCTGAGGATGCTAAGACATTAAGGGCTCAGGGATTGATTGGCATCTGAGCCTGACAGTGAGGGAGGCTAAAAAAACTGGAATCTGTTCCTAAGTAATGCTGTATCATGTTGTTATGTGACAAGCACCCAAAGGCAGCCGATTTTTCATTTTTCCTTTAATTAAAAAATTTTCATGATATTATAGATTGACCTATCTCTTGTCTAGGCTGTGTGAGGAAGGAAGGAAGGAAGGAGGAAGGAAGGAAGGAAGGAAGAAAAGGGGAGGGGAGGGAAGGGGAAAGGAGGGGAGAGGAGGGGAGAGGAGGGGACAAGAGGGGAGAGGAGGGGAGGAGAGGGGAGGGGAGGAGAAGAGAGGAGGAAGGAATTCCCCTTAAATGGCTATATCTCTAAATGGCTTCTGGTGTGATGAGCTAACAACTTACTCCACAGGGGGAGCCTGGATGGGCTGCAGGGCCAGGTTGTGGTTGCTTCCAAAGATGGGTCTAAAACAGAGGACCCCTATACTCTCTGTCATACCCTTCCCCTCTGCTTCTGCCATACCCGGAATCACCAGTTTATCATAAAAGTTTAGAATACGTGACCATAGAAAGATTAATTTCCTGAAGTGCTTGCTGTAGGTTTCATGCTAAGATTAAGTCTCAAAAGTGACTTTTCAAAAAGCATAGATCTGATTGCATCACTCCCTGCTCCAAAACTTTCCATGGCACCTCCCTGCCTATGAATAAAGTTCAAATTCCCTAAAATAGTGCTCCTTGACTCCGATACTACCTCTTTGGTTTTCAATGCCATTCTTCATATCTCATACTCCCGATCTGGTTCCTGGGCCAGTCACCATTTCCCAAACAGACTCTGTGTTTTTTCAGCCACGTGCTTTTATCTCCATCCCAAAATGATCATGCTGTGGGTCCCTGTGGACTTCACAACTGTCCTTTGACACATCCTTAGAGGACAATGCACTCCATTCCCAGGGGTTGCCAGAGTCTATAGGGATCCAGTACCTTCTTTTGTCTAGGCTCACATATCAGTTTTGCTATAGGGTCTTTATAAAGGCGGATGTGAATTTGAGTTTAATCCTAATTTACAACTTATACATTCCTACTTCCAAAAGAAAGCATTCAAGGTGGCAACTGTATATTGTTGTTTATGGAAACACATCTCCTTTGCCCTGCCCAAAGTGTGGGGTTGCCCATGTTAGATTCCTGTGGTGGTCATCATTTTGATAAGTATTGCAAGCATCATGATTTTATTTCCTGGCTTTTGTTTGTTACAGATATTTCTGTCTCCCTCAAGCCAGCCTGTGTGCTGACTCGCTTGGCAGCATGTTCAAGATTGAAGGACCCCTCCTTTCCCCATATGCGTAACCTATCCTGGATTTTAATTTCAGAGGAAGAGCCATAAATATGTGTCCTTCAGTTTGAAAAGCCACACTAAGAATCCGGCAGCTGGGCAAAGGAGGATAAAGATAAGGTTTCCTAAGGCAGGAAGAAGGGGGCGCGCAGCAAAAAAGCAAGAAGGGATCCATAGTGTTGATGCTTTGCATGCTGGATTCTTGCTGCACTTACAGACTCCGTCGTTCCATTTAGGAGGTGGGAGGGAGAAGAGTCCTCAGCACATGCAGAAATAACAAATGGCCATACATCTCTTACTCCAAAAGAGAAGGGCAGGCAAGATCTGCAAATGATCTGATTTCTGCTGGCTAAGCAGGAGGAGAGAAACATAACAGCAGCCTCCTCCAGCTCTGCAGAGCTGGGACTCAGCTTCCTGACTTCAACTTCCAGCCCTAGATACTTCTCTGTGACTTTTCAGGGCATATTTGCCCTTTGTATCCAGGCTCCCCTTCAGCCTGCATTTCTTTGGTAATACTTTGTGATTGCTGGCCAGTGGTTATTTTGTGGGATTGATACATAGTAGCATTGCAATTGTGCAGGAGGCTTTGTTCAGAGAAACATTGTGTTTCCATGCCAACAAACTCCAAGAGGCTGCCAATCTTCCTTCCTTCCTTCCTTCTTTCTTTCCTTCCTTCCTTCCTTCCTTCCTTCCTTCCTTCCTTCCTTCCTTCCTTCCTTTCCTCCCTCCCTCCCTCCTTCTCTCCCTTCCTCCCTGCCTCCCTCCTTTCTTCCCTTGCTCCTTCTCTCTCTCCCACCTTTTCCTTCCTTTTACCTCCTTTTTGTTTTTTCTTTCCTTCCAAATGTTTCATGTCACACTCAAAGTGCAATTGTCAGAAGGACAAGCACAGTAGGAAAGAGGCTACAAGGAGAGGAAAGGCTGTGAGAATGGTCATCATAGTTCATTCAAACTGCATGTTGCCCTTTCAGTTTTAGGGTTTTTAACATGTCACACAAAAATAATTTTATACATATACATAGAAAAATAATTTCCTGAGTGCTAATTTTGCCCAGAAATGGAAAAAAAATAGTCATCAGGAAATTCATACAATGCTTTATGCCAAAATTAAGTCTCAAAAGTGACTTTTCAAAAAGCAGAGATCTGATTGCAGCACTCCCTGCTCTAAAACCTTCCATACAATGCAGGATACAATGCATCCTTCATACAACGTGAAGGATGTTAGGGGAGCTTTTGGTTGACGGTGTGGACTTCCTCAATGAGACTGGAGATAGCATCTCATGTAGAGAGTAAGAGAGAAGGTGGCAGTGGAGCGTGCTTTGGTAGAGGCAAGGTCCAGAGGTAACACGACCTTTCTCTTGTTACCAACGAAGCCAGTCCTCCCCAAAATGGGATATTTCCCTTTTCAGTGCTGTGAAGCCAATATGCAAAACTGAAAGTGAGCATTGAGTGATAGAGATTTTATTCCACAGCCATGGAATTGAGAGGCAGGAGCTCAGCTCCCAAATCAACCTTTCAGCTCATGAGAGCTGGGAAGCCAGAAATATAGGACATATTTAGTGAAAGGGCTGGGCATTAAAAACAAGGGGAGGGATATTCATATCTTTTCTGGTAATGGGCAGACAACTTCTGGGAACCAGAGTACTGCTTTCCTTTTTGTCTTTTTATAGTTTCTTCTGGTCAGTGTCATGGTGATTGTCAGCTGTCATGGTACTATGGGAGTGTCATTTAGCATGGAAATTAGGTTATAACAAAGTTAGAGGTTCTTCTTAGGTCAAGAGAGCTGCTGTCTTAGATCTCACAAGTCTTGACTGGTTTGGCCACGAAGGGGAACTTCTGACCACAGGCATCCTGTTTCCTAAAGGTCAGTAGAGTTAGGGCAGGGTAGAAACTCACCTATGCCCTGTAAGCTTTACACTGGTAACACTCCAACCTGAAGGGAGGATAATAATTTTAAGGACACAGACCATTTTCTTAAGTCTTTACATTCCTACTCCCTACCCGACCTTGTCCAATACACTTCCTTTCACATAGCAAGTCCTCATTAAATTTTTAGAGATGAATCAGAATGAGCCCCTTGGCCTCTTCCTGGCAGTGCTTGCCTCCTTTTCACTGTTGTTCCCCCATCCCATCCCAGTTACATGCTGATTTACTAAGCTGGGCTTGACTGTGCACTGACATTTAGTTTGTAGGTGATAGACACCCAACTCAAATTGCCCTGAGGGGAAAAAAGAGGGGAATATTTTCTCACAAAACTGAAAAGTCTAGGGAGAAAAACCATATCCAAAAGGCTAAAAATTGCCATGAGGATATAGAGTCTTTACCTCCCAAAGGTCCATTTCTTTCTGGATGAGGGTCATTCTCCTTCCCTGTAGTGGCCCTCCTGAACTTCAGGTCTGAATATCAGGAATGGACAAAGTGCTTCCTTATCAAATAGTCCCAGCACATAGTGCTGATTGAATCTTCTTTACTGAGATTGTACCAAGTGCCTATTTGTGAACCAGGCCAAACCTGAGATTTGTGTCCACCTCAAAGGCAAGGGAGGGTGTTAAGACCACCTAAACTCAGGGATTAAAGTGGAGAAAGGGTGGCTTTTGGAGGAAAGTTGGGGTGCTGATAGGAGAGAGAATAAAGATGAACACCAAGGAGGAAAATTTGGGGATTGAAACAATCATCAACCCACCTGGTATAAATTGTCTTCTTTTTTATATTTGATGGTGACTGTGAACTTCAAAGTGGCATTTCCTTGCATGTGGCCAGTTGCAGGTGGCTGACAGTTCAGCACAGATGCTGTAATGACTAAATCAGAAAGTCCATTTTCATACTCTCTGTTCATCCATTCCCAAAGATGTTTATGAGCACTTAGATTGCAGCTTCCGGACACCAGGAGAAAACATCACTATCACGCGACGTTATAATTCTAATACCAGTCATTGGGAAAGGAAGCATAAATGATAATAATCTGGGGAAAAGCCATCTCTCCTTCTCATTTCCTGCCTGTGTGCCAGGCTGTGCTCTACTTTGAAAGGAAGCAGGGGGAGCATATTTGAATGTGTCCTTCCGTCACTATCAACACTGTCACTGCTGTAGTTCCAGTCTTCAAGGTCTTTTTCTGGGATTACTCTTTGGTCTCCCAAATCAGAGTTCCAGACTGTCCTCTACTTACCTTAGTGCAACCTCCGCTCTGGTGCTTGGGTGATCTTTGGAAGGCAAATCACAGTGCACAACAACACCCTGCAGACCTAGTCATGTCATTCCGGTTGCTCACCTGTCTAACTCTAGCAGGATTATTTCTCAAACATTCACTATTTGCCTCCACATTTTACAATATTTTTAGCTGTATCATGTACCATCTTTACAATGCTTTCTTTAATATTTTCTTTAAATGTACTCTTATTTTAAACTTGCCCTTGTCCTAAGCAATAATTTTCATTACATTTCAGTTTTGATGTGTTGCTTTTTCTTCATTGAACATGAAGGAAAATTAAAATAAGTAAACAATGATTTTTAAATGTTTCTAAAATGATCTGCTATGCCAACAAGGGTAACATGCTCTTTTTTGGGAGCACTAGCCCTCAGGATTAAATCCCAAGATGAGATAGCCTTAGGTCTTCTTGATCTGGCCCCAGATCACCTTTCTGGCCTTGTATCTTACTCCAGTTGGTTCTCCGGGCTCCAGGGATTTTGCACCCTTCACATATCGTGATCCCTTAGGCTCTGTGCCTTTGCATATACAGTTCCTTCTACTGGAATTATGCTCTTTCACTTCCTTCTTTGCTGGACAGACCATTTTTACTCTACAGTAGTCACCCCCTTCGTGAGACTCTGCAAAGTGATTATTGTCCCTTCTACTAACAGTTGATTCAACTGTGAGCTGGACATATTGTACTGTGTCTGTGGATTACTCAGCCAACTTTCTTTTTTTCCCTCAGTCAGAAGCTCCCATCAGGTATGGGGAGAGGTGATATGTATATGTATTCTGGAGCCAAGCACAGAGACACCCTCATGAAGGTTTGCTGTGCTTTCTAGAGTCCTGCTTGGTCATATCTGTTCATTTTCTCCTTCCTCAATACCAGTAAAGATCATTTTACTTTCAGAAACTGCAACAGTAGGTATTTGCAGAAGGTCCATGGCTCATTCTGTGGGTACCATGTCTGCCCACAGAACAACCCATTATGATTAATTCCACAAAGCAGTGATCCTTGCTTCTTTTCTGGTCAGTTATAACAGAGAGTTATATACAGAATGTTCCTATATGTGATACTCTACCTTGGAAAAGCACAGGGTTATTATCTACATTTTCCTAAATGGTAACCATAACTCCATCTCCTCCTTTCTCACCCAAGGTAGCAAACTCAAAATGGCAGTGAGAGTTGTGTTACCAAAGAAATAAAGTGGGAGGTAGAGGTTGCAGTGAGCCGTGATTGCACCACAACACTCCAGCCTGGGTAAGAAGAGCAAAACTCTGTCTCAAAAATAAATAAATAAATAAATAAATAAATAAATAAATTGCAAATATTTTAAATTGTTAGATTGGTTCAAAAGTCACTGTGGTTTTGCCATTACTTGTAATAATTATTTTTAGCAAAAATCACATGTGAAACATCTCACAACTGAGTGACGTTTTCCCCACTATAATACAAGCTCCAGGAACACAGGTATTTTGCTCGGATTTTTTTTCCCTACAAGTACATTCCCAGCATCTGGGCAAAATGCCTTAAACATAGTAGATGCATGGGAAATATTTGTATTAAATGATTTCACTCATGTATTGCTGGCACAGCACTGGATTGTGTGAGTGGAATAACTGAGTGCTTGTAGGATGGGTTAAGGGAGGGGAGATATTACAAGGTAAGAAGATGTGCACAAAACTTGATCTATAGCCTAAACTCCTTAGAGCCGTGCATAACTACACTCCAAATGTGCACTGATGCTCAATTCATGGCTGCTTGTCATTGTAGTTTTGTTTTTTTTTTTTATTTGAAATGGAGTCTCACTCTATCACCCAGGCTAGAATGTGGTGGCGTGATCTCAGCTCACCGTAACCTTCACCTCCCGGGTTCAAGCAATTCTCCTGCCTCAGCCTCCCACACAGGCGTGTGCCACCACACCCAGCTAATTTTTTTGTTTTTAGTAGAGATGGGTTTTCACCATGTAGGCCAGGCTGGTCTCAAACTCCTCACTGTTTGTCACTTTGAATTTTCACAATCAATAAACACTAACAAAACAACTTTTCTTTTGTGGTGGCGTATGATATGATAATATCATATATAATGTTATATTCCATTACTATGTATAGTCTGTTAATAGGGGGTTCGTACGAGGATTATCTTTGGATGGAACAGGTTATCTGTATATTTTATAGGCTTTTAAAATTTTTATTTCGATTTCTGCATTGTAGAGAAATTGCTGTAGGTTTCTTTTTTTTTTTTTTTCTTAGATAGAAGGGTCCTCTCACCCCCTTACCAAAAGGTCCTTTAATAGGGAGTTCATACAAGGATTAACTTTAGATGGAACAGATTATATGTATATTTTATAGGCTTTTAAAATTTTTATTAAGATTTCTGAATAAAGAGACATCGCTCTAAGTTTCTTTTTTTTTCTTTTCTTTCTTCTGATTCTTTTTTTTTTTTTTTTTTAGATAGAAGTGTCCCCTGACCCCCTTACCAAAGGGAGGGATCTTCATCCTAGAGAGGATGGTGCCCACTGCTCCGAACACACCTCCTGCCTTGCCTGTTGACACCTTCCCTTCTCTGCACCCCTGTATGGCTCCTCCCTCACCCCAAGAATCCCAATGCTTCAATTGCCCCTTCATGTCTCTCAGTCTCACCCGAAGCTGCTCCTTTCCCCCACCACTGCGTAGTTGATGGGGACATAGACATACAGGCAAAGAAGCCGGGTTAGGTGCTCTTCGTGATCCCTCTGCCATGAGATTATGTGCTTTTAACTGTGAGCTACCTAAGATGACAGCTTAGAGAAGGCCTGCTTTGAGCTCGTCATTTCTCTTTTGTCTGGCACTTTCTTTCCTTTTAACAGTATTTATTGATATCATAGGTTGCCATGTATCATGGTGATTACCAATGTATTAGTCCGTTTTCATGCTGCTGATAAAGATATACCCAAGACTGGGTACTTTATAAAGAAAAAGAGGTTTAATTGACTCAGTTTCATATGGCTGGGGAGGCCTCACAATCATCGCAGAAGATGAAAGGCACATATTACATGGCAGCAGACAAGAGATAAGGGGAGCCAAATGAAAGGGGTTTCCCCTTATAAAACCATCAGATCTCATGAGACTTATTCACTACCAGGAGAACAATATGAGGGAAACCATGCCCATGATTCAATTATCTCCCACCGCGTCCTTCCCACAACACATGGGAATTATGGGAGGTACAATTCAAGATGAGATTTGGGTGGGGACACAGCCAAACCGTATCAACCGATATGCGGTGGTGTTAGCCATTGTTAATGATGAAAAGAACAAAGGCAGAAATGTTCAAAGCTCCAGCACCATGATCCCCAGACACAATACCTTCCTCATCACTACCTAGAGCTGACAATTGCCAAAGAGCACCCATCACTTCTAATGTTTTCTGTTTGTCTTGGGCAGAAGTCAGGTCTTCAAAGGCTTCTGAGCCAAAGATTGAGACTTCTCTGAAAAAAAGCATCTTAAAGTCAAGCCTCATGATAAATTGGAGAGAGTATTAAATGCCACTAAAAAACAAACCAAATAAGGTAAAAGACTTTGGGTTGGGATGTTTAGGGCCTTTCCTGGCTACACAAGGCCTGTGTCCAGCAAACCCTCTTGGCGAATAAAACACTGGCCAGAAATGACCCCCAAAGGCCTTGCTGATTCCCCAAATTAAAAATACTGTGGGCTTTAATATCCAACTGAAGCCTCCATTGGCCTAACATCTTTTCTAAGCTGCAACTAAGGCTATTATTTTTACACAGTCATTAAAACCAGAAGTCCACTCATAAAGAGAAGATCAAATTTGAAAGGAAATGTAAAGTAAAAAAAAATCTGGACTTCAAAACTTAATCGTAATAATGCCAGGAGCCATTCCATCCCATTTCTGATTTATGCTTCCTACAAATAAAGATTGGTAAATTGAAAGTTTTTATTTGGCATTTATTGTGCATTTCGGAGGATTTGTAAATCTGGCATTTGATTTGTTGGCATTAGGGCTGCCGTAGAGGACTTGTAAATCAGTTTTCTGATGTGGCAAATCAATTTTGTTTTAGAGATGAAGCTCAGTGGCTAAGTGAGATGGGAGTACAAAGAGATATAAATTTTGTGGGCTTCAGACAGGAGAGTGTCATGAGCAGGACCAAGGGAAGCCCTCCCCGCATCCTGGAGGAACCAAAGTCTCAAGGATTGCAGATCTTAGATTATGGGTTGCAAACTGGCTTCCATGGGCCAAAATATATTCCATAAATGTGTTTTATGTAACTCATAAAATGTTTTTGTTTTTAAATGTTGGATTAACGGTCATCCCTGGAACACTTCATGTAGAAATTCAAGTTGAAGTACTATCTCTTGAAAAAGCATCAGAAGTTCCTGCCACTTGGCCTGTGAGTCCTCATGGCAACAGCCAGCTGCAGTTGCAGAGCTGTGGCCTCCGTTACCTGAGGCATGAGCCTCTAAGTCGGCCACAGTTCCTACCTGGCCTCTCTACTCACATCACCTTCTTGCCCCCTAGGAACATTTGAGCTCATGACCCTATTGTAGGCACTAGAACATTCTGAAGGCTAAGTTCAGGAAGCAAGCATACTAAAAAATTATTTGTTGTTTATCTGAAATTGAAATCTAACTTGGCATCCTATAATTATACCTGATAACCCTACTGTGGTAAGCAGAATTCTAAGGTGGCCCCTAAACTGTCCACACCCCTTATGTATATGCTCTATATGATGCCCTCCCCTTGAGTGGGGCAAGACTGTGGCTATAATTAGGTTATGTGACAAAAATGAAGACATTTTGCAAATGTAATTCAGGTCCCTGATGGGTTGACTTTGAGTTAATCAAAAAGAAGATTATTCTGGTTGAGTGTGGCTTAATTGGGTGAGCCTTTCAAAGACATTGTTCTCTTCTTGAAGGAAAAGGTATAGAGTATAAGCGGTTCCTCTGCTAGTCCTGAAGAAGTAGACAGCCATGTGGAGAGAGAGAGCCAATGGAGGAGCACATGTGACTACCACCTGAGAGCAGTCCCCAGGTACAACTAGGAAGAAATGGTAGTTCCAGTTATGCAGGCTGACCAACACGTTGATTTCAGCCTTGTAAGACCCTCAGAAGAGAGCCCAGTTGACTCATGCCCCTGGAAACTCTGAGATAATAAGTTGGTGGTGTTTTGAGCCTCTGAGTTTGTGGTAACTTACTAAACAGCAATGGAAAACTAATACACACATCCACATCAAACTCTGTCTTTTTCTTTGTCCTTTTGTAAATCAAGACAAATTTCTTTGTCTTCTTTTTTTTTTTTTTTTTTTGAGATGGAGTCTTGCTCTGTTGACCAGGCTGGAGTGCGGTGGCATGATCTTGGCTCATTGCAACCTCCATCTCTTGGGTTCAAGTGATTCTCCTGCCTCAGCCTTCCAAGTAGCTGGGATTACAGGTGCTGCCACCACACCTGGCTAATTTTTGTGTTTTTGGTAGGGACGGGGTTTCACCATCTTGGCCAGATTGGTCTTGAACTCCTGACCTCAGGTGATCCACCCACCTTACCTCCCAAATTGCTGGGATTACAGGTGTGAGCCACTTTGTCTTCATTTAAAAAATTTTTGGTCACTTTTTGGTAATTCCAGAGGTACTCATAAATCCCAGATGAGGGAAATGATAAGTCATTTTCTCTCTTAACTAGGTGATGCTCAGGATTAGTTTTATTTTGAGAGTTCTAATATGCTGACTACCAGCAAAACCCATGTTTTTGTCTATGCAGAGGAAGTTTAATGTAAATAGTCACATGACAGCATAGGCCAGGGTTTAACCTGGACTCCCTCAGTTCTCTCTTGGCTTCTCTTGCCTTACTTCCTCTTCCCTTCATGGCCTCTCTTCCATCCTGGTGGACTTCTAACTTCTCTTTTTTGCCAACACTTATTTCTCCATCTTTTCTAATTTAAATTCCTAATCATAGGAATCTAATGGGACTGGTCGCTCCCTGTTCCTGAAACGTTTTTGGGCCAGGCCACATTAAAAAATCTGAGAAGTGGGGCCTGAGAAATTAGGAATTCTGGTTATCTGTTGCGGTGTAACAAGCCATCCCAAAACTCGTTCGTGACTCTGCAATTGGGAAGGGTTCAGTGAGTCCAGCTTATCTCTGCTTCATGAGGTATCAACCGAAATGATTCAAATGGGGCTGAAGGATCCATAGCCCAGATGACTCGCTCACATACCTGGAAGTTGGTACTGGCTGTTGGCTGGGAGCTCAGTGGAGGCTGCTGGCCAGGGGCCTAGGTTCCTTCCCACATGAGCCTCTTTACATGGCTACTTGTGCTTCTCTGCAGCATGGTGACTAGCATTTCAAAAGAGAGGAAGTAGAGGTTACAACCTCAGAAGGCCTCCCTTTGGAAACTGACATTGTATCATTTCTGCTATATTCTTTCGGCTAGGCAAGCACAGATTCAAGGAGAGGAGGCATAGATGACCTCTGTCTTCTTTATAGGAGGGTGCCAAAGAATTTGCTGCCGTATTTTTAAAATCAGAGTGTCTGAATTATCAACCTGTTATTTTACTGTGAGTCAGGTGATCATTTCTAGTTAAATTATCGTGGCTGAGGAGTGATTGTTTGGTACTGAATATGGCCCCTGCTATAAAGGCAAAAACACTGGCTGTGTCCCTTCGCAAGGGATGTGATTGAGGCAATTTTCCATAGAAGGTATATCAATTTATTTTGTGCTGCTATAATAGGATACCTGAGACTAGGTAATTAATAATGGACAGAAATCTCTCTCCTCTCCCTCTCTGTCTCCAAAATTTGTGCCATTGATATCAAGAATATCAACATATTCTTGATTTTAGTCACTTATCAATAATTGTGTTACAAATGAATTCTCCCAGTTGGGAATTTGTTATTACTGTCTTTAAAATGTCTTTAATGAGTAAAAACATCTTAAACTTCTTCCCAAATTTTTTTCAAAATTTGATATTCTTCCAACTTTTTAAATTATTGTCCATCACAAATTTGTCCAAAACATTATTTTTCAATCAATTGGCTGTAAAGTTACATTTTAATCTTGATTTACATTTTCCTAATTACTATGGGGATTGAACATCTGTTTGTATTTTTCTTTTTTAGCCTGTTGTATTTCTGCTCCTATTTTGTTCCTGTTCATACTTTTAAAATCCATTTTTCATTAGGGTATTTTGTCTTTTTGTTTTGTATCTAAAGGAGCTATTTACTTATTTTTTTAAAGACGGGGTTTCACCATGTTGGCCAGGATGGTCTCGATCTCCTGACCTTGTGATCCGCCTGCCTCAGCCTCCCAAAGTGCTAGGATTACAGGCGTGAGCCACTGCGCCTGGCCTAAAGGAACTTTTTATGTACTCTTTATATATTCTTGATTCTAGTCACTTATCAATTAATTGTGTTACAAATTAATTCTTGCAGTTGGTAATTTGTTGTTTTACTTTCTTTAAGATGTCTTTAATGAGTAAAAACATCTTAAACGTCCTCTCAAATTTTTTATAATAAATAGGCATTTGTTTTAAAACAGGGAAAAATTTGTAAAATGTCCCAGGTGAAATATTTAATATACATTTCACTTTAAAAATGTGTATGCGTGTGTGTGTTTATTTGCAAGGACATATACAACAATTTTGACATGTAGTATCAAAAATAAGGTTGTAAATATTATTAAATATCTTCATACTTTTTGTGTATTTAATGTTATGCAATTAATATTTACTGTCTGGAAATTAATAATGAGATTACTGAAATTTTAGAAAAAAATTAAAATCTGGCAAAGTAAAAAAAAGACTGCTTTCTATATCAAAATAAGGTGATTCTAACACAGGCAAATAATTAGCTATATCTAATGCCTTATATAGTGAGGTCACGAACCATCATTTCAAGTATAAAACATGTAAATTGCCTTAATTTCTTAAAATACATAGCTCCAGAGAAGCCTTAAAAATAACATAATCATTGTCATTCGTTAGTATTATCATTATTGAATCAAAGAAGCTAAAGTTCAACACCAGGGCTTTATGATGAAAACCAACACAAAATAAATCACATCCACTACTTGAGCCCCACTGTGATGAGACTGAGTAGAACTTTTTCCAGAGCCAGATACACAGCTCTTTTTTTTTTTTTTTTTTTTTTTTTTTGAGACGGAGTGTTGCTCTGTCGCCCAGGCTGGAGTGCAGTGGTGCGATCTCAGGTCACTGCAAGCTCCGCCTGCCAGGTTCACGCCATTCCCCTGGTGCAGCCTCCTGAGTAGCTGAGACTACAGGTGCTCGCCACCTCGCCCAGCTAATTTTTTGTATTTTTGTAGTAGAGACAGGGTTTCACCGTGTTGGCCAGGATGGTCTCGATCTCCTGACCTCGTGATCCACCCGCCTCAACCTCCCAAAGTGCTGGGATTACAGGCGTGAGCCACTGCACCCAGCCGATACACAGCTTCTTAAAGGCCAGTTAGGAAGCACACTTCTAAATTCATATTTGGAGAAACAAATGAATTTTTGAACAAATGAATTGGTAGGCTTAGAATTTCTGTCACCACTTAGGCGTATGATATGAAAATTTATAAGACTGATCACAACCCTTACATCACACGGTATTGGGAGAGGGTGTGTCAAAAACTAATTCAGTGCATATTAGAACACACTGAGTTCAGGATTTATTAGAACTTCACATGCTGGCCCTCACTGATTTTGTTGCTAGAAGGATAATAACTATATTGCATGTTTAAAAAATGTATAACCATTGTTGAAAAGAAAAGGTCAGGTAGGAGTTACAGATTTGAGTGGAAATTTCTTATATAGTAACAACTATTGCTTGTGTAATCCATCAAAGTTTTAAAATGACTCTTGACTTCGTAAAATCACTTCATACCCGTGATAATCTTATGAAGCACAGAAGAATCATTAGTTCCAAGGAGGCAATCAAATCTCAGGAGGTGTACATTCCCGAAGAAACGTAATGGGCAAGTGATAAAGCTAGGATCAACTCCAGATCATTTTTCTCCAAATTCAGTGTTCGTTTTTTCTATCCGATAATGGAACCTAGGAATTTGGCCGATCAGTAATTGACTAAACTTCCAGGGATATCTGTTTTTTCATTTCCTAGATGTAGTTGGGACATTAATCAGTTTTATAAGAGAAATGCATTCCATTATGAAATTATTAAATGAGCTCC
Organism: Homo sapiens; assembly: GCF_000001405.40. Classification (NCBI taxonomy): domain Eukaryota; kingdom Metazoa; phylum Chordata; class Mammalia; order Primates; family Hominidae; genus Homo; species Homo sapiens. The sequence goes on along the minus strand of NC_000004.12, from coordinate 17,082,644 downwards.
CCTCTTCCAGGGACAAAAAGAAGGGAGCAGTTCAGCTACTTGAAGAAACCAAATGGTATGTTGAGGCAAATTAAAACCAGAGAGTCAGTTGGAGAAGCCCGAAGAGTAACCCAGGTGTCGAAATACAGACACATCAGGAGAAAACAATGCCAGCCTCCTGCCAGGGATCTATCTTAACTAAGCATCCAATTATCTTTTGGCTGCAAGGTAAGTGGAGTCAGGGGAAAGGCAATGTCACCAGATTAAATGTGGGATGTCTGGTTTTGCGGAGCCAGCTGGGGATGGGGTGAGGGAGGAAATGCAAGCTGCATGAGTAAAGACTTACGGTTGGTTGGGTCAGATGGTCTATGTAAGGAAGTGATGAATGATACAACTAAATACAGAAAGCAAAGGCCTTGAAAGATAGCAGGAGGGCCCTTGATAAAATATATTTTATGTGGTTTACAGCTTAAAAAATAGAAGAACAAGCATCATTCCTTCATTTAGTTATTCATTGAATAAACATAAATCCACTGTTCGATGTTGGGAAATCAGAGATAAAAAACACTTATGTCGGCCAGGCGTGGTGGCTCACACCTACAGCAATTTGGGAGGCTGAGACGGGCAGATAACTTGAGGTCAGGAGTTTGAGACCAGCCTGGCTAACATGGTGAAACCCTGTCTCTACTAAAAATACAAAAGTTAGCAGGGCATGGTGGCAGGTGTCTGGTAATCCCAGCTACTCAGGAGGCCGAGGCAGGAGAATGGCTTGAACCCGGGAAGCAGAGGTTGCAGTGAGCTGAGAATGCGCCACTGTACGCCAGCCTGGGTGACAGAGTGAGACTCTGTCTCAAACAAACAAACAAAAAGAAACAAAAACACAAATACAAAAACAAAACAAAACAAAAAACACTTATGTGATCCTGAGAGAGTTCCCACTTTATGTGTAGTTGAGGAACCACATAAACAAAAACATTATAATGCACTGGGATGAGTGCAATAATAGAAGGTTGTGGAAGCACCCACGAAGGCTTGCCGAAAGAGCTGATGTGTGAGCTGAGCCTTGAAGGGTGTCTAGGAGTTATCAATGGGAAGAGAGTGGAAAGGATGCTCTCCTGGAAAGGGAATAGCAACCAAAAGACCCTGCATATGAGCAAGGCTGCCAAGCAAAAAGTCAGCACCACGAGGGGATGAAGAGGCAAACACACAAATCACTGGAGTTAGGAAAGTGCCTGTGAATAGGGATCAGATTTGCTGCAAGCTTCTTGTCAGCCACAGAAGAAAGAGGAGTGTGACAAAGTTGCATCATCCTCATTGTCAGAAAGGGTGAGCACTAGCTTCTTGTGGACCCCAAATCCACACAGGCTTTTGATTAGGAAATGCAGAGTTAAAAATGAACAATTTTTTTAAAGGCAACAAGCTGCTAATGAATAAGCAATTATATCACCCCAAATCAATTGGTATCATCGGAAAGGGGCATATTTGGCTTAAACCCAGATTACAAAATATCAGAGAGAAAGAACCCAAAAAGCTTCAGGTTTCACCCAATCTAGAGAGTGAGTGACCAATTTAGTGGCTTTAATTTCTGGGGCTCTAGGAATTCCATTGACCCAACTATATTTCTTCTAAATAACATCAGAAACCCCAATATAAAAACACAAAAGTGACAATGTCTTCAAGAAAATAAAGTAAGACCCATTAATTTTACACCTTGCTCAGACACCAAAAAAAAAAAAATCAGAAAAACATTTTTGAATGTGTAGATCTTATGAATTTTTCTTGAAGAAACCACTGAAATATAATGTTTAGTTAACAAAGAGATGACTGGAGAATCCGTAGCAAAAAAAAAGAAAAAAAAAAAAACACCCTGTTAGGATTATACTGAGAAGTAGAATAAAGACTGAATGAATAAGAGTATTTTAGCTACAAAACATAACACAAATGCTACATATATGACCAATGTAGAAACTATATAAATTATAATAGTTGAGAGAGAAGGATGAGAAAAAAATGAAGGCAGTATAAGTGTGTTCTTATGTTCTTATCCTTTATAACCAGGAGTAAAAAGATATCATTTAAACATGATAATTTATGGAAAGTCATTCAACTAAAATTGGTGAGTAGGGCAAGGGAAGATGTGGACATGTATCAATTTTATCACTGTTATAGAAATTCAATTGATACTGTCTAAAGAAAGACATCATTAAGTGAATTATGTTATTATAATTATAAAGAACTTATCCAGAAGATATACACAAATCTTCCAAATGATGAGAAGAAACACAATACACTCTGTATAGTGAAAATTTTTTTTAAAGTCAAGAAAATATATACGAACAGAAAGCAAAACATGATGCCAATATTAAATGTATCTGACGTGTCAATAACTATAAATGGCTTAACTACTACATTTTAAAAATACATCTGGATTTGGCCAGGCACAGTGGCTCACGCCTGTAATCCCAGCACTTTGGGAGGCCAAGGCAGGTGGATCACAAAGTCAGGAGTTCGAGACCAGCCTGGTCAACATGGTGAAACCTCGTCTCTACTAAAGATACAAAAAAATTAGCTGGACGTGGTGGCGCGTGCCTGTAATCCCAGCTAATTGGGAGGCTGAGGCAGGAGAATCGCTTAAACCCAGGAGGCGGAGGTCCCAGTGAGCTGAGACTGTGCCATTGCACTCCAGCGTGGGCAACAGGGCGAGACTCCATCTCAAAAAAAAAAAAAAATCTGGATTTTACAAAGCAAAATCCTATTATATGCTGAGAAAAAAGACTCATTTAAAGCAAAGAGTGGTTGAAAATATAAGAATTAGGAAAGACACACCAGGAAAAAAATGGTTAAGTAAAAATAAGAGCAGAAAGTAATGCATGTAAACAATTGTTGAACTAAAAAAAACTGTTGTTTTTTTTTTTTTCTTTTATTTTTCTCAGACAGAGTCTCACTCTGTCCCTCAGGCTGGAGTGCAGTGGCGCCATCTCAGCTCACTGCAACCTCCACCTCCCAAGTTCAAGCAATTCTGCCTCAGCCTCCTGAGTAGCTAGGATTACAGGTGTGCACCACCATGCCTGGCTAATTTTTGTATTTTTAGTAGAGACAGGGTTTCACCATGTTGGCCAGGCTGGTCTCAAACTCCTGACCTCAAGTGATCCACCCACCTCAGCCTCCCAAAGTGCTGGGATTACAGGCATGAGCCACCACGGCCAGCCAAAATAAACTGTTTTTAAGGGAGGAACAATAAATAGATAAACTCTGTTGGATAATCAACTCAGGAAAAACAGAGAGAACATACAGATTACATCATAAGAGCCAGACCACTACTGACAAAGGAAATTGAAAATATGAGACTACTTTGCTTTTTGCAAATAGATTGGAAAGCAGAATAAAATGAGTAATGATAATGAATGATTATCTAGGAATACATAGATTACTAAAACTGACCCTATAAGAAATAAAACATCCGAAAAGATAAAATTCCCTAAGTTGCTCATGTTTGCATTCACACACACAGACCCATAAACATTGAGAGCAGAACTGGATTCCAGTTTTTAGGGTCTCAATACTTAAAAAATTTTGTTATTCTCTTCATAAATAAATATAAAAATATTGAAATAAAAATAGCAAAGTGAGGCTGGGTGCGGTGGCTCACGCTTGTAATCCCAGCACTTTGGGAGGCCGAGGCGGGCAGATCACCTGAGGTCAGGAGTTCAAAACCAGCCTGGTCAACATGATGAAACCCCGTCTCTACTAGAAAGACAGAAAATTAGCCTGGCATGGTGGTGTGTGCCTGTGCCTGTAATCCCAGCTAGTCAGGAGGCTGAGGCAGGAGAACTGCTTGAACCTGGGAGGCGGAGGTTGCAGTGAGCCAAGATCACACCACTACACTCCAGCTTGGGTGACAGAGCAAGACTCTGTCTCAAAAAAAAAAAAAAAGCAAAGTTAATGTTTGTTTGGAAAGAAGATATAAAAAAGGATAAATTACAAACAAAATGGTAAACCCAAATGCAAATATTGCAAAGCTCAGGTAAATAACATAGTATTTTTATTAAACAATACATCCATACTATACTTTTGCAACAGTTTTTGGCAGCATACTTTGTTATCTCTTCATATAATAATGCCTTTTGAGCATCATTTTCTATAGAAAGATGAGAAAGGCAATTTGGTCTTCCTCTAGTGATATTAATTAAAAATTTTTAATTATTGCCTCTTACAGTTTTTTTTTTTAGCTTCACAACTCATTACTGATAATATAAAAGTATTTTAGGATTATTGGCAAGTTTGGGAAAACCATGGTATTTTTTCCTATATGAGATACGTATTTTCAGGTATTTTAAATTTTCTTATGCAATGACTAATCTTAATTACTGTTTGAATTTATATCGCTCATTACCTAGAGCAATTTAAAACATTTTAAAATTTCTTCTGTGTTGCATTGAACTACATAACTGTGTGACCAAATTACTCATAAGTAGCATGCATTGACATATTGATAAATATGTGTGATTTTGTCACTGGAATACTTGTTTATTCAGGCTCTTTCAGTTTTGGGTAGTAATTTGGCATGCCATTTGTCTGGAATCTCTCAACTTTGCTAAGGTGCAATTCAATAGATAGGGACACAAAAGCAGACAAACAACATTCTACTTCACATACAGATGTATTTGCTGTTTTGAGTATTGCTGCAGATTTGTGCCGTACATAGGAGAATTTCAAGTTCTATTTTGTGCAGCTTGATTTTTTTAAAGTGTGATGCTTTTTAAAGTGAATATGCTACATTATTGAGGATTTTTCTTTCAGGAGTAATCTTCCATTTTGACTGGTATTGACTGAAAACAAGTTCTTTGCTTACACATTTACACGTATGGCAATTGGAATTTTTTTTTTTTTTTTACAGACTACGTTCTGATTCCCTATACTTCAAACTTGGTTTCTTCTTCACCCTGGATACTTGCAGAGCCGGGCACCACTCATGTGATAATGCCAGGTGAGGAAATACCCTGGGGAGTAGGAGTACTCTGGAAGCCAAGACTACACACCAAATCTGGCAACAATAAATAACAAAACACAGAAGCTGGTTGACTGTGGTTGATTGAAAACCATAGTGTGTGTGCGTGTGTGTTGTATCCTGTTAAAATCAAACTAAATGTACGTCGAACTCAACTTTCCTATTGCAGGCTGGATTCTCTAGAAGCAGATGCTGGGAGGCTATTTGGGGTACAAGGTGTTCCTTAGGAATCAACAGCTGTGTTGGGAAGGAGAGGACACAGGATCGCACAAAGGAAGACATCAACAGTGCTGTAGAGAGCCCTCCAGAGGGTAGCATTTGTCAGAGTGTTCTCCATTGGGCTGAAACACCTGGGCATTCATGTTCTTCTCACTCAATCACCAGGTAAGAGGGCTGCCCTGACAAGGGTAACATGGTCAGCAGGGAGGCTATCCCCAAAGGAGCCGGCAGCTGCAGACTGCCGAGCACACTTTCTGCAGGTGAGATGCAAGTCCTTTCTTAAAGGGGGATTTGAGCGGCCTAGTTGCAAGTCTACCACGTTCCCTTTAGCCAGACCCCCAAAAATGTCTGCAGTCCCTCCAGCACCACCTGACAGAAACAGAAGGCTAACTTAGAAATTAGCATGGAGATAGTGGCCTAAGCCAATTGTGACTAAAACATCTCACTTTACAGATTTCACAAAAGCATATGATCATGTGGACAAATTGCTAGGGCCCTTTCAGGGACTTATTAGGGTCCCATGCAAGGGGCCCTGAAGCTTAAGTTCACTAGCATCCACTAAACCTGGGAGTATAGTCAAAGTATTACATCCCCCAGAGCAACCACCCCAGATGGTTTCACAGATTAATTCCACCAAACCTTTAAGGACGAGGCTAATCCAATGTGACTTAAACAGTTCCAGAACATGGAAGTATAAAGCAGTTTTTGAAATTCTCCTTTTTGAACTTAGCATAATATTGAACCTAAACCATATATAAAGAGAAAAAAAAAGTAAATTGCAGAACAAACTAATTTACCTGTATTGATAACAAACCGAATCCAGAATGCATTAAATAAGTAATACTATAATCAAGGGGGTCTTAATCCCAGGGTATTGAAATGTTAGGGAATCCATCCATGTAATTCATCAGAGAAACTGATCAAAAGAAAAAATTATATAATTATTTCTAAAGCTACTGAAAAGATATTGGATAAAATTCAATAGTTCACCTTAATAAAACTTTAATTAATAAAAAGAGAAATGCTTATTTATATGACATACAACTATATGAATATGTATTTTAAATGTACCTTAACCTGAAAATCAACATTATGCCTAATGAAGAAACAATAGACTCATTAAATTCAATTTCAACAGAATTTTTTGGGGGGATCTAGGTAAGTTGAGTGTAAAATTAATATGGAAATAAGGCAAGCAGAGAGAGTTGAAAAATGCTAGAAAAGAAGAACGATTAAGGGAATCTAGGTTTTCCATTTATTAAAACATGTTATACATCTACACTAATTAAAGCAGTGTAGTATTGCTATATGCATGCACAGATGGGTCAGTGAAATATACCAGAAAGTGCAGAATATAAATGCAAATACATATGAGAACTTAATATATGAAAAAGGGATAAAGCCAACTTCAAAAAATGGAGTTGGGAAAATGGGGTAGCCATCTGAAAAAAATACATATCTTGCTGGCTCCTGACCTCACCCACACTTGAAAATAAGCTCCGTATTTTTAAAAGATTCAATATAAATGGAAACCATAAAATACTAGAAGAAAATATAGAAGAATTTTTTAATATTAATCTTGGAGAAAGGAAGTCATTTCCTAGAACACAAAACCAACATGAAACATAAATTTAACCACATAAATGTAGAAATAGAATTCCGCAAAGAAAAAAATAAGCATAAATTCAAAGACAAAACACAAAGTAGGAGCAAATATTTGCAACTCAGACTGCAAATATAGAAATCATCTATCTAATAGAGAGAATCTACAAATCAACATAAAAAAAGATAAAAACACCTAATAGAAAAATAGGCAAAACAGTTTATAAAATAGGAAATACAAATGGGTTTTACACATACAGAAAGATGCTCAGCCTAATAATAAAATAAATGCATACTAGAAGTACAATGAGGTATCACTTTTTGCCTATCAAATTGGTAAAGTTAAGAACATTTAATAACATTGTGTGCCAGCATGGTGTGGGGAAATAGAAACTCTCCTGTAATGGGAAAGTCACCTGTACATCTTCCTTGGAGGGCAATTTGACAATATTGATTGACTTCACAAATGTCTGTCTCCTTTAATCTGCAATTCTACTTCTAGAAATTTATCCTCTTAATGCAAAATGGTTAAATATCTACATTTGTGTATGGTCCAATGTAACACTTGAAAATGATCAAAGTAATGAGTGTACAAAGAAATCATACAATAGAAATAAGCAAAGTGTCCATCATTAGGGGATTAGATAAATATGTTATGGTACATCCTTTCAGTGGAAGACCGTGTGGATACGTCTTTTTAAATAAAGTATTTTCATTTATACTGGTATGAAATGATTCCATGTTATATTACTTAGTTAGCAAAATGGTATGCATAGTATGGTTTCATTTGAGTAAAATATAAAAAAGAATACCTTCATGTATATTTTCCTGTATATGCAAAAAGTTTCCCGTGCATGATACATAAAGAAATTATTATATTGGTTGCCTTTAGGAAGAAAATCTAGGTAGTTGGGAGCAGAGATGCAGAGATACTCTTCTAACTTTTGCAAAAAGTATTGCAAATAAAGAAATATGCTAAGACATGAACCTTGGTAATATGAAAATTTGACTTTTGGTTATATAGACATAGAGTAGTTACACTGGATGCTAAACGTAGTTCTGAGTGTCAGGTGGCAGCAGAAAACAAAATGGACACATTCCCTGCCCTCTAGTGATGATATTCTAATAGGGGTAGAAAGACAGTACATGAAGAAGCTTATAAACACCAAGAGGTAATAAATGCCATGAATGGAAATAGAAAGGAAATATACAGGGTGGTCAGACAAGGTCGCTCTAGTAAGAAGGTGGAGCAAAAGCCTCAAGGAGGTTAGGGTTCTGGTATGGTTTGGCTCTGTGTCCCCATCCAAATCTCATCTCAAATTGTAATCTCCATGTGTCGAGGGAAGGAACTGGTGGGAGGTGATTGGATCATGGGGACGGTTTCCCCTGTGCTGTTCTTGTGATAGTGAGTGAGTTCTCATAAGATCTAAAGGTTTAAAAGTGTGTGGCTTCCTTCACTCTCTCTCTCCTGCCACCTTGTGAAGAAGGTACTTGCTTCTCCTTCACCTTCTGGCATGATTATGTTTCCTGAGGCCTCCCCAGCCATGCAGAGCAGTGAGTCAATTAAACTTCTTTTCTTTATAAATGACCCAGTCTCAGGCATGTCTTTATAGCACTGTGAGAATGGATTAACCCCGGTGCCATCAGAATCCATGTGGGGAAGGTCCTTCCAGACAGAGAGAAAGCAAATGCTAAAGCCCTGAAGCATGAGTCCCAGGAGTGTTTGAGAAACAGCAGAGACCAGTGGGGCTGGAGAGGCTAATGGGGGTGATAGGAGCTCAGAGCAGAATGTTGATGGGAGGAAATCATGTTGGCCTCTAGGCCAGAGTAAGGATATTAAATTAATAGTCATTTCCACTCCAGTTTCAGCTCTCAAAAAGAAACAAAGTTTGATGGTGAACAAAATGCAAAGATCAGGAGGACCCAGAGCCCAGAAAGGAATATAGAGGGGGAATCCCTGGGAAGAGAAGAGGGCACGGCGCTGAGAGGTAAGGGTTGAGAGCAGTGAGCTTCGCTGTATCTTTTGAAAACTGACCGGAGCACTTGAAGATGGTCAAAGAGAGCCTTAGGCCAGGACTCAAATGTTTAAATGGCAGCTAAATGAACATGGAATTAGACCTACTATGTATATTCACACTGAAATCAGCCCCTACATAATCAGTTGGCTTTTACATCATCTTTTCTAGAAGTAAACATTTTTAACTAACAAAGAGATCATTGATGCTTACCTCCTCCAGATAAGCACTGGGGCTCTTTATTGATTTTGAGAGTCTCACTCAGCTGAACACATATTGTAAACCCTTTTATAGATCCTAAGTGTTTATTGGATAAGGACTGGGACCTTTTCAAATATATTATCAGCAGTCTTATGAGAAGTCTTTCTGAAGTTTGCTAACTTGTAGCCATGGGTCTCTCCTGTGCTGAACAATGAAATGTCTTATCTTCCCTACATATGTGTCTTGAGGCTCTTTCACTCCTGTGGAAAACAAGGCAACTATTGGAGGGATATTGGATTAAACTCAGGTGTAAAAGGAAACTTCTAAAATTTTTCATTAAGGAATTGCACTGTGGTGTGCATGAGCCCTTGGGATCACTCTTTTTCAATGCAATTCTTATAAACAGCAAAGACTTCTTTTTTCAAATGGGTGAAGTTTATAGGAGAATAAATTGACTCAGTGTAAGATTAAACTTTCTGACATAACACTTCAACAATGGGACATGATGCTTTGAAAAGTAGAGACTATTCAAAAAGAATGCAACGACCACTTTCCAGAGATGTTAAAGAAGGAATTCATGAGTAGGTAGGATTTTGGATGAAATACTTTTAGGTTTCTTCCAACTCTGAGCTGCTATGACTGTGTCATTCTATAATTCTACCTTTGCTTTTGCATTTCTGTATTTAGTATTTTCTCAGATCTGTCTGGATCTTACTCAGGGAGACAGAACTAACTAAAAATTTCATTCTTGATGGGATGGTCTGCGGAATTACAGGCAGGTTATCTCTCCAGGCTCTTCCAAGCTAGCATAGCTAGAATAAGAATCTGGATTCCAGAGAAAGGAGAATATAACAGAGTGTCTTAGACTGAGCTTGCCAGAAGCAAGGCCTGAGATAAGGAAGCATTCCTAGGAGATAGTAGTAAGAGAGGCAGGAAGCAGGACAGGAAATTGGCAGAAGCCAAGCCAGAGTCCCAGACTCAATCTGATCCCACAGGGACCTCTGGAGTGTAAACTACATTTCAGTGTTTACCCCAACTTAAGCCGAGGATACTGGGCTTCCATATTCCCACACCAGTCAGTCATTGACTAAGATATTAACACGTAGGCTTTCTGTGCTCATGGGGAAGAAGGCTTCAGTAACATAAGAGAAGACCCAACAAAGAGAGCTGCAGAAGCAAAAACACACAACATTCTGGGGAAAGACTCACAGTAAAGTTAAAAGGGATCCAAGGTGGACTTGAGCAGAATGCTAACAGTGTCCCCCTCAAAAGTCGCAAATAATACACAAAGCAACTTCACGTCCAAATCCTAAGACCATAAAAATGGTTAGAAACAAACGTAACAAAAGCAAGTTCAGATACTGAGTGTAAAATAGGTGCAAGTAGTTCCTTCAGGGTTGCAGAAGTTAATTTTGAGAGAGCGATGGAAGTTTAAATTGATGTAGTGTATTAGCCAGGATTCTGCAGAGAAACAGAACCAGTAAGATATGTACATATTAAATATATATATATAACATACACATATTACATGAGTATGTATTATGTAATATGTACATACATATATACATATATTACATATGTATATTATACATGTAATATATATCTTTTAATATATTGTATATGTGGAGAGAGAGAAAGAGATTTATTTTAAGGACTTGGCTCATGTGATTGTGGGGGCTGGCAAATCCCAAATTTGTAGATGAAGCTGGCAGCTGAAAACACAGGAAGGAATTGATGTTGCAGTCTTGAGGCAGAATTTCTTTTCTGGAAAACCTTAGTTTTTGCTCTTAAAGCCTTCAACTGATTGGATTAGACTCAGCTACATTATCTTTACTTAAGGTCAATGATTGTAGATGTTAACCACATCTACCATGTACCTTCAAGGCAAACATCTAGATTAGTGTTTGGTTAAACCACTGGATACTATAGCCTGGCCAAGATGACACAGAATATTAACCATCAAATAGAATATTCTGCATACCACTGAGGGTCTTTCTAAAAGTAAAATAAATTTTGTGGATCTGAGCAATACATGCTAGAATCAGGGAATGTCTTTCAGCCAAGTTTTCTGGTTCCCAACTACTCATATTCTTGTGTGGACGAGGATCCTAACGTACTCATCTGCTAACCCACACTTGGGTTACGAATCTCATCACAAAGCTTGGCTTCAAGCATGACATTTACTAAATGAACCACTTGATGTTATGTTTAAGTTGTGGAGTAAAGAACAAATTCATTAATGAGAACCCTGTTTAGAGTTCTTTTGGAATGAATAATCATCTCTTGGTTCCAGGAAGACCTTGTGCCCATCTGTAAATTGTCATTATGTGAAAACATTGACTGAGAGGGAGGCTGCTGGGGAACAGAACCTGCAAATCATGGGGACTTGTGAACATTGTCTTCTTTTCCTTACTGCCTGTCAGGCATTGTTATGATGAATAACACACAAATGATAGCTATAGTTGACAATAGAAAGTAAGCTCTGACTTTAGGTTGATGGGTCTCATTTTTTTCACCCAACACGGTTGAAGGATATAACTTCCCCCCATTAGCAACAGAGGTGCTTTACAGAGGTGATGATGGAAATATCACCCACTTGAATCTCAGTGTAGAGGGAAAAAGGGAGTTACACAGCATGGTTCTGCTCTGTTTCTTCAGTGTATACTGCCATTGAGAATCATCCTTCCCAGTAACAAAATTGTGCTTTGCAAGTTCCATATATGTGTTTTGAGTAGAATTGAATCTGGTAGAACTTCTGTTTAAGATTGGACAGGCAGGCAAGATAAGCTTTAAGATTCCTTTTGTTGACTCAGTAACACAAGCCCTGTGAAGTGAATTACAAATGGTGTTCTCATTAGTGAATTTGTTCTTAGAAATCTCGAGTCAAACAGTAGCTTCTGTAAGACTCTATATAGTTTATCAATGGCCACAATAATGCTGTATGACAACCAGAGATTCTCTGTGGCAAATAACAGTAAACAAATTTCTGGTTTTTGAGTTTTCAGAGTTCAGCTGATCTGAACTGGGCTTAGCTGATTTTGGCTGGGTTTGCTTATGTGTCTACAGACAGTTACGGGTCAGCTAGATGCCTCTACTGATCTTGGCTGGGCTCACTCTGAGTTCCAGAGTTGGATGGCTGTTGGCTGATCTTGGTTGGCCCCATCTGAGATAAGTGAGGCAACTCAGTTCTGCTCCATGTGTCTCCTCCTCTAGTGGGCTAGCTCAAGCATGTTCTCATGGCAGTTGCATAAGTTCAAGAAGATTTCCTAAGGCTTAAGCTCAAAACTGGGTATGGTCACTTCTGCTGCCTTCTATTGGCCTTAGCAAGTCACAATGCCAACCATATTCAATTTTGGGCGAAATAGACTTTATCTCTCTGTAATGAGTAGGACTGCAAAATTATGTGGCAAAGGGAATGATTTACATTGAGGGATGAGAAAAGGAGCCATTATTACAATCAGTCTACCATGGATTCTAAATTATTAGCATGAAATCAAATTCTAGTAACCATATCTCACTGTCTACTCACGTCGGCTGGCTGTCATCCCTAGTAATATGTCAGAAATGAAATATCAGGAATGATTTTTCTTTGTCTGGAGAACTCTGACATTTCAAGGGGAACTGTACCAGCTAGTGTTGGCCCAAACTCAGCTGACCCCCTGCAATATCAAGCATAAGACTGAAATACACAAAGGCCTCCCCTCCCCTCCCCTCTCCTCCCTTCCCTTCCCTTCTCTCCTCTCTCCTCTCCTCTCCTCTCCCCTCCCCTCCCCTCCCCTCCCCTCCCCTCCCCTCCTCTCCTCTCCTCTCGTTTTAGGTCATAGGATGTCCTGCCTCAGTGTATTCTCTCGTTACTTACATGTTATTAATATCATATTATAATTACTAGGATAATCTCCAGGCTTTGCAATTGCCTGGTACTCCATAACTGCTCGGTAAATATAGGCTATTATCATTATAGTGCAGATATTCAGAATAAGTTGTTGTATTTTTGGAACAGGTCCAAAGTTTCTTGGTTAGTAAAATATAAAAAATGGCCTCATTATAAGCCCGCCTGACCCATTAAGAACGATCTCCCAGGACAACCTTCTAAAATGCCAGGATAGGTGCTCCACTGTAAGAGTAACCTATTAGGAACATGAGTCCAACATTCATTCTTTAGCAGTGAGATCTATGCCATGCATTTGTTACTGTTCATTTTATTCACTGTAGCTCCATCAACTTGTTGTACAATGTAATTTTCTCATGGAACTCCATTAAAGGTGGGAAGAGGGTGCATTAAACAAAACAAGAACCCCTAATTTTTTTAGCCATCAGGCATTAATTTATCAATGCTCACGTACATAATTAATGGTCTCGCACAGCTTGTGACAGCTGGTTTGTTTCAGCCAAAACCCAGCCTAACTAAGTTAAGATTTGGAGGTATGCCACAAGAACCTAGTTAAACCTGTCATGAACTCCTCATTTGATATTTTAATAGGCTTTCCTGGCATGGAACCCAATTGCCTGGGCTCACTCCCCTCTCAGTCTAAAAGGCGTGAGTTCAGCTTCATCACTCTACATATCCTCATCTTGTCTCAAACACTTGGAGAATGGGGCTTTGAAAAGGTCAAATCCACATAGAAGAGAAGTTTATGCAAAAGCTCAAATAAAAACAAGATGAACGTGCATACAGACAACATTTAGTACTGGCAGCCCATAAAACAAAACCATGTTGTAAACATGTCCAAATATCAACAAGTCCTTTTCCCAAAACATACTGAAGAATAAAGGATTTGAAATAACAGTTCAGGGTACAGTTGGTGTCATCTCACAGTTTGTAAATTTGGCACTATTGATCTACAAAAAAACTGTAGAGAATTCTAATATATTGAGCCTCTTCTCTATGTTGTATCCCACATCAATGATTTTATCTGTTTCTTGCAAACATTTGTTTGCAAAGTTGTGATTTTGCAAGGGTGTGACTGATCCGAGGACACATGATTGATGACAGGCAGAGCCAGACTTAGAAGTTGAGTGCCTAATTCCAAGGCAAGTCTTTGCCACAGTGTGCAGATGAGTAATTTAGCTTACATGAGGTATTTAGAGTCTAATAGGTTCTTTATGTTCATGTTGATGGCAAATGGTGCTTCAAACACATATCTACATAAGTATTATTCCTTTGTTGCATACTATCAGATGGGGGAAGTCAGCGTACAAATTCATCAGTGAATTCTCTCTGGAATCAGCTGCTCTGTGGGCTCCTTTTGGATAAGGAAACAAGCCAGGCAGAGGTAGTCTTTCCAATTCCTCCAAGTGCTTCATCCAGTACTTCTTCTTTGCCAGCAACTACATGGGGCACTTTTTGTAGGGGACCCTACTTTCATCTTCATGACAACACTTGGAGATAATTATTGGTACCCTCAATATTACATGTTTTGAAATTGAGACTCAGAGATGTGAAGTAACTTGTTCAAGGACACACAGCTAATAATTAGCTATTCTAGCACTGAACTCAGTTCTGTCTGACCCTGAAGCCCGTGCTGTTTTGATTTTGTTCATTTTCTACTAATTTCTTATGTGGCTAAGATGCATGTCATGATCTTGCCTATTTATTAAGAAAAGGCACCTAGAAGCAACATCAGAGAGTGAGTTTCTTTTATCAGAAACAAATCTCCTGGCAATTTTGGAATTAGCCAGAAAGGGTTCAGATTGCCTGAGTGGGGCTGTGGAAATATGGTTTGGTGTTGGGACTAAGGGTAGGGAATGAGGGAGGTAGGGAGACAGAGGAGCTTAATGAAGAGGGTACTGGGAAGCCTCATCAGCCTTCTATGAAGAATTATGATCTGGCTCTTAGCTTCCAGGGAACAGAGGTTCTAAATGGCCATGCTTTCAGTTTCCAAACTCAGGAAGTGGTGGACAAAGTGAGACCAGAGTTAATGCTTTCACACCTGTAGCAACCAGTTCCCCACCCATCCCTTGCCCTCAAATCATCTCAGGTTGTCAATATCTGACAGAAAGTTCCATATCTAGGCACTCTGAGCCAGGGACTACTTCAAATGTACATCACTCACGACTTAGCAAATCCTATACCAAAGACACGTTGGAACTGCCTATTTTTGGTGTAAATGCTCTGAGAGTGTAGCAGAGACTACAGGTACCTGGATAGCTTTGGGATAATCAGTCTATTCCGAGCAGAAGATCAACTAGAAGTCAAGGAACTAGAGCTCCATCCGTGGAACTTTGGGGAAGAGGATCCTGGTTGGCAAGAGAGAGCTAGACAGGCTGTGGGGAGCACAGTAAACTGGATGGCATCTTGGCCAAGTCTCCGTTCTCAGTGGGACCTTAAATTTGGGCCAGGCATCAGCCTTTTTGTAAATTAGGAAAAAGGAACTTTTCTGGACGAATAACAGTGAAATGTGATCCTTCTCTCCTCTAGGTAAATGTCAGCCTGAGTCATGACTCGCATGCAGTGAGGGATTTTGGCCCTGACTCACTCCCTAAGGCAGGCATATTTTGGCAGTGAATAAACTGCATCACTGTAGCTGGTAACTCTGCCTGGATAGGAATAGGGAATAGAATCAGAATCTTTTTATATTATGAGATAATAATATAATAATTGTAGTAAAGTTTAAGTCTTTATAAGGATCAGAGAGAGAATCTAATCCGCTCTAACCTAAAATACAGTATAATAATGCCTGGTACGTAACAGGTGCTGGATCAAAGTTTGTTAGATAAATAAATCCCAAAGTGGGTCAGTTTTGCAGCTTCCTTCTGAATAGTGCTTATAGAACCACTAAAAATAGTTTTCCATTTTCACGTTCATGACTACTGAGGGTTCATTCTTTAGAGTACAAAGGTTTTCTATACAACTCAAAAGTTCTTCCACTGCTGTTAAGTTTTTTTCATCATTTATTGGTCCATCATCTAATCACTTTTCCTTTTTCTACTGATCTTACAATTTTATAAATCCATGGCCATTTAGACTTCAGATGCCCATATCCAACATCATCTACTAAAAGTCTCTCTTTAAGACTTCTTTATCAGGAGATAAGGAGATAAGGAAAGAGTGTCTTATGGTGTGATGTTGATGAACAAATGCTCATCTTTTCAAATGCTTAATACTTAAATATCTGAGTACTGTTGTCACATGCTGTTAGCAGTGACCTTCCTTTTCATTGTGTCATCAGCCTCCTAAGTGATCCTGGTTCCACGTCATGCAGTGATTTGCATGTGCTCCATGCTGTCTTCCTCTGCATCCAGGAAGCTCATCAGACCCTTTCCCTATACTACATCTTCTGTGGTTCTTACCCAAACTATTGCAATAGTCTCCTAACAGATCTTTTGCCACCAAATCATATGTCTCTAATTTATCTTCCAAACTGCCAGAAGGAGTTTCTTAAATTAAAATATTATCATAAAATTATGGACTGTTTCTCATGGCGTTAAGGGGATTAAGACACTCTTTACTTAATAAGGTACTTGAAGTCCCTCCCTGTCTGGCTCTAACTTCACAACCTCATCACTAGCTGCTTCCCCCAACAGTCCATACCAAGCCTGATGAACATTGTACAGTTCTTTTCATTGTTTCAAGCCTCCCTGTCTTGCCTATTTAAAAAAAAATTCTTCGAGCATGACCATCCTTCTCCTGCTCAGATAGTAATCTATTTGTCCTTCAAGAAAAGATGCAAGTGTTTCTGCTGGTTGATGATTTTTTTCAGCCCTTCTACTGCACCTAATCCCATTCTTACTATCTTTGTTAAAGATGATGTTTATTCTGTGAGTTGCCATTATGTATGTATTTATTTTTTACCCTATTATACTTGAGTTTGTGGTGAGCAGAGGAGTGCAGAATATTTTTTTATTTATCCCTCCAGATCAACTCTCCACATGTTTCAACCCTGATTTGTGTCCAGGACTATGTATAGACTATATCCATAAGCTCTTTTGCTCCAGGCTCCCTGGAGATTTCAGCCAATGGGAGACACTGGGGGGAAATCTGAAGAAGGAAAGAAGTTTAGGTTGGAGTGTTTTTACCAGAGCTCTCAATTCCTCTCTCCTAACTGGATTGTGTATTGGCTGTATTTGTGTTTCCCTACCAGAGGCCACAGCTTCTACCCAGTAGTTGGGCCTACTGTCTCTGAGATCCAGGAATCACTGACTCCATTCATGTTCAGGACTAGGGTTGCTAACAGTGCCTCATTATTGCTAGCACCAGGATAGAGCACCAACCTGTGCTATTGTTTGCACTTTTGAAAATGGTCGTTTCATCAAAGTCTTTTGAATTCGGAAGAGTATATAGGCCATATGTTTCCTGCCAGGCCCCTGATAGATACATGGACCATGCCATTTTTATCTTGGTATATCTTGAGTGGTATCACAAATCCTGAACACCTGGCAACTGCACTGCACAGTGGTTAAGAGCTCAGGCTTTGGAGTCAGACAAAACTTGTTCTTATCCCAGCTTCACTATTATGCAATCGTGGGTTAGTTACTCTAAGTCTCTGTTTCTTCAAGATACAATCGAAATAATAATAATAATAATAATGCTTATTCACAAATTTCTGAGGATTAAATGGGAAGATAAAGACAGATTGTTTATCATTGGGCTGGATGTAGTAAAGAATTTGACCTTGCCCAAAAAGAGCTCTGGACCTTCTCCACAGCTCGTGGGAGGTAACCTCTAAACTCTTAAAATTTCTGGTACGAAGGTCTTTGAAATTCATAGCTTGCCCTTGGCTCACACTTGATAATTCATTATTCTAGAAAATGACTCGTGGTAGGCCCCTCAAGCCACAGAAAACCAGCTTGACCCATGGAGGGGGTGGCTGGAGCCTGAGTTCAACCACATGGGTAATCAACTAATCATGCCCAAGTAGTACAGTGCCAATAAAAGCTCTAGACCCCATGGCTCAGGTGAACTTTCCAGGTTCATCAAAGACTTTGATGAACATTCAGAACGCTTCCAGATTCTGTCCCATGCATCTCTTCCCTTGTGTGATTTTAATGTATCCTTTCCTTGTAATAAACTATAACAGAACACATAGCTTTCAGTGAGTTCAGGGAGTCCTTCCAGCAAACTCTCCAAGCTGAGGGTAATTTGGGGATATCCCCAAACTTGCAGTTGGTGTTAGACACCTTGAGCAGACCTGGCAGTCTGAGGACTATGTCCGCAAATCTTATACATTGGCTAACTCTGGGTAGCATGGTATGTGGTGATCGCCCAATAAATTTTCCTACTGAATGTTGATTTAAGAAGAGAATAAAAGAATGATAGTGGGCAGTCAGCACACATACCACTTTCACAGTCCGGGGATCCCTGGTTGTGTCTGTGGGTCCCCTATACCATAAATCTGCTTTCAAGTTTTACTGACTTTATCAACGTTTCCTTTTGAGCCAGACTATCATATTTGATTTGGGTCCAAGTGGCACTGTTTCGGTTACAAGCTTAGAAAGCTGAAATGCAGTAAAAATAAAAAAGGTTAAAACTTCCAAATTGCAAGTTAAGAGAGATTTTTTTATCCCAGAATGTTTATTTTAAACATTGTTTTAATAGAAATCAGTTGAATCCCACATACCAATAAGATGATCCTCTGAGACAGATTGACTCTACCATGTCAGAATGATTTTGGCAGGCTACAGAGTTCTTAATTCTTACTGTGTGAGAGGCCATGCCTCGGTCACACCTCCACTGTAGAAATTCTCATTCTGGGGGCACAAAGGGTGACCAAGTGTCCTGGTTTGCCTGGGACTGAAGAAGTTTCCGGGATATGGGACTTTTAGTTTTATCTTTTGTTTTCTTTTTAAATTTTTTTTATTTCAATAGGTTTTTGGGGAACAGGGGGTGCTTGGTTACATGAATTAGTTCTTTAGTCATAATTTCTGAGATTTTGGTGCACCCATCACCCAAGCAGTGTACACTCTACCTAATGTGTAGTCTTTTATCCCTCCCCAGCCCCCACCCTTTCTCACAAATCCCCAAAGTCCAATGTGTCATTCTTATGCCTTTGTGTCCTCATAGCTTAGCTCCTACATATGAGTGAGAACATAGGACATTTGATTTTCCATTCCTGAGTTACTTCACTTAGAATAATAGTCTCCAAGTCTATCCAGGTTGCTGTGAATGCCATCATTTCATTCTTTTTTATGGCTGAATAGTATTCCATGTTATATATATATATGCCACATGTTCTTTATCCACTTGTTGATTGATGGGAATTTGAGCTGGTTCCATATTTTTGCAATTGCAAATTGTGCTGCTATAAACATGCATGTGTAAGTTCTTTTTTTTTTTTTTTTTTTTTTTTTGATAATGACTTACTTTCCTCTGAGTAGATACCCAGTAGTGGGACTGCTAGATCAAATGGTAGTTCTACTTTTAGTTCTTTAAGGAATCTCTACACTGTTTTCCATAGTGGTTGTACTATTTTACATTCCCACCAACAGTATAAAAGTGTTCCCTTTTCACTGCATCCACACCAACATCTATTATTTCTTGATTTTTTAATTATGGCCATTCTTGCAGGAGTGAGATGATATCACACTGTGGTTTTGATTTGTATTTCCCTGATACTTAGTGATATTGGGCATTTTTCCATAAGCCTGTTGGCCATTTGTATATCTTCTGAGAATTGTCTACTCATATCCTTTGCTCACTTTTTGATGAGATTGTTTGATTTTTTCTTGCTGATTTGTTGTAGTTGCTTGTAGATTCTGGATATTAGTCCTTTGTCGGATGTATAGATTATGAAGATTTTTTCCCACTCTGTGGATTGTCTGTTAACTCTGCTGCTTATTTCTTTTGCTGTGCAGAAGCTTTTTTGTTTAATTTAAGTCCCATCTATTTATCTTTGTTTTCGTTGCATTTGCTTTTGGGTTTTTGGTCATGAAGTTTTTGCTTAGGCCGATGTATAGAAGGGTTTTTCTGATGCTATCTTCTAGAATCTTTATGGTTTCAGGTCTTAGATTTAAGTCTTTAATCCATCTTAAGTTGATTTCTTTATAGGGTGAGATACTTTTAGTTTTAAAACTGTCACTTAAGGCTTTCCTGGGATGCAGGGCTTTCCGTGCTAAAACTGGGAAAGTCCCAGGCAAACCGTGATGAGTTGGTTAGCCTAGGACCATGGGACCCCCACCTTCTGACCCCGGTAATTTAGTGTAGGCAAAGCTCCTAAGAGTAGCCAGTTTCTGGGCTGAGAGTTGCCTTTGAGATGGTTTGGCTTGAAAACTGCATCTGACTGGGAAAACCATGGCTAATGAGGCCAATTACATCTTCTCTCTGAGGGAATTAGAACTTAATTTGGAGAGAGTTGGCCAACTGCTGGCAAGATGAAAGACAACAAAAGACACACAGAGGGAAGACACCAAGAGGTAAACCAAGTCACAATAATGGAGATCCAGGGGGTGATCCATGAACTCCTCTGATGGCGAGACATGGTGGAGCCAAAACATCTTTGGATTCTGAAAGGCCTGTTTTGAGGTTATGAATGATGGATCCGGAGCATATAAATAATATGGCTTTAAAGAAAGCGTGGGTACAGATGGGTAGAAATGCTAGATATGGCTGGTTGATGCCAATTGTGACTACTATAAGTCCTAGTTGGCTCGAAGTGGAGAAGGCTACAATTTTTTTGATGTCGTTTTGTGTAAGAGCACAGACTGCTGCAAACAGGGTAGTGGTGGCGCCTAGGCATAGTGTGAAGATTTGGATTGTTGGGTTGTTTTCTGCCAAGGGGTGAAAGCGGATGAGTAGGAAGACTCCAGCTGTTCCTGTGTCCACGAAGCTCACTGTCTTTTCATGGTGCCGGGCTAAACAGTTGCGACTCTTGCTTTTTTATCTCCCCAAGCTCCCTTTTCATAAGCCTTTCATTTCTCAAGTGAAACTGAGCAAACTCTGTTCTAAAACAAAAGGCTAAGCAGAACATCTACACTGGAAGTTATGGTGATTTGGGATAGGGGGAGAAAAGAGTAATTAGAGGAAATAATGGAGAAAGTGAATTTAAAGTTGACACCACATATGGCATTCTGTCTTTGAGTGAGTTTCTTTGGTTTTTATTTTGGGGAAGACATAGTAGGTGTATATAATTATGGGGGACATGAGATTTTTTGATAAAGACATGCAATATGTAATAATCACATCAGGGTAAGTGGAGTATTGAGTGAGTTTTTTTGGCTCAATGAGAACAAGGGTATAAGAATGTATTTAGTGTCTAGTGTGTGTTGGGCACTTCACATAGTTTATTGCATTTAATTTAGTCTTGTTAACAAGATTATGAGGTACATTGATTGTCTCTTCCATACAAAAAAGCTTCACAGAGGTTGAACGACTTGACCTTGGCTCTCCATAAAAGGAATTTCAATTCTAGTTGGTATCGATGCAAAGACATTAGACCCTGATGCTTCTTATTGCATATGGGAATTGAGTGACTCTGGACACTGACAGGGGTCTGTGGCAATGATTGAAATATCCTTTTGGAACTTGGGACACATATAGTGGATAGCAGAGTCCATGGTCCATCTGCTCACTGACAGGACATTTTGCTTTCAGCCTTCTCTGTCTCTTTAATACATTACTGACCCTGGGCCCAATTGTCGTGCAGTTACTTTCTTTAAAATTTTCAGGATACTTTCACAAATAGAGCTGATATGGTTTGGCTGTGTCCCCCCCAAATCTCTTCTTGAATTGTAACCCCCATAATCCCCACATGTCGAGGGAGGAACCCAGTGGGAGGTGATTGGGTCATGGGGGCAGTTTCCCCCATGCTATTCTCGTGATTGTGAATGAGTTCTCATGAGATCTGATGGTTTTATAAGGCAGTTTTCCCTTCTCTTGCTAGCTCTCTCTTTCCTGCTACCATGTGAAGAAGGACTTCGCTTCCCCTTCACCTTCCACCATGACTGTAAGCTTCCTGAGGCATCTCCAGCCATGTGGAACAGTGAGTGAATCAAACCTCTTTTCTTTTTAAATTACCCAGTCTTGGACAGTTCTTTATAGCAGAATGAAAACAAACTAATACAAGAGTGACAGTTGATTGGCTAAAAAGTATAGGCTCAGAAAATGAAACAACTTGCCCAAAGCCACACAGTGAGCTTCTGCCAGATTCATGGCAAGAATACCAGGAAATGAAGGGGAAGGTAGAAGGAGGTTCCCAGAAGAGCAAAGGGCTTAACTGGCACACAGACTTGGGATAGCATAGGAACATCTAAGCCCGGTTGCCCATTGGCTGGCTGTGTGACTCACAGGCTGCTTGCTGTCTTCCTTTAGGCCTCTTTCGCCCCTTTCACCTATATGGAACTTGTTTCAGTAACAGGCACAAAATGGAGTCATTCACTACGCGCCTTGGCACTCACTGTGGTCTGAAGTTACAGGTCTCCTTCCCTCTCTCTACTCCTTCACACCATCCTGTATCTGGCTTTATCAGACTCACCATTCAAGTGTAACTGAGAAGCTGCCTCCTCCACGTCCCCTGGTCCCCAAATCTGGGTAAAATTTCCCTCTTAGATGCTTCTCTAGCATCCCGTGCCTCCCCCATCTCATTTATTGTAATACCTTATTAGTTCCCGTTTCCTTTACCAGGCAGCCAACAAAGATGACATTTGTCCTGTATGCCACTGCTGCTCCAGCATGCCTGGTACATAGTAGGCATGGAACAGATAATTGTGGAACAAATTAATTAATAAAGAGCCGTGGAGCCACAAACAGTAACCAATCCCAAGACGTTTAGGAGCCAACCAAATGAAGGAACAACAACAGCAGTGCCTGCTTTCCGAGTGGCCGGTGGACACCAGGCATTCCTTTCCATCATGTTATTTAAATCCCTAATGGTTCTGCGAAGCAGGCATTCTCCTTCCCCTTTGAAAGGCTGAAGGTCAGAGATGTTATATGAACTGTCCAACTCATGCACTATCAGAGGCTGAGATTCAAAGACTTGCTTCTTTGATTGCAAACTCGTGCTTGGAATCCAGAAATCCAATAGGGAATCAGAGCAGGAGAGAAGCGAGAGTTCCCACACCCTCCCGTGCTGGGGAGCAAAGCAGTGCATGGGTCACATGGGGCTAAAGCAAGTGGCCTGCCTGGTTTCCAGGCCCAACCCTGGGGCAGCTGCTAGGGATAGGGCTGCCTGCCCTTAGTGAGGCTCCTTCAGGCTGCCCTGGAAGGCAGATTCCCCAAAGCTTGATTTTGTTTGTCAGCATTTCTTGTTCTGCCCACGCAACATTTCTTTAGAATCTGGAGTAAAACCAGCACTGTTTTTCACAATCAAGTTTCTCCCATTACCCAGGAATAGCCAAACCGACTGGGCTGTTTCATCTGCTATTTTTTGGAGAGCTTTTGTGCTCCCCCTTGGCGGACCTCTTCCCCTTCCCTCAGTAAGGTTGAATTCCCTGATGGTAATCCTAATTATAAGCATATGTTGTTGCTCTCAGCTACCACTGGACTTGCAAGCTTTCGTTTTAAAGGCAAAAAATTGAAAGTTGTTTTTGGAATATATTTTCTGTCAAGGGGCAGTTTCTGTGGACAGAAAAGTGATTGTCAAATGCATTCTTGGAGCAGATTTGCATACTAAGCATGAGTTCGAACCAGGTAGCCATGTCAGGCAATTACTGCATCAGCAGAACAATGTTTTATAGCTTAATGTGATGGTCACAGGATCTGAGTCTCAGAGACTTGTTGGCTTACAAAACGTTAGTGGGGAATTGAAAGCTCCAAAAAGCATCCCAACGATCTTTACAAATCAGTTCGGGAATTAGTTCAACAATCAGACCTTTTTGTAAGCAATGTTCCTTTATTTAACTGATTGTAGTCCCTTTCTTCAGACTCCTCTCCTCTGCAACAGAGCAGCACGCATTCAAGGGCAAGCTGTCTGTGTCTTGGCTGGCTTTACTCCAGGCATCTGTGTAGCGATGGGGCAGAAGGGTGTGGGTGGAGGCACTGGATGACATCTTGGCCCTGTTTACTAAGTGGGTTGGATTTTGGTCAATCTGGCAGCCTGTTCACCCCCTCCACCCTGTCCCTTCTAAGGTCTCTACCATGTTACAGAGGAGAAGTGGGGACTACATATTCCCAAATCTCCTTCCCCAGATTTGCCGGCCAGGGAGACATACTTGCACAAGATTTGGAAGGTTGAAGAGCAGGAGAAGCTGTGATTCTCTGGAGGCAGTTGTAGCAGGGATGTGCACAGAGGTGAAATTCACAGAGGCCTCCTGACAACTGCTTGAGAACGACCTGCTTCAGTGCTTCAGGCTGACGACTTCAGCGGTGGCTTCTCTGGCCTCCACTTTCCAACTCTTCCCTCAGTTATACAGCCCTCTAATTCCAATAGTGGAATGGATAGACTGGCTCCCAGTTCACTGAAGGAACCTGGTTAATGCAGGATATTTTTCAGAAAAGCATAACACTTCACAGAGCAGGAACTCACCAGCCATTTCCCTCAGTTATTTCTTACAGAATCACAGTTTGCTGACGCCGAAGGAGATCTTTGAGATCATGTAGGCTGATAGTTCCTCAAAACTTGGATTTCATTGACAAATGTAATTTTTTAAATTGTATGTGACTGAGTTGGGATTCACAATGATTATTTTGCTGAGAATATTTTTACGTGTTTTTCAAGTAAACTATCACAATCATTTTTAGAAGAAAAGGCATTTAACATCGTGCTTCAACAAAGCAGACTATAACATCGGTATAAAGGATATTATTTTAGAGTGAACACATTTAGCTTTATGCAAAGTTTGCTACAACTTGCTTTTTTTTTTTTTTTTTTTCCATTCTATGGCAGGCAGATCTAAGCTGCAGTCTTCATTTTACACATAAGGAAACTGAAGCCCACATAAAGTAGGTAACTATCACAGAGTTTATTCTAGGCAGCGCTAAGACCAGAACCCAGTTCTTCTTGTCTTTAGCCTAAGGTTTCTCAACCGTGGCACTATTGACATTGGGGGCTGGATAAATCTTTGCTGTAGAGGATAGGGGAGTTATCTTGTGCATTGTAGAGTGTTTGGCAGTATCCTTGGCCTCGACTCACTAGATGCCAGTAGCTCTCTCCAGTTGTGGCAACCAAACGTGTCTCCAAGCATCACCAAATGCTTGTCTCCTGGTTCAGAACCACTGCTCTGGTCTAAAGGAACTTCTATGCTAAGTTACTTGTGAATGCATTTTCACTTTTATCACCAATGACACAATTGTAAAAGAAGCAACTTTTTAAAATATCAATTATCTTTTAACTGAAGACAAACAAGGAAGAGATTCTTGGGGCTTATGACAAAGGAAGAGGCACGTAGAGTATGGGGAATATATGCCGGGGAGTTCTCATGGGTGCAAGCCTGGGAGACAAATTCATAGCATACCAACAGTTTGATTAATTAACTTCATTATAATAGCTCCTCTTTATTGAATGTGCTGAGCTAGACACTTGGCAAGTATGATCTCATTTTTTTCCTGCTCAAAAAATCTGCAAGATAGGTATTTTTAATCCCGATTTTGTAGAGGTAGAAACTGAGGCTCGAAGAGATGAAAGCTACCTACCTGGAAAGTGAAAAGCGAACCAGATCTGCCCAGCTGTTTTCACACTGCTGGTTCTCCAGGTGAGCCAAGTGTCTAAGTTTCAGCGGCAGAGGAGGCACTGGCATCAGCATTGCCCTAGCATCCTGCCCCAGGTAGCCAGGCATGATCAGGTCTGCAGGCTGCTGCTTATGCATGAGATTCAAGGAAAGCTGGTAGGGCTTAGGGGCCCATTGGCACCACAGTTTCTAGATCCGCAAAGAGACTCCTGGGATTCCAGATGGCTTTCCAGTCTTTTCCACTTGTCTCTTACAGAAGTCTTTCTAGCTGAGTGGTCTTCCTTTGGCCCCCTGGAAACTCTCATGATTTTCTGATTTTATTCATTCTGTTCCTCTCACTTGAATGCCCATCTTTTCATCCACCCTACCAGGTAGGTGAATCTTGTTTTGTAGGATTCAATTCATGTCCTACCTTTTCTATAAGATCCCCCCGGGCCAGACCAGACTTTTTTTGCAAAATCCTTTAACATCATACTGCTCATATGGTTCTAAGTGATATCCCACTTACTGTTGCTAATCTTTTCATAAAAGTGCACATTTATTATACTTACACTACTGGATATATATCCCTGGAAACAAGAACCTAGGATGTTTGGTTCTCACATTGATCCTGTACTTACTAGCTGTGCAATCTTAACGATGTCATCTAACCTTCCTGAGGTCCAGCTTCCTTATGAAATAAAAGAACAAGGATATTTCCCCTGTCTGTTTCTGTAAGGATCAATTAAGAGGGCAGATCAAAGTCCTTTACAAATTGTAAAACTCACCATAAATGTTTCTATTATGATAATCGTTATAATAAAAATGTTTTCATACCATCTGTATATAATATATTGGCAATAAATATTTGCAGATTTATTGATTGAGATCGTCTTCACTGGCAAATGTGCTATGTAAAGGCAGGGTAAGATCGGGACTACTGAGGTCAGACAGTGCCCTTAGGCTCCCTGCACTGGGGTTGATGCTGGCTGCTGAGGAGTCAGGGTGTTTATATGCAGAAGACAGCATGGGGTGCTTATGGTAGGCAGGATTCTAAGCTGACACCCAATGAGTCACCCCCTTATATAATTTCCTCTCCTTGAGTAGGAGTGAAATCTGACTTGCTTCTAGCCAATGGCAAAGCTGATGAGATTTCACTCTTGTGCATTGCATCACATAAGACTGCAGCAAGGGATTCTCCTGCTGGCTTTGGAGAGGCAAACTGCCATGTTGTCAGAGGGCCTGTGGGAGGGCATCAGGCAGGGAACTGCAGGGGCCCACTGCACCATTCTCTGTTTGCGAATTGTTTTTTTGGGCCCATTTGGAAGGACCTATTCTCAGCGTTTGTGTGCTGCTCAGGTACAGGAAGCACCCTATCCCCACTCACTACCCAACGTAGCTATAGGAAAAGTCAAACACTGAAAACTTGGTGTCTTGCTGCCATCCTTTCTCCAGCCTTCTTTTCTCATCTACACCTGAGATAGGGGGCCCCCAGAACTCTGTTCTCTTCCTCTTTCTCTTTGACAGTCATTCCCCATCTCCAGAGCAAGGTGGGTCTCACCCCCATGGTTGTGGAGGAAATGGCTCCATGGCTTCATTTCACAGAGAAGGAAACTGAGGCTCACAGTAGCAAAGTGACTTGCCTGTGGTCATATACGGTGAGTAGGCAGCCAAGTGGAAACTCAGACGTCCAGTCCAGCCTCATCCTACCAAGGCTCCACCCATGGCCAACCCACACAGTATGGTGGGGACTGGTGGCTGGCGGCCATCCAGCTATGCTCATTTGCAGTGTTACATGTTTGCACATATAGAATCATACTATAAATGTTGTTATTCCCTAGTTTAAATTAGAGTTGGTGATGGGTCTTGATTCAGTGTTGAGAGAGGGCTGGGGGAAATACAGAATGATGCTCAAAGACATTTTTTGTTGGTTTCAGTACTTAAAAGCAGATGGTGAAAAACAGCTCTAAAGCTGTTTAAAATGTGTGTCTGGTCAAAGTGCTTCCTAAAGTCCCAGTGCACAGCCTCAGAGAGAAGACACAGGGAAGCAAGAGGAGGTTGGACAATCCTGGGAGCATCACAGAGGCCCATTTTTCTGGGCATGATGGGAGAGGTTGAGGGCATCAGCAATAGTGCTTTCATTTTGGTTTGCTTGGTCCTAGTAGATTGCAGCTGTGAACAGGCAGACAAGAAACAAATTTTGGAAGAGCAGAATTCTTGCAAAAAGAAAACAAAAGCCAATTACTCCTGAGAACACTGGGAATGCCTAGGAAACATGGGAAGGCCTCTCATGAAGGATGCTGCTGACAGCAGCACGTGGCCTCCAGTCACCAGGGCAGCTTCAGCATTGCCAGTCAGATATGTCAATAACTGGAGTTCTTTCAGCATGTGGTTCATATTCTCCCCCCATGGCCTGAACAGAATGCAGTCTGTTCAAGGATCTAGGTTTGGGGTTGAGCAAAGACAATGAAAGGCAGCAGATTCATGCAGAAGAGGGTCTCAAGAAAGCAGGACTTTATTTCAGGGAGTGATGAGATGTCAGGGCTGGAAGTGACATCAGAGACCATGGAATTCAGGATCAGGTAACAGATTGCACCTTCAGTGGCATCCCTGGCGATTTCTGAGAGCATGGTGTTGAAAGTGGGCTTGGGCTTACTGGGAAATAGGCCTGTGATGGATTACCAATGTCTGTCAAAGGGGGCAGGAGTAAGGAATGATAACATGTAGCATGTATATCATTTGCCCTGTCAGATGGTTCCACCAACATATTTACAAACGAGTGAACTGTGACCTAAGAAAAGAAGTGATATTTCTAAGAGACATAGCCAAGGGACAGTGGCAGAGCAGGTCCTATATTCTGATCCATTTACTAATCTCATCCAGGGCTTATCCATTTATTTATCGTTTAACAAATACTTATTGAGCATCTACTTTGTGCTCCCTTGGCAGGTGTTCTTACATTTCAGCTCTTAGCCCTTAATGCAAATGTAGGCTTAGATCCTTATCTTTTGCAAAGGATCAGTGTCATTGGGTAGGTCCTGAGACAAATTTGTTTTAATTTCCTGGACTGTGCCATTGAATGCTTGCCCTGTAGCAGGAACTGTCTTCATCACTTTATGAATCTGTAGTGGTCAAGACCATAGACTCTGGAGCTAGAAAACTTGAGTCTCAATCTTTGCTTTGACTTACTAACCACAAGCAAGTTATTCAAGCTCCCTGTAATTGTGTTTTCTCATGTCAAAAATGGAGATAATAATAAGTACTATTTACTTCATAATGTTGTTTTACTGATTAAATTTAAAAGCCCTTAAAAGAATGTCTGGTGCTTCATAAATGTCAGTTATTATCATTTGAAATTTAATCTTCATAACAATCCTATAAAGTGAATATGATTGGTATCTCCATTTTATGGAACAAATTGTCTGGGTCTAGATCATGCCTCTGCTACTGATTGGCTATGTGATCTTACGCCTCAGTTTCTCAAGCATGAAATGGGATAGTAATCAAACATACAGTGTAGTCATAATAATTAAATTTAAAATGCACCAAAGTGCCTAGAACAAGGTAATTGTCAATGAACGTTATTCGTCATCATCATCATCGTCATCATCATCATCATTGTAATCATCTTTATCATTGCCATGTGCAAAGGCCAAGGATAATGGAGAGTAGCATAAAATTTGAAGATGTGAAGATCTCTACTTGAACCTGTACAGCTAATGGATACTACTCTCTACACCCACACATCCAACTATTTATATCTCACCAGCACCTCATTTACAATATTGTCATAAGCAGACTCCTGATTTCTCCCTTCTTCCCTGTTTCTTCCTCAGGGAGCTCTATGCCAGGGAATGATACCACCTTAAGGAGTGCCATATCCCCACGCATATGTGCCAAGTACCCCAGCGTCTCTCACCCTAGAGGCCTGCTCCATCCCCACACCTGCTTGGGTTGATTTCCTCTTTCTTGAATGCCCTCACTCCTCTCTGCCTTCACTGCCTCCTCACTGGTCCAAGCTACCATTACCTCTCATGGGACAGTTGCAGTAGATTTTGAAAGTGCCTCTGCTCACCTATTTATTTCCTTCTCCAATGTTTTCTCCACACTTTAGCCAAAGAGATTTATGTAAAATGCAAATTTCATCATTTCACACCCTTCTTTTCTGCTCACTCCACCCTAACCACATCCTTAAAACCTATACACACACTTGAAGCCATCCCAGTGTTGGGATGAGAAAGGCCACATTCCTGAGCATGGCCCATCTCAAGGAAGATTCTGTGGTGCAGGCTTCCATCTCCCTCTCCTGTCTTACCCTGAGGCTCACTGGCCTTCCCTTCCACCAGTGTCATCCTGTCTCTCACCCCTGGGCCTTTGCACATGCTGCTTCCTGTCAAGTACAGCCCTGATCCCACCAACCTTCCTTAGTTAACTCTTACTCAACTTTCAGGTCTTAGGAAAGCAGACGTGAATTTTCTTCAGCTACAACACTTGGAAATAAGAAATGGCACAATATTTATTTAAGAAAATTGGACTTTAAGTCCTGGTTCACCAGGAGGCAAAAAATTTCATTTCTATTGTTTTTTCTTTGTACATGTGTGTGAACAGGGGTTAGGGAGTGTCCAGGGTCTCTGGTCTTTAGAACACCAAGGTCCTTGCTGCAATGTGAACTGTCCTAACTCAGAAGGTTCACTGCTCTGTGCTGTGCTTTGCAAGGGAGTCAGTGCTGAAGGTGGGAGCCTTCATGTCTCTGCCAGCCCCTGGGCCCACTGGCTTGCTGTTTACCCATGAATATTAGGTTGTCATACCTCCCTATGGGACTGCAAAGAAGGAGTGCAGCTATCTTTTACTGCCAACAACCACGCAAACTCCATCTTTTCCTAATACTGTGCTTCCCTCTCCCAGTGAGCTGTTTCTGTTTCTACTTCTCCAAGCCCTTCCTTTGGGCTCCAGCTCCTCCAGAGTGACTCATTTGGAAATACAGGGAATACCTGGATATAATATTATAGAAGAGGAAGGAGATGCTGACACCAGTTTTTCTTAATAACTCACCCAGTTACATCACTTAAAAAGAAAAAACGATTCTTAACCATTTTTATGCCAAAGATGCCTTTGGCAATTTGACAAAGCCCATGGATCCCCTTCCCAGGATAATGTTTAAATCCATAAAAGATGCAGGATTGCAATTCAATTAAAGTAAGTTCTCAAACATGCTTAAAATGTGTAGTGTCTCATATATGGGCCTCTTGAAGTCATTAAATATCAGGATCTCATGGTAGGTTTAATAATTAACACAGGCATATTTTGTTTTACTAAGCTTTATTTTATTGCGTTTTTTACAAATTGAAGATTTGTAGTAACCCTGTGCCGAGCAAGTCCATTGCGCCATTTTTCCAATAGAATGTGCTCATTTTGCCAGGTGTGGTGGCTAACACCTGTAATCCCAGCACTTTGGGCGGTGGAGGTGGGTGGATTGCCTGAGGTCAGGAGTTCAAGACCAGCCTGGCTAACATGGTGAAATGCCGTCTCTACTAAAATACAAAAATTAGATGGTCATGGTGGCATGCACCTGTAATCCCAGCTACTCAGTAGGCTGAGGCAGGAGAATTGCTTGAGCCTGGGAGGCAGAAGTTGCAGTGAGCTGAGATCGCACCACTGTACTCCAGCCCATGCGACAGAGTGAGACTCTGTCAAAAAAAAAAAAAAAAAAAAAAAAAAAAAAAAAAAAAGAAATAATGTGCTCATTTTATGTCTTTGTGTCACATTTTGATAATTATTACAGTATTTCAAAATTTTTCATTTGTGATCAGTGATCTTTGATGTCATTATTATAATTGTTTTGGGGCACCACAAATCTCACTCATATAAGATGGTGAACTTAATTGATAAATGTCGTGTGTGTTCTGACTGTTCTACTCACTGACTCTTCCCCCACCTCCCTCCCCCTCCTCTTCTCTCTCCCCTCATGGGTCCCTATTCCCTGAGATATATATATATATATATATATACACACACACATATATATATGTAACATATGTATGTAACATAGATATAAATATAAATATATATATAAATCTATATATCTATATATTGAAATTAGGGCAATTAATAACCGTACAATGGCCTCTAAGTATTCAAGTGAAAGGAAGAGTCACACATCTCACACTTAAGTAAAAAACTAGAAATAATTAAGCTTAGTGAGAAAGGTCATGTTGAAAGTCCAGGCAGGCTGAAAACAAAACCTCTTGTGCCAAACTGTTAGGCCAAGTTGTCAATGCAAAGGAAAAGTTTATGAAGGAAATTAAAAGTGCTACTCCAGTGAACCCACAAATGATTAAAAAAAAAAAGCAAAACAGCCTTATTGCTGATATGGAGAAAGCTTGAATGATCCAGATGAAAGATCAAACCGGCTGTTAACATTCCCTTAAGCCAAACCCTAGTCCAAAGCAAGACCCTAACTCTCTTTAGATCTATGAAGGCTGAGAGAAGTGAGAAAGCTGCAGAAGAAAAGTCTGA
Organism: Homo sapiens; assembly: GCF_000001405.40. Taxonomy (NCBI): domain Eukaryota; kingdom Metazoa; phylum Chordata; class Mammalia; order Primates; family Hominidae; genus Homo; species Homo sapiens. Next base: position 17,050,589 of record NC_000004.12, on the reverse strand, counting down.
AGCTAGCAGAGGTGGGTTCATGAGGTTTAAGAAAAGAAACCACTTCTATCTACTTTTAGTTTATGAAAGAAGGTGAAGCAGTACAAGGTGACACACAGCAAATGCTGATGAAGAAGCTACACTGTTACCCAGAAGATCTAGCCAAGACAACTGATGAGGGTGTCTACACTAAACAACAGATTTGCCACATAGACAAAATAACCTTGTATTAGAAGAAGATGCCAAAGATGCCTCTAGGACTTTCATAGCTAGAGAGGAGAAGTCAATGCCTGGCTTCAGAGCTTCAAAGGACAGGTTGACTCTCTTGTCAGGGGCTAATGCACCTGGTGACTTTAGGTTGAAGCCAAGGCTCATCTACCACTCTTAAAATCCTAGGGTCCTTAAATCATGCTAAATCTACCCTGAGCTCTATAAGTGGAAGAACAAATCCTGGATGACAGCGCATCTGCTTATAGCATAGTTAACTGAATATTTTAAGCCCACAGTTAAGATCTATTGTTCAGGGAAAAAAAGGCTCCTTTCAAAATATTGCTGCTCACTGACAATATACCTACTCACCCAAGAGCTCTGATAGAGATGTGCAAGGAGATTAATGTTTTCATGCCTGCTAACACAACATCCATTCTATAGCCATGGATAAAGAAGTAATTTCAACTTTCAAGTCTTATTATTTAAGAAATACATTTTGGCTGGGTGCAGTGGCTCGCACCTGTAATCCCAGCACTTTGGGAGGCCAAGGTGGGCAGATCACCTGAGGTCGGGAGTTCAAGACCAACCTGACCAACATGGAAACCCTGTCTCTACTAAAAATACAAAATTAGCCAGGCATGGTGGTGCATGCCTGTAATCCCAGCTACTCAGGAGGCTGAGGCAGGAGAATCGCTTGAAACTCGGAGGTGGAGGTTGCAGTGAGCTGAGATTGTGCCATTACACTCCAGCCTGGGGAACAAGAGCAAAGCTCCATTCCCCCCCCCCCCCCAAAAAAAGAAATGGATTTCATAAGGCTGCCATAAATAGTAATTCTTGTGATGCATCTGGGTAAATTGAAAGCCATCTGCAAAGGATTCACCAGTCTAGATGCCATTAAGAAGATTTGTAGTTCATGGAAGGCAGTCAAAATATCAACATTAGCAGGAGTTTGGAAGAAGTTGGTTCCAGGCCCTATGGATGACTTTGAGGGATTCAAGACTTCAGTGGAGGAAGTAACTGCAGATGTAGTGGAAACAGCTAGATAATTAGAATGAGAAGTGGAGTTGGAAGATGTGACTGCTGTAATCTCATGATAAAATTTTCACAGATGAGGAGTTGCTTCTTACAAACGTGCAAAGAAAGTGGTTTATTGAGATAGCGTCTACTCCTGGTGAAAATGCTGTGAATATTGTTGAAATGACAACAAAGGATTTAGAATATTACATAAATTTAGTTGATACAGCAGCAACAGGGTATGAGAGGATTAACTCTAATTTTGAGAGAAGTTCTACTGTGGGTAAAATGCTGTCAAACAGCATTGCATGCTGCAGAGACATCTTTTGTAAAAGAAATAGTCAATTGATGGTGTAAACTTCATTGTTGTTTTATTTTAAGAAATTGCTGCAGCCACCCCACCCTGAACAGTCAGCAGCCATCAACATTGAGGCAAAACCCTCTACCAGCAAAAAGATGACTCTTTGAAAAGTTCAGGTAATAGCATTTTTTTGGAAATAAAGTAGTTTTTTTCTTTTGAGATGGGGTCTCACTTCATCACCCAGGCTGGAGTACAGTGGTGTGATCACAGCTCATTGACACCTCAAACTCCTGGGCTCAGAAGAGCCTCCTGCCTCAGCTTCCCAATCAACTAGGACTACAGGCACGCACCACCATGCGTGGCTAATTTTTTTATTTTTTGTAGAGAAGGGTCCTTGCTATGTTACCCAGGCCGGTCTCAAACTACTGGCCCCAAGTGATCCTCCTACCTTGGCCTCCCAAAATCCTAGGATTACAGACATAAGCTACCTTGCCCAGCCAATAAAGTATTTTTAAATTAAGGTACAACATTATTGTTTAGACACAATGCACACTTAATAGACTATAGTATAGTATAAAAATAACTTTTTATTTGCACTGGGAAAACGAAAAATCTGTGTGACTCAGTTGTGTTGTTCACTTTATTGTCATGGTCTGGAACTGAACCCATAATATCTCCAAAATATGCCTATAATTTCAAAGTCTTAATGAAAGGAATGTAAGGACCATTTCAAGATCTCTGCAACAACTGTAAAACTACTACATTCGTTAGCTACCTTAATAAATTGAAGGAAAATCTAAATTTTAGTTAGAGTGTAGTTAAAATAAAGTTATACTAAAAAAGCTGGCATTCTGGGGTTAAGATAGAGGCTCACTGTTCATGCATGGCTTTTGGTATCATTTGGGTTTTTAGCATATGTACACAATATTTTTTCAATTGAAAAATTGGTTTGGTTAAAAAAAATAGATTCAAGTGATTATTTTCCACTATAAAATTTCCATGCATAGCATATAACCAACATAGAAAATTTAGATAATATTTTTAAAGTGGTTTCAATTTCATTAGTATCTATGATGTGCCAAATAATTGGTCTGCATTGGTTATTTCATTTAATCTTCACAACCACCCTGCAAGGTAAGTGCTAATATATCTATCTTACAGGTGATAAAATTGAGATTCAGTGAGTTTAGCTATCTTACCCCAAATGACACAGATATAAGTAGCAGACATGGGATTAACATCTAGATCTAGACCAGGCATGGTGGCTCATGCCTGTAATCCCAGCACTTTGGGGAGCCAAGGCGGGTAGACCACAAGGTCAGGAGATTGAGACCGTCCTGGCCAACATGGTGAAACCCCATCTCTACTAAAAATACAAAAATTAGCTGGGTGTGGTGGCGCACCTGTAGTCCCAGCTACTCAGGAGGCTAAGGCAGGATAATCACTTGAACCTGGGAGGCAGAAATTGCAGTGAGCTGAGATTGCGCCACTGCACTCCAGCCTGGGTGACAGAGCAAGAGTCTGTCAAAAAACAACAACAACAACAAAACCACATCTAGATCTATTTAACTCTAAAGCCCATTGGTTTTTATTTATTTATTTATTTATTTATTTTTTTAACAATACTAGGGTGCCTGTTAGTATGCAGTAGAAGAAATAAAAGAAATGGGAGATATACAGTTGATTCTCATTATTTGCCATAGTTTTGTTCTATAAAGTCACTGCTAACACTTAACTGGGAATACTGAACCATTGCTCCTAGAGAAAATACAGGGTTAGTTTCCTGTGAGGCTTTGGTCATGACGTTTTGGTCAACCAATCAAGACATAACTCTGTTTGATGTGTGCTTTTGTTTAAAGATACCTTTTTAATACATGTTGTTGATTCTTTAACGTGGAACTCAGCCAACAGCAAGTGAAGGAAGCTTATCTAACACACGCATTTTCTCCGTAAGGTACATTACAGACCTTGGAGCTTAGGAACACTAGGCAGCAATTCAGCACCATGCTTGGGGCCATTTTAAATAGCAGATCACCAAAAAAGCACAAAGATTCAAAAAACGTGCTACTAAATAGACCGCGAAAAAGACATTTGTTTACAATGTGAGGGTTGAAACGAGAAGACAGAGCATCGCCTCATTGGACCTCAGCTGGCAAAGTGCACACCAGGTGACTCAAATTTTTCACTGCACTGCACATGTCCTGAAATAACTGTGAAAGAGCCATGAGTATTGATCAGGGGGTTACAAATACATTTCAGCAAGTAGACAAATTCACAAATATGGAATCCACAAATAATGAATAGCAACTGTGTATTGTTAAGATTTAGGTCAATTATCCTCCAGTATTTCTGAAGTAAGCAGATAACTATTTTCTGATCACTCACATAAAATATGATCTCCCCATTCATTAGAATCCACTGCAATATGGCTTCCATTCATTCCAGTGTTCTCCACCCTTCTTCTCATGATTCATTGTTCTAAATAGCTCTTATCACCACTTGATCCATTGTTTTTTTTAGTGGTCTGTCTTTTCCACTAGAATATAAGCTTCATGAAGACAGGCATTTCATTTTGTTCAATCTTATTACCCCATTGCCTCTGAGAGTGCTTGCCCCATAGTATGCCCTTGGTAAGTATTTTGATGAATGAGTGAAGAAATGAATGACTATATGCGCTTGGCATTTAGTTGTGATTGAGCATCATTGCAAGCATTCAAACTTGTATGATATCTCAAAGGCAGTTTGATGGCACTGCCAGAATTCTTGGCTTGTAGCTATGTGTCTAAAACATTCCCACTCACCACCGGACGGGAAATCCAGCACAGGCTGTGTTTCTGAAACTCTGGTGAAAATGCGTAAAGGTTAAGCTCAGTGCTAAAACCACTGACATTTGAACAGCCTCAATGAGAAAGCAAAGTGGTTGCAAGAAACATTCATTTGAGGTTTTATGTTGGAAGTGTGAACTCCCACGATAACGACTCTTAAAGGACCATATCGACTTGCTGGGATTTGTATGGTTGGGTGGGTGAGGTGGAAATGCTGTTCATTAAAATAACAACACACATATGCTGGATTCTTCCAAGTGAAGATCGGTGGAGCATGGCGAATGGAGGGTCAGGTTTAATTATCAATGCACCATAAACAACGTTCTTTGCTGGGTAAACTCTCTTTTCACTGGAAAATGGTTAGAGCTGCTTGTCTTAACTTTGCTTCAAGAATGAATTCAAACCTTACTATTCTGCAAGAAGCCTTCTTAGACCCTCAGGGTCAGAACTTTTCCTCCCCATATTCTGCGGGTGTTAAAGCAGGCCTTCCATAGCACTACCATAGCCTATCCCATCAATTTATACATTTTAAGTTTCCATCTACTTTCCAGTAATACCTTCCTCCCTTGTATCCTTGAGTTTAGTCTTGCTTCCACCCTCTTTTGTTGAAATGAGGTCTTGCTTTGTTGCAGAGTGCAGTGATGTGATCACGGCTTACTGAAGCCTCGACCACCCAGGCTCAAGTGATCCTCCCACCTCAGCCTCTCAAGTAACTGGAACCACAGGCATGTGCCACCACATCTGGCTAATTTTTTATTCTTATTATTTATAGAGATGAGGTCTCATTATGTTGCCAAGGCTGGTCTTGAACTCCTGGGCTCAAGTAATCCTCCCACTTCAGCCTCCCAAAATGCTAGGATTATGGATGTGAACCATTGCACCCAGCCTAGTCTTGCATCTTTTTAACTTATCTTTCACTCTAAGATCAGAAGGTTTTGTGCTAAAAAGCAGATTTGGCCATGCCATTTCCCTGTTTAAAACCTGTCAAGGTCTCTCCATTGTCTTTTGCATAAGGTCTGATCTCCTTGCTTGCTGTAGTCTCCATCTGCTTCTCATCCTCACGTCCATAGAGAAAACAACATTGAACATGAGATGATATTGTTGAATCTGGTAGATGGGTAAGACATGGGGATTCATTACTATTCTTTCTACTTTTGTATATGTTCAAATTTTTCCAAATTAAAAAAAAAAGAAAAGAAAAAGAAAAATACTTTCTGGAGGTAGCTGGGTCCTAGCTGAACTTGACTTTGAGTTCCCCAGGAGCAAGAGTTTAGGTGAAGGCATCACAACCTGAGGGACCAGCATTTACAAGGCCCTGAAAGTTACCTTAGAACTTTGTAGGAGCTCATACACTTGATGGGGCACTAACTAAACAGCATTTTATGGTTCCCTCATTAGACCTAGCCATGCCAGCGTGCACCATTAATTCCATGTCAACTTCATCAAAGTGATTATTTCCATTCATCCAACCAAAGGCTACAAAAACTGTATTTTGATGCATGGTTTAAAGACTGAAAGTTTTTACTTAGTGCCACTGACCTCTTGGGGACCACAGTGGTTTAGGATGGCTGGAGTTTGATATGAGAATTGCATGAGATGAGTGTAGAGAAGGAACAGACTGTGAGGTACCGAGTGAGTGTTTGGTGACTGAATGAACGAGTGTACCAGCTGGGAGAAGAAATGTATGAAGCATGCAGAGACTTGAAATTAAGAGTCCAGTTAAGTGGAAGACACTCAAGACTGTTAGAAATGGCTTAAGAACAGTAGTGGTATGAAGGGCTCAGATTTGTTAAGTGTACTATCATGTGTATTAAACATTGGACCAAGGCCTTGACTTAGGTCTGTTTTGAAGTTTAATAGGAGTCTGCATAATAAAACATGCTTCATGGAGTACCTGGAAGTTCAGATGGTTTTAAAGTACCAACTTTAATGAATGAATAAATAGAGAAAGCCTGTGGAAACATCTGGTCTTTCCCATCTGACTTGTTTAACGTGAAGTTGGCTGTTTGAAACTGAGTTCCCTCAGCATGTGTGAATTGTCAAGTCACAAGGATTATTCCTCTCCCCCATAATAGTTATGCGGATGATTTTTCAGGTGACACATGTGAGGACAAATTGGATTCCACAGAAAAGCATGAATCAAGGGCTATATGAGTTTTACACTTCTAGAAAATGTTATCTTTTCCAGAAGTGGGAAACTCATATAGCCCTTGAACCAGAACAGGTAAAATAGAACTCATATACCTCCTTTTTGTATTCTTTTTAGATCATGTTTTATGGGTATAATCCCTGAGAAGAAATAACTCTTCATAATAAAATAGAAGCCTATAAAAGCAGGCTTTTGTTGTCTTGTTATAGGAGTTCTTCACACAGATGGTCCCTGTAGAAAGATGTCCCCCCACCCCAAGTGGCAATCATTTAACAGTTATTGAAAGACTGTTTAAAAATATGTTTATGACCTAGCATTCGTTTTCTAAAGAAAGCATCAGGGATTGAGGATGAATGAGATGTTACCTGTAATACATGAAGTTTAGGGACCAATGGCAAAAAAAAAAAAAAATTGAAAAAACAAAAGAAAAACATAAGAATGACACAGTGAAATTTGGGTACTCAGAGGAAAAAGGTGGGAAGGGGATGAAGGATAAAAGACTACAAATTGCGTTCAGGGTATACTGCTCAGGGTATACAAATCACCACTAAAGAGCTTACTCACGTAACCAAATACAATCTGTTCCCCCAAAACCTATGGAAATAAAAAAATTAAAAAGAAGGCTGGGCGCTTTGGCTCACACCTGTAATCCCAGCACTTTGGGAGGCCAAGGCGGGCAGATCACAAGGTCAGGAGATCAAGACCATCCTGGCTAACACGGTGAAACGCCGTCTCTACTAAAAATACAAAAAAATTAGCCGGGCGTGGTGGCGGGCGCCTGTAGTCCCAGCTACTCAGGAGGCTGAGGCAGAAGAATGGTGTGAACCCGGGAGGTGGAGCTTGCAGTGAGCTGAGATTGCGCCACTGCACTCCGGCCTGGGTGATAGAGCAAGACTCCGTCTCAAAAAAAAAAAAAAAAAAAATTAAAAAGAAAAGATATTTTTGCCCATTTTGGTGCCTTTGGCTTGTAAGACCAACATGAAATGTTAGCACAAAGACATCATGGTTTTGTGAAAAGAATATGGGCTTTGGTGTTAGCGAGGCAGGCTTGAATCCTGGCTCCATGAGTTACTTAATGAGTTTCTGATGGAACCCTACGTACATTGTGTGAAAAAAAATTGGGTGGTGGTTGGGAGGATTAAGTCCATATATAGGCTCCTAGTAAGTGTTCAGCAAATGCTTCCCTTCTTCATTTTCTATTCTTCCACCAACATTGTCCCCTTAACTTCCTTCACCTAAACATATAAACCACTAAGAAAAGCTCAGCTATATTCCCATAAACCAGTAACAGGATCCAATATTCAGGGGTTTATAGGAATAATAGATCTAGGCCTGAAACACTAGGATGATATTTTGGGTGTATGCTTTTAACAAAATATAGAAAAGTTACGTAAAGTTACATAGAGAAATTTACTCATGTTTGTTATAGTTACCTAAACACCATGTGTCACTTGGTATTTGTGTCCTTTTAAAATGTTTCACTAAGGTTCCTTGTACCTGTGGGGGGTCCACACTGATGCTGGCTGCAGTTTGGATGCAGAACCTGTAAGGGGGAAGCCTGGTGCTTGGGGCTGACCCCCACCTCCCAAAGGCTCTTTTGCCCCCAGGCTCCTGGTTGGCTTTGGATGGCGAGAGGTGCTGGGAAGAGACTGAGGGCAGGAGGAGAGAGAGTGGAAGGTAGGGTGATATAGTTTGGCTCTCTGTCCCCACCCAAATCTCATTTCAAATTGTAATCTCCATGTGTCAGGGGAGGGATCTGGTGGAAGGTGATTGGATCATAAGGGTAGTTTCTCCCATGCTGTTCTTGTGATAGTGAGTTCTCATGAGATCTGATGGTTTAAAAGGGTGTGACACTAACCCACCTCCCCCCGATGCACTGAGAAGAAGGTGCTTGCTTCTCCTTCGCCTTCCACCATGATTGTAAGTTTCCTAAGGCTTCCCCAGCCATGCGAAGCTGTGTCAGTTAAATCTCCTTCCTTTATAAATGACCCAGTCTTAGGTTGTTCTTTATAGCAGTGTGAAAATGGACGAATAACAGATGGCTTCCCTTCCCATCCCTGCTGCAGCGCCAGGATCCCAGCCATGGCTGTGTCTTTTCTCAACAACATCTCCCAGTGGGTGACTTCCCCACAGCTCCAGGGCTCACTATCCTTCCCTTGCTCCCCCAGGCCCAGAGGTAGTACAAGCTTCACCTGGTGCTTGGATGCCTTGACATCCCTTGTTAGTTCCTGGGACTCTGCTCTGTGAGTGGTCCCTTCAGCCTGTTCTTGCCAGAACCCTCCTGGTCATCGTGCGCTGAGGCCTGTACGCTGGCCTCCAGTTCCCCATGATGCTGTCTCCTGCCTCCCCAGGGTGCTCTTTGCTCTGGGCTTTGGAACCTATCTGTGGCTGCCTAGAGTCACCACGTTGTCCCTTGCTTTCTGAAAATGGAACTTCCTTCTCTCTGGAAGTGCCCCTGTCAGGCCCCTGGTGATTTTTCTGGCTCTCTTGTCTCAGTTCAGGCTGCCCCACATCCAGGACATCTTCCCTGGTACCCCCAGGTTAGGCCCAGTGCCCTTCATCTCATTTCCACAACATTTCACACTCCTATCTCACCCTGCAATTATGGCACCCTTTAGGCAAAAATGAGAATATCTTATGTGTGTGCAACTGCAGCGTCCACTACGGTGGCTCATATATCCTAGGGGCGTAATATATCCCTACTGAAACAAAATCATGTTGGCCAACTTTTCAGTAGATAGCTCCTTCTTGGGCACACCAGGAAAGACAGAAAGAGAAGCCGATTAGAAAGCTTCAATAAATAAGCAGACACATAATTTACTGTCTAAAATCCCATTTTCTGACCATAAAGAACAAGGAGTTAGGAGGCAGTCTGGGCTTTAACCTGAAATGAGGCAAGTGCCAACGTCTGCTGACTGCCAAATGACAAACCTCAGCTCTGGTCTTTCTTTAAAACATCTTAATTAGAAAAAATACAATAAAATATTTTTATTTTTAAAATCATTTCTTTCCCTCACCCATTCTCCTATGTATTTTCCAGTGAAAATGTTCTGCCCATGAAATATTTTTGACATGGAACCTAATGCTGTGACTGGTTTGTTGAGTTTTAAAGTATTTTAGGGTGCTTACTGTACCTACCCCCCGGGAGCCCCGAACACCGCTAAGAGAAAACTAAAGGGGTGGTAAGAATTTGGTTTTTCAAATCTACTTTAAAATTAATTCTGTTCAAATATACATTAGTATTCTTTGTTCTTTTAGTTTCTGCTGCCAAAAAGAACCAAAAAATAAAAAGTGGCATTTACCTATGTGCTTATATGAAATACAGATTTTTCTAATCATGCTTTATTTGAATTTCAATCTTTTTCCTCTCTCCATGTTATGACGAGAAGGAGCAGGAGACAGTTAGCCTTGATCTATACCTGGCCTGATGTGGTCTGTGATGAATTCAACCGAAGGGACTGCTCTCTATACCCTCTTTCAGCATAACAGGAAGCATTAGTCTGAAACACCTTCTCAGGGATACTGAGGCCATAAGAAATTGTCAAGTCTTTGTCCTAAGGGCTTTTATACAGATGATGCAATGCATATACAGAAAAATACTTTAGCTGTCTTCTATTTCTCCAAGAAGAAGAGGAAGCCCATTTCCCAGGCTAAGAAATTATCTCCAAGACGAGTTTCTTAATACTCAAGTTTAAAGAATTCTATCCCAATGGATTAAAAAGAAAAGCCTCAAACATCTTCAGCCTTTGTAACTATTTCTGTCTTTGCTTCAAACCTGACCTTCTCCGTGAAGCTTTCTCTGAGCTTAAAGCAATCCTTCCCTTTTCCACGTCCCTTCCTGTTCTTCCACGTAGCATTTATTTGGTCACTAATTAGCCATTCAGTGCCCTGTAACAATGGCATGAATTGCTGTTTAGATCCAGGTTATCATTTCATTTTTATGGCTATTCCTTGGCTTTATGTCTCACAGCATGGTGTTACTTTTACTGAAATCCTCTCCTCTCCTCTTTCTGTGAACTTCAACTCATCCTTCAAAACCCATCCTGACTATCACCTCTTCTTTTGATTGTTCACTATCTTCTGATCCATACAGGCGAGGCTGCTCTCTCCTTTATGACCTCAGTGTATTTTGGTTTCACAATCTTCACCCTAGGACCATATTTACTAAAACAAAAATTACAATAGATATGGTACTAATGCAAAAGAAGTTTTAAATGGATCTGGCCTTGTAACTATAACACTCATCAAACAGCACTGAAAATATTTACACGTCATCTCTGAATGCAGGACACCATGTCACTGTTACTTTTATCTCTCCCCGAACAGAAACTCCTTGAGAGTAGGCATTATATTTCGTATTCTTATTCTCAGAGTGTATCACAAGAACAGGTACATAACGGATGCTCAGTAAATGCTAAATAGTTAAGTAAAAAAAATAAGTGTGATTTGGTCTTAGGGAGAACAGTGTTATATTCCATCACAGTTTTCACTTTTTAATTTGATTTGTGAAAAACAAAATCAATGTCATCCCAGTGCCCTAGATACTCTAGTGTTAGGTGTTATAGAGTTTATTTTTTACTTTTATGTTTTGAAATGGAGTCTCACTCTTGTCGCCCAGGCTGGAGTGCAGTGGCGTGATCTTGGCTCACTGCAACCTCCGCCTCCCGGGTTCAAGCAATTCTCCTGCCTCAGCCTCCCTAGTGCCTGGGATTACAGGCGCACACCACCATGCCCAGCTAATTTTTGTATTTTTAGTAGAGATAGGGTTTCACTATGTTGGCCAGGCTGATCTCGAACTCCTGACCTCAGCTGATCCACCCACCTCGGCCTCTCAAAGTGCTGAGATTACAGGCGTGAGCCACTGACATAAATTATGTCAGACAGTAAGAAGTGCATTGAAGGAAAATGAAGCAGGTAAAGAGGAGAGGGAGGGCGCTTTAAGGAAGGAAGCCATGGCAATTATAATGTGTATATTACATGAAGACCCCGGAAAAAGTGCAGGTCAATGCAGCCTGCAGGAGCAGAAGGAGCAGGCCAGGGAGCTATCTGGGGAAGACCATAGCTGTAGCCCTAACCCTGACCCTCATTCCTGGCAGAGGGAACAGGAAATGAGTGTGGCAGAAGGGGAAGGAGGGAGCCAAGGAGCTCTAAGAGCTGATATCAGAGAGATAAAGGACAGGCAGGGGCAATGCTCTGTCTATGGGTTTCTTATATTTCAGTGACTTTCAAAATGTCTGACAGTCACAGATGTTCCAGGTGTAGTCATGGATTCTGCAGTGTTAGTAGAATAAGGTCTTCTTCCTCAAGGAGCTCAGCTTCCTCAAAGACACAGAACACAAAAGAGCTGCGCAGTGCAGGAAAAGATCCGAGTCGAGGTATGAACAGAGTGTGGTGAGAATTCAGAGGAGGAAGTCCAGGCTGTGCAAGGAGGTTAGGCAAGAAGTGAAGGGGGAACGGCGGGGAAGGATCAGATTACAAAGGGCCTACGTGCTTTTCTAAGGAGTTGAGGCATTCCTCCCACTCCCAGCTATTGACCCTGATTAGGAAGCATAGGAAGAAAATTTGAGATGTTAAAGTCAGTTGGACTCCCAGAAGGCACCTGCCAGGCAGTTCAGGAAGCTCTTGTCCTCTCATTTTGGATAGAATCAGAGGATGGGGCCTTAAGAGCCAACCTGAAAGATGTTTGTTCCCCTCTAAGGCCAAAGAGCTGAGTAGAAAGCCCTAGTGAGTGTGAGAAGCAGAAGAGGCACAGAAAAGTGACCACACTCCTCGAGGCATGTGTTACTTAAAGTCATGTTTGCTGCTATAACAAAATTTCTAACGTGAATGGCTTTCCCTAGTAGAGGTTTATATCTTGCTCATATAAATTCCCAAACAGGGGCTCCTGATATGGGCAACTCTCCTCCAATGCGGAGGCTCAGGCTCACCTTTGCACCCATCTTGTGACAATCTGAGGAAAGAGAATGAGCATGGCAGATTGTGTTGACAATTTCTGTGTGCAAGACCTGATTTCACTTTTGCTCGGATTCCACTGACCATACCTACTTGCAAGGGAGGCTGGCAATGGAGCCTACCTGTATGCTCCCAAAAGCAACAGGGTTTTGATGAAAAACTAACCAGTCTCTGATCCTCAGGGGGAGCTATGAAGTACGTATTATAATGCCTAGCACATAGGAAGGAAAAAAATAAGCTTATTCCTTGCCCCACTTCCTATTCCTTTTTCACCTCAATAAAATGCAGGAGATCTTGCCTCTGTAGCTAGTGTTGGAAAGTTTTTGTTATCTGACAAAGAGTTTTGTAATTAACTTATTGCAATAAGCTATAGTCTAGAATGGAAAAGCAGTACAAGAAGGATACAGAAACACCCTTCAGCAGGGCACATGAGGCCTGTTCACAGCCTACCCCTTCCCCACCTCTCCTCCTTCATCTCTCACCTCTACTCCCCAGTCTCTGCATGTGCCTATGTCTCAACCACACTGGAAGGCTTGCTGTTTCCAAACATGCTGTGAATTTCCACAGCCGCTCAGCTTTGCTTCATTGCTTGTATTCTATGAGATGCCGTTGTCCCATCCTTCTATGTGCCAGTCTCAATACCAGGTGCTAAGGATGTAAAAAAAGAAAGCAAGAAAGGAAGAAGGAAAAATACAGACCTAAGACCCAGCTCCTGCCCCCATGACCCCACATTCTGACTGGGCATTCACCTTCTCTGTAGAGTCTGGTTCTGTATCTTCTTCCTACCACCTTCTCTGTCTTCTTTACAAACAAGTGCCAATAAAAGATTCTTTTTCTATACTCTGAAAACACTGTACATGCACCTAGGCCTGCAGTTCTCAACCTTTTTGGTCTCAGGACACTTCGCATGCTTAAAAATTATTTATGAGAAAATCTTTATTGACCAAGGGCCAGGCAAAGAGTTCTTAGACTTGACACCAAAAAGCATAATCTGTAAAAGAAAAATATCAACAAGTTAGACTTTGTCAAAATTTAAAACTTTTGTTAAGAGGATTTAAAAAAATCAGAGACTAGAAGAAAATAGTTGCAAATCATATATTTACAGAAGACTTGTATGCAGAATATAAAAGAACCCTTTGAACTCAACAGTAAGACAACATACAATCTAATGACTACCCAATCTATGGACAAAACTTGAAGGGACATTTAACCAAAAACATAGGATAAGTACATAAAGAGATGTTCAACATCATTAACTCTTAGAGAAATTCAAATACAAGCTAAAATGAATTACTACTACATGCCTATTAGCCTGGCCAAAATAAAAAATACTGACAATAAAAAGTATTGGTGGCCAGGCACATTTGCTCACACCTGGAATGCCAGCACAGCACACTGGGAGGCTGAGGTGGGAGGATCACTTGAGCCCAAGAGTTCCAGACCAGCCTGAGCACATAGTGGGTCCTCATTTCTACAAAATTTTTAAAAATTAGCCGAGTGTGGTGGTGCATGCCTGTAGTCTCAGCTACTTAGGAGGCTGAGGGGGGAGGATCGCTTGAGCCTGGGAGATCGAGGCTGTAGTGAACCATGGTCACACTAGTGCGCTCCAGTCTTAGTGACAGAGTGAAACCCTGTCTTAAAAATTAGGACCGGGTGCGGTGGCTCACGCCTGTAATCCCAGCACTTTGGGAGTCCGAGGCGGGCGGATCACGAGGTCAGGAGATCGAGACCATCCTGGCTAACACGGTGAAACCACGTTTCTACTAAAAATACAAAAAATTAGCCGGGCGAGGTGGCAGGCGCCTGTGGTCCCAGCTATTCGGGAGGCTGAGGCAGGAGAATGGCGTAAACCCGGGGGGCGGAGCCTGCAGTGAGCGGAGATTGCGCCACTGCACTCCAGCCTGGGTGACAGAGCAAGACTCTGTCTCAAAAAAAAAAATAGGCCGGGCGCGGTGGCTCACGCCTGTAATCCCAGCACTTTGGGAGGCCGAGGCGGGTGGATCATGAGGTCAGGAGATCGAGACCATCCTGGCTAACAAGGTGAAACCCCGTCTCTACTAAAAATACAAAAAATTAGCCGGGCGCGGTGGCGGGCGCCTGTAGTCCCAGCTACTCGGGAGGCTGAGGCAGGAGAATGGCGTGAACCCGGGAAGCGGAGCTTGCAGTGAGCCGAGATTGCGCCACTGCAGTCCGCAGTCCGGCCTGGGCGACAGAGCGAGACTCCGTCTCAAAAAAGAAAAAATAAAATAAAAGATAAAATAAAATAAAATAAAAATAAAAAATAAAAAAATAAAAAAATTTTAAAAAAAGTACTGGTGAAGATGTGAAGCACCTGGGTCTCTCGTACATTGCAAATGGGAAGAAAAAATAGTATACTCATGGTGGAAACATAAGGCAGTTTCTTATATGGTTAAACACATTCCCCATATGACCCAGCAAGCACAGTCCTAAGTATTTAGACTAGAGAAATAAAAACACATATATGTACAAAACCTGTACACAAATGTTCACAGTAATTTTATTTGTAACACTGAAAACTGTGCAAATGTTCTTAATGAGTGAATGAATAAATAAACTGTTGTATCCACAATGGATACCATTCCATTGAATGGTATCTATTGATTCAATGGAACACTACTTAGCAATAAAAAAGAACGGACTACTGATACAACTGCTGGGATGGATTGTAAAAGCTTTATGTTAAGCAAAAAACACTCATTTCAGAGGGTTTCATACTGTATGCTCCCACTGGTATAATATTCTTAAAAAGTGACAACATCATAGTGATAGAAGATCAGAGAACACAGGAATTAGGGTTGGGAGGAGAATCTGACCATAAAAAAGGTGATGAGGAAATAGCTTAGTGGTGATGGAATAGTTCTGTATGTTCATCCAAATTAATAGTGACATGTATCTATAAGTGTGATAAAATTTCATAGAACTTCCTCTCTCTCTCTCCCCACTCTCTCTCTCTCTCTCTCTCTCACACACACACACACACACACACACACGAATACATGTAAAAACTGGTGAAATACAAGTAAGATCTCTAGTTAATGGTACTGAATCAAGGTCAACGTTCTGGTTTTGACAATGCACTATAGTTACATAAGATGCTGTTATTGGGGGAAGCTGGGCAAAGGATACATAGGATCTCTCAGTACTAATTTTGCAACTTCTTGACAGTCTTCTCTTTCAAAATTATTAAGTATTATTAAAGAGCTTCTGTTCATATGTGCTATATTTATCAGTATTTACTATGTTAGACATAAATTCTGAGACAGCTTTATATATTTATTTATTAATTTATTTTAAAATAACAGTGAACCAATTATACAATGACATAAATAATACATTTTATAAAAAATGACTATATTTTCCAAGACAAAGCAATGGTGAGGAGAATGGCATTATTTTCCACGTTGCAAATCTCTTTCATGTCTGGCTGAATGGAATACAGCTGCATTGCCCTATCTGCTTCTGCATTCTATCTGTTGTGACTTTATATGTCACCTATGGAAAACTCTACTGTACACTCATGGGAGAAAGAGGGTGAAAAAGGCAAATAACATGTTAGTTTTATTATGCAAAGAGGTTGGGCCTCGCAGATCCCCTGGAAGTGTTTCAGAAATACCCAGGGCTTCCTCACCATATATTGAGAATTGCTGATCTAGGTTAAGGCGAGTCCCATAGTATCGAGCTATTGATTTTTGTGTCTCCACTCCTGTAAGACGGTGAGCTACAGCAGGGCAGAAACTTTGTCTAATTCACCTTTTTCCCTGGAGGCTAGCACTGTGCCAAGTACTTAGCAGAAATTTAATCCACATGGCCAAAAGAACAAAGAATGAATGAAGGAAAGCATTTATTATTCTGTTTTTTTCTTTTGCCTTTTAAGGTCTGTAGGTGATTACAGTTTTTAAAATTTGAAAAGAAAATCTGAGTCTCTAGAGATGTGCTGTTTGTAGAAAGTCAGTTTGTCCAGAAAGCAGCGGAAGGCGGTTGAGAGACTCAATGAGGCAAGCCAAGTTATTTGCATTCATAGTGTTCTGGCTGACTTTTCCCTCCCCTTGTCTCCTGCCATCTCTGATTTTTATGTTCCTTGTCAGGACACGGGAGTACATACAGGATATATAGCATATGTTGCAAGGTCTGGGAGGGCTTCTTTGCAGGACCACAGCTAGGATCAATTAAGTAACAAGGAAGGTAGAAAATATAGCTACAGCTGGAAAAAATCAGTTCGTCAGGCATGCAGGTTGCAACCCATAAAAGGTCAGCAGGCAACTGGAGTGAGTAAGCTGTGAGTGAAGCTTTCAGCTCTGTGGAGCTAGAAGGAGCTGCATGGTCCTGGCATCCTGATTTCCAGTTGGGCACACACGCCATGGATAAGGAAGGTGTGCCGTGGACTTTGCAAATGATGCTCAAGTTGAACCCCAGTTGCATTTTTTATCTGGCTTCTCAATTGTTGTCTTCCTGTTCCCCAGCCCTGTGTGAGTTATTCCACAGTGACAGGTTGGTTTTATGGGTTGAAGGCAGACCTCAACTACTAAATTTCAATGAGTGAAAGAAGCTGGACCTGAATTAAGGGACTTCTTGGAAGGAGGAGTACAGCAGCAGTGATCCCTAAAAATAAAAAGTAAAACTTCATACATCATCTTACCACTCAAGTGTTATAACTGGAGATCAAGTTTCAGGTTAACTTCCAACAATGAGTAACTTCTGAAAAATTGATTAATTACTTACTCTTTGTTAGTTCAGGAATTAGGGGTCATTTTTTCATACTCTGATTCAGTTCCTCCCTCTAAGCTTTTCTCAGGATAATGATTTTATATATGGACAGATATTTATACACAGTCATGCACTGCAAAATGACATTTGGGTCAATGATGGACTGCATATATGATAGTGGTCCTATAAGAGTATATTAGAGCACATAGAGAAACCTGATACGTGGCGCTTGATATTAGCATTGCAAATCAAGTAGGGGAAATGATTCATATTTAACAATGGTGCTGGGACATTTGGTTTTCCATATGAAATAAATATACATACATAAAAATACATATACCATCTACATTTTTGTAAGTATGCTCTATAATGTTTGCATGACAAAACTGCCTAACAATACCATTTCTCAGAACCTATCCTTGTCTTTAAGTAGCATATGACTGTATATATTTTTGTTGTTGTTGTTTTTAAGGGCAAAAGTCTAAACAGATACATGGGAATTTTTTTTAGTGTTCTTACAAAATTAAACACACTCTTCCATTTCCATCAGAGTTCAGAACACAATTAGGGATGGAGACCTGAATTTAAATGAAGGATTTCAACTGAAAATAAGATTGCAAACATGGTCCTAATGATCACATTTGCTAAAAGTTTACGCTTTCATTCAACAAATGATTATCAAAGAACCTCACTGTGTGAGAGTCAGAGACCACAGAAATTAATAAGGTTAGTAGGGTCATTTCATTGCTACCTAAGTAAGATTATGCATAGTAGGACCCCATAGTAGGACTACAAAGAGAAAGATGTTGCCTCTAACAGGTGACTTCACAAAGGTAGAGTTTTAGAGGAGGTCATTGGTTTACAATGCACTTTCACACTCAGGGTATAATTCTTAGAATCTTAAATACCCTGTGAGTTATAATCATCATCATCTTGATGCCGTGTGTTCCTGTTCGGTAAACTAAAGTTAAGAGCTAAAACTGACGCTTGGATTCAGATCCTTCGACTGCAGAACTTTTCCTAAACTACTGCTGGGATGAGAACTAAATGAGACTGTATTTGAAAGTGTGTTAGAAAGTTGTGTATAAAGATCGGGTATTGCCATCAGTAAAGCATTTTCTATAAAGTAATCATTGTAGTGGAGGTTAAAAGAGTATAATCCCTTGCCTTTTTCACACTTTCCATCAACTTTTTGCTTAAGTGCTTTCCTTCTAATTCAGTATTTATTGAGTGCTTGGTATGCCCTGCTTCGTACCTTGTGCGGGTTAAAAGAAAAGTGCATAATAACTTATCTTAGTTCATTTGTATTTGGGAATGAATGCAGCATGGTTCAAAAGGGGACTTTGGACATTAGATGGAAGCAAGTAGATTAGAAAGAGGAGCAGGTTTCTGGGAGAAGTTGATCGTTTCCATTTGGGACATGGAGAATGGGAGGTGCCAGGATCTTCTTTGAAAGGAAGGGCTCAGGACACGGGTAATGATTGGTATTAGAGCTGAGGCAGAGATATCCAACCAGATAGATGAGGAGGTGGCTTCCCCAAAGAGAAATAACAATTTTCTGAATGTGAGGCGGTCTTGGGTAGTGTGGAAATGTGGGTTCTTCTGAGAGAGAAATGCAGAATGTGTTCCAGAAGCACTTGTTGTGTGAATCTGCTGGGCTCTGGCGTCCCCTCTCTGAATGTTTTTTGCTGGAGCGAAAGAAGCATTGTAGGTAGCATTCCACTGAGCCTTTAGTCTATTCCACTGGAGTCTGAAATGTTCACCAAGATAGCCAGAAGCCCGGAATCAAAGCAACAGCAGCTCTGGATTACAAATGAAGGGCAGGAATGCAAGTGAGAGACAGAAAGTTGAGAAGTGAGTGGAAGTTTTTTTTGTTTTGTTTTGTTTTGTTTTTTTTGATGGAGTCTCACTCTGTCACCCAGGCTGTAGTGCAGTGGCGCCATCTCGACTCACTGCAAGCTCCGCCTCCCAGGCTCATGCCATTCTCCTGCCTCAGCCTCCCGAGTGGCTGGGACTACAGGCGCCCGCCAACACACCCAGCTAATTAATTTTTGTATATTTAGTAGAGACAGTTTCACCGTGTTAGCCAGGATGGTCTCGATCTCCTGACCTCATGATCCGCCCGCCTCGGCCTCCCACAGTGCTGGGATTACAGGCGTGAGCCACCGCGCCTGGCCAGTTGTTCTTTTAAGATCATGGGAAGGGAGTCCACAATAACAGGGAAGCAATCCTGCTCTTTTCCCTGGAAAACTTTGATAGTAAGGGAAGTCAAAAACATTTAACCCTAGAACTCAGAGATCTTTTATTCCCATCATGATTTATCCATCATATTGTGGTTATTTGGGGGAACCAATATGGTCCTCTGTGGCAAAGACCCCACTAGTTTGTAGAAGCATACTTTGTATATTAATACTGGATATGGTATTGGTATTAAGCTTGGATATGGGGCTGAGTTTTATACTTAGGTACATGAAGGGGCAAAAAGGATGAGAAGAAGCATTTTGTTGTGTGTATGTAAAATTAAAGAGTAGGAGCACCAGTCAGAAATTCTCTGTTCTTCCTTTCTTTTTCTATTTCAGAGGAGGTTGAAGAAATTTAAAAAAGCCCTGATTAGTTCAGGATAGGAAAGGTGGGCTGCAAAGTCAGCATGAGTCAGTGTTGAGTCACTGTTCTTATGAAATAAAGCTCATGTTTGCCAAGGTGGAAGGGAAGAGAAGGGAATTCAAAGACTGCTGAGGAGGAAAACTCCTTGCCTGGACAAGAGTAAGTTATCAAAAAGCCTGGGCATGACTTTGCGTGAATCAGTTGTCCAAAGAGACCACTTGAGCCTGTTGATCCAAGTAGATCCAGAGCAGAGGGGCCCACTCCACAACCCCTGGGAGTGCATTAAAACTAGTTTCCACCTCAGACCTACAGAATCCACTCTCCCCAAGGGATTCAGAAAGCTGTTTATTTTAACAAGTACCCCAAGATGTTTACACTTCCTTAGAGACAGAAATCTCTGATTATCCAGCAGCCCGTAGGAGCAAGAGACTGTTTTAGCTCTTCTTTGGAAAATGCCAAATCGTGCCTCTTTAATACAGCTGGTTCTCAAGTGTTTGGATAGGTAAATTGATCAGATCAAGTAGGAGTGGCCATGCACGGTGATATAGTTTGGCTGTGTCCCCTGCCAAATCTCACCTTGAATTGTAATAATCCCCACGTGTCAAGAGCAGGGCCAAGTGGAGATAATTGAATCATGGGGGTGGTTCCCTTCATACTGTTCTCCTAGTAGTGAATCAATCTCACAAGATCTGATGGTTTTACAAATGGGAGTTCCCCTGCACATGTTCTGTTGCCTGCTCCATGTAGGACATGCCTTTGCTCCTCCTTGCCTTCTGCCATGATTGTGAGGTCTCCCCAGCCATGTGGAACTGGGAGTCCATTAAACCTCCTTTTCATTTTAAATTACCCAGTCTTTTTGGGTATTTCTTCATAGCAGCATGAAAATGGACTAATACACAGGGTGTAAATATAGTAGGGACTTTTCAATATGAGCATGGTGTTTAGGGCAGTGCAGATGTCAGGCTGGGCAGAGCTGTTCTAGAGGAGCAGAGATCTAGGAGCAAGTCCCTGGGAAGGGAGGAAAAGAAGAGCACACACAAGACAAGCTTCTTGTGATCCGTATTTTTGACATGGACTGAGGAAGGTGCTTTGGAATTGAGAAGTCAGAGCAATACAGAGGAGAGGCCCTGTGGCATCAGGTGCAGCTAAGACAGTCTTGGGTTCCAGTTGTGATTTATTTTGCTGTTTCAGATCCTGGTTCTGCCAGAGCTTCAAGACGTTGGGTCAATGACATCATCTCCCTACGCCTCAGTTCCTGCTCTGCATGACGGGAGCACCGAGGCAGACCACAGCCCCTCTTCCAGACCCTCCTGGTTGACTAAAGCAGCATGGATACATGACCAGAAGTCCAGAGTTCGCATGGCTCGGGGAAATGAATTTTAGCCAGGAATGAGAGAGGAGGCAGGAGGAGGAAGTAGCAGTTTTACCACATTTACTGACAAGCTGTGCGATGTTGAATGAGTGGCAATTGTACTGCAGGAGCATGAATTTTCAACTGACTAGCCCAGCGACACCTTGAAAAATGGCTTTTTTTATTTTTATTTTTATTTTTTTTCCCAGCCCAGCCCTCCTGGCAGAGAATTTTCAAACTGGAAAGAATCTTAGCTTAGGCAATTTGACGCTTCATTCTGCAGGTGAGAACCTTCAGGTACAGGTCTACTTGACACTAAAGTTCAAGAACTGCAATTCCAAATTCCTGAGCCCATGAACTTTTTCCCCCTAGTTTTGTCTCAGCCAACAGAACCAGCCATGGAGCTCGCTGGGTAACATTTGCTCTCTGGCTCACTGACTTTCTAGACTTCAGGGCATATTCACTTCGATACATTGTACAAATTAATTTTGTTTCTAAAATAGGAGTGGTAAATAAGGATGACTAGGGGCAGTCCTGATTTTTATGTGCTAAACATTTATGGAAATATTTACAGTTTTAGTCAAGGGTGGCAGGGTCTGGGGAGGCGTTATGAGGGAGGGGAGAATGGATTTGCCATAGCAACAGAAGTGAGCATGTGACATGCTTTCCTTTGTTTCTGAGTTGCTGGAGCACTCATTCGGAAGTTGGAGGTGTATCCTACAATTCGCAAGTTGGGTTCTTTCCTCTTCACATTCTCCCTCTTTGTTTGGTCAAGTTGTTCACCTGTCACACTCAAGTTTCTGCACTGAGGACCGGGAGATCTGCAAAGGCTTCTTTCCTTTGCTGATACACTGGTGAACTGTGGGGACACACATAGAGCCAAGCCTCCCAGGGCTGGGGTACTAGTTTCCTAGGGCTGAGTGGCTCAAGCAACACAACTATGTTCTTTCATAGTTCTGAAGGCCAGAAGCCTAAGATAGAGGTGTCAGCAGAGCCACACTCCCTCTGAAGACTCGAGGGAAGAATCCTTCCTTGCGTCTGGTAGCTTCTGCTGGTTGCTGGCTGTCCTTTGCATTCCTTGGTGTGTGGATGTGTCACTCCAGTCCCTGCCTTCATCCTCATATGGCCTTCTTCCCTGTGTGTCTCTGTGCATCTTTTCTTTTTCTTAGAAAGGGCACATCCTAATTCAGTATGACCCATCTGAACAGATCTAATTACATTTATAAAGATCCTACTTCCAAAGTTCATGTTCTGAAGTTCCAGGTGGACATGGATTTGGTGGGGAACAATATTCAACCCAGCACAGTTGGGGTTTTAGTGGTGCTTTTGAAGTGAGTCCTTCAGCCTGTGTCCTATAGCTCTTGTATTTGTTCTTTCCCAGATTAGAGGGGTTGACTCCAGATCTCTCCAGGCTCAGTCCCTATCCATCTCCTCTAAGTCCAGGCTCTTTGTTTCTTGCTGACCAAAACCTTTGGCATCACAAAGAACATTTAGACGTGAGTGACTGGAATCTTGTCTGCTCCCACTTCCCCATAAAGAAGTCCATCTCCAATGTATTTTCCTCCTCCGTGCTCCACCTGCACCAACCACAGCTTCTTACAACCTGCACTTATAACTATCCAGTATTTTTCAAACTGGGTTTCCCACATTCACTCCTGGAGGCTTCTGCTCTGCCTTGAATGCCTCTTTCCCATTTCCAATGCTTCCAACATGATGACTCAAATTCTATGATGCATTCCTCTTTTCCCACCCACCTTGTGTTTCATCAGCATATTGCTCATACTTCCGTTATAGCACTTGGCACACTCTGCCAAAATCTATTTTGGGATCTACTCCCTTTGGGCTCTCCACGTGTTTGTTGAGTGACTACTGTAAGCCATTTACTATTAAAATCGCTGAAGACCAGAAAGAGAGCAGATATATGTCACTGTGCGTTGGACGTAGTCTTAGTGGAGAAAAAGCACAGCGTGAGGCCATAAGATTATGAGGCGAACCCAGCCTAGGGTGGCTGGGGAAGACTTCACAGGGAGAGGAGGAGCAAACCACAGTGCTCAGGACGTGTATGAAAGAGTTTGCTGTTAAACAAGTAGGGCATGGGAATTCCTGGGGAAGGCAGGTTGAATACCCACCTACCTGTGCTGTGTGGGGAACCCACACATCTACCTAGAGCAGTGAGGAAGTTCTAGCCCCTCTGCCTCCATCATCTCTCTGATCTTTAAACCTTGAGAGTGTGTTCCTGCTCCAAGCTCTTGCCCTTTTGGTTCTTTCTGCCTGGAACATCTTCCCTGAGGTCTTCAGGTGGCTTGTACCTTTACAACTCCCAGGCCTCAGCACAACTATCACCTTTTCCCAACTCTCTGCTTACATGCTAGCACGAAACAACATCCCTCATTCCTGTACTCTCTGTCATATCGCCCCATTTTATCTTTTTCTTAATACCATTCTCTGAAATTATCTTGTTTACTTATTTGTTTACTTATTTTCTTTGTCCCTACCCAGTAGACTGTCAAGTTCCATGAACGGCCTTATCTGTTTTGTTCACTTTTGTGTCCCAAGTACCTAAAAGACAACCTGGCACCCAGCGGGCACCCAGCCAGTGTGGAATGAAAGAAGAAACAGCCCCCTTTGCTGTCAGATGCCAGGAGCGTAATGAGCAGAGCACTCTGTGATTTTCTTGCCCTTATCAAACATGGTCTTTGTTAATCCCTCACAAAGACACCGTGCTCTTAACATTTATAGGGCTCTCTCATCCATTTTCTCATTGAAGACTCTCAGCCTTCCAGGCAGGCCATGTATTATCAGCCGTGTTTTGTCGGGAAGCTTTTCACATATCTGGCAGGTGGAACTGAGGCCTCCTGACCCAAGGCCAGCCTCCCTCCATTACCCTCCCTCCCTCACTGCAAAAGGGCCCTCCCTGTCCATTACAGAGTCTCCACTTTGTAGTCTTGGACATAAGGAGATGGCTCAACTTCTTGGCACACTGGGCTCCAGGTCGGATATTGATTCAAATAATGGCCGCTAAGCCTTAAGTTGCACTTAGGAGTAACTGGAACAATCTTGCTCTGCTCCTGCCTCTTAGCTTTTCCCCAGCAGACCTTGAGACTGGTCCCAGCCCTCTTTTTGGTTTCAGAAGCTCTCTGATTCCAATTCCACTACACCTGACAGTGGCTTCCGTAGAGGTTGCTGCTTCCAGTTTCTGCAGGAATTAGGAGTTCTGGTGAGAGGTAGACAGGGGGCATGGGCAACAGCTTTCATCCATTAGCTGTCACTCACGCAGTGCTTTTGGAAGAGTTCTTCCTTAGAAGATGAAATGATCCTCTTCTGGAGATTTCTCTTAATAAAATCATCCAAAACACAGAGCAATGCAGTTTGGTTTTGAATAATTGGATACAGCCTAAATGTCCAACAATATGGGAATGGTTAAAAAATGAAGAGTGATCAACCCATGGAATGTTACCATTACAAACGTTGAATAGAAATATCTAATAATGATCTGGGAAAACTCTAAACATCAACAAAATGTTAAGTGACAAAGGCAGGATGCAAAATTGCAGGTGTACTCTAATAGCTATAACATAATAGAAAACAGCAGCTAAAGAAAGACTACAGAGAAAAATATCCAGTTATATGAGAATGACTATATTATGGTGCTGGGATTATGGGTGCGGTGTTTCCCTCTGTTTTTCTAATTTTTCTGTTATGCAACATTTAAGTAATTTTTTAAAAGACATTGTTTAAATGTTGCTTTTGTAACTCATGATAATTAAGCATGCTTTCAAAAGTAAATGTAATCAAAAAGGAAAAAGTTAAAATGTACTGGTATTTCCACCACTGGTAACACAGTAGCGTATAGCTTCCCATTCTCTCTACATGCACACAACCCTCCATTTTCATAAACGAGAATGAAATCATACTCTATCTATAATTTATAGTCTAGATTTTACTTAGTGATATTTTATGAATGTTTTAACATGCTAATATTCTACCACAATCTTACTGTAAATTCTGCTTAGTTTGTGTTGTATGAATGCATCACTATCTGGTTTATCTTCCATTGTAGGTTTAGATTATGTCCAACATTTGGATGTTACAAATGAAAATTGTAGATACTCTTGCTAACAAATTTGTCTCATACATTCTTGATTATTTAAGATAAAATTTTAAAGTGGGATTTTTGAGTGTTAGGACACGCACATTTTTAAGTTTATTTATATATATTTAATGTATTCCATATATATAGTCAATTTATATTTCTGTAAGTTGTGTAGGAAAGAGTCTATTTTTCCATGCTCTTGCCAACAGATCAGTCATTATCATTTTTACACTTTGGCTTATTTAATAGCCGTGAAAGTGTATGCTATTTAGATATCTTTCCATGCAGTTTTTAAAGACCTGACTCAAATAGCTTAAGCAAAAGAGGTCAGGGGTTGGAGGAAGGGAGAGATTGATTGCCCACTGAACCACCAAGTCTCTGGGGTAGATCTCACTTTAAGTAAGATATGAAACATTGCTGGAACCCATTTCGAGACTGGGCATCTTCTGAGTTGGGTTTCTCCTCCATTATCTCAATGTCTAGGCCTGAGAAGGGGGAGTCTAATAAAAACCTGAGAATTGAGTCTTTTGGCCCAGGCTGGACCTACACAGGACACGTGGCCAAACAGTGTACCAGGTAGTGGAGTAGGCCCTGGTATAGACTTCTCCTCTGAGGTGCAGGGGCACAGTGAGGGTGCCGTGGATCTATAGGCTATGGTGAGGAGAGGGCAGCTTCCTCAAAGCCAAAGCAGGGATGGCTATCAGCAAGAAAAGGGAGAGGATGTTGGATGACTAAATGTAAAAGTATACTGTGATGTTGTGAAATACATATTTGGTCTTCATCCCCATTTTCTGACATACAGCTTCTGAAATTATTGGAACTCAGCAGGGATAAGAGTGAGTGTTACATGGACATGAACATGAGACAATACTGTGGACTGCTGGAGGAGAGGGTGGCAAGAGGGTGTGGATTAAAAACTACCTACTGGGTACTGTGCTGGCTACCTGGGTGCAATATACCCATGTAACAAACCTGCATATGTATCCCTCATGTCTAAAATAAAAGTTAAAATGTTTAAAAAAAAAAGAAAACAGTGAATGTATTCTGTATGTTAACAAGATTACCACTGGTTGGGGGCCCTTAGATAGCTTCAGGATTGGGGCAGGTCACAGGAAAGACCAAGGCAGGATTAGAGGTTGGAACTTTCAGCTCCACCCAAGACTTCCAGGAATGAGACAGCAGCTGAAGTTTGAGTTAATCACCAATGGCCAATGATTTAATCAATCATATTTATAATGAAGTTTTCATAAAAACCTCAAAAGGGCTGGGTTTAGAGAGCTTCTGGATAGCTGAACACATGGAGGTTTCTAGAGGGTGGGGCATGCCCAGAGAAGGCATAGAAACTTCACTCCCATTCCTCCATAATGGTGCCCTATGCATCTCTTCATCTGTATCCTTTGTAATATCCTTTATAATAAATCAGTGAGTCTGAGTGTTCCCCGAGTTCTGTGAACCACTCTAGCAAATTAATCAAACCTGAGGAGAAAGTTGTGGGAGCTCCGGATTTATAGCCGATTGGTCAGAAGTACAAGTGACAATCTTGTGTTTGTGACTGGCATCAAAAATGGGGGTGATCTTGGGGACTGAGCCTTTGACCTGTGGGATCTAATGCTATCTTCAGGTAGATGGTGTCATAGTTGAATTGAATTAGAGGACAGCCAGTTGCTGTCCGCTGCAGAATCATCTGCAGAGTTAGTTGTTGGTGGAAAAAAGCCCTACACATCTAGAGTCACAGAAGTGTTCTGTGTGGTGAGAGGATAGTAGGAGAAACAGTTTTTTTTTTTTTTCCACTAATATATTATAAAGAAAATGCATCCTTTGAAAAGCTAACACCCTTAGGCCGGGCATGGTGGCTTATGCATGTAATCCCAGCACTTTGGGAGGCCGAGGTGGGAGGATCATTTGAGGTCAGGAATTCAAGAACAGCCTGGCCAACATGGTGAAACCCCATGTCTACTAAAAATACAAAAAATTAGCCGGGTATGGTGGTGCGTGCCTGTAATCCCAGCTCCTCGGGAGGCTGAGACAGGAGAATTGCTTGAACCTGGGGGGCAGAGGTTGCAGTGAGCTGAGATCGTGCCACTACACTCCAGCCTGGGTGACAGAGTGAGATTCCGCCTCAAAAAAAACAAAAAAGGCTAACACCCAAACCCACATCAGATCATATTTATGTGTTCTTAAAACATCTACAGTTTCAAATTTTGCATGGGATACCATCTTCAAGAAGAGCTCCAGATTCCTGAATGGTTGTCCCCCTCCTCCTCTCTCCCCTCTCCAGCTTTTTTCCCTCATCCTCTCCTTAATGATGTTTCCCTTTGACCTTGAACAAACTTTAATCTCCCTGAACATGTTTATCATCTGTAAAATGGGCTTACCAATCCTTACTTTAATCTAACTGACAGAATAGCCGTACATCATACAAAATGACCGCATGTCTGGTAAAACCTTTCACATCTCGTGTTTGACTAGACATTTCCCACCAACTCTAGGACACAGACTTAGAGCACTTGACTATGATTTTCAGACTGCCTTTAGAAAAGCTCACTGTGTGCCCTTGAGAACAGAGCCTAATTATCTGACACCCGTTGTCCCGCTCTATCAAAAATGCTGTGGCCGGGCACGGTGGCTCACACCTGTAATCCCGGCACTTTGGGAGGCTAAAGCAGGTGGATCACCTGAGGTCAGGAATTCGAGACCAGCCTGGCCAATATGGTGAAACCCCATCTCTACTAAAAATACAAAAATTAGCCAGGCATAGTGCTGCGCACTTGTAGTTCCAGCTACCGGGGAGGCTGAGGGAGGAGAATCGCTTGAACCCGGGATGCGAAGGTTGCAGTGAGCCAAGATCGTACCACTGCACTCCAGCCTGGGCGACAAAGCGAGACTCCGTCTCAAAAAAAAAAAAAAAAAAAAAAAAAAACAAACTAGCAATTCCTGCCTTCAAATACGTAATTTAAATGTAAAGAATAAAGCCCTGTGCAAGTGTGAGGTAGATGAGGCCATGGATCAATGAAGTCTTCATTTGTAGGATGGGTCCTGGTG
This sequence comes from Homo sapiens, assembly GCF_000001405.40. Lineage (NCBI taxonomy): Eukaryota > Metazoa > Chordata > Mammalia > Primates > Hominidae > Homo > Homo sapiens. Next base: position 17,022,344 of record NC_000004.12, on the reverse strand, counting down.
GTACTTAACGTTTATCTTTCAGTGACTGCTGTCCACCAACCACATGCCAGCACCATGAAGAATGCTTTCATAGGGCTCTCGTCAAGTGTGGTCCATGGAGAAGAAACCCACAAAAGGGTGTAAATTTCTCTTACACCTGTACCCCTTAAGGGCTCTATGCCCTCACCAGCCTCCACTCATGAAATATTCTAGCTGAATTCTTCCTGGTATCCTGCAGCCTCTGCTCCAAGTGAGCAATTGCTTGTGTCCTTTCTCTCTTTGCAAGTGACTGTCTCTCCTGGGATTCTGGGCTAGTCCAGTGGCCTGTGACCTCAGATCTTTGACTTATTAGAGAAAGTTCACCAGCTTGCCATTCGTTTGACTTCTTTTTGTTAAAAGGTCAGGAGCAATGCTTTTCCCAACTCTTTATATCCTGAGCAGAAACTAGAATATCTGCTCTGGGTTGTTACTTGAAACCTCGCACTGACTATGGAAGGTAGGCACTATTTGTATCCTCTTTAAAAATGAGGAGACTGGCTCAGAGTTGAGTTCAAATTCCCACACAATTTGAAAAGAGTGGAGCTGAGACTTGAATCCAAAGCCCAGTAACCACTTTGCAAAATGATTATTTGTTTTATTTTGTTTTGTTTTTTGAGACTGAATCTCGCTCTGTTGCCCAGGCTGGAGTGCAGTGGTGCTATCTCAGCTCACTGCACTCTGCCTCCTGGGTTCAAGCAATTCTCCTGTCTCAGCCTCCCGAGTAGCTGGGACTACAGGCACACACCACCACACCTGGCTAATTTTTGTATTTTTAGTAGAGACAGCGTTTCACCATATTGGCCAGGTTGCTCTCGAACTCCTGACCTCAGGTGATCCATCCACCTCAGCCTCCCAAAGTGCTGGAATTACAGGTGTGAGCCACCGTGCTTGGCTACAAAATGATCTTTCTAAGTGTGTCTTTGGGAATAGCATTCTTCTGAGTGGCTAGACTGCAGCTTCAATGGGGATGAGGCTGAACAGAACAGGAGAGGGCAGTTCATGAAAGATGATGATTTCTAGGTGAGGAAGGCTGTAGTCCGTCAAAGACTCCTGATCAATGGGTGACCTGGCACTTAAGAGGAAGATTTGTGGCATCAGTGTAGAGGATGCATCAGAAAAGCCAAGTTTGCAAGAATTTGAACTGAGCCTTAGCTGAGGATTTAATTTTTAAATCATTTGGAACAAGAGAATCAACAGCACTTGCCGTGAGGGTGGAGAACTGGGTGTTGGAGAATCTGTTTGGGGTCTGATTTGTGCCTTTGAGAAGAAGGTGATGACACAAATGTATTCAGAATCAGGAAGAGGACCTGGTTTGGCAGCAGAAGGTGGACAATGAGCTTGGTTTTAGACAGATTGTGCTGCAAGTGTCCAACCCGGGGAGAAAAGTCTGACAGGTACCTGGAAACGGGACCCCAGGACACTGAAGCAGATCAGAGTCATGGGCTGCCCAAGGTGATCTCTAAGGCATTGTCTCTTGTCCATGCACCTACTTATCACCAGGCAGGGTCTCCAGTTTTTGGAAAACTGAAGTAAAATCAACAACTCAAATGGGAATTTTCAGGAGTTTTAATGTAGCATGCATGAAAAACAAGCAGATCTTTCCTTCTCTTTAATGCTAGAGCTCATCATGCAGTGACAATTTGAAATTTGCGACTCAGACTTTTAACATGTTTCAAGGAGAACATTATCATTTGAAACCCTTGCAGAGAGAAATGTGTCTGTACTAAGTGACACTATCTCCCTTTTGTAAAGACACCCCAATCATTTACATTTTCACTTTTGCTTCCCATCTTGTGTTAAATAATTCTGACATTTTCTTCAAATGCAAATTATATTACTGAAAATTTCTCACATGTGAGGTTTTATTTTTCCAAAAGAGAGAGAGGATTTTCTTTCATGTGACAACTCTGGCCGTCTCCTGCCTGGGTCTCTAACCCCCACTGCTCTGGTTAAAAAAAAAAAAAGGACTAATTTCATCTGGTTTTTCTGCCTGACAATGCCACTTCTGTGTATTAGTCAGGGTTCTCTTAGAGGGACAGAACTAATAGGATATCTCTATCTCTATCTCTATCTATCTATCTATCTATCTATCTATCTATCTATCTATCTAACTATCTATCATCTACCTACCTATATACCTATAAAGGGGAGTTTATTAAGATTAACTTACATGATCACAAGGTCCCACAATGGGCTGTCTGCAGGCTGAGGAGCAAGGAAAGCCAGTCTGAGTCCCAAAACTGAAGACTTTGGAGTCCCATGCTCAAGGGCAGGAAGCATCCAGCACAAGAGAAAGATGCAGGCTTGGAGGCTAAGCCTGTCTCGTCTCTCTCATGTCAGTTTTTCTGCCTGCTTTATATTCGGTGGAAGCTGATGAGATTGTACCCACCAAATTAAGGGTGGGTCTGCCTTCCCCAGCCCATTGACTCAAATACTGATCCCTTTTGGCAACACCCACACAGACACACCCAGGATTAAGACTTTGTATCCTTCAATCCAGTCAAATTGACCCACAGTATTAACCATCACATTCTGTCAGAAAAGGGCTCCTTGAATCTTAAACGGATGAGGAACTAGCTGTTAAGGTCAACATTCAGAATAGACAATAATAACTTCTAAAACCCTAACCTTGGAGTTGGGAAGACCTTCAAGGTCAGCAGATGCTGGCTGCTCCCCTCCATTGCTGAATTTCCATTAAACGTCTCCACCTATTGGATGTTCAGCCAGAGCTTACATATCTCCAGTGGCTGGTAGAAAAGCCACCCTAAACTAAGAAATCAAGTTAAATTTCAATTCCATTTGAAAGCTTCTACCCATTGGTCCTAGTTAGCCACTGTAGCATTAACCTGGAACAGAGAGGCAGTATTCAGTATGCTGGGGCTTTGCAAATAGACACATTTGGATTCCAGACCTTTGCCTGGGGCAGAAAGCATATTTTGAGCATCATCTGCACCACCTGGAAGCTTATCAGAAATGCAGAATATTGGGCTTCACCCCAGACCTACTGCATTCTAATAAAATCCTCAGATGATCTCCATACTTATTAAAGTTTGAGAAGTGTAGCTTGAGAGAACTTAGTCAATTACCTGTGTCTTCAGTTTCTTGTCTGAAAATTGAGACAGTTGTACTTGATAAGCTTTAAAAGTTTGTTTCACCTATAAAACACTAAAGTCATAAATATAGAGTTTATAAAAATCTATTGGCAGCTTATATTGGCAAGTGAACAATTCAGATATAAAAAAACAGGGAGAACTTAAAGTACACTATTGTTTAGACATTCAGTTAGAATATTTTAACAATTATGCTGATAAAAATTATAGAAAATAGAAAATTCTGGCCAGGTATGGTAGCTCATGCCTGTAATCTCAGCACTTTGGGAGGCCAAGGCGGGAGCATCACTTGAGCTCAGGAGTTAGAGACCAGCCTGGGCAACATAGTGAGGCCCCTGTCTCTACACAAAATTTAAAAATTAGCTGGGTGTCATGGGACATGCCTGTAGTCCCAGCCACTCAAGAGGCTGAGGCAGGAGGATCCCTTAAGCCCAAAAGTGAGACAGCTGTGCTGTTACACTCCAGCCTGGGCAACAGAGCAAGACCCTGTCAAAAAAAAAAAAAAAAAAAAAGAAGAAAGAAGGAAAGAGAAAGAAAGAGAAAAAAAAATTTTCTGGATACACACAAAACTTAATGATTATAATACACAAGAAATACAATTAGAAAACTACCAAAATATCTCTAAATGGTTATTCATAGGTTCTGTGATTAGGAATGTATTTCCCTGCTATTTAGTGTCCCCTTATGTGATGATGACAGAAAAAAAAACAAACAAAAAAGCACCTTTAGTTTTTAATCAACAAGAATAAAATACAAGATTTTAAAACTTCAAGTTTTACAGGCAACTATACAATTTATTTCATAATGAACGTACCAGCTCTATTCATCATACATAATATGTCCTTCAGCTATTGTCTTTCAAGGCCAACTCAAGTCTCACTTCTTCCAAGCCAATTTCCCTTCTTACATATTCTGAGGTCAGGGACTTTGTTTGAATCAGCTCTGTATCCTCTTCCTGACAAAGAAATGGACTTGGATTAGGTACAAAGTAAATGCAAAATGAAGGAAAGGAAGGAAGGAAGGGAGACAGAGAGAGGAAGAGAGGACAGAAGGGAGGGTGTGAAAACAAAAGAATGAACGCATGACAACAGGCCCCAGTGCTGATTGAACTCCAGCCTCTTTGGAATTCTGCAGAATTTTTCAGGGCCAGACCCAGCTATTAGTAACAAACGGCCTTTCATTGTTTGCTATAGTGCCATGGTTTTGGTTCTCCAATGAGATTTCAAGTACCTTAAGGGGAAGAAAACATGCTGCTTTAAAAATGTGCTTGGTTATTGTTTTCTGAAGCAATTTGATTTGGGAGAAATACTGTTTATTCCTACTTCTATAGGAATAGGATAAAATCTCAGGATTGTCAATGTTTGAAGGTGTAAGGTGAGGGCACAAGATTATCTAACTGGCTTTTTAAAGTTACCAACATAGTGAAGTATCTTGAGTGTGTGCACATAACAACAAAGCTTTGAATACACGAGGCAAAAACTGTTAGAAATGAAGGATGAATTGGAAGAATCCAAAATTAGATTTTTCAACAATCTTCTCTCTGTAATTGATAGAACAACTAGACAGAAAATTAATAAAAATATAGAAGTCTTAAACAACACTAGCAGCCAATTGGACCTAACTGACTTTATAGAACATTCCACCCAATAATGATAGAACTAACACTGTTTTCAAGTGTACATGGAATAGTTACCAAAATAGACTATACTCTGGGCCATAAAAAGGTATCAATAAATTGGATTAAATGTATACAAACTATTATCCCTGGACATGATATTAGATTAGAAATAAATAATAGAAATATAAACCTAAAAATTTCCCAAATAATTATATATTAAATAACACACTCCTGGGTCAGAGAAAAAAATCAAAAGGGAAATTATATATTATTTTGAATTGAATGAAAATGAAACCACACCATATTAAAATTTGTGGGATGCAGCTTAAGCAGTATTTAGATGGAAATTTACAATACTAAACACCTATGCATAGTAGAAAAGAAGAAAGTCTCATATTCTTTCACCTTAAGAAAATAAAAAGAGCAAATGAAACTCAGTGTAAGTTGGGAAAAAAAGGAAATAATTTAAAGATTGGAGTGAAAATGAATGAAACAGAAACCAGAAAAACAATTTAGAAAAATGCATTCAAAAACTGGGGTTTCTTGTTCTAGAAGAAAGGTGACTGTTCAGGAACAAAAAGAGATAAAAACAAACTAAAAATTGCCAATATTAGAACTGAGAAAGGTGACATAAAAACAGATTTTACACATATTAAAGTGATAATAAAGGAATATTATAACTTTATGCCAATTAATTCAACAACATAAATAAAATAGACACATTCCTTAAAAGACAAACTACCAAAGCAGGCTAAGGAAGTATCAGTTACCCAAATACCTTGATATTTGTTAATAAAATTGAATTTGTAGTTAAAAACTTTCCCACAAAGAAAATGCCAGGCCCATGTGGCTCAAGGGCACATTCTACCGAATTTTTTTTTTTTTTGAGATGTAGTTTTGCTGTTGTTGCCCAGGCTGGAGTGCAATGGCGCGATCTTGGCTCACTGCAACCTCCGCCTCCCAGGTTCAAGCAATTCTCCTGCCTCAGCCATCCGAGTAGCTGGGATTACAGGCATGCATCACCACGCCCGGCTAATTTTGTATTTTTAGTAGAGATGGGGTTTCTCCATGTTCATCAGGGTGGTCTCGAACTCATGACCTGAGGTGATCTGCCCGTGTCGGCCTCCCAAAGTGCTGGGATTACAGGCACGAGCCACCACACCCGGTCTACCAAATATTTAAGAGTGAAATAATACCAATTGTACTCAATCTCTTCCAGAAAATTGATGATGTGATCAAATATGTAGAAAATCCAAAGAAATCTATAGCAAATGTACCAGAACTAATAAGTAGGCTGCAGTATACAAGATCAATATTTTAAAAATCAATTGTATTTCCATGTGCTAGCAATGAATAATTGAAAATTCAAATTTAAAAACATTAGTGCAAAAATTATGAAATACTTAGGTAGTCCTGGGATGAGAGTGAGTTACAAGAAACATTCACTTCAGGCCCAAAATTTAAGGCACTGAAAACTCAGTAATCAAGATAAATAATATTATAGTGCACTATTTTAAAATATTCAAATTAATGCAAAAAATTTATGATGAGTAAAATATCAAAATTTTAAATAATGACAAGTTGTGTTGTTTATTTTGTGACCCTGCATTATAGTGCAAGGGAACAGTTGTTCCCAATCAGCCTGTGGTTGTAAGATCTATATACTGACAATTACAAATCATCATGGAGAGAAATTAAAGAATACCTAAATAAAAAATGGAAAGATATATCATGTTCATGAATCTGAGTATTTTGTATTATTTAGATGTAAATTTTTCCCATATTGATCTGTAGATTCAACAATTCCCATAAAAACCCCAGCATGTTTTTTTATTTTCGGTGGAAATTGATAAGTTGATTCTAAAATTCAAATAGAAATGCAGAAGACCTAGAATAGCTAAAATAATTCTGAAAAAGAAGAACAAAATTGGAAGTCTTGTACTACCTGGCTTCAAAACTTATTATAAATCATTAGTAAACAACAGTGTGGTATTGGCATCAAGATAGTTTAGACAAATAGATTAATGATATAAAAGAGGAAATCCAGAAATTGACCTACGCATGTATTTTCAATAAAAGTGCAGAAACAGCTTAGTAGAGGAAGGATAGTCTTTTTAACAAATGATTCTGAAATAATTGGGTATCCGTGTGCACATTTTAAAAATTAATCATTTCTCAATAGTTCTTAAAATAGTTTTGGGTAAAATCCCAAACTATAAAAGTCATAAGGAAAGTGTTATGATCTTGGGTAAGGTAAAGACTTCTTAAACATAACATCTAAAGCATAATACACAAAATAAAAATTATAAATTGGCTTTCATTAATATTAAAAACTTTTGCTCTGTGAAAGACCCTGACAAGAAGATGAAAAGACAAGTCCCAAACTGGGAGGAAATATTACTAAATTACATATCTAATAAAGCACTTGCATTCAGAATATATAAAGAATGCTCAAAACTCAATAATAATAAAATAAATACTCCCTCTCTCAAATAGAAAAAATATTTAAACAGACTTCACCCAAAAAGATATAGAGACAGAAAATAAACACAGGAAAAGAGGTTGAATATCATTAGTTATCAGAAATGCACATTAAAATCACAATGAGATACTACTACACACCTATTAGAATGGATGTAATTAAAAAGAATGAGCATATTAAGTTTGGGCGAGGATATGGAGCAACTGGAACTCTCATATGAAGCTGGTGGCAATGTAAAATTGTAACAACTTTGGAAAACAGTTTAGCCATTCTCTGAAAAGCTAAACAAACACCTATCTCATGTCTAGTCACTCTACTTTTAGGAATATATAGAAAAGCAGGGGTTTGGAAACTGTAAAGTAAATGTTTCAGCCTTTCCAGCCAAAATGCTACATACTCTGCCATTGTTGCACAAAAGCAGCCACAGATCTTAAATGAAGGCGTAAATGAGTGCGTGTGGCTGTGTCTGTAGGCAGCACCCAAGAAGCCACAGTCTGCCAACCCATGCAGACATCCATATAAAGGCCCGTACATAAATGGTCATAAGCAGTTTGATTTACAATAGCCAAAAACTGGAAACAACCCAAATTTTCACTAGCAGAAGAACAGATCCACAGACTGTGACATATCCATACCATGAAATAAAACTCAGAAACAAAAAATAATCATTTACTGATACATACACTACATGCATCTTCAAATAATTATGCTGTATGAAAGAAACCGATTTTTAAAAAAGAGTACCTACTGTATGATGCAATTTATATAAGATGCCAGAAAATGAAAACTAATCTATAGGGGCTGGAAGCAGATCAGTGGTCGCTGGCAGAAGGGCTGGAAGCAGGCAGGAGAAAGATGTCACAAAAGTGACTTCTGAGAGAGGTGGATAAGCTCATCATCTTGATTGCAGATATTGGTCTCGTAAATGTATATATGCAAGGCTTATCAAATTGTTTACTTTGAATATGTTCAGTTTATGGTATGTCAACTATACCTCAATAAAGCTGATAAAAACCAAACCAAATCAAAACATAAACCTGCAGTGAAGGGGCAGCATGGAGCTGGCTTCAGAAGGCACCGAAGTCAAGGCATTGAATGTCGTTAAGACTTTTCTTTCTTCCATCTCGACCTCTCTCTACAGACCGGCTTCTCTCTCTGAGGATAGCCTGTCTACATAGGAGGCATGAGGCCTTGCTCTGCCTTCTGGAATAACTCAGAACAAGCCTTGTAGGGAGGCCGAGTGATGTCCTGGAAAGGATGGGCATAGGAGACAGATAAACCTGAGTGAAAGTAAGATTCGCTGCTTACTTGTTTCATGATCCTCAGCAAGATCAAAGCCTCAGTTTTCTAATCTGGAAAATGGGACAATTGCTTACTTTACAAGGTTGTTGTCAGGACAAAAGAGATGAATGGGAAATCATAAAATGCTACCAAACATTAGTTCTCTTTTCTCTTTCTTCTTTACATATCAACTATATTAGTCAAGGTTCTGCAGAGAAACCAACAGGATGTGCATTTAGAGAGAGTTAATTTAAGGAATTTCCTCCCTGCAGTTATGGGAGCTGGCAAGTCTGAAATCTTCAGGGCAGGCCAACAGGCTGTAGATCCAGGAAAAAGCTGATTTTGCAGTCTTGAGCCTGAGGCAATCTAAAGGTAGAATTCCTTTTTCCTTGGAGAATCTCAGTCATTTCTCTTAAGGCCTTCATCTGATTGGATGAGGCTCATCTTCATGATGAAGGGTAATCTGCTTTACTCAAAGTCCACTAATTTATATGTTAATAACTGTTTGAAAATACTTTGCAGCAGCATTTAGACTGGCATTTGAGCAAACAGCAATAACCTAGACCAGTTGACACCTAAAATCAATCATTACCCCAACACTTCAACTATTTGAAGAGGAAAATTTTGATGGTTAGCACTCTTCTCTCTCAAAGCTAAATGTTTTCAGATTCTCCTTCCCACCCCATGGACTGGATTTTTTTTTAAATTTATTTATTTATATATTTTTTTGGCTTTCAGTCCTCAGCTTACTTATGTCTTTCCTTCCAGTGACTTACAATTTTTTTTTTTTTCCCCAGTGATATTAGACCCAGACTCCCACATTTATGGACTTCATTTCCTTTGCATTGTGAAGTGGCCTCGCCCTTAGAGTTCCGCTGACTGTATCATTTAAAGAACTTGAGCTTGTAATGAGGTACCTATAGATTTTTAAGATGCAGAACTCTTTCCTTCCATTAGAACTGGACAATTTTATGAGATCTTGAAAAACACAGGATGAGCCTCTGGGTTTCGGTGATGGGCCATATGCTGCAAGTCAGACTGCATCAGAGCCAAAAAATTCTAATTCCTTCACAATAACGTTTAATGGTAGCTTATAAGGGTGTACCTTGGCTGGGAATTTAAATGTCTAAGAGGAGGTAAACAGGTTGCAATTTCATTGCTTCTAAACACGTGACTGCCTCAGGGGCTTCTGATTTATTTATTTATTTTTTAATGGAGTGAGAGGCCATAAACCCTTCCTGCTGGCAGACTGGCAGGCCATGCAGATTTTTAGAGGTGCACCAAGCTGCAGCCAAGGGCAGGTACTGGGAAGCTGACTGAGCCCCCATAATTAAAACCATGCTCTGCAAATGCTCTTGATTTCAGGGGTCACATCTGATTTCATCTAAAACATTCTTTTTGGTCCCTTCTTAACCCAGTCTTGACTTTTCAGCATTCACATCACTACCAGAGTGGAGGGTGGGAGGAACGAGGCGTGGGGGTGGTGGACAGAAGAATGTAAGGGGTACACTGAGGGTTCAGAACAGAGTTTTGTTTGTAACTTGATTCCAATTGGGCATTTGCATACAGTGTTGGTGGTAGTTATTGAGTGTTATCTCTCTTTATCACATATGCTTTCTTTAATTCTTTATTTTTTTCTAGATACTTTGAAAAAGATAAGAATAAAAATGACTATTTAAGGATGGATTTCCCTTATTATTCAAAGCTCACATCCAACTTCTATCATTTTCCAATGAAAAACATACATTTGTTATTATTTGCTTTTGCCCACACACATTTCCAAATGTTGGCAGGTTTGTTTTCTGTTTTAACTTGCAGGTATCATCTGCTGAGATGTTACTTGGCCTTTACCTAAATATTTGGCTACACAGAGCACCCATTTCACTTTGGGGTAATGCTTTGTTCAGTGCCTGAAAAGTCTATGTAGTGAATGAAGACTTTTGCTGTTCAAAATGCGGAGCCTCGGTCCGAACGGACTTTGCAGGCTCTGGGATATCTGGGATATTCGAGTTCTTTTTTTTTTTTTTTTTTTTTTGAGACGGAGTCTCGCTCTGTCGCCCAGGCTGGAGTGCAGTGGCACAATCTCGGCTCACTGCAAGCTCCGCCTCCCGGGTTCACGCCATTCTCCTGCCTCAGCCTCCCGAGTAGCAGGGACTACAGGCGCCCACCACCACGCCCGGCTAATTTTTTCTGTTTTTAGTAGAGACGGGGTTTCACCGTGTTAGCCAGGATGGTCTGGATCTCCCGACCTCGTGATCCACCCGCCTCGGCCTTCCAAAGTGCTGCTATTACAGGTGTGAGCCACCGCACCCGGCCTCGAGATCTTAAAAGGGTCTAATTTGGTTAGGAAAATAACAACAAAAAGTTATCAAAGCTCCCTCTAGCAGAAAATGCTAGCAACTTATTTTTTCTGTAACACTTGATATGTTTTCTTAGGTTTAGGTTATTTGTTTCTGCCGCTACATTTTGGTTTAATACAATTGCATTATCTTTTACACTTTTAGTTGTATTTATCAATAACTTAGATAAAAGGAGGAAAGCAATTTGAATACCCCCATTTTAGTTAGTCACACATATTTATGGGGCATCTGTGGTGTGGTAAACACTGCGCTGGTAGACTAAGGAAGACAAAGAATAAGACATCCTTCCTGTCTCTGCCTCAGTTTCTCATCTGGAAAATGAGGTGCAGCCAGTGTGCAGCTGGTAGACTGGCTCTCCAGAAGGGGAGAAAAAGAAGCTGTGATTGTAGTGTTTGCCAACTTCTGTGGTGGAAATAATCCCACAATGGCTTATTTCAAATTATGAACCAAATGGGAGTGAACGTGGCATTGAGAAGAGGTGTGCACGATTGCCTTGCTCCAGTCTGACCTGTCTCCAGCACACACCCCTGGGGCCAGCGCAGTGCTACCTTTTCCCCAAAGCTGTCTCTGAGCCTCACCTACTCTCTACCCTCTTTCCCTTACATATGTCAGAGCTCCTGGCACATCTAGGGCAACTCGTGTCTTTTGGTGGAATAAATGAATATTAAATAGGAAATGAACACCCTGAATTTTGAACATTAGCTAAAGGCTATATGCAAACACACTCCTGTCTATCAACTCGGTGGATCTCCTTCTATAAAAAGAAGAGCTGTTCCCCCCTTCCTTTTCATTTCATGTACTTCAAAAGAAATGGCAGCTTGGTCATCATTTTCTCTTGCAGGAGTTCTCCTGCGCAGGGCGCACACTGCCACGGGCGGATGTATGCACAGCCTGCGGCTTTAAGGCTTGTCTTGCGGTTTCCTTAACTTAAACCTTAAACCAAGCTCTTGAGAGAAGCTACACGAAAAGTAATGATCCTCAAAAATGAATGCATTGTAACAGCAAGAAGAAATTTAATTAGCCGCCATAATAGCATCATTTAGGCTTCTTTTTCTTTTCTTCCTTTTAAAAATAAGTGCAGTGACTAGAAATTGTGGGTCCCACCATCTTAGTCCCTTGAACTCTATAACTGGGACAGAATGGGGACGTGTGTGTGTGTCTGTTCTCTACATTTTAGTTTTACAAATAGGCTCATCTGATTTTTAAAAATTGTAATAATTTTAAAAATAGTCCCTTAGCCTGCTTCCCAGGAAAGCCGACCTGTGATGACATTCAAGGTAAAGGGAGCAGTCAGAATGCAGGCGGGGAGGGAGGAAAAAGCCAGGCAAGCTTTCCTGTGAAGATTGCGTGGCGTTTAGAGGGAGGGAGAGCCTTATAAAGAGCCCAGAGGTGCCTCTTCCTGTCTACTCTGAAGTTGCTGCAGATGAAGAGGATGCTGTAAAAAACAAGTGATGGAGCCGAGCAAGGTGGCTCATGCCTGTAATCCCAGCACTTTGTGAGGACGATCGGGGTGGATCACCTGAGGTCAGGAGTTCAAGACCGGCCTGGCCAACATGGAGAAATCCTGTCTCTACTAAAAAATACAAAAATTAGCGAGGCATGGTGGCGGGTGCCTGTAGTCCCAGCTACTCTGGTGGCTGAGGCAGGAGAATTGCTTGAACCTGGGAGGTGGAGACTGCAGTGAGCCAAGATGGCACCATTGCACTCCAGCTTGGGCAACAAAAACAAAACAAAACAAACAACAACAACAACAAAATGAGTGATGGTGGCTTCTCAACTGGCCTTTCTCCAGAAGCCTCTAAGACCAAAGGCAAAGGTTCTTCAACTGCATAGGGAAAGGAAAACTCAAGGGCAGGTCTTCTTAGATTGCCCCCAGATTTCTTGCAGGGACAGCTTAATTGCATGAGGTCCATGAAACCTCACGGCATGTTATCAATAGATAGTCAGCATCCTCTACATCTTCCCCAGCTTTATTGAGGTATAACTGACAAATAAAAATTGCATACATTTAAAGTGTACAACATGATGTTTTGATATACTTACATGTTGTGAAATTACCACAATCAATCAAGCTGATTAACATAGTTACCTTTTTTTGTGGTGATGATACTTAAGATGTACTCTCCTAACAAATTTCAAGTAGGTAATACATTATTATTAGCTATAATCACCATGCTGTATATTAGTTCTTCAGAACGTATTCCTCTTATAACAGAAAGTTCGAGCCCTTGGGCCAACCCCATTTCTCCACCCCTCTGGCTCCTGGTAACTACTCTTCTGCTCTCTGTTTCTATGACATAGACTTCTTAAAATTCCATATGTAAATAAGATCATGCAGATAAACATGATAGAGAGAGTATACTCTACATCTGAAGCCTGAAGCCAGCTGCTATGTCCTGAATGACACCTGGCTATGGGGGATACAGACCCTGACTTGCCTCTGGCCCCTGCTTCCCAGTGCAGAGATGATGTCACCTAAAGAGGAGCTTTTCCTTTCCTCTGCCTGCACAGACAATGATTAAATAGATCCAAGCTATTTTTGTGTGTGTGTGTGTTGATATTTCTTTATGAGCAAAATAGATGATTCTATTTTAAAAGTAGAATTATTAAAGTCATATATGTAATTGATTAAACAAGTTCAAATATAAAAAGATAAATAATGAAAAGTCTCCCTAACTCCTCAGAAATCACTACAATGAACAGTTTTGTGTATCTTCTTAAAAATTTTCTATACATGATAAAGTACATTTGTATATATGTATTTAAAATTTTTTCATTTTTAGGGCAGGTGCGGTGGCTCACCCCTGTAATCCTAGCACTTTGGGAGGCCGAGGCGGGTGGATCACGAGGTCAAGAAATTGAGACCATCCTGGCCAACATGGTGAAACCCCGTCTCTACTGAAAATACAAAAATTAGCCGGGGTGGTGGCATGCACCTGTAGTCCCAGCTACTCGAGAGGCTGAGACAGGAGAATTACTTGAATCCGGGAGGCAGAGGTTGCAGTGAGCTGAGATCGCACCACTGTACTCCAGCCTGCCAATAGAGTGAGACTCTGTCTCAAAAAAAAAAGAAAAAAGAAAAATTTTTCATTTTTAACATACGTGGGATAATGCATTACATACCTGTTTAGGCTCCTTGCATTTTTTTTGCACTTAATTTATAGAATAAGTTCCATTGCACATAATCCAAAACCAAACTACCCTGCATAATAAACTGAATTTGTTGACCTACATAATTAGAAGTTCAGAGAAAGAGCTTGATTCAAGGTGGATTTGACTCAGTGGCTTAACTATGTTATCAGAGATATGGTTTCTCTCTGTCTGCTTTGCCTTTCATGCTATTATTGTTAAGGCTGGCTTCCCATCCTGGCTGTCATATGACTTGTTAACATCCCCAGGGCTACATACCTGCATGTCCATATGTAGGCAGAAAGAGAGAGAGTTATTTCTTGAAGTTCTCTCAGAAGAGCCAGAAAACATTAATTTTAATGTTTTTTCACTTGGAGGCTCAAGTCAACAATTTTCACATCTTATTGGCATGAATTGGGTCATGTGCCTCCATTGGAACCAATCTCCTTAGAAAAGGATGGGGTTACATGAATTCATTAGATGTGAGCCGAGGAAGGACTCACCTTAGAGCCAGGGGTGGAGTTATCATTTTCCAAGCATATGGGCTGTGAGTGGTAGGTGTGGCTATCCAGGCAAAAAATAAAATATTTAGCACCAGTACTTAACATCGTGTTGGGAATATCTCTCTGTAGCTGTATAGCTAGAGATATTTTCTTTTAAAAAATAAAATTGTCAGCATAGGGCTAAAGTATGTAGATACAATATTATTTAACCAATTCCTTACTAATGAACATTTAGGTGATTTCCAAATCTTTCCTGATATAAAGCCATGCTTTAGTGAATTTTATACATGCATTTTTGCATACATATGGATTATAGGTATATCTGTTGGCCAAATTCCCAGAAGATGGGTTGGAGAATTTAATCAGCATACATTTAGTTACAGAGAATCAAATGTTTTCCAGGGGGTAAAGACTCAAGTTTGAACTTTCAGGAATGATTGTCAAAGTTACACTATTGGACTGATCCACCAAAGGAGCTGCTGCCTAACTGGGAAGTTGCCTTGCAGATGTCAGCTCCCAGAATCCCACCACCACAGAGCCATGATCAAGAAGCACCAAGATCAGGAATCAGTGATGATCAGGAAGCCACTGCTGCTCCAGAATTATCCTGTGCCAGTAAAATGGATGTTATATGCTGTGAGCTTTGATACTGACAAAGCTAGTGACCACAAATACAGCAGGAGCAAATGTCAGCTTCATTTTTTGCCTTCCAAATCTCATATGGTACTTCTGATTGATGGAATCTCATTCACACTTGAAACCTTATCTGCAAGGGAATCTGGGAAATGCGTGGCTTCCTGGCTTCCACTGTCAAGGAGGCACCCTGGGAGGAGAAAGATATGCATTCCAGTCTCTCACATGTCAGGGAGTGTGCATTTTTAATTGTGCTAGATCCTGCCAATATTCTTAATGTATATATATATATATATACACACACACACACACACATATACACACACACACACATTTCTTTGCTGCCTTTGTAGAACTAAGATCTCTATAGCCAAAATGGCCCCCATTCCAACTTCATTGTGACTCTATAGATCAAAAGCAATCCTTCACAGCCTGTATTGATTAAAAAGGATGAGCTTCCTTTCAACTGCAGCAAAGAGATGAGCTTCTGACTCGTTAGCCATTGTTGATCATTTCTATAGGCCTGATTCTGTACCAGTTAATTCTCACTTCTTCCCTACAAAGTAGGTTTCATCATCTGCAGGCTGGATATGCAGACAGTGCTCATAGGTAGAGCCCCGAAGGACTGGCTTCTCTTTTAATTGCTTGGGCATTTCCCCAAGATCAGAGGGGTGGAAAGTAACGAGAATTTGAGCCCAGTGGTGTATGGCTCCAAAGGTTGTTTTTCTACCACACCCACTGCCTTTCTGCTGAATCAAACATTAATACAAAAATGCTTACATAGTATGGTGTAGTTTAATAAAGGCTCTGCTTTTAAAACACATTAAGACACAGCTCTTAGTGTTAGTGAATATATTTTCTGGGCACAAATATTGAGACACCATTTTATGACAGATCGTCCAGCAGAGCTCACTGAGGAACTGTCACAAAACTACAGGGTAAGACCCTGTTATATAATATGACCCAAACCAACCTCTCCACAGCCTCATCTCTGCCCCTCCAGCCCCAGGGCCCTAGATGCCACATACTCACTGTACCACGTCCTTACCCTTGCCTGGACTTAGGGGTGAAGTGCCCTTTTCCTAAAGGATGCCATGCTTCAAAGCCAGCTCAAGAAGATACCTCTTCAGGGGAACCTTTACTGACATCCTCAGAAAGAGTTTTGTTTTTTGTTTTGTTTTGTTTTGTTTTTTGAAATGGAGTCTTGCTCTTGTCGCCCAGGCTGGAGTGCAATGACACAATCTCAGCTCACTGCAACCTCCACCTCCCGAGTTCAAGCAATTCTCCTGCCTCAGGCTCCCGAGTAGCTGGGATTACAGATGCATGCTACCACACCGGGCTAATTTTTTTGTGTTTTTAGTAGAGACAGGATTTCACCATGTTAGCCAGGCTGGTTCGAACTCCTGACCTCGTGATCCACCTGCTTTGGCCTCCCAAAGTGCTGGGATTACAGGCATGAGCCACCGCACCTGGCCAGAAAGAGTTCTTATTTCCTCTCACCTTGTAATTGTATCTCTTTCATACTCCTGACTAAAGGTAGAATCTTCTGCCTTTTCTTCCCCCCGCCATCAAGCTGTGATTTCTTAAAAATTATATCTTAATCATTTTTGGCATTCCTTGGTGCCTGTCATATAATGCATAAATTTAGAAGCGGGGGAGGGAGGCGGGGGGGCGGGTGTGGCTGCCTGTTTTTCCAAGTGGAAGGCTAAGATGGTAAGGTTGTCTGTGTTATCCATTTCTTCTACTGTAACTGAAAACTTGTACTTTGAAAGCCAATATATTGTCAACTATTCTAGAATCTTAAGTAGTTTCTTTATATAGAGCAGAGAAAGCAGTAAATTGCAATGGGATAGAGAACAGGCTTTGGAGTGAGAAACTCCTGGATTTGAATCTCAGCTCTGCTACTTGCTATGTTCATGACTTTGAATGACAACCTCCTTCAACTTTAGTGACTGCACTGGTAAAATGGGGATGATAGGAGCGCTTATTCCATAGCCTAGTGTGAGGCTTAATGTGCATAAAGCACCTAGAGCAGTGCCTGACAGTGTCATCTAGTAGGGACACTAGCAGAAATTGATGAAGAGAAGTTTCAAATATGCCATTTTCACACTTCTGTCCCAGAAGAAGAAAGCATTAGAATATTGCTTTCAGATTTTCATTTTTGTTAAAATGCCAGAATTCAAGAATTTTGCTTAATGGGTGAAATATATTGCTCATATATTTGGAGCAATCATTAGAAATAACCTTTCCAAGAGGCACCAACCACCATCCATCCATATGAAGGAGAGCTAAGCCGCAAGAAATGGATGAGGATGTTTTTTCTCATCTCCACTGCAGCTTGTTGCTAGGTACAATCATTCCAGGAGGTTAATATCTTGATCCTTGGGTAAAACAAAGATATAACTCATAAGAAACAGAAGCACAAATGGAACCACAGCTGAGCATGGAGCAAGGGAGGAAAATTTGCAAAGTAGAAATTTAAAAGTTTCATGGTACCATGTAAGCTCTGCGATAGGGACCTGGGATAGAGTGCTGGCAACACCACTAATTAATTATGGGAAAGCCATTTTGTTTTCCGTCCAAGCCCATTTTTCTCACGGGCATGTAGGGGAAGAACAATAATTTTTTCTCCAATTCTCATAGGTTCGTAGTTGGAATGGACCCCTGTAACAATAGACAGATTAATTAAAAAAACCACATTTATTAACATGTATATTTTATATATACATGGGTGATACCAGGGAATGAGTAATTCTCATAGAGGTGAATTTGAATTACAGCTTATATAGCATCTTTAACAAAGTACAGTAAAATTTTAGAGAAGCGACAAAACAAAGGAAAGGAACTTTGAATGTGCAGAATAGCAACTTTTGGAAAGGTAAACTAAGGGCACTTAACGGCAAGTTAGGAAAGCTGGTTAATGTAGATTCCACTGCTGCCATCTCCACCGGCTAACGTTGTCTTAAAGGGTTAACATTTCTTCTCTCTGGTAGGTGAGGGCATGGAAACCCTTTGCCTTTGCATATTTATATCCTGCTTTTAGGCACATGGAGGGCAGAGTGCTTTCCTGCATCTCCTCCTTCATTGCCTTTGGCTCAATAATCCTATATACTTTGGTGTGGCATATTCTGGTTTCCAATAGGCACAAAAGTTCCCATGTCTTACACCTTACCGGGGTTTTCAAAGCACTACTCAGATGCAGAAAATTTGACATTAACAAGGTTAAGAAGCATCAACCAACCCCTCTGTTTCTTGATAGCACCTTTGTTACCGGAAAGGGGCCTTTCATGCGCGTCCGTGTGAAGAGACCACCAAACAGTCTTTGTGTGAGCAACATGGCTGTTTATTTCACCTGGGTGCAGGCGGGCTGAGTCCGAAAAGAGAGTCAGCTAAGGGAGATAGGGGTGGGGCCGTTTTATAGGATTTGGGTACGTAAAGGAAAATTACAGTCAAAGGGGGTTTGTTCTCTGGTGGGCCGGAGTGGGGGTCGCAAGGTGCTCAGTGGGGGTGCTTTTTGAGCCAGGATGAGCCAGGAAAAGGACTTTCACAAGGTAATGTCATCAGTTAAGGCAAGGACCGGCCATTTACACTTCTTTTGTGGTGGAATGTCATCAGTTAAGGCGGCGCAGGGCATATTCACTTCTTTTGTGATTCTTCAGTTACTTCAGGCCATCTGGGTGTATAGGTGCAAGTCACAGGGGATGTGATGGCTTGGCTTGGGCTCAGAGGCCTGACATTCCTGCCTTCTTATATTAATAAGAAAAATAAAACAAAATAGTGTTGAAGTGTGGGGGCGGCGAAAAATTTTGGGGGGTGGTATGGAGAGAGAGAATGGGCAATGTTTCTCAGGGCTGCTTCGAGCGGGGTTAGGGGCGGTGTGGGAACCTAGAGTGGGAGAGATTAAGCTGAAGGAAGATTTTGTGGTAAGGGGTGATATTGTGTGGTTGTTAGAAGAAACTTTGTCGTGTAGAATTATTGGTGATGGCCTGGATACAGTTTTGTATGAATTGAAAAACTAAATGGAATAAGAGAAGGAGAAAAACAGGTATAAAAGGTCTAAGAATTGGGAGGACCCAGGACATCTGATTAGAGATGCCTAAGGAGATTCAGCATAGTCCTGCCAGCAAAGATTATTTATTTACTTCAAGAGTTTAGAGTGGCGGTTTGGGGATAGCACCAGGAGATATCAGCTGTGATGGCTTGGAGAAACAGTCTAAACTGGCAGTGTAAACAAGAGCAAGTCATTTATGAGTAGTTGAGAACGGTGAATAGGAGTATGACTAAACAGAAGATAGTAGGGATGACAAGTTTTTTGGGGCACAGTCTAAGTTGGTCTGGTGTCTGGAATGAGACTGGGGCCTAATGAAAAGGAGCGTCTATACAGGAGCTTAAATGGGCTGTACCTTGTAGCATTCCAAGGACAGACCTGAATTCAGAGAAGTGAAAGTGGTAAAAGTATGGTCCAGTCCTTTTTAAGTTGGTGGCTGAGCTGGGTGAGGTGTGTTTTTAGTAGACCATTAGTCTGTCACTGAATACTAAGAGCCTGAAAAACTGCTTGGCTGATTTGACTAATAAAGGCTGGTCTGTTATCAGACTGTATAGAGGTGGGAAGACTAAACTGAGGAATTATGTCTGACAGAAGGGAAGAAATGACTGTGGTGGCCTTCTCAGACCCTGTAGGAAAGGCCTCTACCCATCCAGTGAAAGTGTCTACCCAGACTAAGAGATATTTTAGTTTTCTAACTCGAGGCATGTGAGTAAAGTCAATTTGCCAGTCCTGGGCAGGGGCAAATCCCCGAGCTTGATGTGTAGGAAAGGGAGGAGGCCTGAACAATCCATGAGGGGTAGTAGAATAGCAGATGGAACACTGAGAAGTGATCTCCTTGAGGATAGATTTCCACGATGGAAAGGAAATGAGAGGTTCTAAGAGACGGGCTAGTGGCTTGTAACCTACATGGAAGAGGTTATGAAATGACGACAGAATAGAATGGGCCTGTGAGGCTGGAAGGAGATATTTTCCTTGGTCTAAGAACCATTTGCCTTGTGTGGGAAGAGATTGATAGGTGGAAGTTTCAGCAGGGGAGTAGGTGGGAGTGACCGATGTGAAGGAGAAAAACTGGCCGTGAGGGACAGAAGTTGGAGAGCTAGCTGCTTGTCTAGCCACCTTATCAGCATAAGTGTTGCCTAGAGCAATGGGATCTGACGCCTTTTGACGCCCCTTGCAGTGAATGACCCCAGCTTCCTTTGGAAGTAAAGTGGGCTTGAGTAGTTTTTATTAAAGAGGGATTAATGATGGAGGACCCTTGTGTAGTGAGAAAACCTCTTTCAGCCCATATGACTGCATGGTGGTGCAGAATATGAAAGGCATATTTAGAATCAGTATAGATATCGATGCGTAGTCCTTTTGCAAGAGTGAGGGCTTGAGTTAAGGCAACTAGTTCGGCTTGCTGAGCGGTAGTGGAGGGGGGCAGAGCGGTAGCCTCAATGATAGATGTGGAAGATACTACAGCATAGCCTGCCTTTGCTGGTGAGTGGCGATTAAGCCTGGTGGAACTGCCATCAATAAACCAAGTGTGATCACGGTGAGAAACAGGGAAGAAGGAAATGTGGGGAAATGGGGTGAACGTCAGGTGGATCAGAGAGATGCAGTCATGAGGGTCAGGTGTGGTATCCAGAATAATGTGAGAAGCCGGATTGAAGTCTGGGCCAGGAACAACAGTAACTGTGGGAGACTCAACAAAGAGTGAGTACAGCTGAAGGAGCCGGGAAGCAGAAAGTATATGCGTCAGGTATGAGGAAGAAAATAGATTTTGGAAGTTATGAGAACTGTAGAGAGTGAGTTGAGCATCGTTTGTGATTTTGAGGGCCTCTAAAAGTATTAAAGCAGCGGCAGCTGCTGCACGCAGACATGAGGGCTAGGCTAAAACAGTAAGGTCAAGTTGTTTGGACAGAAAGGCTACAGGGTGCGGTCCTGGCTCTTGTGTAAGAATTCTGACCACGCTAACCATGCCTAGGAAGGAAAGGAGTTGTTGTTTTGTAGAAGGTGCTGGGGTTTGAGAGATCAGTTGGACACGATTGGCAGGGAGAGCACGTGTGTTTTTATGAGAATTATGCCGAGATAGGTAACAGATGAGGAAGAAATTTGGGCTTGACTGAAGTAATGGGGGCTGTCTGTGAAGCTTTGCAGCAGTACAGCCTAGGTAATTTGCTGAGCTTGATGGGTGTCAGGGTCAGTCCAAGTGAAAGCGAAGAGAGGCTGGGAGGAAAGGTGCAAAGGAATAGTAAAGAAAGCATGTTTGAGATCTAGAACAGAATAATAGGTTGTAGAGGAAGGCATTGAGGATAGGAGAGTATATGGGTTTGGCACCACGGGGTGGATAGGTGAAACAGTTTGGTTGATAAGGCGCAGATCCTGAACTAACTTGTAAGGCTTGTCTGGTTTTAGGACAGGTAAAATATGGGAATTGTAAGGAGAGTTTATAGGCTTTAAAAGGCCATGCTGTAGCAGGCGAGTGATAACAGGCTTTAATGTTTTTAAAGCATGCTGCGGGATGGGATATTGGCGTTGAGTGGGGTAAGAGTGATTAGGTTTTAATGAGATGGTAAGGGGTGCATGATCGGTCGCCAAGGAGGGAGTAGAGGTATCCTATGCTTGTGGGTTAAGGTGGGGGGGATACGAGAGGGAGGATGTGAAGGAGGCTTTGAACTGGGGGAAAAGGTGGCAGTGAGGTGTGGCTGTAGCCCAGGAATAGTCAGGGAAGCAGATAATTTAGTTAAAGTGTCTCAGCCTAATAAGGGAACTGGGCAGGTGGGGATAACTAAAAAGGAGTGCTTAAAAGAGTATTGTCTAAGTTGGCACCAGAGTTGGGGAGTTTTAAGAGGTTTAGAAGCCTGGCCGTCAATACCCACAACAGTTATGGAGGCAAGGGAAACAGGCCCTTGAAAAGAAGGTAATGTGGAGTCGGTAGCCTCCGTATTGATTAAGAAGGGGACGGACTTACCCTCCACTGTGAGAATTACCCAGACTGTCTGTGATGGTCCTGTAGGCTTCCGAGGCAATTGGGCAGTGTCAGTCTTCAGCTGCTAAGCCGAGAAGATCTGGGAAGGAGTCAGTCAGAGAGCCTTGGGCCAGAGTCCCAGGGGCTCTGGGAGTGGCTGCCAGGTAAGTTGAACAGTCCGATTTTCAGTGGGGTCCCACACAGATGGGACATGGCTTAGGAGGAATCCCGGGCTGCGGGCATTCCTTGGCCTGGTGGCCAGATTTCTGGCACTTGTAGCAAGCTCCTGGGGGAGGCGGCTCTGGAGGAACGCCTGGCTGCTGCGGTTCAGGCATTTGGAAGTTCTTGTGTGCTGGAGATATGGCTGGGGTTTGTCTCCCAGTGGAGACAAGGAATTGCCTTTTTTCTATTATTGTACACCTGGAAGGCAAGGTTAATTAGGTCCTGTTGTGGAGTTTGAGGGCTGGAATTTAATTTTTGGAGTTTTATTTAAAGTTGGGAGCGGATTGGGTAATAAAATGTATACTAAGAATAAGACGACCTTTTGACCTTATAGGGTCTAGGGCTGTAAAGCGTCTCAGGGTTGCTGCCAAAGGGGCCATGAACTGGGCTGGGTTTTTCATATTTGATGAAAAAGAGCCTAAACGCTACTGATTTGGGAGAGGTAGGATAAAGAAAAAGGAGCATCAACCTTGACTATGCCTTTAGCTCCAGCCACCTTTTTAAGAGGAAATTGCTGGGCAGGTGGGGGAGGGCTAGTGGCGGAACGAAACTGTAAGCGGGACCAGGTGTGAGGAGGGGAGGTGATAAAAGGGTTATAGGGTGGAGGAGGGGAGGCTGAGGAAGAATTGGGACCTAGCTTGGCCAGGCTAGGAGGGGAGATGTCAGATGGGTCTGTAGAAAAGGAAGATTAGAAAGACTCAGTGACGCTTGGGGTTGGGACTGAGGGGACAGGCAGGAGGGAAAGGAGGAAGATTTGGTATGAGTTGCATTGGGCACAGAGACTAGGAAGGGACTGATGTGTAAAAGAATGCCTGGACGTCAGGCACCTCAGACCGTTTGCCTATTTTACGACAAGAATTATTTAGATCTTGCAGGATGGAAACATTGAAAGTGTGGTTTTCTGGCTATTTGGAACTACTGTCGAGTTTGTATTGGGGTCAAGCAGCATTGCAGAAGAAAATAAGACATTTAGGTTTTAGGTCAGGTGTGAGTTGAAGAGGTTTTAAGTTTTTGAGAACACTGGCTAAGGGAGAAGAAGGAGGAATGGAGGGTGGAAGATTGCCTATAGTGAAGGAGGCAAGTTTAAAGAAAAGGGAGAGTAGAGACATGGAGGGAAGTGGTTCAGGGGTTCTTACCCTCCAGAAAAGCAGGAAAGGGGTCGGGGCACAGAGATACGAAGTTGGGGCATGGAAGTAAGGTATTGGGGCGCAGAGATGTAAGAGGTTGGGGCACGGAAATAAGGGATCAGGGCGCAGAGATATAAGAGGTCGGGGCACGGAAATAAGGGATCGGGGCGCAGAGATACGAGGTTGGGGTACTTGCCCATCCCCAAGAAAAGCGGGACTTGCCTCTAAGGGTGAAGGACCAAGGCAGGCATCCCTGCGGGGTCTGACACCTCTGAAATGTGGGTGAATAATCAGAGAGGTATCCCTGCAATGATTAAACACCAAAGGAAGGCTGCCTTCCCAGTCCGTGACTGGCGCCGGAGTTTTGGGTCCACAGATAAAATGTGTCTCCTTTGTCTCTACCAGAAAATGAAAGGAATTGAAATTAAGAGAAGGGAGAGATTAAAGAGTGGAAAGGAGAAAGTGGTTGAGGAATAGTGAGAGAGGTTGGAGAAGAGAGTAAGAAGAGGCCACTTACCCGATTTAAAATTGGTGAGATGTTCCTTGGGCTGGTGGGTCTGAGGACCTGAGGTCGTAGGTGGATCTTTTTCATAGACCAAAGAACAGGAGGACAGGGGATTGATCTCCCAAGGGAGGTCCCCTGATCCGAGTCATGGCACCAAATTTCATGCGCGTCCGTGTGAAGAGACCACCAAACAGGCTTTGCGTGAGCAACATGGCTGTTTATTTAACCTGGGTGCAGGCGGGCTGAGTCTGAAAAGAGAGTCAGTGAAAGGAGATAAGGGTGGGGCCGTTTTATAGGATTTGGGTAGGTAAAGGAAAATTACAGTCAAAGGGGGTTTGTTCTCTGGCGGGCAGGAGTGCGGGGTCGCAAGGTGCTCAGTGGGGGTGCTTTTTGAGCCAGGATGAGCCAGGAAAAGGACTTTCACAAGGTAATGTCATCAGTTAAGGCAAGGACCGGCCATTTACACTTCTTTTGTGGTGGAATGTCATCAGTTAAGGTGAGGCAGGGCATATTCACTTCTTTTGTGATTCTTCAGTTACTTCAGGCCATCTGGGCGTATATACGTGCAAGTCACGGGATGCGATGGCTTGGCTTGGGCTCAGAGGCCTGACAGGGCCCAGATCCAGACTCCAAAAGAAAGCTCATGGATCTTGCACAGGAAAGAATTCAGGGCAGTCCATAAACTAAAGTGAAAGCAAGTATATTAAGAAAGTAAAGAAATAAAAGAATGGCTACTCCATAGACAGAGCATCCCCGAGGGCTGCTGGTTGCCCATTTTTATGGTTATTTTCTGATGATATGCTAAACAAGGAATGGATTATTCATGCCCCTCCTTTTTAGGCCATATAGGGTATCTTCCTGATGTTGCTATGGCATTTGTAAACTGTCATGGGTGGGAGTGTAGCAGTGAGGACGACCAGAGGTCACTCTCATTGCCATCTTGCTTTTGTTGGGTTTTGACCGGCTTGTTTACTGCAATCTGTCTTATCAGCAAGGTCTTTATGACCTGTATCTTGTGCTTACCTCCTCTCATCCTGTTACTTAGAATGCTTCACCTTCTGGGAAAACCTAGTACCCAGCTCCTATTCAAGATGGAGTTGTTCTGATTCAAATGCCTCTAACACCTTGATGTGAGTGTTGTCATCCTGGAGGTAAAACCAGGCCGGTGATGCCTCAACTTCCTGTCCAGGAAAGGGACCTGGGATAGAGTGCTAGCAACATCACCATCTAGTTATAGGAAAGCCATTCCTGTCCAGGGACAGAAACTAATTGAAATTGAAAAGTAGGTTGAAAAATTCATATCTTGTGTTTTCTTTAAGTTTTGTACATTTGTTCTGAGGTTAAAAAAAAGTTCTTAAAATAAAACACACTCCAGAAACCTCAAGTTTAAAAATGACTATATATCACTGAACATGCCACTTTTTTTTTTTTTTTTTTGAGATGGAGTCTCACTCTGGAGTTCAGTGGCATGATTGTGGCTCACTGCAACCTCCGCCTCCCAGGTTCAAGGGATTGTTCTGCCTCAGCCTCCCGAGTAGACAGGATTACAGGCTTGCACTACCACCCCTGGCTAATATTTGTATTTTTAGTAGAGATGGGGTTTCACCATATTGGTCAGGCTAGTCTTGAACTCCTGACCTCGTCATCCGCCTGCCTCGGCCTCCCAAAGTGCTGGGATTACAGGCGTGAGCCACCGCACATGGCAAACATAACTTTTATTAATAAGAATAAATATTTTATTAAACCTCTAGTATTCTTTATTTTAATTGGTTTATTTCTCTCCTTCCTTCCTTCCTTCCTTCCTTCCCTCCCTCCTTTCTTTCATTTCAATGTGTGTTTGTGTGGGTGTACCACTGAAAACCCTTCATGGAATGAGGCAGATGAACTTACATGAACTTTAACATTTTATTTAATCCTCACCACAAATTGATGAAATGGGCATGTGGCCCATTTTACAGATGAAGTAATGAAGAATCAAGGAGTTCAAGTAAGCTGTCTACCTCACAAAGCCAGGAGGTGGCAGAGCCAGGATCTAAACACAAATCTGATGCCAGGACTCCCAAATTCAGGGTGTGGGAGGACCTTGACCTACAACCTCACTGTGCTGCAGAGATGAGGGGTTCCCAAGGCTGACCTGGGCAAACAGATGAGCTGAACACTTAAATGTGAATGAGCTGACATTTACACTTGACCATTTTAGTTGTGCAAAGAGCAGATAGAACTGGATGTAGGGATGGGATTCAGGTAACTTTCAACCAGGAAAGAAAGAATGGTTCAAGAGAAAAAATCCAGGATACTTGACAAGAAACCCAGGAAGCATATTAGCCCTCCTGGCTGGTTATCTTAACTAAGAATCATGGACTGGAACTTCAAGGTTTCTGGTGTAGATGTTGAATCACACAGTCATTTAAGGACACCGGGGTGGAAGTGCAAATTTACACGCAATTGGTGAGAAGTGTGGAAAACATTTTGTCCTTGGCTTTTATTTATGGAATCTTCTCCCTTAGCTCCAAACTTTCTAATCTCTTCTTTTCTATCAAGAAACATTACCAGAAAGTGATTGGCCCATATATCTAAGCTTCTTTAAGATTTGGGCACTTGTGAATACCACAGGTCTTTGCAGAAGGAACCTGAGATTCCTGCACTTCAAGGCTGGCCATTGAAATGCAAGCTCTTGTTTTTAAAGAGTCACTTCCAGATGGACTTCAAACTCCCTTTTGATCTCTTCCAGGCCCTTCCCCAGCATCATTCTGGAATGCTCACTTTTCCTAGAAAGTGGCTCTTTTCCATCTGGTTGTGCACAAACTACTTTCCCTTGCTGACTTTCAGTAGGGTGGAAATTAGTTTCTGGGTGATAGGGCTTCCTATCGTGATTTGTTTAGCTCTGATTGTGGGGGGTATTTATGGATGATTTAGTTAACATTGCTGTCAACACTGGCAAGCAAGTTTTCAAAAAAGTTTTCCCTAGTCACACATCTACTTGCTGAGGAGACAGGCAGTTCTTTTTCTACTTTCTCAAATATGAGAATATGTCATTAAATGAACCTAAGAAGAAAAACAAGTTCCCATAGTCACTGCAAGGGGCCGCAACCAGAAAGCACCTATTTTGTTTAATATTTTTCAAAGAAACATATTCATATGTTCTTGATGCCTAATCTGAAAAAGGGCAACTGCACTTCTAAATGTTGCTTTCAAACCAGTGAAACAAAGTATTCTTGGAAGAATAAATTGTTGCTCCCAAACTTGGACATGGGTGATCCCTTTTATGCTTGCTGTCTCCCAATAATACCTACAGCAGAGAGTCTTAATTTGGATTTCAGAGGGACTCTGAAAAGTCATAAAAATGTTTCCAGTGTGTATGTGTGTGCACTTAGGATTTTTCTAGGGTCTGGGGTCATAGTTTTCATCAGATTTCTATAAGAGACCCATAACCCTCAATGTTTTACATTGAATGACCTAGTGTGGCACTGAAAAAAACTTCCTAGGGAGAAGTTGGCCTGGCCCCTATTAATTAGACCTGGGGAAAGTGGGCAGCAGAAGTAGAGTCACATCTGCCTTCAGTGTGATTCTGTCTTTCAACAAACATCTAGCAAGGACTCAGTGAAAGGCGGTAAAAGGCAAGAGACTTGATTGTCTCTCTTTTAGGAGTCACAATCGTGAATGCAATTGTTAACTGCAAATTACTCAGCCCCTTTCAAGTCTCTGGCTGCAGGATGGAAGCCTAGAGCCTTCCAATTCCTGGGGGAGCCTACATGCTGTGTGATGAAGTATTCATTAGTTGATTTGTGTAAAGTGCTTTGAAGATCCAAAGACCCAGAGTGCTAGAAGCATCCTCGACCTCCTTAAACTTTCTTTGTCTCTCTTTTACCTAAAGGCAACTTGTCAGTACCATGATGAGGTACCCAAAATACAGACCTTGCTCTGAAGTCCTCATAATCAGTAAGTGGCCCACCTGAATAGAGGCATTTTCTTCTTTCCTGAAGAGGGGGTTAAAAACTTGACTCTCATAAGAGGCCTAGTTTTGAACAGGAGCTTCCCTTTTTGACCACACTGGCAGCTTTTATTTGAAGATGCTTACAACAAGTTAAAGCCTAGAGTGTTTGGTGATAAATTAAATCAGAGGATATGCAGGCTGGATGCCCCAGTGCATTTGGGAGGCAAGCTGCTGGCAGTGGGATCTGTATGATGCCTGAGAAGCCTCCACGGGGGATAAAAGGATCAGAATTTACAATCTAGTAGGGGTGTAAGATAAGCACAGAGATAACTACGGTATAAATCAGGATGTGTTCCACTGGGGCTATAAGAAAGACTCAAAGAACAGGATGGGCATTAGAAATGGGCCTATCATGCTTTATGTGTTGAATCAGAAGTTTCAAGAAGCCAGTGGCTTTGGAATGAGTGACATCAAATTATAACCAACACTCATTGTGTCCTCCGTATGTGCTCATTGAACTAAATCCTTTCCATGCATCATCTCATTTAATGGACCTTGACTGACAGGTAGGGTGGTGGCAGGTGGTTATGCCTGGGGACAGCATCGCTCAATGGAAAGAGCAAGGACAAGAGCCAGCAGCTTCTGTGCAAGGCTTCTCAACTAAAGCTTCTGTCTACGTTTCTTTACTCTTTTCTTGATTCCTTACGTATAAATGTAAATTTTTGGTTTGCATTAGCTTCTACTGATTAGACTAACATGTGCCAAAAGCATAAAAAATCATGACTTCAATATTAATTTCAATATCCGGATCATAAGATCCGGTGGGTGCAGTGTCAGCTCTGGAGCATCCAGGTGGAAGGGGCTGGGAGCAGTTGGAGACTTGTCTAGATAAGGCATTTGCCTAGCAAACATGCCTTAGTTAGGTTATTTGCATTTGCCTGGCTTGGAT
Organism: Homo sapiens; assembly: GCF_000001405.40. Classification (NCBI taxonomy): domain Eukaryota; kingdom Metazoa; phylum Chordata; class Mammalia; order Primates; family Hominidae; genus Homo; species Homo sapiens. Next base: position 16,993,475 of record NC_000004.12, on the reverse strand, counting down.
CCTTGACCAGAAAAAGACATTAGTGGAACATTGGGTGATATTTAAATAAGGTTTGTTAATTAATGATATTGTATTAATGTTAACATCCTGATTTTGATCATTGAATTGTGGATATGTAAGCTTTTAGTATTTGAGGAAGCTGAGTGAGGAGTATAAGGCAATTCATTATACTATTTTTACAAATATTTGCAAGTCTAAAATAATTTCATAGTGAAGAGTTAAAAATAAGAATAAATAAAAAGAAGTAAAATAGTGCATGTGGATTTGGAGTGATCGGGGTGGAACTGGGTGAAGGGAATTGGGACAAAGCCTTAACCCCTTTCCTTGGTTATGTCCCTGCTGGGATGCTTGTTGAAAGCAGAATCCTGGCCCCAGAAAGTTCCAGAAAGTGTTCTGAGAATTTATATTTGGACAGGCTCCTCCAAATGATCCTTAAGAAGAGGTGAGTTTGGGAAACAGCATGATCTCATTTCCTCAAATTCCCCTGCCAAGTGAGAAACATTATCCCCAATGTTCAGAGGAGGAAACTGAGCCCGAGGGAGGGTAAGTTGCTTGAAGTTGCAGGTCTGTTAAGTGGTGAAGGTGGGGTTCGCTATGTTTTTCCTTTTAAAAACTCCCTAGTAAAACATTTCTTAGGACCTGCCACTAAACTCATGTGATATTTATATGCTTATCTGTTCCAGAAACTCCTGGCAGCCACTTCCTCGTTTAACAACCCTCCATCCTGCCTACCTTGCCAGCATCCAGCAGGATGCCTGACACATAGTAGGGAATGCTCTTTATATCTGGATTGGGCTTTAATAACCATCAGTGCTTTTATCTCATTGGTCGTCTTGTATATGGGTCCCACCTAGAGGATACAAATTAAATAACTATTTTAGCTTGGAAAAATTCTTGGCTTTCTAGCCTTTCCATTTCAAGAAATGTTTCTGTTGATTTTAATTTAATTTGAGGCACATAAAACACACACACAAGTGGAATTAAATAATCTAATTTCAAATATTAATTACAATTTTAGGAAAATAACTTTGATTAAGTGATTTAAAGGCAGGGACGGGCTTCTCTGTAAAATTATTTCCAATCCCAGAGCCATTTCTGGGTTCTTCCTCTCTCCCAGTGTATAGAATCTTGGAGATTACTGGGATGCAGTAAGGCGGTGTGTTCCATGCATTGTGAAGATGTTTAATACTGTGATGACCAAGCAGAATCTAATATTCTTGGCCCTTGCACTCCCAAGCACTACTATTTTGCTTCTCCCACTCTTAATAACAGGATTAGGAGAGGAAAGGCAAACCGTGTGAGACTCATTTGAAGGAAGTAATGAGATTCAGGACACATTACCCCAAAATATAGCACCTTGGCATTGCAGGAAACAGCAGAAGCAGGAAGATCACTGTATTAGTCTGTTCTCACACTGCTAATAAAGACATACCCAAGACCAGGCAATTTATAAAGAAAAAGAGGTTTAATGGACTCACAGTTCCACATGGCTGGGGAGGCCGCACAATCATGGCAGAAGGTAAAGGAGGAGCAAAGTCATGTCTTAGATGATGACAGGCAAGAGAGTGTGTGCAGGGGAACTGCCCTTTGTAAAACTATCAGATCTCATGAGACTCATTTGCTATCACGAGAACACGGGAAAAACCAACCCCCTTGATTCCATTACCTCCCATTGGGTCCCTCCCATGACATGTGGGGATTATGGAAACTACAATTCAAGATGAAATTTTGGTGAGGTCACAGCCAAACCATATCAGTCACTCTCCCCTTCCCCTCACTTTTCTCCCACGAAGCAGGTCATAAACCCTGATGTTCTCCTGCCCTGCTATAGGTCGTAAAATCCTCATTCCAGAGGGGCCTCCTCTATACTTGGAAACAAGAAACATCCTTATCTCTGAAGACACAGGACACAGAAGAATCTGAACAAACAGGCCGTGCTAAGCCCTCTCCCTTGCCCCAGTTTATTACCACTAGATGGAATCCTCTGTTTCCAGTTAAATTTCTCCATGACTTTCTTCTTTTCATCAAACTTAACATAAAAATACACAGGTTTTCCTGTTTGTGTGAGTCTTCAGTCACTTATATAGGCTCCTGTGTCATGTAAAACTTACATTAAATCCATTTACAGGAGCAAAAACAGAAATAATTCATTTCATCACTTAAAATTATGTATTATAATGAACTATAGTTTATTTTTCTGCCAGTGAGCACGAAGTTATCTGTTCTATAATATTCTGGAATATGTTCATAGGCATTATTATTATTTTTTTTATTGTTATTATTGAGACAGAGTCTTGCTCTGCTCCCCAGGCTGGAGTACAGTGGCAGAATCTCAGCTCACTGCAACCTCTGCCTCCCTGGTTCAAGCAATTCTCGTGCATAAGCATTATTTTGAAGTTTTATATTCCAGGAAGATTAAAATGATAAAAGCACGGGATTCAGAGACCAAAAGACCTGGGTTTACGTCTAAGCTGCATCACTTACTGGCCATGGGACTGGGATAAGTCATGTAACTCCTTTCATCTCAGTTTCCTCACTGATACTACAAGGGCTCCAGTAGTCACCCTTAACCCCACTGTTATGGCCAGGTTTAATCAAATGGCATGAGTTAAAAGGACCTGGCACTGGGGATGTGGATATAATGAGAGGCACCCACTGCTAAGTGGTGCAACCTGCAGTAAAGCTCCCCTCCGTATTCCACAGCCCTACTCCTTCTCGGCATCTAAACTCCAAGCACCCAACATCATGCTCCTTTTGTTCCCTGGCTAACTCAGGATGCCCCAGTTCCTTCTGTTCTCAGTAGTCCAGGAGACCCTTCCTAGTGTAGGGCAGGAAACATTTCTTTCCTCACCCATCACTAGGTTTGTGGCCGAGGCCCCTATTAAAAAATAAAAACAGATTAACACGAGAAAAATCACACAAATGTATTTAATAAGTCTTACATGTCACAGGAGCCTTCAGAAATGAAGATCAAAGAAACAACGAAACCTGTGTATTTTTATGCTTTGATTTGATGGAGAGTGGACAAGTTGTGGAGAAATATAATTGGACAAAAGGAGTATGGTTTAACAGTAACAAACTGGGGAGAACTTAGAAAGGTCTGTTGGTTCAGATTTTTCTCTGCGTCCCTGTGACTTCAGAGGGAAGGATGTTCCCGTCCTCCAGGTATAGGGAGGGCACCTCTCACATGAGGGTCTTGTGATCTATTTCAGAGGAAGGTCAGAGAATCCTTTTATGGCACGCTTCAGGGAAGAAAGGCAGGAAAGGGTCAGAGTGACCTCCCTGCTTCTGCTGTTCTCTCCGATGTCAAGGTGCCATGTCTTGGGGGATTGTGTCTGGAGCGCCATCCCTAGTCCTGAACCTGCTCACCCTTAGGTTTAAACAGTGATTCCTGTGCTAAAGTGTTCCTGGTGAATGATGACTCTTAGGGTCATACCTCTCTGGTTATGACATGACTTATCCAGAGTCATGCAGGAACATGGTAGGAAGGCAGGAGTAGAGCTCTGGACTCTGCATTTTTCAGGCCAGGCTGGGTAGTTGTATCCTCTTTTCCATTCTATCTAGGGCCCCAGAATGTTATCCTGTCATCCTTGTGTGTAATTTGGGCTGCAGTGGCTGAACTCCTTGATCCTATTTACAACTTTGAATATGCTTTGGGTTTCAGTTTTAGTTCAGAGACTTCTGGGACTGAAAGTTAGCTACATTGGGGGGCTTTAGTTTATGATTTTTCTTTTTCTTCTCCTATACCACTACAATGCTTTGAAAGGGAGAGCATGTCAGCAATAGCCTGAACCTCATATCTTTACATTTATTTTGCTCTTAACTATGCTTTGAGGAATTGGAGAAAATGCCAATTCCTGCACTGCAATGCAACATATTGTGATAGATGCTTCTTCTGAGATCCCATATGCTTCATATTGCCATGGAAAAAGCACTGGCATAGCAAGATTTTTTTTTTTCTATAAATTTCCCCAGAGACTGAATTGGATTTCTGTTGGTTGCTTTTACAGCAACATTGTCTGATCAAGGGGGTTGGGGAGGGGCGGGGGGGTGGCAGGGAGAGAGAGAGAATGAGAGAGGCATGTTGAACATTAACAAATAGAGTAGGTTTTAAAGCACAGTTGCTTTAAGACAGCAGCTTAGGGGACACAGCCTTAGGGTGCTCCTGGTTCTGATTCTGCTAACTAATATATAAATGGTCTTACCTTGGAGTATTGGAAAAGCAGTTAACTTAGAAGAAGGAAGGCCAGTTCCTGACATGGCCACTCATCCTTTCTGAGTCTCATGCAAGTGTATCAGTTAGGTTTTGCTTATGAGATTTAATAATACAAATGAATTGTTTTTTTTTTTTTTTTATTTCTCACATTCTGGGATGGCTCTAATGGAGCTGGATTATTCAGGGTAGCCTCGCTCATGTGTCTGGCTGTTGGAATGATGTCACCTGGAGGACCTTGGCCACGTGACTCTCATCACCCAGCCAGTTAGCCCCAGCTTGTTCTCCATGGTGGTGGTCATGGGATTGTCCAGCCATTTTATGCCTCAGCTCATGTCACATTTGCTCATGTCCTCTGTGGCCAAAGCAGGTCACACATCTAAGCTCACATTCAAGGGGCACAAAAATAAACTGGTCTTGATTGGATGTTTTGAAAAATCACATTACAAAGAGGCAGCAAGCACAGCCTGCTATCACAAGTAAATTATGCTCTCTGAGCCTGCGTACCCTCAAATTTAAAATAGGTGAGCACTATATACCTAATAATTCAAATTTATCGTATCAAATATGACCTCTTGACCCAGTGTGCCACCCCACTTCACCTGCTCTTCCTCCACTGTCTCCTATTTTCGTAAGTGGCACCATTATTTACCTACTAGCTGAAAGCAGACACTTGGAAGTCTTCCTTGAGCCCTCCTTTTCCTTATCCTGGTATTCCTCACAGCTAACCCAAGCAAGAAAGATTCATGGATACTGACTCCAGAAAAGATCTTGTACCTGTCCACTTCTCTTCCTGCTTTTGTCCTTTCTCCCTCAGCAAGACCGAGCCTTCCTCTTCTTGGAATTTTCCTGAAGATATTCACATGGGCTCCTTTGGTTCTTGGCTCAAGGTCACATTCTGAGTGGGGTGCTCCTTGGCCACTAAATGTTCACTGTCAACCCCATACAATCTGGTATTTCATACCTGCTTTTCTTGTTTATTTTTTCTCCTTTATACTTATCACCAAGTCACCTATTCTTTAATTGTCTGCTCCACCAGAACTTCAACTCTATGAGGGCAGGGGACTATTGATGTTTTGGTTCACTAGTGAATCTCCAGTGCCTATAGCAGTCCCTAGCACATAATTAGCAATATCAATTTCTTGAGTAAGGAAAGAATATTTTAAGGAGATACTTCCCTTGTTGTCTGAATCACAGAATGGCCTGCTTTCATGTACAAAGGCTCTTAGGCACCTAACTCAGTTCTAAAAGGTCAGAGAAATTTGCCAGAGAAGTGGCATCTGAGACCTGAAAGCTAAATAGTCATAAAGAGGGGAACAGGTGAGAAGACACAGCGGGGTACCGAAGTGGACACATAGGTGGCTCACTGGGTATAGGAAGACCCTTGATGTATATTTATTTTTCTAAGAATGAAATAAACTTTGCTCATTTTTAATATACTCTTTAGTACTAGAGTCCTCAGTAGGTACCTGTGTGAGACAGGTAGAGGTCTCTCACTGTCACTAATACTTGGAGAGGTGTCCCCATGGGGAGATGCAGGGGTTCACAACAAAACAGTTTGACAAGACCCTCACTTATTTGTTGTTTTTGCCACATTCTGACTCACTGGGGGTTTCCTGTGCTCAGTTGTATTAATATTATAGTCATTTAAATTGCTTTTAACTATATTAAACTTCACAAAAATGAGCAAGCCCCTTGAAAAAATTCCTGTAAAGAAACTAACTTGTACTGAAGACAATACTATGAAAGCAAGCACACACACAAAAAACCCCAAGGAGGCAGAGGCAGCATTTCACCTCCTCCTCAAAACAGTGACAATCTATTCCCATCAGACAAGAAGGGAGGGTGGTGGAGATAAAATTGCAACCACCAAGACAATTTGAAAAATAAATTTTCATCAATTATTGTTAGCGATTTCAAATAGATTATGCTTAAGCTATTAGCAACACAATGACATAAAACATTATGTTGGAGAAAATATAAAATATAGTCCATCGAAAATTTTATCTTATTTTGGCTTCTTTTTAATTGAGGTATCATTTACAGACGATAAATTACACAGATTTTAAATGTCTGGTTCAATCAACCACTTTTAAACTTCTATCACAAAGATTCCTTTTATCATTTTCTTGTATTTTATATAAATGTAATTATACAGTACATCGTGTGTGTGTGTGTGTGTGTGTGTGTGTGTGTGTGTACTTGGCTTTTTTTTTCTCAACATAATGTGTGTAAAATTTATCTGTGTTGTTTCTATCAGTAGTTTGTTCCTTTTTACTGTGTACTCATGTGCCACTGTAGAAATTTAGCACAAAATTTACATTCATTCTTTCATTGATGAATATTTGGGTTGTTTCAAGTTTTTAGCAATTAAGAATAAGGCTGCTATGGACTTTTTTTTTTGTAAGTTTTGGTGGACAGTTGACTTTATTTCTCTTGTACAAAAACCAGGGAGTGGAATTGCTAGATCAATAAATAAGTGAATTTTTAAGTTTTATAAGTGGTTACTTTTAACATTGACACCAGGAGTGTTTGAGTGTTTTAGTTGCTTTTCATCTTCACCTTCATCCTCATCCTGTCATGTTATCAGTTGATTTAACTTTAGCCATTCTTGTGCAGTGGTATCTCATTATAATTTTAATTTTCATTTATGTGTTTCCTAATATCAGTTGAGCATTTTTTCACATGCTTATAGGACATTTCTATATCCTTTTTGGTGAAATGTTTGTTCATGTCTTTTGCCCATTAATTTTTTTCCATTATTGAGTTTGTATATTCTAAATGGGACTCCTATATCAAATCTGTATTTTATAGACATATAATTCTACATTCATAAATTCAACCATTCATGGATCAAAAATATTAAAAAAATGCATCTGTACTGAACATGTACAGACTTTTTCTCGTCATTATTGCTGAAATAATACAATATAACAACTATTTACAGAGAATTTACATTGTGCTAAATATTACAAGTAATCTAGAGATGATTTAAAGTATACAGGAGAACGTACACAGATTATATACATATATTATACCATTTTATATCAGGGACTTGACCATCCTTAAATTTTGGCGTCATAAGCGGGTCCTGGAACCAGTCCCCCATGAATACCAAAGGATGACTGTGAGTGTATATATATATATATACACGCACACACATATATATGTGTGTATATATGTGTGTATATATATCTGTATGTATGTATATATGTATACATATATATCTATATATGTGTATATAGATATATGTATGTATATATGTATACATATGTGTATATATGTGTGTATGTATATATCTCATATATACATATATACTCACCCAATTATTTTTCTCTATGACTTAACTTTTTGAAATAGTATCTTCTGATGAATAGAAGATTTTTATTCTGATGACGTATAATTTATTATTATTTTTTCTTTAATGGTTTGTGACTTCTGCCTTTTTCCAGAAAATCTTTGCTTATCACAAGGTTGTGAAGATTTTCTTCTATGTTTTCTATTAGAAGATTTATCTTTTTGGCTTTTATTAATATGTTTGGATCTATAATCTATCTCACATTAATTTTGTATATAGCATGAGGTAAGAATCTAGGCTTCTATGGATATCTATTAGTTCCAGCCTCATTTGTTGAATGGACTTTCCTTTCCCTATTGAACTGCTTTGTACTTTCAATGAAAATCAATTGATCACATAAAGTCTGGGTGCAGTGGCTCACGCCTGTAAACCCAGCACTTTGGGAGGCTGAGGTGGGCTGATTGCTTGAGCTCAGGAGTGAGAGAACAGCCTGGACAACATGGCGAAACCCCATCTTTACGAAAAAAAAAAAAAAAAAAAACAAGAATCAGCTGGGCGTGGTGGTGTGCACCTGTAGTCTCAGCTGCTGAGGTGGAAGGGTCACTGAGCCCATGAAGTCAAGGCTTTAGTGAGCCGTGATCATGCCACTGAACTCCAGCCTGGGTGCTGGAGTAAGACCCTGTCTCAGAAACAAATGAACAGACAAAAACCAAAAAAACAAAAAGAAACAAACAATTGATCATACAAAAGGATTTATTTCTGGACTGCATTTTGTCCTGTTGATTGATTTGTCTATACCTATGCAAATACCACACTCTCTTCGTGATTTAGCACTACACTAATCTTAAAGTCACATAGTGTAAGCCCTCCAATTTTATTCTTTTTGAAGATTCATTTGATTATTCCAGGTTCTTTACATTTTCATAAGAATTATAGACACAGCATGCAAATTTCTATTTAAAAATCCTGGTGGGATTATTATTTCGATGGTATTGAATTAAATTCTGCGGAATTGATATCTTAATAATGTTAAGTCTTTTTACCTATAAAGACAGCATATTTCCTCATATATTTAGGCCTTTTCAAATTTCTCTCTGGAGATTTGTAGCTTTGAGAAGAGAAATCTTGTCTATCTTTGGTTAAATTTGTTCCCAATTTTTTTAACGCTTTATGACACTATTGTAAATGGAATTTTATATATTCTTTTGTTTTGTTTTCTAATTGTTGGCTGATAGTACATAAAATTGTAATTAATAGTTGGATGTTGGCCTTGATGTATCCTGAGATACTGCTAAACTCTCTTAATAGTTCCCATAGATTTTTTGAGGGAGAGAGGAGTTGGCGCCTTATGATTTTCTATATTGCTTATACATAGAAAAGTTTGACTTTTTAATTTCAAATCTTCATGCATTTTATTTCTTTTTCTTGCCTTATTAAGCTGGTTAGGGCCTCCAGTGTAATGCTGAACATAAGTGGTAAGAGTGAGTCATCTTGCTTTGCTCCTAATCTTATGGTAAAATAATTTAATATTTCACTACTAAGTGTGATGCCAGCTGTAGGTTTTTCATAGTTGCCTTTTATAAGATTGAAGAATCTTCCTTCTGATCCTAGTTTTCCAAGAGTTATTATTATGAATGGGAATAGAATGTTATGCATTTATTGAGCTGACCATTGAGTTGAGTTGGTTTTTCTTTATTCTGTAGAAATATGAGTTATTTTGATTAATTTTCAAATGTTAAATCCTACTTAGTCATGATGTATTATTCTTTTAGTATATTGCTACATTCAGTTTTCTAATATTTTCTAAGTATGTTTGAGTCAATTTTATAAGGGATATTGGTGTATATATTATTTTCTTGTAAAGCCTTTGTCAGGTTTGGTATCAGCATAATGCTATTATCATAAAATAAGTAGATTACATGTCCCATTCTCTTCTTTCACTTGAAAGAGTTTCCATAGAATTTTTATTATTTCTTCTTTAAGGAGTAGTAGCTTTATTTTTTTTGATAGAATTCACATGCACCTGGATATTTCTGTGTGAAAAGGTTTTTCATAACTAATTCAATTACTTTAATAAATATGAGTCTTTTTGTAGTTTAGCTTTTGTCAGTTTTGTTAAGTTGTATTTTTAAGGGATTCATCTATTTCGTCTATGTTGCTGCATTTATTGACATTATGCTGTTCAAAATAGTTCCTTATTATCCTTTCCATGTGTGTAGGATCTTTAGGGATCTCTTCTCCTCTATAATATATTTTTCTTCTTATTATTGATTTGCTCTTAGGGGTTTATCAATTTTATTAACCTTTTTAAGGAAATATATTTTGATTTTTAAATTTTTAAAGTTGTTCTCCCTAGCATGTTTGTTTTTCACTTTACTGATTTCTACAGTGATCTTTCCATTCTTCTTTCTTGGGGTGTGCTTTGGTCCTCTTTTTCTAGCTTTTTAAGTTTAAAAATTAGATAATTGATTTTAAATTTTCTTCTTCTACAAGAGTATCAGATATAATTTCATTGCAAACTGCCTCCTATAATTTTTGATATGTTATATTCTAACCTCATTCAGTTTAAAATAGTTTCTGATTTCATTTTTGATTTATTTTTGACTCATGGATCATTTAGAAATACACTGTTTAATTTCCAAATATAAGGCATTTTTTCTCATTGTCTTATTGGTATTATTTCTAACTAAATATCATTGTGGTCAGAAAACATACTTTGTAGATATCAATGCTTTGAGGTATAGTTAGCTTGTTTTATGGTGATTAAAAAAATATTTTGTCTAGGTTTTATAATTTTTTTTTTTTTTTTTTGAGATGGAGTCTCACTCTGTTGCCTAGGCTAGAGTGCAAATGGTAAAATCTTGGCTCACTGCAACCTCTGCCTCCTGGGTTCAAGCGATTCTCCCTGCCTCAGACTCCCAAGTAGCTGGGATTACAGGCACACACCACCACACTGGGCTGATTTTTATATTTTTAGTAGAGACAGGGTTTCACCATGTTGGCCAGGTTGGTCCCAAACTCCTGACCTCAGGTGATCCACCTGCCTCGGCCTCCCAATATAATTGTTATATGAAGGAAGGCTATTCCAATCAAATCTCTCCACCTGTGTTAGTTACCTATTGTTCTATAACAAATACCACAATTTGGCCAACTAAAACAACACACATTTATTATCTCCTATTCAGCCATCTTGAAAGAAACCCTACACATTTATTATCTCAAAGTTTCTGTGCATCAGGAGTTTGGGCATGTCTTAGTTGGGTCCCACAAAGCCGTAATTGAGGTATTGCCTGGTTCATGTCTTCTAATGGAGCTCAGGATCCTCTTCCAAGCTTAGGTAACTGTTGGCAGAATTCAGATGCCTGAGTTTGTAGGACTGAAGTTTCCATTTTCTAGAGGCCATAGGCAGTTTGCTGCCATGTAGGTCTCTCCATAGGCAGTTCTCAATGTGGCAGTTTGCTTCTTTAAGGCCAAAAAGAAGAGTCTCTCTCATGCACACTAGGAGAGAGAGAGAGAGTAGAGAGAGAAAGAGAGAGAGACCATTGAGAGATATATGTGTATGCATGTATGCAAACATATATATGTATGTTTATAAGCACATACACACACAGTAATCTAATCTCAGTAGGGGCATCCCATCACCTTTGCCATATCTATTAGCTAGTAAAAAGTCACAGACTTCAGTCATATTCAAGGCAAGAGGATTAGGCAAGGGTGTAGCTCACTGTTTATAAATGTAGAAACCTGCCTTCGGAAAGCGCCCCATGAACTCATCTACACACAAGCACCTGACTCCTTAGCCACTAGCATCACCTCTGGGCACCCAAAGGAAGGAGACAATATGGACAATAACACCGTGGGACCGAGATTATTGGGTTCATGATAGAATTCTGCCTATCACACCACCTTCACTCGAAGGGCAGAATTCTGCTTTCCTTTTAAAAGATGTTTTTGCTAGATACAGAATTCTGTTGGCCCATTTTTTTTAACACATAAAAGATATCATTTCATTGTCTTTAAGCTTACATATTTCTGGTGAGAAGTTAGTTGTGATTCAATTTGTGGTAATATGTTTTCAGTGGATTTTTTTTTCCTCTGGCTGCTTTTAATTTTCATTCTTAATCTCTGGTTTTCAATCAAATAGCTGACTATGATTTGTGGCTTGGTTTTCTTTGTATTTATCCTGCTTTGAGTTCACTCAGTTTTTAGATCTGGAGATTGAAGTATGCTAACTTTTTAACTTAAACTTTTTATTTTGAGATAATTGTAGATTGACATGCAGTTGTAAGAAATAGCACAGAGAGATCCTGTGTACTCTTTATGCATTTGCCTGCAATGGTAGCATTTGTGTAAAACTATAGTACAATGTTACAACTAGGACCTTGACATCAATAAAGTCAAGCTACATATTGTTTCATTACCACAAAGATTTTTCATGTTTCACTTTTATAACCATATTCATTTTCCTCCCACCCTATCTTCTCCTTAATTCCTGATAACCACTAGTCTGTTCTCCACTTGTGTAATTTCATCATTTCAAGGATATTGCGTATATGGAATCATAAAGTATGTAATATTTGGGGATTGGCTTTTTTCACCCATCATAATTCTTTGTCTATTTGTAGTTTGTGCCTTTTTATTGCTGAGTAATAGTTTATCACCATATGAATGCATCACTCTCTTTAACCATTCACCAATTGAAGGTAGCTGGGTTTTTTCCAGTTTTGGAGTATTACAAATAAAGCTCCTATAAACATTCATGAGCAAGTTTCTGTGTGAATGAAAGTATCATTTCTCTGGGGAAAATGCTCAGGAGAAAATGGCTGGGTATGGCAGCTCCATATTTAGTTTCTTAACAGTTTTCATAAGTAATTACATACTTTTCCATATGCATCAGGAATATGTCAATGATCCTGTTCCTCTGCATCCTCACCAGCATTTGGAGTTGCTATTTTTTTATTTTAATTTGATGCATCTCACTATGACTTTAATTTGCATTGCCCTAATGGCTAATGATGTTAAGCATATTTTCATGTGCAATTTGTTTATCTTCTTCAATGAAGTATCTCTTCGTGTATTTCATCCACGTTCTAATTGGATTGTATGCTTTCTTACTATTGAGTTTTGAGTTCCTTATATATTCTATACTCTTGAATATGTGGTTTGCGAATATATTCTCCCATCATTAGCTGACATTTTCATTCTCTAATCAGAGTTTTTCATGGAGCAAAAGTTTTAAATTCTGATGAAGTCAAATTCATCAATTTTTCTTTTATGGGTGTGTTTTTGGTATCATGTCTAAAAACTCTTTCCTACGCCTAGATCCCAAAGATTTTCTTCTATGCTTTTTTTTTTCTGAGTTGGAAGGTTTCAAGTTTAATTTCATATTCAATTTTAGTTAATTCTTGTATAAGATATGAGTCTTAAGTTGAAGTTAATTTTTATAGCAATGCATGTCCAATTGTGCCACCACCATTTGTTGAAAAAGCCATCTTTTCTCCATTGATTTGCTTTTGTACCTTTGTCAAAAGTGAGTTGAACATGTTTGTGTAAGTCTGTTTCTGGATTTTCCAGTCTGTTCCATTGATATATGTGTCTATCCTTATGCTATTATTACATAGCCTTGATTACTGTAGCTATCTAGTAAGTCTTGAAATCTGGTGGACTGATTCCTCCCATTTTATTCTTTTTTCAAAATTGCATTAGCTATTCTAATTTATTTGTTTTTCCATATAAATTTTAGAATATTCTTGCCTAAAATTTAATTTTTAATCTGTATCTACAAATATCCTGCTAGAGTTTTGTTTTGTTTTGTTTTTTGAGACGGAGGTCTCTGTCACCCAGGCTGGAGTGCAGTGGCGTGATCTTGGCTCACGGCAACCTCCACCTCCTGGGTTCATGCCATTCTCCTGCCTCAGCCTCCCGAGTAGCTGGGACTACAGGCACCTGCTACCACGCCCGGCTAATTTTTTGTATTTTTAGTAGAGACGGGGTTTCACCATGTTAGCCAGGATGGTCTCGATCTCCTGACCTCGTGACCAGGATGGTCTCTGATCTGCCCGCCTCGGCCTCCCAAAGTGCTGGGATTACAGGCGTGAGCCTCTGCGCCTGGCCTCCTGCTAGAGTTTTTATAGGAATTGTGTTAAATCTTTGTATTAGTTTGGAAAGAATTGACAGTGACATTTTTATTATGTTGAGTCTTCAATTCATGAACATAGTATCTTTATTTAGTTATTTGATTTCTTTCATCAGCATTGTGTAATTTTGATCATACAAGTCTCACCCATGCTTCGTTTGATTTAGACCCAAGAATTTCCTCTTTTTAAAATCTATTATAAATGGCATTGCATTTTTAAATTTTGTTGTTCATGTGTTCATTGACAGTACATGGATATATAATTGGTTTTCGCATGTTTATCTTTGATCTTGTGACATGGTTGACCTCACTTATTCTAGGATTTTTAAAAATAGATTTTTTGGGGATTTTCTGTGTAGGAAATAATGTCATTTGCAAACATGAAAATTTATATTTCTTCCTTTCTAATTTGTATGCCTTTTATGTCATTTTTTTCTCATGCCATTGACTAGAACTTCTAACTTATGCTGAATAAGAATAGTAAGAATATCTTTGCCTTGTTTCTGATCGTACCAGGAAAGCATTCGGTCTTTCACATTAATATAATGTTGGCATTTTTAAAAATGCCTTTTATTGAATTGAGGAAGTTCCTCTCTATTTCTGTTTCTCTGAAAGTGTTGTCATGAATGGGTATTGAACTTTATCTAACACTGCACTAATAAATAGGATTATGTGACTTTTCTACTTATTAATTTGGTGCATTACATTATTAATTTCCAAATATTGAGCCACCCTTATATTATTGAAGCATGCCCCCTCTTGATGATAGCGTAAAATTCTTTTTTTCTTTTTTCTTTCGGGGGGACGGAGTCTTGCTCTGTTACCCAGGCTGGAGTGCAGTGGCGCGATCTCGGCTCACTGTAAGCTCCGCCTCCCGGGTTCACTCCATTCTCCTCCCTCAGCCTCCCAAGTAGCTGGGACTACAGGTGCTGGCCACCACGCCTGGCTAATTTTTTGTATTTTCAGTAGAGTTGGGGTTTCACCATGTTAGCCAGGATGGTCTCGATCTCCTGACCTCGTGATCTGCCCGCCTCGGCCTCCCAGAGTGCTGGGATTACAGGTGTGAGCCACCACACCTGGCCTGATGATAGTGTAAAATTCTTAATATATATTGCTGAATTCTATTTGCTAATATTTTGTTAAGAATTTTTGTGTCTATCTTAGTGAGGAATGTAGTTTTTATTTCTTAGTGAGTCTGTAGTTTTCATTTTTGTAATCTCTTTGTCTGATTCTGGTAATGTTAACTTTGTAAGATAAAATGAGTAATATTTCTTCCTTTTCTGTGTCGGAAGGAGATGGTGTAGAATTGATATTCCTGCTTCCTAAAAGATCTGGAAGAATTCTAGAATGAAATCATCTAGGCCTGAAGATTTTTTTTTATAGGTTTTAAATTACAAATTCAACTTTTAATATAGTTATAGGAATATTCAAATTATCAATTTAACATTGGGTAAGTTGTGATAGTTTGTTTTTTTCAAGGAATCAGTTCATTTTAACTAAGTCGTCAAATGTTCTCTTGGTCTATCTTGTGTTGTTATAGAAGAATACCTGAGACAGGTTATATATATAATATATTATATATATATGGGTTTACTTGGGTCACAATTCCAGAGGATGGAAGGTCCAAGAAGCATGACACTAGTATCTGCTCAGCTGCTGATGAGGGCCTTGTGCTACATCATAGCATGGCAGAGAAGTGGATGGGGAAGCAGGCGTGCCAGAGGGGCAGAGCATGAGAGGCCATCTGGCATTATAACCACTTACACTCTTGGGAACTGATTCATTCCCTGCAAGAACTAACCCAGGTGCATAAGAAAGACATTAATCAGTCTGAACGACCTAAACTCCTCTTAAAGTCACTACCTCCCAACACCATTACACTGGCAATTCCATTTCAACATGAGTTTTGCCGGTGACACTCAAACCACATCTAAAGTATATGTGTACAATTGTTTGTAATTTTTCATTATGATCCTTTTGATGCTTGCAGAGTCTGCAGTACCTCCTGTTTCATTATTAATTTTGGTCATTTATGTCTTTTCTCTTTTTCTTTGTCAATCTTGCTGCAGTTTTGCTTATTCTAGTGGTCTTTTCAGATAATTATTTGTTTAATTTATTTTCTTTATTGTTTCTGTTTTTAATTTTAATAGTTTCTGCTCTTACAGTTATTATTTCCTTCTTTCTACTTGGTTTGGGTTTATTTTGCTCTTCTATTTTTTTTTTTTTTTTTTTTGAGATCAGAGTTTAGATTATTGATTTGGGACTGTTTGTCTTTTCTAGTATCTACATTTAGTGCTATAAGTTTCCCTTTCAGTGTTGCTTCAGCTGCATCCCACAAATTTTGATGTGTTGTATTTTCATTTTCACTAACTTTATATCTTTTTTTAAAATTCTACTGAGACTTTCTCTTTGACTCATGGATTATTGAGAAATGTGTTGTACATTTTTCAAGTGTTTGTAGTTTTTTTTCTCTTTTCTTTTTAGTTATTGACTTCTAATCTGATTCTATTGTGGTTGGAGGACACATACTGTATGATTTCACATATTTTAAGTTTGTTGAGGTTTCTTTTATGGCCCAAGATGTGATCTATCTTGGCATATGTTCTCTGAGAACTTGAAT
Organism: Homo sapiens; assembly: GCF_000001405.40. Classification (NCBI taxonomy): domain Eukaryota; kingdom Metazoa; phylum Chordata; class Mammalia; order Primates; family Hominidae; genus Homo; species Homo sapiens. Next base: position 16,977,208 of record NC_000004.12, on the reverse strand, counting down.
AAAATGAGTATTCTGCTATTGTTGGGTGGAGTGTTTCATAGATGTTGATTAGATTGTCTTGTTTGATAGTGTTGTTGAATTCTTCTATATCTTTACTGACTTTCTATGTTATTCTATCAATTGTTGAGAGCTTAATGTTGAAGTCTCCAACTATACATGTAGATTCACTGATTTCAAAAATAGTCTCTTTTGACTTTCTGTATCATGGCTGCTCATGTGACTTATCTGTTTCATTTTTTATTTCTAGTTTAGTATATTGAAATTTCTGCCTCCTGGGTTCAAGTGATTCCCCTGCCTTAGCCTCCAAAGTAGCTGGGACTGCAGGCATGCACCACCACGCCTGGCTAATTTTTTGTATTTTTAGTAGAGACAGGTTTTCACCATGTTGGCCAGGATGGTCTCGACCTCCTTACCTGGTGATCCACCCGCCTTGGCCTCCCAAAGTGCTGGGATTACAGGGGTGAGCCACTGCACCTGGCCATTTAGTACATGTTTTATCATAAAACAACATACTAACATAGTAGCATATACATAGATATACATTGAGAATGCATGTTCAGTAAGGATGTATGACCAAGAGCTTAGAGAAAACACCTGAACTAGAAAAGTAGCAGACAAACCTTTTCTCTAGGTTTGTACTGCTGTAGGTCATATAAGTCTTTACATACAACATATAAAAGTTATAGATTTCATAGCAAAGCACTTAATACTTTCTGCCATTCCATTTATTCAAGCAGAATACTGAGTGGTTTGCTTCTTTGCTTATTATGGCCTTTCTCCTTGATGTAAGATCAAGGAGAGAAGTATATCATTTTTTCTTTACCACTGTCTGCCTAATACCGATCCCAAAGCACCCAGCCAGTGCTCAATAAAGATTTTTAAATGCATAAATAAAAGAATTAATAAAACTTGTTTTGAGTTCCTAACCTAGGATCCATCTACCCTGCCCCAAGTTCTCTCCCCGAGTGGGGAGAATTCTCTAGCTTTTATCAGATTCTAAGAAACAATTTATGGAGCTCAAAATATGAAAACTCATGGATTGCAGGATAGGGCGTGAGAGCAGATTAAAAAAAAAAAGAGACATAAAAGGAAAATTCTGATAAATTATTCTATATCTTGATAGGGATGGTAGTTGATGGGTATATGCATTTGTAAACCTATCAAACCACATTTAAAATCTGTACATTTTATTAATTTAAAATTCTATTTAATAATATTAATGGAAAACTCCATTGAGCTTGTTTCATTGTATTTTTTTCACACTAAAATAAAGAAAAGGGCTGTCGACAAATTATCCATTAATATTAAATCCTGATTCTGCTCCAGCCTGCAGGGTAAAGAAGCATTTATAGCCAGTCAGAGCTCTGGATTCTTTTTAGAAACCTTTATTATTCTTTCCTTACATTATCCTCCCCAAATGCTGTTTACTTTTTTTTTCCTGTGCACGTGAAAGAGAAGCCAGCTTAGAACTTTTAAAATCTTCATGAACACAAGGAAAATGAAACAATTTCTGCTGTAAAATTATAACTGATGGCAGAAAGTAATAAAAGACTAAAACTGTTTGGGGAAAATCTGGTTTTTGACATCAATAAGGAGTAACCTGTAAAAGGAAGACATAAAGGAACTAATAGATAATGCTGTTCCTGTATAAACAAGACTCTTCTTGTGTGATTTTACATCAGTGAGACCTGACCTGGTGAGGTACATTGTAAATGCATCTGGAAACCAAAGAGAGCAAATGCAAAATGCCATATCTGCTAGAACTTCAGAAAGTAAAAAGATCACGTAATGTGGAAAAGCTTTCTCATAACAGAAATGATAATGACACCTCTGTTTTCTGAGTTAGGTCTGGCAATTTTGATGGCATGTATTCATTCATCTTATAAGTTTCATGTGCGTCCGTGTGAAGAGACCACCAAACAGGCTTTGTGTGAGCAATAAAGCTGTTTATTTCACCTGGGTGCAGGCGGGCTGAGTCCGAAAAGAGAGTCAGGGAAGGGAGATAAGGGTGGGGCCGTTTTATAGGATTTGGGTAGGTAAAGGAAAATTACAGTCAAAGGGGGTTTGTTCTCTGGCGGGCAGGAGTGGGGGTCGCAAGGTGCTCAGTGGGCAGGAGTGGGGGTCGCAAGGTGCTCAGTGGGGGTGCTTTTTGAGCCAGGATGAGCCAGGAAAAGGACTTTCACAAGGTAATGTCATCAGTTAAGGCAAGGACCGGACCGGCCATTTACACTTCTTTTGTGGTGGAATGTCATCAGTTAAGGTGGGTCAGGGCATATTCACTTCTTTTGTGATTCTTTAGTTACTTCAGGCCATCTGGGCGTATACGTGCAGGTCACAGGGGATGGATGGCTTGGCTTGGGCTCAGAAGCCTGACAATAAGTGTTCATAAAAGCCCCATTTGTGTAAGGGATAGTGCCAGGTCTGGGGTTCACCAATGGACATGGACTGGTACCTGCCATTGAGGAGCTTCTATTTTAGTAAGGGACAGGGACCTAAAACAGAAAGCAGGACATGGTGAGTGTTGTGATGGTGGCACATGCCATGTGTATGGGATGATGGAGGTGGAGGGACACTTGTTGCTGAAGAAGTCATGTCAGCCTTTTTTCTGGGGGTAATATTGAAGCGAGGTTTTCAGATCTGATTTGATTGACATCTTATTGGTTACTGCTCTGTTCCAGGCTTTTGTATACACATTCTCTTGGTCAATCATATAACGTAATACCTCAGGATGTAGGTAACATTCTCCTCATTCTCCTGAAAGAGTAACCCGATGTTTGAAAAAGTAAGTAAAACATTTTGTCCAAGTAGGCAGTGAGCGGCAGAGCAGGATTTGAATGCAGGGTTTTGATGGCAAGTGCAGCCTTTGTTTCTTTTTTCCTCCCTCCTTTATTCTTTGCTTCTTACCTGTTTTTTCCTTCTGGTGTCCTTTCTGCCATTTGGTACTAGATATTAGAAAATTGAAGGAAAAATAGGTGTTTGGAACTGGAAAAGCTGGCAAAGAGCATCTCAGTTCCCATCTACCACCACCCCTGGCCCCGAAAAAAGCCGATATGGACCAAAGGCCTAGAGGCGTAATATTATGTTCAGACAATAGTCCAGGGATGGCGGAAAGTTTTCAAGTTCATATCCCATTGTTCACATTTCCCTATTGTCTATTGGAATGTCCTTCCACTCCAGCTCTGTGCATGGCAATCACTGTGTTGAAATTCCGGCTCCAATAACATATTTTCACACTGAATGATTCCTTATTTTTTTGGAGTTTGAGGTCTCAATGTGATATTTCACAAATTTGGAAGGAGGAAAATAGAGTTGCCCTCTAAAATATAAAATTTACCAGTTATAAAATCATAACAGAGATGTTCAAGGTCTTAAGGAAAAAGGATGATGTCTAAGTCATTACACGTCTATGGCTTCATTGACTGGACAGCCAAATGAAAAGACCCATGGTGCAGCATGGAGGAATCCCAAGGAAAATACAGCAGTGCTCTTCTCAAAACAGTTCAAGAAAGCCCACATTTGTATCTTCAGGTCTCGGTGGGAAAATGATTCTTATTGTAAAATGTCTGCATTGGAATAAATCAATTAAATACTCTGCTATTTTGACAAACTCATTTTGTTCTGATTCGTCCTCACTCAGCACCTTCTAATTAGGTTATGGATCCTTGATCAAGTTGGGCTGGAGCAAGGGAAAGCCTTGATCATGCCAAAGAAGTCGCTGTGGCCCAATGGACAACATTTTTCTGCATGAATTAACATATCAGTGTCTGTGTTGTAGAAGAATCTTGGTGGAAAAATTCTACAGATCTGAGACCTTTAACAACACCATGTGATGATTATTACTGCTTATGGGCAGCAAATGGGATTAGCAGACTGTGATATTGGCAAAAGAAAGCTGATATTCTTCTTTCCCGAAGGTATACTACATCAAAGACGGAAAAAAAAAGGTAACCCCAGCAAAAACTTTTGCCCAAACTCTCTTTGTTTACAGTCTCTGCTGGCTTGATTTCGATGCTTCTATTACAGAAATGCAAGAAACTTCTCCTTCTGTGTCCTGTAGAACATGACAGAGGAGACTTATGGCTGAACATCGGCACAGACCCATCATTAGTTTCTCCTTTAAAAGAGGTCAATAAAAAGACTCAAAAACATGGAGAAAAACTGCCCACCTGGCCTGCAGCAACTTGGCTACAATGCATGGATAACTCCTTTTCTTATGTGTCCTCAAATCATTAAATGGTTAGCTCTCAGCTCAGAATGCAGCATCATTTTGGACACTTAAAGATTCTCACTTCAAGTCTGTGATGACTGGTGGGCAAAAGTCTAACAGGTAATGCCTAGTATAGAGTAATTGTCCATTAAATGTTTGTTGGATGACAGTTCCTATACCTTGATTGTTTCCTCCCTGAAGTCCTACCACACTTGTAAGTGTCACAAAAGTAATAGTGTATACAGATTAACCTTTTTTATTTTGCTTATTCTTACCTACTAGACTATACATTCATTAAATCCACAGATTATATGTCCTTGTGTCTTTGCTGTTGGTGTACTGCCTGGTACCCGTCAGGTATTCCAGTGATCTTGTTTCTGCAGTTAGGTTATTAAAAGGTTCATGAGTAGCATCCATAATAAGTCTTTTATGTACCTCTCAATATTTAAGACAGAGTTGTTCCATGCAGTTGGCACACAATAAATGTTACTGACAATGACACTGAGGGATTGAGAAGAAAAAAATTCACCTTTCTTGAGATTCTGAGCCTGTATCTATCTTGGCTAAGTAATTATGCAGATAATTAAGGCTAAAAAGAAACTTGCTGTTTTCATTTGCACGGAACTGCCAGGAGTCTAGGTCTGCGGTGATCAAAGTCTCTAGGTGATGGTTTAACTCCTTGTCTCCCCAACCTTTACAGACAAACCCATAGCACTGAGCCATCCCAGAGAGCCAAAAAGAGCTAGAGTTAAAATAACAGTCGAGCGTCGGATTTAAGAGGGAGAGACAAAGAGTATAGATATGTCATTTTTATCTTTAGAAAAATAATCACCTCACTTGCTGCATTTTGGTAAATGGTGAGTAGATGCCTATGAAGATAATGATGAAAATGCTGAATGAAATTGCTGAGCGAGGTCAAGAGTGGACTGTGGGAGATAGGTATTTGGTATTTGCTGTTAAGATAAAGGATGGCCCTCACTCTCACCTTCCCCCCACTTTCCCCATTTATCGCCAACTATGAAGTCTTTTCTAATTGTCCTTTTTAGGGAAACCCTGTCTACTAGGCACTCGGAGAAAAATTAAAGCCTGGGAGGGAAGCAATAATGCTAGTGTTTCCAGGCACACAGAAAAGAAGAGACCACTCCAGGTCCACGCAAATGTGAGGAACAGAAAATGAGAGATGGGCTGGGTGAGGATCCCTGGGATCCAGGGGCTGTAGGTCAGTAAAAACGGGCTGCTTTTGTAAAGACCTCCTCTCTGGATGTCGGGTCGTTTCTCCCACACAGCCACCAAACAAGGCAAGCATTCGCTTAACACTTTTTTCTTTCCTTTCTTTTTCTTTTTGGTCATTAACTAAGGCATTTATTAAATACTTTTACGACAGGCCCTCACATGTGTGGTTTCAGTGCATATGTGGTGTACGTGTAAACACTGCTGAATTAAATTTAAAATTACAATGAACTTTGTCAAGAGTGCATGGAGAAATGTCAAATAACTGCTATGGAAAATAATATATAGTTCTTCCTTAATATAATAGATCTTAATGTTGGTTCTCTTATATGTTTAAAATAAGAATTACTACAACAACAAAAAAAACCCACAGAAGTATCTCATCCATTACTGTTAATGCTGGTGAACATCATATGGGTTATAATTTTAATATTTTTTTCTTTTGCAATGTATTAAATAATTATTCTTGTGCAATAACTACATGCATTTAAAGTGTGCAATTCAAAGAGGAGGTCATGGGAATCCCAACTTGAAGCCAGTGGGTCAGAAGTTCCTGAGGCCTAGACTTGCAACTGGTGTCTAAGGGGGCATAGTCTTGGGGACTGAGCTCTCGACCTATGGTATCTGACACTGTCTCCAAGTACATAGTGTCAGAATTTAATTGGAGGATACTCAGCTGGTGTCCACTGCTGGTTGGTGGAGAAAAACCTCCACACACTGGGCTACAGGAGTCTTCTGTGTTGATTGCTTGTGGTATGAGAGCAGAGGAAAAACCTGGTTTGAGAGTTTTTCCAAAACTTAATTTTTTTTTTTTTTTTTTTTTTTTTTTTGAGACAAGGTCTCACTCTGTCACCTAGCCTGGAGTGCAGTGGCACAATCTTGGCTCACTGCAACCTCCACCTCCCAGGTTCAAGCGATTCTCCTGCCTCAGCCTCCCAAGTAGCTGGGATTACAGGCGCATGCCACCATACCTGGCTAATTTTTGTATTTTTAGTAGAGATGGGGTTTCACCGTGTTGGCCAGGCTGGTCTCGAACTCCTGACCTCAGGTGATCTGCCCGCCTAGGCCTCCCAAAGTGCTGGGATTACAGGCATAAGCCACCATGCCTGGCTCCAAAATTTAAATATTTAAGGTGCTGGATATCCTAATTACTTTGATTTCATTATTAAAATGTATCAGATTACCCCATATACACCAAAAATATGTATATCTTATATGTAAATAAAATAAATAAATATAATTATGGTAAATCTTAAAAAGTGTGTGCAATTCATGAGTTTTGGCAGTGGCATACACCCACAAAAGTGCCACCACAATCAGGATTCAGAACATGTTTATCATCCCTCAGAAATCCTCAAGCCCCTTTTCAGTTGATTCTGCCCCACTCTCTCCCTCCTCGGGCCTCAGGCAAACACTGAACTGCTTTTTGTCACCATGGATTGGTTTACATTTATATAAATGGAATTATACATGTGTCTGGCATCTTTCACGCAGTGTGATGCCTTTGCGTTTCATCTATGTTGTTGGGTGTCAGTGGTACACACTTTTTAAAATCACTGAGCCATATTCCATGGCATGGGTTACACTAGAGCTGGCTTGACCGTTCACCTGCTAGTGGACACTTTTGTTTCACCCAGTTTTTGGCTGTTGTGAATGAAGCTACTTTGACTATGTATATACAAGTCGTTGTGTGGATGTGTGCTTTCATAATACTTAGGCTGACTCATGTCCTTTTGAAGAGGTGGGAAAACGAATGGCTCGGAGATAATGGAACTAGGCCAAGGTTGCAAATAACTGACAGGGCAAGGCCTTGAACTCAATTCAATTCAACTTCAAACTCAGTTTCTGAAACTGAGCACAGTCTGGTGTTACTGGTTGAGAGTGCAGGCTCTTTAGAAGCCAAGAGAGGCTCTAAATCCCTGTTGGCATGTTGCTGCGTTAGCCTCCCGATTTCGTTTATTTCTCAATACACTTGTTGAGCTGTACTAAGTGCTCGGCTCTGGGCCACATGCTGGTGTTAGCTACAGAAACGACTAAGACAGGTCCCTGGCCCAGCTGAGGCATAGTGTGATTCTCCAATAGGGTCAGTAGCAGGGAATGCACGTGTTCTAAGTGCTGTGAATGAACAAAACTCAGGTTCAGGCCAAAAAACATGGAGGGAACCCAAGCTGCTTCGTGTTGCTCAAAAACGGGACACAGGAAGTGGGGCCTCCATTTTCAGGGGCTAGAAAGGAAGCTTGAATGACACAAAGCAAGGGCGGGCTGAAGACTGGGCAGAGCTATGACCTCTTGCTCCTGTGAGGCAGGGAACCACTCCTCAGCTCCAGCTGATTTGGGCCAGGCCCGTGGACATCAGTTGACGTAATGCTAAAGATGGCATTCACTGGTCAAGCACTGTTGTATTTATTTTCTATATTATTGCCCCCATTTTACTGAGGAAAGAATTAAGGCATGAAAAGTAACTTCTCTTTCCTCAAGAGAAGTAGAAATGTGCACCTTTCAATCAAAATATTCAAATTGGTAGGCTGATTAAAATTAGTGTCTGAGTTGGATGCTGTACACCTTGCAGTTTGAGATCTTTGCACTGCATCCCGTACAGACTCATATGCTGAATGAAGGAAATTGGACTCTATCCTGGGGCAAGGGAAAGAAGCGATAGGGTTTAAGCAGAGGCAGTGATTTCAACTTCAATTTTGGAAAGATCATCCTGACTTTTAAAGGCGAGAGGCTATGACAACACATTCAGGACTAGTGGGAGGCAAGTCAAGTGCCCAGCAAGCAACACTGGAGGAGACGCCCACTCTCAGGGCTGTTATGCAAGTGCCCCAAACAAAAGATTTAAACCAGCTAAATAAAAATGACAGCAGATTATAAGATGTCAGGCTGGACAGGACCGGAAATAATATCAGAAATGGGGGTCTTCCTGGCCTTAGGTCACATGAATTCAGCCTGGGGGTGGAAATAAATTTATCTACATTTGACTTCTGGATCCTTCACTTACCATCCCAGGGACCTGGCGCAGATCTCCTGAACTCTGAGCCGCTGGGTCTCTTCTTCTGTCAGCAAAGGCAAGAATTTGCTTTAAAGTTAGTGTGGGCATCAAAGGAAAATAAATCTTGTCATCTTGGGGAAGAGGGTGTTTATAGTAACCCCATGTGGTGGTGGATGGGGTGGGGGAGGCAGCTCTTTTTAGGACCCTGGGTCTGGAGGTTCCCAATCCATGGGAGACCTAGACTGGGTCAGGACAGCAGTGTTCCTGGCCCTGGTCCTTGCTGGGCTGTGGGGCCCTTAGTAACTCACATTACCTCTCTTGCTTTATTTCCTTCTGAAAATATGATGGTTGGCTTAGATTTCTAAGGTTCTTTCGAACTCTGCAAGAAAAATATATATCTACAATTATATAAATGCAGAGAAAAGAATGAAAAAGACTAGGAACCTCTCAGTCTGAGATTATATCTGGATTTATCACACTATGTGGTAAAGAGGATTTTTTTTCTTGTCTATTCTTGATATTTCCCATCTTTTCCAATTTTGATTGTGCTCCATTGTAAGAAACTGGCCTGAAATCAAGGGCTTGGTGATGTGATTTTAAGAGTCCAGGTGAACCCTTCTCTGAAGACACCACCTCCTGTTTACTGTTCGTTATTTTGTGGGAACAGAGTCTTCCTTGGAGGCACTTTTAAAAATGCAAACATCCAGTGGGAATGTTCTCCAAGGGCAGCTTTTGCTATTTTTAAGCCTCCACCCTTGACACTGCAGCTGCCTCTGAGTCCCCACTTCTTTCCCGGGTTTCCACACATGGCAGGCGGCAATTTGGCTCCTCTGAGAAGTGCTGGCTGGGCTTCTAGATTCAGCAAGAGCCCAGGCTTCTTTCTGCATTTCCAGAAATGGAGGGAGTGATTCAGATCAGATCCCCAAGATTAAGAGGTTGTATCTCTCTTCTGAGAGTTAAGCTGAAGCCAAACGTTATGTAACAAAGCAGATATGTGTCTACAAAAACAAGAGCGGTTATAAAAGTGCTTATGTAGCCCCGAGGACAAAAGCATTAACAGCTGGCACTAGAATTTTGTCTGGAGGGGGACTTGATTTCTCCAGGAAATTCCTTTGATTAGCCTCTTGGGGGCGGAACCCTGAGGGCATTAGTGGAGGGTGCGGGCGAGGGGTGTGGGGAAAATAATGAAAGTGTTAAAATGGAAGGAGAAAGGGAGGTGGTAAATAGAAAAAGGAAGATGAATATGGTGGGATATCAGGGCCGAGTTGAGGTACATTTTTTTTTTTTTTTTTCTGAGACAGAGTCTGGCCTTGTCACCCAGGCTGGAGTGCAGTGGTGCAAACTCAGCTCACTGCAAGGTTCGCCTCCTGGGTTCACGCCATTCTCCTGTCTCAGCCTCCCGAGTAGCTGGGACTACAGGCACCCACCACCACGCCCGGCTAATTTTTTGTATTTTTCAGTAGAGACGGGGTTTCACCGTGTTAGCCAGGATGGTCTCGATCTCCTGACCTCGTGATCTGCCCACCTCGGCCTCCCAAAGTGCTGGGATTACAGGCGTGAGCCACCACGCCCTGCCTGTTGAGGTGCACTTTTAACAATTAACAGTGGTGATTGTGCCAGCTAACATCTCCTGAGGACTTACTATGTGCCACATGATGCTTCAGGCTTCAGGTAGACTGTCTCGTATCACCGTCCTATGTTTAGGGGTAATGTTTATCCCTGTTGTACAGATGTAGAAACTTGGCAAAGGGGTCAAGCAACTTGCCCAACATTTCAAAGCTAGTGAGAGGAACAGATTTTGTAAAAGGTCCAGTATCAACTTGCCTTGTGTGTATGTTATAACACCCTCTGTCTTCCCAAGAGTTCAGTAAATGGATTCTGCTCCCAGGGAGGGCTGTTCAAGGATCTACTAGATCTAGAAGGACTTATAAATCTTCGTTCAACAACACTGGCTAGTCTTGACAGATGAGACGTAGAAACCTGGGCCTACATGATGCAGGCTCAAATTGTTGAAGTCAAGACTAGGACTAGACTTCAAATTTTCCTACTCTTGGTCCCCAGAGCTCTTGCTGTTTGGTAAAGCTGTGAATTTAGGTATGCTTTGTTTGTGGACACCTCCCAGAGTTATAAAAGCAAACTCCTTAGCTAAGCATATAACGACCTTTATACTGTGTCCTAGGATGGCCTCTCAGCCCTGCTAATACCTACTCCACTGCACTTTATTCTGGCCGGAAGCAGTGTGGGCAGCAAGCTGGACTGAGTGGGCAGAGGTGAGGTAAAAATTCAGCAAAACGAACAGTGGCTTTGTTCTAATGGCAACAAAGAGAAGGAAACACATACGTGCAATACAGCAGGTGGTGGAAATACTAATAAGAAAAGTAAGGAAACCGTAAGGCTGGAGGCTGCCATGCTGGATAGCTTAGGCTGAGAAGGCTGCTTGGTGAGATGACAGAGCAGAGATCTGAAAATGGAGCCATGTGGGAGAAGGGAGTTTCAGGCAGGAGGCCCCTCAAGTGCACATTCGCTGAAGCAGGAACGTGCTGGTGTGCATGCTTCTTGTTTATATTTGTTCGTTGCTGTGTAAACTCCACTTGTAGAACAGTGTCTGGGCACATAATAGGTGTTTAATAAATATTCTTTGGATGAATGACTGAGGTGAGTAAGAATGTCAAGGACTTAAATAAGGGATATCTCAGGGAAAATGGATAGAAGGAATTGGCAAACTGTCTGGAAAAGGGTAGTAAATATAAAAGATATATTTAGAGTAAATATTAAAGGAAACATTAAAGTAAATGTAAAAGATATATTAAAAAATAGTAAATACAGGCAGTTAGTAAATATTTTAAGCTTGCTGGGCCCTACCATCTCAGTCACAATGATTAAACTCTGCCCAAGTGGCACCAAAGCTGCCAAAGATGATATGTCAGTGAATGAGCTTGCTGTGTTCCAACAAACATTTATTTACCAAAATAGGTAGTGAGTTGGGTTTGGCCCATGGGCTGTAGTTTGCAGATCCCTGAGATAGAAGAAGGGACAGATCCAACAGATGTCAGGACTCTAAATTTCAAGACTACTAGATGTTTAAGGAAAGAGTCAAAGATGAGTGTCAGACTCTTCTCTATAGCAATAAAACAAAGTTGGTATAATTCCCTAAGATCATGGAAAGTCAGATTTAAAGGGAGAACAATGACACACCTAGATAGATGTTCAATGGATCTGGGTGTCAGGGGTAGGAGTTCATGGAGACATAGGTTTTTAGGTAGTCTTCACTTAACTGGAAGTCAAAGGCTGGAACTTAAAGCACTTGCCAGGAGAGCTTGTAGACAGAAGAGAAAGAGGTCTTTCTCTTAGCTATCATCACCTTGGGGTCCTTGAGGAGAAGACAAGGAGATTGACTTCAGCACATAAGGAAAGAAATTCACTGTGGGCAGAAAGACACTTTTCCCACTGTGGTGGAGTCAAGAACAGTTGAGTATAGCACCAGGTAAGTTGGAAACTACAGCAGGAGCTGAGGGATGGCTTACCTGAGGACCCCACTTTTCCTATAAAGCTGGATGCCAAGTCTTCTCTTTGTGGCGTGGGGCATCTGGAAGGGAGCCGTGAAACAGGACACAACCATGGTGGGTTGGACAGGGAAGCTCACTTACTGGGAGAGCTTGTTAGTGGTGGAATCTTATGCCTTGCAGAAAAAGAATTCTTTCTCCCTTCATTTGGTTCATTCTTGAAGACCATGCTCTGTTGTCATCTTCTCCGTGAAGTCCTCCATGGCTCATCCCAGCAATTACAATTGCTTTCCCCTAGACTTTGGGTTGCCCAGTGTGCTGCTTGCTCATTCATCCATTTGTTCATTAAAAAAAAACTTCCCTTAGGCTCTGCGATTACCCCTCTGCTATCTTCTATATTGCTCTCATTCTACCACCTTGCAGTAGAAAGCCAGTCTCAGGAAAAAGATTAGAAAGGACCCATATTATTCTGAAAAATTTTCAATATACTTTATACTTGTGACTTAAGTATTGATTCCAGTTTGTATATCTTTCAGGTAAATGCAGATCCAAAATTAGACTTTGTGTGGGACCAAAAATTCCATCAAGGGTGATTTTTGGCAGGGCGGAGTCCCTTCTTTCAGGAAGGTACATTTTTCTACTAGGCACCCATGAAGATAGAGCCCAGGATAATGATGACAAGGGATTTAGAGTTGGACAGATACACCATGGTAGATGTCATATAGGGAAATTGCCTTGATGCAACCATGACCTCAAGTTCAATACCACAGTTCTAGAGGTTAGAAGGCCAAGATCAAGGTATCCACGGGGATAGTTTCTTCTGAGGCGTCTCTCCCTGGCTTGCAGATGGTTGTTGTCTTCTCCCTGTGTCTTTATATCGTCTTCATTCTGTGTCTGTGTCCTAATCTCCTCTTTTTATAAGAACACCAGTTATATTGGATTAGGACCCACTTTTATGACCTCATATTAACTTAGTAACTTAACTTACTAACTTTAGATACCCTGTCTCCAAACATAATCACCTTTTGAGACACTAGGGGTTAGGATATCATCATGAATTTTGGGGGGTGCAAGGCAGCCCATAACAAGCATCTGTGGGAATACCTTAGAGATATTGCAGGTTCACTTCCAGACCACTGCAATAAAACAAACATTGCAACAGGTGAGTCACACAAAAGTTTTTGTTTCTTGGCGCCTATAAAAGTTATGTTTGCACTGTATTTAATGTGCAGTATGTCTTAAAAAAAGTACATACCTTAATTTAAAAATAATTTATTGCTAAAAATGCCAATATCACCTGAGCCTTCAGCAAATCATAATCGTTTTGCTGGTAGAGAGCCTTGCCTCCATGTTGATGGCTGCTGACTGATCAGGGTGGTGGCTGCTGAAAGTTGGGGGTGCTTGTGGCAATTTCTTAAAATAAGATAACAATAAAATTTCCCCCATCAGTTAACTTTTTCTTGCATGGAAAATTTCTCTGGAGCATGAAATGCTGTTTGATAGCATTTTACCCACAGAAGAAGATTTTCAAAGTTGGAGTCAACCTGTCAAATCCTACCACTGCTTTATCAACTCAGTTTATATAATATTCTAAATCCTTTGTTTTTATTTCAATAATGTTCATAGCATCTTCACCAGGAGTAGATTCCATTTCAAGAAACCATGGTTTTTGTTCATTCATAAGAAACAACTCCTCATTCTTTAAAGTTTTATCATGAGATTGCACATCTTCAGGCTCCACTTCTAATTCCTATTCTCTTGCTGTTTCAACCACACCAGCAGGTACTTCCTGCACTGAAGTTTTGAACCCCTCAAAGTCAGTCATGAGGGTTGAAATCAACTTCTTTTGAACTTCTGTTAACGTTTGATATGATTTGGCTCTGTGTGCCTACCCAAATCTCATGTTGAATTGTAATCCCCACATGTCGGGGAAGGGGCCTGGCGGAAGGTGACTGGATCATGGGGGCAGACTTCTTTGTTGTTCTCCTGATAGATAAAGTTCTCATGAGATCTGATTGTTTGAAAGTGTGTAGCACCTCTGAAACTGATTTTGCAAAATAATAACTGAGGAAATTATGACAGTAAGAGAAATCAGAACTAACTGACTCTATCTTGCTTCTAACCCTTAAGCTGTCCTTGTTTATTCCTGGGCATAGGCCGAACTAACTTTGGGAAGGAATTCTGTTCATGGTTTGACTCTGAAACAAAATTGATGACAGCCCTTTCCCGAAAAGACCCCCTTCTTCCCTGGGGTCCAGTCTGCCTTTGCAGGACTAACAAATTAGCTACAAGATTAGAAATTACAATTTAGGGGTCATGCAGCCTCTGACTCCAAGAGTCTGAACCTCCCCAAATTGCTCATGGGTGTAACATCACTGTTGTAAAACCTAAGATCAGTGCTTAAGATATTTTGTAGACCCTGTACTTGATGGATCAGCTGACATCACTCAGACTGGTAATCTGGCCCAATCAGTTCTGCCATTGCACCCAGAAACAGAAGACATTAAGAAAACCAGATTTCTATGGCTGGGCGCTGTGGCTCATGCCTGTAATTCCAGCACTTTGGGAGGCTGAGTTGAATGAATCATTTGAGGTCAGGAGCTCAAGACCAGCCTGGCCAACATGGTGAAACCTCATCTCTACTAACAATACAAAAAATTAGCCTGGCATGATGGCGCGCACCTGTAATCCCAGCTACTTGGGAGGCTGAGACAGGAGAATTGCTTGAACCTGGGAGGTGGAGATTGCAGTGAGTCAAGATTGTGCCACTGCACTCCAGCCTGGGCGACAGAGCGGGACTCTGTCTCAAAAAAAAAAAAGAAAAGAAAACCCAACTTTGAGCCCCCTCCATGATTCCATCTCCAACCTGATCAATCATCACTCCCCACTTTCCAAGCCCCTACCCACGAAATTATCTTTAAAAACTCTGATCCCTGAATGCTCCAGGAGACTGATTTGAGTAATTGTAAAACTTTGGTCTCCCACACAGCCGGCTCTGCGTGAATTACTCTTTCTCCATTGCAATTCCCCCATCTTGATAAATCAATTCTGTCTATGCAGCAGGCAAGGCGAACTCATTAAATGGTTACACTTCCTTCCTTGCCCTCTGTCTCCTGCCATCATGGTAAGACATATTGTTTTCCCTTCGCCTTCTGCCATGACTGTAAATGTCCTGAGGCCTCCCAGTCATGCTTCCTTACAGCCTGTGGAACTGTGAGCCAATTAAACCTCTTTTATTCATAAACTATCCAGTCTCAGGTAGTTCTTTATAGCAGTATGAGAATGGACTAATACAATGTTGATATTTTGACCTTCGTCCGTGAATTACAAATCTTCTTAATGGTATCTAGAATGGTGAATCCTTTTCAGAAGGCTTTCAATTTACTTTGCCCAGATCCATCAGAGGAATCACTATCTATGAAGCTAAAGCCTTATGAAATGTATTTCTTAAATAATAAGACTTGAAAGTTGAGATTACTTATTGATCCATGGGCTGTAGAATTAATATTGTGTTAGCAGGTGTGAAAGCAGCATTAACCTAGTATGTTTCCATCAAAGCTCTTGGGTGACCAGGTGCATTGTCAATGAGTAGTAATGTTTGGAAACAAATCTTTTTCTCTGAGTAGTAGGTCTCAAATATAGGCTTGAAATATTCAGCCAATAATGCTGTAAACAGATGTTCTGTCTTCCAGGCTTTGTTTTTCCATTTGTAGAGCACAAGCATAGTAGATTTAGCATAATTCTTAAGGGTCTTAAGATTTTTTGAATGATAAGTGAGTGTTGGCTTCAATTTAAAGTCACTAGCTACATTTGCCCCTAAGAAGAGAGTCAGCCTATTCTTTGAAGCTTTGAAGCCAGGCATTGGCTTCTCTTTTGCTATGAAAGTCCTAGATGACATCTTCTGCCAGTAGAAGGCTGTTTTATTTATATTGAAAATCTGTTGTTTAGTGTAACCACCTTCATCAATGATTTTAACTAAATTTTCTGGATAACTTGCTTCAGGTTTTCCATCAGCACTTGCTTCTTCATCTTGCACTTTTATGTTACAGAGACAGCTTCTTTCCTTAAACCTCATGAACTAAATTCTGCTAGCTTCAAATTTTTTGTCTGTAGCTTCCTTACCTCTCTCAGCCTTCATAGAATTAAAGAGACTCTTAGAGCCTTTCTCTGGACTAGGCTTTAGCTTAAGGAAATGTGGCTGGTTTGGTCTTCTATCCAGATCACTAAAACTTCGTCCGTATCAGAAATAAGGTTATTTCACTGTCTTATCATTTACTTATTCACTGGAGTAGCACTTTTAATTTCCTTCAAGAACTATTCCTTTGCATTCACGATTTGGATAACTGGCACAAAAGGCATAGCTTTTGGCTTATCTCAGCTTTTGATCTGCCTTCCTCACTAAGCTTGATCATTTTTAGCTTTTGATTTAAAGTGAGAGATGTGTGACTCTTCCTTTCACTTGAACACTTACAGGCCATTGTAAGGTTATTAATTGGCCTAATTTCAATATTGTTGTGTCTCAGGGAATATGGAGGCCTAAGGAGAAGGAGAGAAAAGGGAGAATGGTTGAATAATGGAGCAGTCAGAACACACAACATTTATTGGTTAAGTTCACTGCCTTATATGGGTGCAGTTCATGGCCTTCACTAATTACAGTAGTGACATCAAAGATCACTGATCACAGATCACTGTAGCAGATATAATAATAATAATAATAAAGTTTGAAATATTGGGAGAATTATCAAAATGTGATGTAGAGACACAAAGTGAGCCCATGCTGTTAGAAAAATAGCACTGATAGACTTGCTTAAAGTAGGGTTGCCACAACCTTCAATGTTTAAACAGCATGCTATCTGGGAGGTACAATAAAGTGAAGTGCCATAAAATGGGGTATGCCCGTTACCTGCTCCAGACAGTATTCAAAGATGCTAGAGATACAGCAATGAATGAAAACAGGGGAGAGGGGAGGTGAGTACTAATAATGATAAATTATAGGAAGACAGCAAATGACAGGTTGCATAGTTGGAAGTTTCCTTGAATGAGAGGAAGTGCTTTGGGAAAGTCTTGCCCCTCCAAGCCATGTGATAAAGAAGCTCCATTCTGCAACTTTCTTTCTTGCTGCCCCTCCCATGTCCACTTGAGGGGGACATGTCCTCTCCTTTCTGCTTCCTGATAAGCCTCTAGCATATTTTCCTCATTGTGTCGTGTGTGTGTGTGTGTGTGTGTGTGTGTGTGTGTGTGTGTGCGTGTGCCTGAGCTGCTCTGCAATATGGTTCAGTGCCTGGCATGTAGAAGATACTCAATAAATCTTTGATGAATAAATGAATAAAACCGGAACAGTCTCTGCCCTGTAGGCTTTGCAGTCAAGAGTATGTGGACTTAGGCTATGGGTGAGGCAGAATTATAACAAGCAGCAGAAAACTCAAGAATCTGGGACAGCTAAAAGCTTCTTGTCTGCTTCCCTGCCATCAGCGGCAGGGTTTCTGCAATGCAAAGGTGGATAAAAACTTTTGTTGGCTGTTTAAAATAAAACATGAAGAGTAAACATTTTATTGTAGTTTTTAATTGTGAGGCTTTCTGCAAGAATGGGGGAGAGACAGTTCTGTTTACTCACAAAGGTAAGCCTGAAACTCTGATTTCATTTACAGTGCAAGGAAAGTAGGGGGAGTGGAGAGGGTAAGTTGGGATATTAGCACAAGTACAATTTAGTGAGTTCTTACATGCCTGGCACTTTGTTCAACTCTTTACATATGTGATTTCATTTAATCCTCATGTCAGCAGGACAGTTCTGAATGCCTTCATTTTGAATACCAGGAAACTGCTCAGACTGTTTGAATAACCAGCTCCAGGACACACAGCTTTCCCATCTCAGAGCCAGGATTTGTCTGGGCCCTTCTGACTGCATTGTACCTACTGTTGCCCTCTCTCCTTAGATTCCCTTTCTCCAAAGATGCCTCAGTCGTCTCTTCTTGTCCCTCGTGTTATTTCCTTCCACAGTTTCTCCCTTGCACAACCTTGAGCTGTGCACTGGTACTTTGCATCTTAGCTAAGCTCCGGCTCACAGATTCTGAATCAAGAGATGACATTAACAAACCTGTAGACACATGGTTGAGTTAAAAAGTCATTTTTGTCTTGTTTTTTCTTTGCTGAGCTTGGTACTCACATAGAAGACAAAAACCAAGGCAATTAACTTTCAAGAAATTACGTTGCCAAATTTTGCTCTGTGAAATAGTCAATGCATGAATCTTTTTTTGAAGATATGGCCCCCTTGGTTGACTTAAGTTAACTGAAGCTGGATCTAACTTACTGCACAGAGATCTGTCCTGATCTGTGAACAGTGCGAGCCATCAGGGTGAAGAAAAGGCCAGTCCTATCTGAGTCTGTAACTGAGACTGAAAATTGCTTTGATGAGTTTGTGACCTGATAGGACAAAATGCCCCAGAATTTGGTAGCTCAGGTTCTTTAAAAGTTTTGACTACAAGGTGCCTACCTCTCCTTGAACTAGCCTGTCCTATATTAATAATCTCACCAACATCTTTCTTCATCTACCATCTTTGTGTTGCAAGGTAAAAAAAAATGTTTTGATAGAAGAGATGCATTTGCCCAAGTTAGGATGCCTAAAGTAGTTTCTCTTCTTGATATGCTTTCTGGCATCCTATGGAATGTAATCACCTGGAATGTGTATGAAGGTTAGCGCACCTATCTATAAAAATATGCTCAACTCTGTCATCTTATATGTGTATCCTATTCATAAAACTATTGCCAATAAGAGGATCGTATATATCAAATAAGAACATGCTTTAAAATGTATAGGGTTGAAAAGAAAAAAAGAACATTCAAGGGCAGTTGTAATTTGAAATACAGGGCTATTTTCTAGGCAAAGAGAGGAAAAAGTGATTTATTTATTTCGCAATTATTTTTTATTTGTTTTAATATTTTCATTTCCCCATGAGGTTCTCTTCTTAGTCTTGTCCTTCCAAGATTGTACTCTGCATTCCTTTGAAAAATCCAACATGATATATTTCATGAGGAATAACCTTAGCTGGAAAATTGAGAGAGATATCGCTTGTGTACACTATTAAGCCATGACCCCTTGTAAGGTTTAAATGGAACCAAACCTTCAGTTTGGTTCAGGTCCCTGGGCCCTCAGCCAAGATTCTAGGGTCAGATGCAGTTTGGAATTTAGGATTATTTAAATTTTAGGAAAGCAACTCATTGTATACAGTAATCCGGCCATACTACTTCTTCAAAAATTATATTAATTATCACACAACGTGGGCTAAAAGCTGTCAGTAAAAGGTTAGGTTTTGGAGCCAAATGAGTCTTGAAGAAAGCTTCCAATTTTTAATTTTCTGAGTATTTTGGATTTTGGAATTCCAAAGAAGGAATTGTGGATCTGTAGTGTATAATTAGAAGAAGGTACAGGCTCTCTAATCTCATTTTCAGGCCATCAGCTGCCCTGGAAAAAAAAAAAAAAAAAAAGAAAAAAAAAAAGTCCTCTGGAGAAAACTCCTTGCAGAGAGACGTAAGACTCTCTCTGTCCATCACCACCCTCCTCAATTAAGCACAGTGGAAGTCTGTGCAATTTGGATTCAGTCTCAGGGAAATCTCTTCCCCATCCTTTACCCTCTGTCCTGTGTTTTCTTCCTCAATTTAAAATGGTAGGAATTTTAGACAGGGGAAAATGGAATTTGGCGTTTTTATTTTTTAATTTATTGTTCTTTATTCTTCTTTTTACAAAAGTCATGTACATTTATGGAAAAATCAGATGCACCACCAACAACAAAAAGGGTTTTAAGTCACCAACCACCCAACAATAATGTCATGAGCTTGCTATATATATATATATGCTCTTTCTATCTTTCTATGTATATATATAATATATATACATATATGTGTGTGTGTGTGTGTGTGTGTGTGTGTATATATATATATATATATATATATATATCTTTCCAGATTTTTATTTTTCTAAGCATGTAGAAAAGGCATTCTTTTAGCCAAATGAATTAATACTGCACAAAATTCTGTAATGGAGAACTTTTAGAAAATTAACACTTTACAGAAATGGTATGTATTTTCAGCAGGCAGTCATAAATTAAGAATTAAAAAATTTGAATCTCATTGTAAATATTTTGCAGTTGGAAATGGGGCATACTTTTTTATACTACCTTTTATTTAGGATTTGTGTTAACTTCTTGTTAATCTTCTTGAGAATATATATATGACCCCTGAGAATCCCACTGCAGAGCCTCAGGATGAGGTTATATCCCCAACATGATGGCAAGACTTTTGGCTTCTTTAAAACTTGACATACAAACTAGAGAAAGAGCAAATATTTTAAAATATAAGAGCTGGAAGGAAATGTGGAAATCCATTTGGCCCACTTGTGTAACAGACAAAGAAACTGGGAGTCGTGGGTGGCCCATTCAACTCGGCAACACTGGGTACTAATGCTTAAGTTAAAATCCTGTTTCCCTTATTGGGCAAATCACTTAACTTTTCTGAGCTTCAGTTTCATAAACTGGAGTAGAGTTAATACCAGTGCCTACTTCATAGGGCATCATGAGGATGAAATGAGGTAGCACACTTAGAGAGCGAAGCATTATGCATAGCCATTAGAGAGATCCCAGGAAGTTTACTTTTGCCTGTTAGTGTCAGACCTGGGAGTGGGACTCAGGCCTTTATACTCTCAGCCAGGGCTCTTCCCCAACATTAGTCAGGGAGGATTGGGGCAGCAGTATGTGAGGTATAGTCTTCAGAATGGTGTGGTGGCAGGAAAGGAGCAGAGACGGGGCTAGAGCAACTTGAACATACTCACCCCCTGGTATAGTTTGGATGTGCGTCCCCACCAAATGTCATGCTGAAATGTGATCCTCAATGTTGCAGGTGGGGCCTGTGAGGAGGTGGTTGAGTCATAGGGGTAGATCCTTCATGAATGTCTTGGTACTGTCCTCATGATAGTGAGTGAGTTCTCACTCTGAGTTTATGCTAGATCTGGTTGCTTGAAAGAATACAGCACCTCCTCTTCTCTCTTGCTTCATCTCTCATCATGTGATTCCCCTGCTCCCCCTTCACCTTCCACCATGATGGAAATCTTCCTGGAGCCTCACCAGAAGCAGATGCTGGCACCATACTTCCTACACAGCCTGCAGAATCCTGAGCCAAACAAACCTTTTTTCCTTGTAAATTACCCACTTTCAGGTATTCCTTTATAGCAATGCAAATGGCCTAATACACCTCTTCCTTTTCTTTCTTTAAAACTATCACTGCAAAGAGTGAGCAGCTGTGCAGACCATCTTTCTCTTATTACACGAAACTTGAACTATATATAGAAGGTGAGGTTCCTCAATGATAAGTCTTCGAGAACAATGGGGGTGGGCCATCCCCTAGTTCTACAGTTTGATGTTTATTCCCCCAAACTTAATGCTGAAATTCAACTACCAATTTTGAATGTGGGGCCTAATGGGAGGTGTTTGGGTCATTGGCTAAGAAAATTAGTACCAAGGGTTAGGGTGTTACTATAGAGATACACGAAAATGTGGAAGTGGCTTTGGAACTGGCTAATGGGCAGAAGTTGGAAGAGTTTAGAGGGCTCAGGAAAAAGACAGGTAGATTAGGAAAAGTTTGGAACTACTTAGAGATTGGTTAAGTAGTTGTGACCCAAACGCAAGTAGATATATAGACAGTAAAGGCCATGCTGATGAAGTCTGATGGAAATGAAGAACTTATTCGGAAATGAAACAAAAGTCACACTTGTTACATTTAAGCAAAGAACTTGGGTGCATTATGTCCACGCCATAAAAATTTGTGGAAACCCAAACTTAAGAGTGATGACCTAGGATATCTGGTGGGAGTAATTTCTAAGTAGCAAGGCACTCAAGAAGTGGCATGCCTACTTTTGATAGCTTACAATAAGATAATGGCAGTGAAGAAATTACCTAAGTTATAGTTTTAAAAAAGCAGAGTGTAAAAATTTGGAAAATTTGTAGCATTGCCATATGATAGGAAAGGAAAGAGCATTTTCAAAAGAGAAATCCATGTGTGATATGGAGCAACCACTTGCTAGAGAGATTAGTGTGACCAAAAGGGAGTCAGGTGCTAATAGTGAAAACAATGTGAAAAAGACTGTGAAGTCATTCTAGAAGTCTTCTCCCTTTTGGAATGGAAATGTTTACCTAACACCCGTACCACCATTGTATCTTGGAAGTAAATAACTTGGTTTTTTTTACTTGTTTGTAAGTTTTTTACGGATTCATAGCTGCAAGAAACTTGCCTTGAGTCTTAGATGAAACTTTCAACTTCGGACTTTTGAGTTGATGCTGGAAAAGTTAAGACTTTTGAAAATGACTGAGAGAGATGATTGTATTTTCTACTCTCAGAAGAACATGAGTTTTGGAGGACCAGGACTGGAATGCTATAGTTTGGATGTTCATCTCCCCACACCCCATGTTGAAGTTTGACCCCCCAGTGTTGGAGGTGGGGCCTAATGGGAAGTGTTTGGATCGTAGGGAAGATCCCTTATGAATGACATGGTGCTCCTCATAGCAGTGAATGAGTTCTTGCTCACTCATTATTTTTGCTCACTCACTATTAGTTTCCACAAGAACTGGTGCTTAAAAAGAGCCTGGCACCTTTCCTCTCACCCTCTGTTGCCTCCTTTCCTGTCATGTGATCTCTGCATACACCGACTCCCTTTCACCTTCTGCCACAAGTGGAGGCAGCCTGAAGCTTTCACCAGATGCCCAATCTTCCCACCAGCAGAATCATGAGCCAAATAAACCTTTTTTTCTTTATAAATTACCCAGCCTCTGGTATTTCTTTATAGTAGTACAAATGGACTAAGACATCTAGGATGTAGGGGAATGAGATAAAGATGATTTTGGAAGGAAGTCATTGCGAATGTATGGGAACCTATCTGTAAGGTAGGCACTTCCCCTGAAAGAATAGCATTTCCACCTAGACATGGCTAACATTTTTGTAAAATTAACATGAAATGTGAAATGTGTAGTCACTGTGCTTGGCAGTAATGTGTAGATTTCCTCAATATTATGTGAACATTGGAGTTTAATATCAGCTTGCTACTTGAAAGATGCAGAAAACGCAATAAAATTTAGCTTAAAACTGATGACTGAAGAAACAAAGACATAGAACATAAACATAGATGTGTCTGGGTGGAGGAAATATGAACAGCCCTTGTGTGGCTTGAAATACACAGGCACAAACACAAATCCAAGTATACACACACACAAATGTGAGTATGTGTACACACATGCACACAAGCAATAGCATCTTTTAAATTTCCTGGTGATCTGACAGATTAGAGAATTGGTGGTACACTCCTAATGTACGATTTGCTAACCATGTGATCAATTTTATTTGCCAAATATCTTTTAATTATAAGATCCATCATCTCATTTTTATTTTTTTTTTAATGTGAGTGCCACAAAAAAGGAGCTGGGTTTGTAACAACCAGGTCCTGTCTTCTAATTATATTTACTATTAGATTTCAGGAAATTTTAAATATTCTCTGAGTTTGGAGAATTCAAAACATTCAAGCCTCTTGGAAGATTGTGATCTATAACCTTAATTTACTTAAAAGAAATCTCTAATAAGGTCCAATAATTTGTAGCCTGATACTAATTTTTATGCAATGTTGAGATGGCCATTCATCCTTTCCCCAGGGAAGTTCTAGGGGGAAAGGTGCCAGGCTAAATCACAAATGAAATTAGTTTGCAGGCTAGAATGACATTTCTTTTTTTTTTTTTTTTTTTTTTAAGCCATGCTATTCCTCTTCATTTCATTAGCTATTGTTTGGAATAGCATGCTTGGTAATCTCTTGGGGGAGGAGAAAAGAATTTGGAGTTTAAATATAGTTTGGGATCAGTAAAAAGTAGAACATTACTCAATAAAAGGAGGAAAAGGATCCCAAGACTCTTCTTCTGTTTATTAAAGAATTGAGGAGAAGCTGTAAGCAAAGGAAAGAAGAGAAAGACTGAGTTTTTTCTTATCTGGTTTTTAAAAATGCCATCCATGTTTAAACAGTTAAATGTATCTTATATCCTTTGCAGGAATTAATCCATTAGGGCCTTCAGAAATTCTCTTCTTGGGTGTGTTTTCTTGACATATTTGGAATGAGTGCTCGTGCAAATGGAGCATGTATAAGAAAACCTCAAACTGGAGATAACAAAACCAAAAATACAAACCATGCAGCATTAACAGTGTTTCAAACTTCCATGAATCAAGTCTAAAATGAATATAGGAATATATTTACTTTCCTCTTTGCAAGAATGAATAGGCAGGCAAACCCACTTCCTCCTCTACTGGGAGGGGAAGCAAGTCCATTAAATCATATTTTAGGTCCTTTTAAAAGGGTACTTGGAACCTATACCCAGGCTACGAGTGCCACTGTGCTCTTGCTTTAAATGCCCCAATGTGTTTTCGTGTGCTGGGTTCATCCCAGCCTTTCGCAGACGTGCACACACATCTAATCCGGCAGTACAAAGCTGCCGGAGCCCTACCCCCAGGAGGCTCTGAGCTCCTGGCAGAATCTCAGCTTTTCTGAATAAGATGGAAATTTATTAGGAGGAAATTATTCTGGTGTCTTCAGAAATATAACATTCCTGATAAAAATCTTGCTCCTGACAGCAGACTAACGAGATACATTTGTTAGTGGTTTCTGTTCCTGGGAATCAGCGGTGAATGCCCTGCCCTTTTATTGTATCGTTTGAGGGAGATGCATGCAGTGACAAGCATGATTTAAGTTCTGCATTTTACAAACATTGGAATTGTGAAATATTGCCATGTACTCTGCTGAATGTATGCTACGTGCCATAGCCCTGCAGAGGGAAGGAGTGGTGACGCCTGGCACATAGTAGGTGAACAGTAAATTATTGGTCTTCTAAATTTTCATAGTAAATACAGTGCTTGCCTTCAGAAAGCTCATTGCCTGACAGACAGAAAAACAGATCACTTCAGATACTGGTAATTCACTGATGGGGGCTTTGTACGGCCAGATATATAGTTTACTCTCAAGAAAGCCTCTTAGAAAGCTTAGCTCTTATTTATTTCAGAAACTATTGTTACAAGCTTTCTTTTCTAATTTCCTATTTAGTTATACATTAGAAGCAGCAATTAAGAAAAGCTAGAGCTTGCTAAAAGCAGTCGTAAAAGCAGGGACACAGAGGTATACCACTCTGTGAGGGTAAGAAGCTTTGCTCTCTTATACCAGAGAGTAAAGAAGGAGGCAGAAAAATTAGAATAATCTAACCAAAGAATTCAGATACCATAGAAGTTTTGGAGTACTTTGAAATAGAAGTCTACAGCGGTATATCACATCTAAATATGTTAAGGACATTTGAATACACAGGTCCTATTTTATATAGTCACATTTATGACTCTTAATTGCAAAAAAAAAAAAAAACAAAGCTCAAATGTGTTCAGAATGGCCTATTTAATAAAAGAATAAGGAAATATTTGATTCTTTTAAGAAAAATTTAAAAATGATCAAATGTTCAAGTGTTGGCACTTTAAAAGGATATTTCAATATTTGGACAATTTATGGATATGCTTTTCCCATTAGCCACATTACCAGGTAAATTAGATTTCACCGCATTTGAGAGAAAAGTAGATCATTGTCTTAAGCAGAGTTTAGTATATTGTATAATTGTAAAGAAGAAAAAAGATGTGGATTATATTTTGTACTAATTATAGTTAGCAGAACCCTCTACATATTTTGAGTAAAGATGCAAACATATTATTGAATATTTAGGATTATATATTAGTTTCCTGTTACTGCTGTAACACATTAACACAAACTTGGGTGGCTTAACACAGCACAAATGTATCGCCTTCCAGTGCTGGAAGTCAGAAGTCTGAAATCAGTTTCACTGGACAAAAGTCAAGATGCTGGCAGGGCTTGTTCCTTCTGGAGCCTTTGAGGGAAGAATTTGTTTCCTTGCCTTTTTCAGCTTCTAGAGGCTGCCTGCATTCCTTGGCTCATGGCCCCTTCCTGCATCTTCAAAGCCAGCAGCATAGCATCTTCAAATCTCTCTCCATCTCTCCCATGACTTCCATTGTCCCATCATCTTTTCCTGTTCTGTAGTCAACCTCTCTGAGTCTCTCTTATGAGGACACTTGTGATAACATTTATGGCCCACCCAGATAATCCAGGACAACCTCCTCATCTCAAGAGCCTTAATTTCATTACATCTGCAAAGTGGCTCTGCCATATAAGAAAATATTCACAGGGTCCAGGGATTAGGACATGGACATCTTTGATAGCTCAGAGCATAAATAAGTAACTGTGGGCAGGGAAAACACTTCATTCCCATCTGACCTCATGTCTAATATTACTCTGATCTTACTCTGCCCATTATCTCATTTTTTCTGTCTGTGCTTTTAAGGTGGAGAAATGACTCAGTTTGAGTGAGGCGTGTCAAAGAAGAAAGATGCATCCTTGTCTCAGTCCCTCCCACACCTTCAAGGCTGTGTCCCAGGTTGCAGGGTGGGGGAAGCTGGAAGCCACTTGCCTGTGAATGTTCTCTAATAGGACTTCATTTTGTCATTTAGAGCTCTGTTTGCATTACTATTTTGTCATATTTCACCATTGGTTTAGGTCTCAGGTAAAGAAGAGGGGCACTTTTTCAGGAGATCTCCAATAGTACTACATGCTTATTAGTAAAATTAAAATAACAGATATTTTATAAAGTAGACCTCATAATCTTTCCCTTTAAAGTTAACTACTGTGAATCTCATTACTGGGTATATACCCAAAGGAATATAAATCGTTGTGTTATAAAGATACATGCATGCCTATGTTCATTGCAGCGCTATTCACAATAGCAAAGACATGGAATCAACCTAAATGTTCATCAATGATAAATCAGATAAAGAAAATGTGGTGCATATACACCATGGAATACTATGCAGCCATGAAAAGGAATGAGATCATGTCCTTTGCAGGGACATGGAGTTGGAAGTCATTAACATCAGCAAACTAACACAGGAACAGAAGACCAAACACCACATGTTTTTACCATGGTGTTTTTACTACTCTATTATTATATTATCATTATTATTATTTTGAGGCTGAGTCTTGCTCTGTCACCCAGGCTGGAGTGCAGTGGCACGGTCTTGGCTCACTGCAACCTCCGCCTCCCAGGTTCAAGTGATTTTTGTGCCTCAGCCTCCCGAATAGCTGGGATTACAGGCATGTGCCACCACACCCAGCTAATTTTTGTATTTTTAGTAGAGATGGGGTTTTGCCATGTTGGCCAGGCTGGTCTTGAACTCCTGGCCTCAGGTGATCTGTTTGCCTCGATCTCCTGACCTCGTGATCTGCCTGTGTCAGCCTCCCAAAGTGCTGGGATTATAGATATGAGCCACAGTGCCCAGCCTACTCTGTTCTTTTAAGTCTTATTTTCGCCAGGTGTGGTGGCTCACGCCTGTAATCCCAGCACTTTGGGAGGCGGAGGCGGGTGGATCACGAGGTCAGGAGATCGAGACCATCCTGGCTAACATGGTGAAACCCTGTCTCTATTAAAAATACAAAAAATTAGCTGGGCGTGGTGGTGGGCGCCTGTAGTCCCAGCTGCTCAGGAGGCTGAGGCAGGAGAATGGCATGAACCTGGGAGGTGGAGCTTGCAGTGAGCTGAGATCGTGCCTCTGCACTCCAGCCTGGGTGACAGAGTGAGACTCTGTCTCAACAAAACAAACAAACAAAAACTCTTATTTTCAATTCTCCAGCCACGCCAAATGTCACATGCTGAACTGTGCTCCCCAAAATACATATGCTGAATTCCTAAGCCCCAATACCTCAGAATGTGATCTTATTTGGAAATAGGGTCATTGCAGACATAATTAAGATGAGGTCATACCAGAGGAGTGAACCTCTAATCCAGTATTACTGGTGTCCTCATAGAAAAGGGAAATTTGGAGTCAGACATGCAGACAGCGAGAATGCCATGTGAAGATGAAGGCAGAAATTACGTGATGCATCTGCAAGCCAATGAATGCCCAAAATTGCCAGCAAACCACAAGAAGCTAGGGGGAGGCATCAACGAGATTCTTCTTCATAGCTCTCAGAAAGAACCAATCTTGCCCACACCTTGATCTTGAACTTCTAGCCTCCACAACTATAAGACAATAAATTTCTTTTTTTTTTTTTTTTTTTTATTATACTCTAAGTTTTAGGGTACATGTGCACATTGTGCAGGTTAGTTACATATGTATACATGTGCCATGCTGGTGCGCTGCACCCACTAATGTGTCATCTAGCATTAGGTATATCTCCCAATGCTATCCCTCCCCCCTCCCCCGACCCCACCACAGTCCCCAGAGTGTGATATTCCCCTTCCTGTGTCCATGTGATCTCATTGTTCAATTCCCACCTATGAGTGAGAATATGCGGTGTTTGGTTTTTTGTTCTTGCGATAGTTTACTGAGAATGATGGTTTCCAATTTCATCCATGTCCCTACAAAGGATATGAACTCATCATTTTTTATGGCTGCATAGTATTCCATGGTGTATATGTGCCACATTTTCTTAATCCAGTCTATCATTGTTGGACATTTGGGTTGGTTCCAAGTCTTTGCTATTGTGAATAGTGCCGCAATAAACATACGTGTGCATGTGTCTTTATAGCAGCATGATTTATACTCATTTGGGTATATACCCAGTAATGGGATGGCTGGGTCAAATGGTATTTCTAGTTCTAGATCCCTGAGGAATCGCCACACTGACTTCCACAATGGTTGAACTAGTTTACAGTCCCACCAACAGTGTAAAAGTGTTCCTATTTCTCCGCATCCTCTCCAGCACCTGTTGTTTCCTGACTTTTTAATGATTGCCATTCTAACTGGTGTGAGATGATATCTCATAGTGGTTTTGATTTGCATTTCTCTGATGGCCAGTGATGATGAGCATTTCTTCATGTGTTTTTTGGCTGCATAAATGTCTTCTTTTGAGAACTGTCTGTTCATGTCCTTCGCCCACTTTTTGATGGGGTTGTTTGTTTTTTTCTTGTAAATTTGTTTGAGTTCATTGTAGATTCTGGATATTAGCCCTTTGTCAGATGAGTAGGTTGCAAAAATTTTCTCCCATGTTGTAGGTTGCCTGTTCACTCTGATGGTAGTTTCTTTTGCTGTGCAGAAGCTCTTTAGTTTAATTAGATCCCATTTGTCAATTTTGTCTTTTGTTGCCATTGCTTTTGGTGTTTTGGACATGAAGTCCTTGCCCACGCCTATGTCCTGAATGGTAATGCCTAGGTTTTCTTCTAGGGTTTTTATGGTTTTAGGTTTAACGTTTAAATCTTTAATCCATCTTGAATTGATTTTTGTATAAGGTGTAAGGAAGGGATCCAGTTTCAGCTTTCTACATATGGCTAGCCAGTTTTCCCAGCACCATTTATTAAATAGGGAATCCTTTCCCCATTGCTTGTTTTTCTCAGGTTTGTCAAAGATCAGATAGTTGTAGATATGCGGCATTATTTCTGAGGGCTCTGTTCTGTTCCATTGATCTATATCTCTGTTTTTGTACCAGTACCATGCTGTTTTGGTTACTGTAGCCTTGTAGTATAGTTTGAAGTCAGGTAGTGTGATGCCTCCAGGTTTGTTCTTTTGGCTTAGGATTGACTTGGCAATGCGGGCTCTTTTTTGGTTCCATATGAACTTTAAAGTAGTTTTTTCCAATTCTGTGAAGAAAGTCATTGGTAGCTTGATGGGGATGGCATTGAATCTGTAAATTACCTTGGGCAGTATGGCCATTTTCACGATATTGATTCTTCCTACCCATGAGCATGGAATGTTCTTCCATTTATTTGTCTCCTCTTTTATTTCCTTGAGCAGTGGTTTGTAGTTCTCCTTGAAGAGGTCCTTCACATCCCTTGTAAGTTGGATTCCTAGGTATTTTATTCTCTTTGAAGCAATTGTGAATGGGAGTTCACCCATGATTTGGCTCTCTGTTTGTCTGTTGTTGGTGTATAAGAATGCTTGTGATTTTTGTACATTGATTTTGTATCCTGAGACTTTGCTGAAGTTGCTTATCAGCTTAAGGAGATTTTGGGCTGAGACGATGGGGTTTTCTAGATAAACAATCATGTCGTCTGCAAACAGGGACAATTTGACTTCCTCTTTTCCTAATTGAATACCCTTTATTTCCTTCTCCTGCCTGATTGCCCTGGCCAGAACTTCCAACACTATGTTGAATAGGAGCGGTGAGAGAGGGCATCCCTGTCTTGTGCCGGTTTTCAAAGGGAATGCTTCCAGTTTTTGCCCATTCAGTATGATATTGGCTGTGGGTTTGTCATAGATAGCTCTTATTATTTTGAAATACATCCCATCAATACCTAATTTATTGAGAGTTTTTAGCATGAAGGGTTGTTGAATTTTGTCAAAGGCTTTTTCTGCATCTATTGAGATAATCATGTGGTTTTTGTCTTTGGCTCTGTTTATATGCTGGATTACATTTATTGATTTGCGTATATTGAACCAGCCTTGCATCCCAGGGATGAAGCCCACTTGATCATGGTGGATAAGCTTTTTGATGTGCTGCTGGATTCGGTTTGCCAGTATTTTATTGAGGATTTTTGCATCAATGTTCATCAAGGATATTGGTCTAAAATTCTCTTTTTTGGTTGTGTCTCTGCCCGGCTTTGGTATCAGAATGATGCTGGCCTCATTAAATGAGTTAGGGAGGATTCCCTCTTTTTCTATTGATTGGAATAGTTTCAGAAGGAATGGTACCAGTTCCTCCTTGTACCTCTGGTAGAATTCGGCTGTGAATCCATCTGGTCCTGGACTCTTTTTGGTTGGTAAACTATTGATTATTGCCACAATTTCAGAGCCTGTTATTGGTCGATTCAGAGATTCAACTTCTTCCTGGTTTAGTCTTGGGAGAGTGTATGTGTCGAGGAATTTATCCATTTCTTCTAGATTTTCTAGTTTATTTGCGTAGAGGTGTTTGTAGTATTCTCTGATGGTAGTTTGTATTTCTGTGGGATCGGTGGTGATATCCCCTTTATCATTTTTTATTGTGTCTATTTGATTCTTCTCTCTTTTTTTCTTTATTAGTCTTGCTAGCGGTCTATCAATTTTGTTGATCCTTTCAAAAAACCAGCTCCTGGATTCATTGATTTTTTGAAGGGTTTTTTGTGTCTCTATTTCCTTCAGTTCTGCTCTGATTTTAGTTATTTCTTGCCTTCTGCTAGCTTTTGAATGTGTTTGCTCTTGCTTTTCTAGTTCTTTTAATTGTGATGTTAGGGTGTCAATTGTGGATCTTTCCTGCTTTCTCTTGTAGGCATTTAGTGCTATAAATTTCCCTCTACACACTGCTTTGAATGCATCCCAGAGATTCTGGTATGTGGTGTCTTTGTTCTCGTTGGTTTCAAAGAACATCTTTATTTCTGCCTTCATTTCGTTATGTACCCAGTAGTCATTCAGGAGCAGGTTGTTCAGTTTCCATGTAGTTGAGCGGCTTTGAGTGAGATTCTTAATCCTGAGTTCTAGTTTGATTGCACTGTGGTCTGAGAGATAGTTTGTTATAATTTCTGTTCTTTTACATTTGCTGAGGAGAGCTTTACTTCCAACTATGTGGTCAATTTTGGAATAGGTGTGGTGTGGTGCTGAAAAAAATGTATATTCTGTTGATTTGGGGTGGAGAGTTCTGTAGATGTCTATTAGGTCTGCTTGGTGCAGAGCTGAGTTCAATTCCTGGGTATCCTTGTTGACTTTCTGTCTCGTTGATCTGTCTAATGTTGACAGTGGGGTGTTAAAGTCTCCCATTATTAATGTGTGGGAGTCTAAGTCTCTTTGTAGGTCACTGAGAACTTGCTTTATGAATCTGGGTGCTCCTGTATTGGGTGCATAAATATTTAGGATAGTTAGCTCCTCTTGTTGAATTGATCCCTTTACCATTATGTAATGGCCTTCTTTGTCTCTTTTGATCTTTGTTGGTTTAAAGTCTGTTTTATCAGAGACTAGGATTGCAACCCCTGCCTTTTTTTGTTTTCCATTTGCTTGGTAGATCTTCCTCCATCCTTTTATTTTGAGCCTATGTGTGTCTCTGCACGTGAGATGGGTTTCCTGAATACAGCGCACTGATGGGTCTTGACTCTTTATCCAACTTGCCAGTCTGTGTCTTTTAATTGCAGAATTTAGTCCATTTATATTTAAAGTTAATATTGTTATGTGTGAATTTGATCCTGTCATTATGATGTTAGCTGGTGATTTTGCTCATTAGTTGATGCAGTTTCTTCCTAGTCTCGATGGTCTTTACATTTTGGCATGATTTTGCAGCGGCTGGTACCGGTTGTTCCTTTCCATGTTTAGCGCTTCCTTCAGGAGCTCTTTTTTTTTTTTTTTTTTTTTTTTTTTTTTTTTTGAGACGGAGTCTCGCTCTGTCGCCCAGGCCGGATTGCGGACTGCAGTGGCGCAATCTCGGCTCACTGCAAGCTCCGCTTCCCGGGTTCACGCCATTCTCCTGCCTCAGCCTCCCGAGTAGCTGGGACTACAGGCGCCCGCCACCGCGCCCGGCTAATTTTTTGTATTTTTAGTAGAGACGGGGTTTCACCTTGTTAGCCAGGATGGTCTCGATCTCCTGACCTCATGATCCACCCGCCTCGGCCTCCCAAAGTGCTGGGATTACAGCAGGAGCTCTTTTAGGGCAGGCCTGGTGGTGACAAAATCTCTCAACATTTGCTTGTCTATAAAGTATTTTATTTCTCCTTCACTTATGAAGCTTAGTTTGGCTGGATATGAAATTCTGGGTTGAAAATTCTTTTCTTTAAGAATGTTGAATATTGGCCCCCACTCTCTTCTGGCTTGTAGGGTTTCTGCCGAGAGATCCGCTGTTAGTCTGATGGGCTTTCCTTTGAGGGTAACCCGTCCTTTCTCTCTGGCTGCCCTTAACATTTTTTCCTTCATTTCAACTTTGGTGAATCTGACAATTATGTGTCTTGGAGTTGCTCTTCTCGAGGAATATCTTTGTGGCGTTCTCTGTATTTCCTGAATCTGAACGTTGGCCTGCCTTGCTAGATTGGGGAAGTTCTCCTGGATAATATCCTGCAGAGTGTTTTCCAACTTGGTTCCATTCTCCACATCACTTTCAGGTACACCAATCAGACGTAGATTTGGTCTTTTCACATAGTCCCATATTTCTTGGAGGCTTTGCTCATTTCTTTTTATTCTTTTTTCTCTAAACTTCCCTTCTCACTTCATTTCATTCATTTCATCTTCCATTGCTGATACCCTTTCTTCCAGTTGATCGCATCGGCTCCTGAGGCTTCTGCATTCTTCACGTAGTTCTCGAGCCTTGGTTTTCAGCTCCATCAGCTCCTTTAAGCACTTCTCTGTATTGGTTATTCTAGTTATACATTCTTCTAATTTTTTTTCAAAGTTTTCAACTTCTTTGCCTTTGGTTTGAATGTCCTCCCGTAGCTCAGAGTAATTTGATCGTCTGAAGCCTTCTTCTCTCAGCTCGTCAAAATCATTCTCCATCCAGCTTTGTTCTGTTGCTGGTGAGGAACTGCGTTCCTTTGGAGGAGGAGAGGCGCTCTGCGTTTTAGAGTTTCCAATTTTTCTGTTCTGTTTTTTCCCCATCTTTGTGGTTTTATCTACTTTTGGTCTTTGATGATGGTGATGTACAGATGGGTTTTCGGTGTAGATGTCCTTTCTGGTTGTTAGTTTTCCTTCTAACAGACAGGACCCTCAGCTGCAGGTCTGTTGGAATATCCTGCCGTGTGAGGTGTCAGTGTGCCCCTGCTGGGGGGTGCCTCCCAGTTAGGCTGCTCGGGGGTCAGGAGTCAGGGACCCACTTGAGGAGGCAGTCTGCCCGTTCTCAGATCTCCAGCTGCGTGCTGGGAGAACCACTGCTCTCTTCAAAGCTGTCAGACAGGGACAGTTAAGTCTGCAGAGGTTACTGCTGTCTTTTTGTTTGTCTGTGCCCTGCCCCCAGAGGTGGAGCCTACAGAGGCAGGCAGGCCTCCTTGAGCTGTGGTGGGCTCCACCCAGTTCGAGCTTCCGGGCTGCTTTGTTTACCTAAGCAAGCCTGGGCAATGGCGGGCGCCCCTCCCCCAGCCTCGTTGCCGCCTTGCAGTTTGATCTCAGACTGCTGTGCTAGCAATCAGCGAGATTCCGTGGGCGTAGGACCCTCCGAGCCAGGTGTGGGATATAGTCTCGTGGTGCGCCATTTCTTAAGCCGGTCTGAAAAGCGCAATATTCGGGTGGGAGTGACCCGATTTTCCAGGTGCGTCCGTCACCCCTTTCTTTGACTCGGAAAGGGAACTCCCTGACCCCTTGCGCTTCCCAGGTGAGGCAATGCCTCGCCCTGCTTCGGCTCGCGCACGGTGCGCACACACACTGGCCTGCGCCCACTGTCTGGCACTCCCTAGTGAGATGAACCCGGTACCTCAGATGGAAATGCAGAAATCACCGTCTTCTGCGTCGCTCACGCTGGGAGCTGTAGACCGGAGCTGTTCCTATTCGGCCATCTTGGCTCCTCCCTAAAACAGAGATTTATTCGTTTCTTGCCGCTCTTGGAAACACCCAGAGGACACTGGAAACATAGCCACAGGGACATAGAACCAAGCCACAGGCCTGCTCAGCTACAGGACCGCCGCTGGGATCCGCACTTCCGGAGGAAAATGGCCAAGACAATAAATTTCTAAGCCACCCACTTTGCGGTACTTTGCTATGGGAGTCCTATCAAACTAATATACCAGGTTACTCAGAAACTCCTCATTACATCTTGTACCTTTCCTTTTTCTAGTTTTTATTTCTGCTTTCCCCTCTCCTCAGAACACCTTCCCTTCCTTCAGTTCCCCATCTAAGGAAATGCTTCCCATCCCCCAATGGTCTACCTGCCTTAACATTCCACAGCCAGCCTTGTATTTTCAAAGTAAATGCAATAGCAGTGATGCCTGGTAGTCTTGCTTTTAATGACAATGTGGTCATTGATTGGAAAGACATGTGATTAGTAGTTTGGCAGTTGCAGAAGTCGTCTGAGGCCAACACCAAAGCACACTTGTGGCCCTTTCAGGAATAAGCCCATCGTGCCGCTATCTGTCCCAGGCTCACACTGTCCACTGGCCCTGGAAAAGCATGTAGGAGTCTGCCAGGTTGGACGTGACAGAAGGAGATTCCAGCTGCCATAGGTGACTTCCAAATCAATTCTTTCCACAGCTGACTTGAGTGGCACTTTGGGGCATAGCTGCTCAGCTTAAGCAAGTGGGCCCTCAGCCCCAGCAGACCCACTGTACAGCTGGAAAAGGGGGTGCACATTTGCTTCTGCCCTTCATGGATAATTTTAAAGGAAATATCATAGGTTCACTGAATCATAAGGACATTTTACATAAACAGTTTCTAGAAATGATCTGAATTATACCCTCTCCTCTATTCTTTGAGGCAGCCACAAAAGGTTTTTTGCTGGTCTGAAGTCAAACACCACAATCCAGAGGACCCACCATTCCCTAGGTATGAGTGGTCTCTGAGTGGTCTCCCTACTGCTGACCTCTGTGGGCCTGCTTGTGCTTCTCTGTGCCTGAGTCTTAGAGCCCCCTCTACATCCGTGCAGGGTGTACGTCCACCCCCAGACTGTATAGTATAATGCGCCCAGTGATTTATGGGGTCAGACAGCCTGTGTTTGCCTCAGTTTCTTTCTCAGCTGCTCTGCCTAGGAGCTGGGCGACTCTGCGTCCACTAATCAGTCCCTTTCTGCCTCCATTTTCTCATTTGTAAAAGATAATAGGACCTAATTCATGAGACTGTTCTAAGAATTAAGTCAGATAATATGTGCAAACCACTCAGACGATTACCTAGCCCATGAAATAAAATTTTAGCTGTTATTGTTTTTTTATTTTCTATTACCCATAAACTACTTCATAAGATTGGAAGAAATCAAGTAAGATCATATATGTAAAACAGTGCAGGGTCTGATACACATTATGGTAACTGTCATCATTATGTAAAATGATTTGAAGACTGTATATCTTTTTAAGTTTATTTTTATATATAAATTACATATAAATGTATGTATACTCATATATAAATTATTAAAATCTCAATATAATTTGAATGAAATGGTTTGATTGTATATAAGTGATTTATATATAAATTATTTGAAGACTATATATATATTTTAATATTTATCTACTAATTTTTTCAGTCAGCCTTTATTGAGCACCTATTATGTGCTAGGTTTATATTTGTAGTATACAGTTTTTCCAGCGTAGTAGATTGACCACTGGGTTTCTCAATCTTTCCAATCACGATTAGTCCTTTTTTCTCTGATCTCTCCTTGTACCTCAATTTCTTGCATTATATGTGGTTTTATGATCTTCCTTTATGCATCAGAGTAACTCTGAGTAGATCGTAAACTTCTTGAAGGCATGTGAATACATTCTCCTATCCTATCCTAACCAGCTCCACAAAGCCTAGGTCAGTGATCTACTCATGTTAGGGGCTCAGTAAAAGTGTTTTGGATGGAACTAAAGATTTGGTATCAGAGTCTGTCATCAGCCATGTGATTTTTTGAAAGCCACTTCACTGTCACATGTCTCAGTTTCCTCATCTCTGAAACAGATGGTTCAGATAGAGGAGAGATGGGCAAAAGGTGTCATTTGTTCTGCCAAAGCTGATGAATATGTAGTGGCTTCTTGGAGTAGAGGATGCAACTGAGCTATGGACTGGGAAAGAAAAAGGCCATTACCACCCATCAGTAGCTGCCACGGTGAAAGCAGAGGGAAGGGCCAGGGCAACTCTAAGGTGCTGTCTAGAGAGACAATTCTACATTTTTATGTGCTTTGCTTATTAATCACTGTATCCTTTCCCTTTTATTTGACACATACTGAGCATACAGCATTATTCAAATTTTGAAGGAGCTTTTTTTTTTCATCCTTAGTATTCTAAAACTCAAAGGGATTTATAGCCTGTAGAAACTTGTCCATTTAAAACCAGTGACACCAGATGGTCCCCAACAAATATATAATTACTTCTTACTTGAGCTAACAATCCAAGCAATGAACTCCTGAAGAGGTAATTGGGAGACATTTGTGTTTTTGACAATTTTGAAAATGTCTTTTATTTTTTAGCAAATAAATAACTGTGGTATTTTCAGGAATATACTTTTATTGTAGATTCTTTTAAAATGCTCATGATCTAAAAGAAGAATATTAAAAAACACCCATCATTCTACTGCCTCAAGATATTTGCTATTAAAAGTTCACGCTGTCATTTCAGATTTTTTCCTGTTGTTACATGTTGCGTATACATAAGTATATATATTTTAAACTAAAAGAATTATACCATTCTTTCTGTTTTATTATCTTTATGCCATCAATTTATAATGAACATCATTTTATCTTTCTATGTCAATAAACATACATATATTACATTATTTTAAACTTAAATTATTTCATGGTATTATGTTGGGACTTTGGGAGGACCCTCCAAATAGCAACCATTTTTCTTACCTGAGTTCTGAATTATTTGAGAAATGAATATCACCTTCATTCCTGATGATGAAGGTGCAGCAGCTATTAGCTGAAGACTGGTAGACTGACTGATACTGAACCCCAGAATTAGAGAGAATTCCCTCCCCAGCCCCAGGCAGCACTGAACAGGCAAGTGTGGTTCCCGTAGAGAACAAGAACCTCTGCAAGCATCTCATTCCTAAGACATGGGAGGGAGAGACTGGCTAAGCACATCCAGTTGATTGTTCCCAAACTCATCAATGAGAAAAGTCACCCCTGATTTTCTGTGGAAGAGTAAGAAAAGGGATAGAGAGGAATAGAGGTTACTCTAGTGGAGCTCCCTCCATATCAAAGGAAACATCAGAAATACAGAAGCTCCCCACAAGGTATGCATATGCCGTAATTTATACAACCAGCCCTTATGAGACATTTGGCTTGTTTCCAATCATTCCATTATATCACACATTATTTTATCTGGATGTGATTATTGTCCCCCATAGGTACAAAAGGGATGCTCAGTGTTGTCTGGGATCATGTGGTTAGTGTTGGACATACACTTTGAATTCAAGTTCTCCCGACTCTAAAGCTCAATATCCCATCCCTCCAAGGTGAATGAGAGGTTACCTTGGCCAGGGCTTCAGGCAGCTATGGGAAAAGCCTTGATGGCTAAGGTGGGATTTACTGAGTCTTAACTATGGATATAGAACAACTATAGAAACTACCCAAGGATCTAAAACAAATGTGTAATGGTCTGGTGCAGACCAAGTGTAAATGGGGCAAGTGAATGATCCCAGCAGGATGGAGTGAGGTAGGGCAAGATTCCAGGAAGAGGAGACTTTCTGTGCTGCCAGCCAGCCTGTAAGCACCGAAGACTGCCCCTGAACTATCTCTCTAAAGGACTGACCTGCTTCAGTTCAACTGACAGTGGCCACGCCTTATCTCCACTTTCTGTAAGATGTCAAGAGAAATTACAGACACGTGTCTGCAGAGCCCAAGTCCCTGAGGCTTTTTTATTGGAAACTTTGTCATAGAGAAAGCAGCACCCAAGTGTCGGTGATGAGACTCAACTCAGATGGCAGGGCTTGGCAGCCTTCCTCATAGACTGCCAGTTTGATCTGAAGATGGATGTTTCATTGACAGCAGGCACTTCTGGTGTGTCAAATCCCACACTAACAGATCGCTCTCGTTTTCTAGTTTCTGGCCTAATGGTCTGCAGTGAGTAAGTAATTTTTCCCACCCTTCTTCATGTCTCAAAGCCCTGCTGTTTGCTCTAAGGTGAGATATAGTCACAATCTTGCTTTTATGTCAAATGTATGATGTGCTTTATTTAGCTGGGATCTGCTAAGATGCTGTAGGTAATTCTTTGCCTGAGCATCCCTTGGCTGGACTGTGTTGTAACAAGTCTTGATTGAATACTGGTGGTTTGATTCAGGGAGAAAAGCAAAACTACCCCAATAGATAAAGGAAGCAGATGGGTATGCAAAGGCAGGGGGCAGCTCTGGTTCAGAAATGAGCTTAAGGAGAACACAAGGAGAAATGGACCAGAACCTCAGGAGTGCAAATGACAGGGGACCCATTCATTCCTCGTTGATTCCTTCTAGCCTGCAGGTAGTAGGTGCTTAGTGTATGTGTGTGAGGCTCCGTGTTAAGAACTGCTTCATGTAATGTGCCTGAATGATACAAAAAAGAATAAAACAAATTCCTTGTTCTCAGAGGCTTATGTATAAGATGTACATACAGCTATAAAATGAAACAATATGATGCATGTGTAATGCAACAGCTTGTTGGGACATTTTTGGTTTTGTTTAATTTTGTTTTTGTTTTTCTTGAGACAGGGTCTCACTGTCCCCCAGGCTGGAGTGCAGTGGTGAGATCACTGCTGTCTGCAGTCTTGACCTTATGGGCTCAAGTGATTCTCCCACCTAAGCCTCCCAAGTAGCTGGGACTACAGGCATGCACCACCATGCATGCCTGGCTAATTTTTCTGTATTTTTGGTAGAGATGGGGGTTTTGCCATGTTGTCCAGGCTGGTCTTGAACTCCTGGACTCAAGCGATCACCTGCCTTGGCCTCCCAAAGTGCTGGGATTACAGATGAACGTGCCTGACTGAGATGTTCATTTGTGTCTTGTCTTCACTCTTTTTACCACCTGTCTCAGAGAGTTGCTTGAACCTCCCATTCTTTCTTGCCCTGGGGAAAGGTTCTGTTGAAGAGAGCAAGGTAGTGAAGCAGCATGCAGGGTATGTAATGGCCAACACTGCCTTAGATTATGGGTGTCATAGAGAATGAGATTAAGCCTAGTGAACTTGTTAAATGAACTTACGGATATATATTTTCAGTTTTAATAATATTTATTGAGGATAACCTTCAAGTTGGGCATTTCAATTCTGTAATTTTATTGTAGTTGTAGTAGTAGTTGTTACTGTTGCCCTTCTTAAAGAGATGGGTAAACTGAGGCCTGGAGCATTTTAAAAACTTTTTCCTATTCTCACTGCTGGTTAATAACAGAGATAGAATTTGAGTCCATGCTTGTCTCCATTTCAGTCACTTTCCGTGGATAAAAGTTTTGGATGTTGGAACTGCAAGCAGTTCCTTGCATTTCATCAAGAATCGGTCACACTATTGTTCTAAGTATGCAGACGCTATAACCTATGGACTTGAGAACTGAGCAAAAGG
Source organism: Homo sapiens (assembly GCF_000001405.40). Lineage (NCBI taxonomy): Eukaryota > Metazoa > Chordata > Mammalia > Primates > Hominidae > Homo > Homo sapiens. The sequence goes on along the minus strand of NC_000004.12, from coordinate 16,937,135 downwards.
AAAAAAGACTGGTTGGTATAGCCAAAAGAAGGTGACTGATTGCTTTAAAAAAAGTATTTAGTTAGCCAGGCACAATGGCTTATGCCTGGAATCCCAGCACTTTGGGAGGCTGAGGCAGGAGGATCACTTGAGGCCAGGAGTTCAAGACTAGACTGGCCAACATGGTGAAAACCCATCTCTACTAATAATGCAAAACTTAGCCAGGCATGGTGTTACACACCTGTAATCCCAGCTACTTGGGAGGCTGAGGCATGAGAATCCCTTGAACCCGGGAGGCAGAGGTTGCAGTGAGCCGAGATCATGCTACGGTACCCCAGCCTGGGCAACAGAGCAAGACTCTGTCTCAAAAAACAAAACAAAGCAAATCAAAACAAAAAACATTGAGGTAGTTAGTTATTTTGATATGGCGGTCTCGTTATGTTGCCCAGGCTGGTCTCGAACTCCTGGTCTCAAATGATCCTCCCTCCTCAGCCTCCCTAGCAGCTAAGATTACAGGCATGAGCTTCTGCTCACACTGATCCACTGATCTTGAGTTTGATCTCACCTCCATCTTTAACTCTTCTGTAATTTTGAACCAGTTATTTCTCCCTTCGTGTTTCACTCTTCCATTTACAAAATGAGAACTTTGATCTGACAGACCCTCTGATCTCTGCCCCTTGGAAAGTGCATTAAAAAGGGGGTTCAGATCAATTATGCAAGAAGCAAGAAGAATTGCAGTTCTTGAATGTAGACTTCAGAAGAATGAGGGAGCGAAAGACTTCACTTTTAGAAAAGACATATTACTTTGAGAATATATTTGCTGTCTTATCTATCTTCAGAGGCTGGTACCTAGAGCAGTCCAACACATAGTAAGCTCTCAATAAATACTTACTGGCTGCATATGATTTGCATTGCAGGAGCTAAAACTTGAGTCCCATATTAAAGGAGAATGTGGTTGATATTAAAGTTAAATATAGAAATAAGACATGGAAAGAAACACAGAAATCTCGGATTCTGATTTTTAAAATTAGGTAAAAATTTATCCTTTTGATTACTTAAATGATTGTTTCCTAAAGTATATTTTATGATATGCTAGTCTTCATGCTCTTATGCGATAAAAGGGTTTTACGATCAAATAAGTTTAGCAAATATCCATTCATGCCATCCCTCTCCTTAGGGATTCAATAAACATGTTAGCATATCAAAGGCCCTGAAAAGTCCTGCAAAAAGTAAATCTATTTAACTTCATCTAAGGTTTCCCACCATCGCCCATTCTTTTAAAACAAATAATGTTTATTAACATCTATGGAGTAAACTTCGAGAAGCACTGAATTAGATACAACTATTCTTGAGAAAGGAAAATGTATTAAATAACTCCCAAAGGTCCTGTTTATTGTTATAATAATATTTATATGTTATGATATAAATGTGAGACTGCCCTTGGCCTCTTAAATACTTGTAGAAAAATCTGTGATTCTAATTTATTTTATTTTGATCAGAATTTTAAAAGCAATATTTGGAATTTTATTTTTAGGTTCAAAAATTTGTTTAGTGCTTTTTTGCAGTCATTTTCTGCTTTTCATCTGGCTCTTTATAATCTAGGGGACCTTTAGTTGCTTTCAAAGATACATTGCTCTTTTTCTCTGGAAAAATAATATTACACCATGTTGAAGAGGATTTAAATCCATATATTTTGGGGAGTGTCTACTTTTTAAGGAGGGTGGTCTTTTGAGCTGAGGAAAATGGGTTCCTCCACGCTGATATGTATGAGAAATCTAAAAGGCACTGTGTGACTGGCTGTTGCCAAGAAAGCAAGCATAGTAATGAGGAGTTCCAATCAAGGAACCTCTTAGAGGCAGTGAGGTGCCATGAAATGAGCAGTAGCCTTGGAACCAGAGACCTGGGCTTCCCTGCTATGTTTGCCCCTTGTTCGCTATGGGACTTAGGACAAGTTACTTCATCTCATCTTAGGGTTATTGTAAGGTCCAAATCATTTAATGCATGTAGTAATATTCTATAAACTAAAATATTACCTAAATATTATAATGAGCATCATTACATTCATCTAGAACAGGGACGTCCAATCTTTTGGCTTACCTGGGCCACATTGGAAGAAGAATTGTTTTGGGCCACACATAAATTACACTAACACTAATGATCGCTCACGAGCTAAAAAAATTGCAAAAAAATCTCATAATGTTTTAAGAAAGTCTATAAATTTGTGTTGGACCACATTGAAAGCTGTCCTGGGCCTCATGGCTGCAAGTTGGGCAAGTTTGATCTAGAGGGACATATAGAAGATGAGGCTCTTTCATGTGTAATTTCTTTTTCTTTTCTTTTTTTTTTTTTGAGATGGAGTCTCTCTGTCACCAGGCTGGGGTGTAGTGGCACGATCTCGGCTCACTGCAACCTCCGCCTCCCAGGTTCAAGCGATTCTCCTGCCTCAGCCTCTCGAGTAGCTGGAATTACAGGGGCCCACCACCATACTTGGCTAATTTTTCGTATTTTTAGTAGAGATGGGGTTTCACCATGTTGGCCAGGATGGTCTCAATCTCTTGACCTTGTGATCCACCCGCCTTGGCCTCCCAAAGTGCTAGGATTACAGGCATGAGCCCTCTGTGCCAGGCCTCACATGTAATTTCTAAACATTCAGAACGTAAGGCTTATGATTCCAAATTTCATGCTTTTTCAAACCTACTGAAACATTCACCTCCGCCTCATCTCAAGTTTTGCTTCTTAGTGTTTACTGTGGAAGCTCTACCATCTAGAAATCCAATCCCCAGTTCTCAAATTCTACCCCGACAGCTGTTCCTCAAGGCTTTCAAAGCTTCAAAAGATGGTGTCTCCAGCAGCAGGTTTAAAACTCCATGTCATCTGTTCCATGAAATCTGGACTTCTCCCACGTTACTTCTCCCACTTAAAAGTGAATTGAACCATTATTCACCTACTATTCATATTTCACCTACTATTTTCCCATGTCTGCTTTTTGGATAATATCTTTTATTCTTCCATATCCTTCACCATTCCCAGTGAATCAGTAAATTAGTAATAATCTCCTGAGTTTACTTATTTAATGCCAGCCTTTTGTAGGTTGAATTTTGCCCCACTAAAAAGATAAGTTTAGGTCCTAAACCCCAGTACCTATGAATGTGACCTTATTTGGAAAAAGGGTCTTTACGTACGCAATCAAGTTAAAATCAGACTGGAGTAGGGTTGACCCTAATTCAATGACTGGTATTCTTATTTAAAAAAAAAAAAGGGGGGGTGGCGGGAATTTGGACACAGAGAAAAAGACATACAGGAAGAAGGTGGAGATTGCTGCAATCATGAAAAACTAGCAAGAAGTGAGGAAGGATCCTTCCCTAAAGCATTCAGAGAGAGCTCAAACCCGGCAAAACCTTGACTTGGAATCCTAGACTCCAAAGCTATAAGAGAATCTATTTCTGTTGTTTGAAGCCACCAACTTTGAATACCTAGTTATGGCAGCCCTAGGAATCTAATACACATACTCACTGTCATTTTCCTGGTTCTTGCAGGGATGACTGGCTGTAAATGCTGCCTGTGAGATCATTCTGCTCCCGCCTTCCCCGTTAAATTCCATTTTGCACGTGGCAGACTGAGTGATCTCAACTAAAATTCACTCAGATCGAGTTACTTTCCTGATTCATTGCTCTTAGGATAAAGTCTCCATTTTTCTTAACATAGCTTCTCATCTTCTCTTTCTAACTATCCCTTTCTTCTTCTTTTTTTTTTTTTTTTTTTTTTTTTTTTTGAGACGGAGTCTCGCTCTTTCACCCAGGCTGGAGTGCAGTGGCGCTATCTCGGCTCACCGTAATCTCCGCCTCCCAGGTTCAAGCAATTCTCCTGCTTCAGCCTCCCGAGTAGCTGGGACCACAGGCGCCCGCCACTACGCCTGGCTAATTTTTTGTTTTTTTAGTAGAGATGGGGTTTCGCCGTGTTAGCCAGGATGGTCTCAATCTCCTGACCTCATGATCCACCCCCCTCGGCCTCCCAAAGTACTAGGGTTACAGGCATAAGCCACCACGCTGGGCCCCCTTTCTTCTAACTTAGCTTACCCTCAGTTCTCAGCTTTCATGACATTTCCACTTCCCTGTATTCCTTCATCAGACAAGAAACTCCATGAGGAAAAGTCCTGTGTCTTATCTTCATCTCTGTGATTTCCTTAGACATGGTACTGTGCTGAGCATGTCAGATATATGAACATTGGTTTCAGTAATTCATAAGTTATCCCTTGAGTATAGATACAGAGACTGAGGCTCAGAGTTTACATGAAATGCAGATAAAGGCTGTGGACTTGCTAGCATTATTGCTATCCATAGCCTGTATTTATTGCCAAAACCGAACTATCTTTGCAACAACTCTTTGACGTGGGATCTTTTAGTATCCTCCTTTCCAGAAGAAGCAACTTAGGCACAAAGTGGGAGAGACTTGCCTGAGGTCATACTCCTCGTTAGTGGTAGAGCTGGAGATTGAGCCCACGCAGCCTGACTTCAGATGTCACAGTTTCAGCATAGCTCCATTTTCCCTGGATAGTTTGTGTCAAATATTCAGACCTGGTTTGGGGGCCAGGTATCAGAAAGTCATGCATCTTTATTTTTGTTTCTGAGTATAAAGTCCCTATGCACTGTAAAGAAATTGGCATTGCTCACATACCTTCTGCACAATGCTTTACTGGAGCCTAGATGACAAAGTTCAAATCTGACTTCATCTTCATTCAACATCATTTAGTGAGCACCTTTTATGCATCAGGTTCTATGGTAGACAGTAGGCATGCAGAGAAGATCAAACCAGGTCTTGGACTTAGGAGCTCACATTCTGATAAGGGAACGAGTCAAGCAAATGAAAATATTATAGTTCAATGTAATTGATACACTCATGGATTTATTTCCAAGGTAAAGAGCTGGTCCTGGGAGGGCTGGACTCATTTGCTTTGGGAAAAGGGAGCCACAAGAAAAACTGGCTGTTGAGCAGGAAAAGATGATGAAATAGTCCAGTGTTTTTCTTTTTTCTTTTATTATTTAATTCTAAGCAGTTTAGTAATGTCAAACAAAACAAAGAGGGCAGAGTACAAGCCAAAGAAAAGGGCTGGAGCCAGAAGATAATGGGATATCTATATCATGCTAGAGAGCCTGGATTTTGCCAAGGGGATGATATAATTACTGAAGGATTTAGTAAAGGAAGAGATACAAAGACTTTTGCTTTAGAAAGTCCACGTGGCTGGCCTCCTTACATTATAAAAAGCATATTATGTTTCTATTACATGCACATATGTGCATTTTGTGTATACATGCATTTTTGAGTGTTTATATTGATGTACACATACTCCTACTGTGAGTCAGTTGAACTGTATGATACTGCCATTTCTATTGGTTAAAAAATGGTCAAATATCACTATTTCCAACAGTCTGACCTGTAATTTATAGTATGGTAGAAGAATAGATTGTGAAATCAAAAACCCTAGGTGTGAATTTCACATTTTAGCTTGAGTTCCACAGAATCAGACTGACACAAGGACTCACGGTGAAGGAGTTTCTGGTGGGACGTGCCAGTTGAGGAAGAGACACAGAGAAGAAAATGCAGCCCACAAAGGGCGTGCTATCCAGCCAGCCACAACAGAAGCCAAAGGCAGTGGAAACTTACTCTCACTGGGCAGATGTGGAATTCAGTGTAGACGTGCATCTCAGAGGCAGCCCACCCAAGGGGAGGGGGCTGGGATATTTGCATAGTAACTTCCATTAGTAACTGGTTAAGAGCTGCTGCTAAGGACAGGCATAGTGGCCTTCAGAGCTCCAGAGAAAGTCCTTCCACTCCCTGTTAACTGGGTTTACATACTCCTGTTAGAAGTCTGCCGGGGTGCAATACAATGATGAGGCCTGAGGGATATGATCCCCCACACCCATCTCTATGACTTGCCAGCTAAATGGCCTTGACTTAGTTCCTTAATGCCTTTGAGGCTCATTTTTGTACTACCAAAATGGGGACCACAATACCTTCACCTGGGGAGGATTAACACACTTTATTGTTAATATACTACTAAGGTAATATATTTCTAGTGCATTAACACCAAAACAGATAGCAGTCTCAACATTTACAAAACAACTTTTCTTTTCTTCTAGACCTTCTCCTTACTGAGCCTTCATTTCTACTCCCAGAGAAGTCCAATAGGTAAGTCGTGCAAACCGATAACCTTGAACTCCACGAGATAAGCTCTTAGAATTGAAAAGTAACATATGCCTCTCTACGGTGTTCCTTTCAGTCAAATACAGCCCACTTATTGCTAATAATATTTCTGCTTCTTCATGCAAGGAGGATGTCAGTAGTGGGGTCACTTGTGTGGCCCATAGAGAAAGCTAGCGCTGTTTTCCATGGTGTCATACTAAGAATTCTGGATTGTGTCTGCAGCAAGAGAAGTTCAGATCTCAGGGGTGGCCAGCTGCTCTGCATTGATACCTAAGCAAAGGGGAATTGAGATTTTTCAGGGTGAACACAGAGAGTCCTGAATTACAGGTTCATACCTGGAGGAAAGACCAGGAAGGCATGCGTTTCCATCTTAAAATACCTCCCTTGCCAGTGTCTGAAATCCCACTTCTAGCAACCCATGTTTTGTGTGTTAGGTATTGCTGTCTCTCTCTCTCTCTCTAAATTGAACTATAATTATATACGGTGAAATGCACAGATCTTAAGCATAGAATCTGGTGAGTTTTGAAAAATGTATACACCTGTGTAACCAATAGCTTTACCAAGATAACAGAACATTTCTGTCACCCCAGAAAGGTCTCTGCTGCCTTTTATCATTCAACTTCCCCTGATAGCCATTCTTTTTAGTTTTATCCCCACAGATCAATTTTGCCTGATCTCAAAATTCTTATTAAAAATAACAAAATATGCATTCTTTTGTGTTTTGCATCTTTTGCTCAACACAATAATTTTAAGATTCATTTATGTTGTTTTGTATAACAGTAGTTTCTCCTTTGTTATTGCTGGGTGATATTCCATTGCATAGTATACCACCATTTGTTTATCTGTTTTCCTGGTGATGAACATTTGGATTATTTTCTTTATTTTATTCTATTTTATGCTATTACGAATAAAATTGACATGAATCTTCTTGTAAAAGTCCTTTTGTGGGCAAAGGTTTCATTTCCTTCAGCAAAATATCTTGGAATAATGCTCTATAAAAGAAGGTATACAAATGCCCAACAAACACCTGTAAGAATGTTCACCACCATTAATCATGTAAGAGATGTACATTTAAACCACTGTGAGATACCACTGCATCCTACTAGGATGGCTAAAGTTTACAAATATTCTCTTTGAACAGGCAAATGAATCTGGAAATAATATTCTTTTAAGTTTTTAATGTTTTTATTAGGAAACAAACACACAAAAATAGAAGAATAGTTTAATGAACCCTCATATATTCATTTCATAGATGCAACAATTACCAACATTTTGCCATAATTACCTTGTGTCATTTTTCAACAATAATCAATTATCCCATTCTCTGACACGAACTGGGTGGATGTCCTACAGTTCAATTCAATTCTGTCACTAATTAACTGGCATTAGTACAGACCCCACAAATCAAGGGCTCAGTCCCATAAGCCTGCCCCCACTTCAGATGCCAGCCTGAAAGGGGGTCCTCAGGACCTCTGCATTTCTGCCTGGCCAACTACAAAATTGGGAATTGTGAGGCTACTCTCCCTATCAAATTTGGTAATTATCTAGGATGACTCACAGAGTTCAGCAAAAGTGCCTTACTTATAATTACCATTTTATTATAACAAATACAGCTCAGGAACAGCCAAATGGAAGAGATGCATGGAGCAAAATATGGGGGTCATGGTTGGTGGGGGGCTTCTCAACCTGGAAGCTCCCTGAACCCCACAACTTAGAGGTTTTGTGCGGAGGTTTCATTACATGGTGTGATTGATTTAATCATTGGCCATTAGTGACTGACCTCAACTTCCACCTCCTCTCCCCTCCTCAGAGGTCCTGACATGGGGCTGAAAGTTCTAACCCTCGAATCACAAGGTTGGTGTCCCTGCTGGTGGCTAACCCCCATCCAGACGCTACCTAGGGCACCCCATAAGTCACTTCATCAGATAAACTTAGGTGAGGTTGAAAGGGACTTGTTATGAATAACAAAAGATAGTCCCCTATCACTCAGGAAATTCCAAGCAAATTTAGGAGCTCTGTGCCAGAAACAGAGGTGGGAGGAACAAAGACCAAATATTTATTTTTTTGTTATGCCACATATCCCAGTTATGTCTTATTTGCATATTTATTAGTTTTTAAAATTTTGCAGTAGTACTTAATTTAACTTAATTAATTAATTTAGAATTAGGGTCTCATTCTGTTGACCAAGCTGGAGTGCAGTGGCCGATCGTAGATCACTGTAATCTGAAACTTCAGGCCTCAAGTGATCCTCCCACCTCGGCCTCCCAAGCTCTGGGATTACAGATGTGAGTTACCATCCCTGGCCTGCTATAGTGTGTTTTAAAGAAAAACTTCTATATCAGGTTGTTTTATGCTTAAGTAAGGACATTTCATATATAAGCAAAACACTATTTTGTACTTAATGAACAATAATATCATCTAATACCCTCTCCATACTTAGATTTCCCAAATCATCTCAAAAATGTCTTTATAATTGATTGACACATTGCATTTGGTTGTAACATATGGTTTTCTCTTTTATCTAGAAGAGCCCCTAGCTTATCCCCTTCCTTTTTTCCCATGCCATTGAATTATTACAGAAACCACATCAACTGTCTGTAAAATCCACGCTGTGATTGTCTCCTAATAGTACAATTTCTCTGGTGCCTTCATCAATGTCTTTTCTTTTTTTAAAAAAAAATTTTTAACTTTTATTTTAAATTTAGGCGTACATGTGCAGGCTTGTTACATAGGTAAACTTGTGTCATGGGGGTTTGTTGTACAGATTATTTCATCACCCAGGTATTAAGCCTAGTACCCATTAGTTATTTCTCCCGATCCTCCCCCTCCTCCCAACCTCCACCCTCTGAGAAGCCCCAGTGTGTGTTGTTTCCCTCTATGTGCTGATGTCATCTTTTATTTAAACAAGAAGATAGATCTAAAAGATTCAGGTTCTCGTTTTTAGAGCAAGAATACTTCATAGGCGGTTTCATTTATTTTGATGGGTATTTTTTGAGTGTCTACCATGTTTTCAGTGCTGAGAGTTACAAAGGTAAATTCCATATATCAAAGCCTTGTTGTTAAAGATGTTATCCCAGTTGGTGAGAAAGGCATGTAAGCCAATCAATATCATAATATAAATGCCATGGAGGATTTGGGTGGGGGATATAAATTCTGATAGGGGCACCAAGGCTACATGAGAAAGTGATAAATGAACCGGCTCTAGAGAAAACAGTAAGGTTTGCCAGTCAAAGGAGAGAGAGTGGGGAATTTGCTAAGCCAAGGACCTGTGTGTCTACAGGAGATGCATAATTTCACCAGAACAGGTTGTTGAGGTCTTACAGAAAAGTGGAAGAATTTGGACTTTATCTTTTGAGCACTGGCAAGTATGGAAAGAATTTTATCTGAGGGTGGGCGCTGGGTGGGATTGTCAGCCTGGAGTGCAGTGTTCAGCACCTGAGTGTGAATAGATTTACCAAGAATTGCCCTCTCATCTCGAGGCAGACTCCACAAGTCCTGTTTTAATTTCTTACGATGTGGCCCCAGACAAAAGCTGACATTTAGCATGTTAAATGCCCCATGCCATGTTTATTGTGCCCCTTGCCCCATCAAGTGGCCTTTGTAACCATGGAAACAGTTCAGGTTTTCAATCTAGCAGAAGATAAAGAACGGGCATATAGTGTTGAGCGGACTATGCAGACAACATTAACTCCCTTTTCCTAGACTGCTCGATGATGCTAAGCAAGTTGTAGTGGCAGCAGCCAAGGGATAGTCCTGCCACCTGATGTCCACCCAGTAGCTGACTTCTGCAGCCTGTATATTATGTTAATGATTGGAGGAGGCATCATGGCACCTGCTCAGAGGAATCAGTGAATAAATGGCAGGCTCCCAGTTCTGGAAAACTGTAAAAATGACTCAAATAAAGAAACTAGTTGGGCTGCTCTGCCTATGGACTAGCAATTCTTTTGTTTCTCTACTTCTCTAATAAACTTGCTTCCACTTTACTCAGAAAGAAAGAAGAAAGAGAAAGCAAGCAGGAAGGAAGGAAGGAAGGAAAGGAGGAAGGGAGGGAGGGAGAGAGAGAGAGGGAGGGAGGGAGAGAGGGAGGGAGAGAGAAAGAAAGAAAGAAAGAAAGAAAGAAAGAAAGAAAGAAAGAAAGAGAGAGAGAAAGAAAGAAAGAAAGAAAAAGAAAGAAAAGAAAGAGAAACTAAGTAGGTGGAAGTGCTAGAGCAGGGACAAGAAAATTGTCACTGCAAAGCCAAAGGCCCCCCGATTTACTCTTCCTGGCTGCACTCAGAGGCTGGAGGCCAGGTGTGAGATCATCACAAAACACTGATTTCCAGCCCTTCTCATGTCCAATCCTGTCAGGTGGAGTGGGGGACTTTAGCACTATTTTTCAAAACCCCCAGGTGATTCAAACACAATTGGGTTTGCAAACAACTGAGCTAACCCAAGCAAAGGAAAAGTCAACCAAGTCAATCCAGATGGGCAGGAAGGGGATGAGCTAAATCTAAGACCAGGCACTAAACTTCTCAGCAGCCTAGCAAGGGTGCACAGAGGAAACCTCCCTACTTTGAAGAATCCCTTTGATGTGTCTAATACATAATTAGAGAGATACCACTGCTTCAACGGTAAAGAGATCCTACACAGCAAAGCTGCTGAGAAAGAACAAATTAAATTCAGTGTTGCCCAGCACTGGTGTGTAGAACAGATGGAAAGGGCAGCACCCAGCTGCACCTTGCTGGAGAGGGAGGCATCCACACCTGTAAGCCCTCTGCTACCTATTCTCCTGTAGTCTTTAGGGGAGAGCTGTGAGTATACATTCAGAAGTTGCTTGGGAATTTTAGCAGGCAACAAAGACCATGTACTGTGGGTGAAAGCAAATTATTAAATAACAAAAAAACAATCCAAGCTGCAATCTACCAGGTTTCTAGGGCACTCAGTGTAACATGGGAGTTCTGTTGGACCCTACTGAAGCAATAGGTGTGTTGCTTTCCTTAAAGACGGACGACACCATGTCCTAATATTATGAACTCCAACTTTTTTTTTTTCCTGTAAACTCTTACCAACTCTATCACTCAGCACCTGAAGCTTCAAATAATTGACTTGTGGAAATGAAGACATAAACAGAATTTAGCTTCTTCTGCTCCAAATCACATGCACCCATAGCCTTAATTCCTTCTTATGGAGCTCTTGGTACACATTTGAGTCCAAGCTTCTAAGTTTATCGATAAACTGAGTGTCTGCAAAAGCAATTGTTTGTGAAATATCAAGAGTTGTAGATAACAATTATAAAGGCCAGTAAAATTCAAATGTAAAACAATCAATCAGCAAATATTAAACACCTAGTGTATATTTTTCTACTTTTTCCCCCATGGCAAATTTCACTATCTAACTTACTAATAATTCACTCATTTATTAAGCATATTGTTTGTCTTTCTCCTCTTGCGCTAGGACGTAGGCTTGTTTGCGTGTTGAAGATTGTCCCAAGTCCTAGCTCAGTGCCCTGTGTGTAGTCACTCAGAACTACTTATTGGATGAATTCATGAATAAAAGTTAAACAGGTTCTGGATTTCAGGTTCTGGATTTCCATGAACAAAATGAGCTAAGCCTTGATTTATAAATCCAAATTATAATTTCTGGCTTAATGCAACCCCTTTTGTATTAATAGGAAACACCAGAAGTTAGCTGAACATTGGGTGGTTGGTAGGTCCTGTCAGGGAGCAAATGAACATCAGCAGTCAGCATGGTTAGAAAAGAAAGCAAACTAGTCCGATGCTCTTGAAGGCTATTTTCATCTAGTAGAGATGTTGGGATGCTGCAAACTTTTTTTTTTTCCACTTTGGGATTTTTCTGTTTAGATCATTGGAATCATTTTACTTCATTTGCAAACAACTGAGTGAAGGTATTGTGATGTGTGACCATTAGGATAACAATTTTAGAATCAGAGATGCAGAGATTGACTTTAGACTGTAGATTGTAGGGAGGAAAGATTTCTTTCCTCACCCCTCTGTAGGTTCATGGCTGAGGCACCTGTAACAAAAGACAGATTAACAAGAGAAAAACATATAAATTTATTTCACAATGCAAACAAATAGTTTTCCTTTGCTACTCTGAATCTGGAAAGAAAAGGACAAGAAGCTTTTACCTTCCTTTCCCCACTGGAAACTACAGACAGTGGGGAGTGTCTGTAGTATCCAGGAGTTTTTAACGTTCCTCACCCCACTGGGAACTACAGACAGTAGGGAGTGTCTGTAGTATCCAGGAGTGCTGACCTTGGGAAGAATTCTTCCCTTTTTTTTTGGCATTTTGTTCATTGTCCCGGGATCTCATCTGCAGGATTAAAAGTGACCAGAAAAGTCTCAGCTGTTCTACCTGGGGTGTGAGGAACAAACTCGGGGGAGGCAGAAGAAATATCTTTCTTTACTATCACAGGGTTCATGGCTGGGGTCCCTATAACAAAAGACAGATTAGCAAGAGAAAATCATATACATTTATTTAATGTAAGTTTTACATGACATGGAAGCCTTCAGAAATAAAGACCCAAGGAACAGGAAATCTGTATGTTTTTATGCTAAGTTTGATGAAGTGGATAGTTGTAGAGAAGTGTGATTGGACAATAGGGGTATAATCTAATGGTAATAAACCAGGGGAAACTTAACAAAGCTTGTTTATACAGACTCTTCTCTGTGTCCTTGTGTCTTAGAGATAAGGACATTTCTTTCCTCTGGGTATAGGGAGGGTACCTCTGAGATGAGGGTCCTATGACCTGCTTTGGAGGAAGGTCAGAGAATTCTTTTATAATCTGTAGCAGAAGACACGGGCAGGGGAAGGCCAGAGAGACCTTCCTGCTTCTGCTGTTTTCTCAAATGCCAAGGTGCCATATTTTGGGGTAGCATCCTAAATCCCATCAAGACTGTAACCTCCTAAACAGCAGAGACCCATTTTTGGTAGGCCTACCACACAGAGGGCACTTCCATATACAGTTGTCAAGACAAACCTCATAACTTGCCCCCAGTTTATAAATAGAAGGGTCAAGATTTGAAACCAAGTTCATTCCCTTTCCACTGTCCAGGAGGATAATCATCAGGACGGCTGGAATTTTCTGAGTGTTGTCTTTGTAGCAGCCAGTTCCAAACACCTTATATTTCAAGTTTGTGGGGAGAAGGAATTTGAATCCAGCCTGTCTCTCTTCAGAGTCAAGACTCTTTATTGTTAAAGTTGTATTTTAGTGTCCCTGAGATTGGTTTTTATGCATAGAAAACACTATTTAGAAGTTGTATTTGGGTCTAAACAACTAGTATTCAATGCATCAAAGTTACAGATTCATGAAACCTAGCTCTTTCCTAGGATTTTAGCTTCATTTTGAAGTTTTTGCTTTACTTATAAATCTAGCAAATGTTAGCAATTTTTTGTTTATTTTTGTTAGCAATCTTTTTGTTGATCAGTTGACATTTTTTATTATTTTATTTTGAAAAATGTCAGACATACACAGAATGAATAACATAATAAACCCACATGTATCCATCATTCAGTTTCAATGATTATCAGTCAACTAATGGACAGTTTCTTCCATCCATACTTCTACTCACTTCCCTTTCTCTTATTATTAGAAAGCTAATTGGCATTATCCTATCATTTCACACATAAATACTTTAATATGTATGTAAGAAAGACAAGAACTCATAAAAACATAGCCCCTATTTTATTACTTTACATAAAATAGCAGTCAATTTTCAATATCAAGTTTACAGTGTTACTCAATTTTTCAATTGTTTCGTAAATGTCACTCTTGTAAAAACATTTTATTTGTTTGCATGAGAATTCAAATAAGATCCATATATTGTGATTGTTTAATAGGTATTTTAAATTTATTTTAATCTATAGGTTGTTTCTTCTCTCTCTCTATCTCTCTTTGCTACAATTTGTTTATTGAAGAAAATGGGTTATTTGTCCACAGTCCTTTCTTTACAGGAATAATAAAATTTATATTTTGCATAATTATTTAATTGCATTATTTCACAATACACACACAATAGTCTCTGAATGACAGCATCAACTTTGCCATAAACAATAGGAAGATTTTTGAAAGTTTACATATTTGAGGGACAGTTCTTTTTGTCCTTAGTGTGTATCCTACCCACCAGGGATAAATAGTCAAATTATTGTGACTTACAGTCATTCGGAATTATTTTTCTTTTTGTGGATTTGACACAAACTATATATACAGTGAAATTCATCTGTTTCATTTTACTTTTTATTAGTAATAATAGATTTTTAAATTTAATTTGTTTTAAACATATGTAAATTTTTGGCATAGTTCCCAAGACAATCAAAAAACAAAGCCAAATCTTAAAAAATAGACCCCAAATAGGTGACTATTTTCTTTTTATTTTAGGGCTTATTCTTTAATTATTTGCTTTTTATTAATATAAGCAAGTATATGCATATATCAGACTCCCTTTATTTAAGAAAACACAGTATTCACACTTTTCTTACCTTGCTTTTTAAATATAACAATTGATCCTATTACTCTATAGTATATATTGATAGAGCTATTCCTTATTTTTTATATAAATCTGCATGTGATTACATTGTGTGAATGTGCCAGGGTTTATTTGACCAATCTTCTTCTGATGGACACTTCGGTCATTTCCATGTTTTTGCTATTATAAGTAATGCTGCAATAAACAGCCTTGATGCTATTCCTTTTCCTCCCTCCCTCCCTCCCTCCCTCCCTTCCTTCCTTCCTTCCTTTATAAGTAATCCTGCAATAAATAGCTTTGATACTATTCTTTTCCCTCCCTCCCTCCCTCCTTCCCTCCCTCCCTCCCTCCCTTCCTTCCTTCCTTGCTTTTAGCTAGGGTATTTGTAAAATATATTCCTAGAAATTGGATCGAATCGAAATTTAAATGCACATATCTACCTATCTATCTATATTTATATATATAGATATTGACAAATTCTCTTCTGTAAGAGTTTTACAACTTTGCATTTCTAGCAGCAATATATGAAAGTGTCTACTCGCCTAAAGTCAAACCTATAGAATTTTTGCCAAATTAATAAGAAAGCTTGGATTTTGCTACTTAATGAATGAGAAATGGTATCCTAATCTGAAGTAGATTTCTTTAATTATAAATTGAGCATGTCTACAAAAGTAATCATATAATTTTTCTCTTTTGGTTTATTAATATGGTGCCTTATACAAATACAACCTCTGATATTGAACCACCTTTGCATTCCTCAAAAACAAAAGTATCCATGGTTACAATGTTTATTTTAGTTTTTTTTTTTTTTTTTTTTTTTTTTTTTCCTGAGATGGAGTCTCACTCTGTTGCTCAGGCTGGAGTGCAATGGCGCTATCTCAGCTCACTGCAAGCTCTGCCTCCCGGGTTCACACCATTCTCCTGCCTCAGCCTCCCGAGTAGCTGGGACCACAGGTGCCAGCCACCACACCCGGCTAATTTTTTTTTGTATTTTTAGTAGAGACAGGGTTTCACCGTGTTAGCCAGGATGGTCTCGATCTTCTGACCTCATGATCCGCCCACCTCCGCCTCCCAAAGTGCTGGGATTACAGGCGTGAGCCACCATGCCCGGCCTATTTTAATTTTTTTAATACTTTTCTTTTAAGGTTAGGATTGTTTATTTCTTTAATGCGCTATTGGGTTATGTTTGCTAATATTTTATTAAAGATTTTTGCATAAATATTCAGTAGTGTGAATGGTCTGTATGTAGTTTTCTTTTTTGACACAATTTTGTCAACTTATACCAATGTTATATTCACTTTATAAATCCATTTAGAATTTCTCCTTATTTTTATCATTTATTCTTTAATATCATATGAAAAATGCATATTCATTGAGAAGCCCTTTTAGCATTCCAATGAACTGAGGTTGCCTATCTACTAAGGAAGGCAGGTAACATCTCAGTTAACTGTATAAAAGAGACTGTCGCCGGGTGCGGTGGCTCATGCCTGTAATCTCAACACTTTGGGAGGCCAAGGCGGACGGATCAAGAGGTCAGGAAATCGAGACCATCCTGGCTAACAGAGTGAAACCCCGTTTTTACTAAAAATACAAAAAATTAGCCGGGCGTGGTGGCAGGCGTCTGTAGTCCCAGCTACTTGGGAGGCTGAGGCAGGAGAATGGCGTGAACCCGGAAGGCGGAGCTTGCAGTGAGCGGAGGTCACGCCATTGCACTCCAGCCTCGTCAACAGAGAGACTCCATTTCAAATAAATAAATAAATAAAAATAAAGACTTTGTCTATGAATGAGGCTTAATGCTGCAGACAACTGGTCAGACTCTCAGAGCTATTTTTCCTCATTACAGAAGATTGGATGGCACATAGCATATGCTCAAAGATGTTCGATATTATGATAAGATGACAAAAGGAACATAAGCCTGATGAAAATCATGAATCCTAAATTAAAATCAGTACATGTGGTCTGGCAACAGGATACGATATTTGAAACTGGGACTATCCCAGAAACCCCCAGATGTACAGTTATGGCTCCTATAGACTCCCTAATGTTTAATTGAAGTTAACCATTTGTCCACATGAAAAGAGAGGAGGAAAGAAATGAACTAACCCTGAGAGTATTTACTATGTGTGAAGCTATATCCTAAGGGCTTTTCTCCCTTGATCTTATTTAATCCAAACTAAGAACCCTTAAGAGTAGTTATTAGTTATTATCACTAGATTCAGGTGAAGAAACTAAAGCTTAGCATAGTTCAAGTAACTTTTTAAAAGTAATTGTCAAATTCATGAGATAAGAAAGTGACAGAAAGGAAACCAAAAAGAAACTGGGACTGTTGGTTACAGAACCTACTTTTAACTACTACACAAGGAATCTTTTCTTTTCTGAGTTTATTAGGGGTAGTATACCTTAGTAGCAAAAAGTTAAAAAAATAAAAATAAGACAAAAAGAAATGAAAATAGTATGAAATTTCACCTTTTGAGAAAATGTTTCAAATGCCTTCTTCCAGGACATTTCTTGTCTAAATTCATTCATATAAATATGCACATATAAATGTTTATGTGTGTGTGTGTATATATATATATATATATATATACACACACACATATATATTTTAGCAAAGATGGGCAAAAAAGCTATAAATACACGTAGAATTTTGTTAACTTTTTAAAAAAATTGTAGAATTTTCAAGTTTTCAAGATTCTGCTTTTTAAATTTTAATAACACAATTTCCCTTCTTGCTCAGAAGGAAAACTTGATCACCTTTTTTGTGGACTCTGATGGCTGGCTTTGATTCCTCTGCCATGCCACTGCTTCTTAAGAGGTTGTACACCCCAGGCGCAGTGGCTCACGCCTGTAATCCCAGTACTTTGGGAGACTGAGGCGGGAGGATCACGAGGTCAGGAGTTCGAGACAGCCTGGCCAACATGGTGAAACCCCGTCTCTACTAAAGACAGAAAAAAAAAATTAGCCAGGTGTGGTGGAGTGCGCCTGTAATCCCAGAAATACGGGAAGCTGAGGCCGGAGAACCGAGAACCGCTTGAACCTGGGAGGCAGAGGTTGCAGTGAGCCGAGATTGCACCATTGCCCTCCAGCCTGGGCTACAGGGCAAGACTCATCTCAAAAAAAGAAAAAAAAAAAAAAGAGGTTGTATATATTTTATACGTAAGAGTGGGCGAAAAAAGGGTTGCGGAAGGATAAAGGAAACAGTCCCTGGCAAATGTAGGTAGTCAATAAATGTTTGCTAACTGAATTAAAGAATGCATGCTAAGTTCGATCTTCTTATATTTAAATGCAATTATTTCATCTTTGTAGCAAGTAATAAAGGATTGCAAGTTTCTGGGGGTGGGGCCACTTTCACTCCTGTCCCCGTGAAGAGACCACCTAACAGGCTTTGTATGAGCAACAAGGCTGTTTATTTCATCTGGGTGCAGGCGGGCTGAGTCCGAAAAGAGAGTCAGCAAAGGGAGATGAGGTGGGGCCATATTATAGGATTTGGGTAGGTAAAGGAAAATTACAGTCAAAGGGGGTTCTCTGGCGGGCAGGGGCAAGGTGGGGAGGGGGTGTCACAAGTTGCTCAGCGGGGGAGCTTTTAAGCCAGGATGAGCCAGGAGAAGGAATTTCACAAGGTAATGTCATCAGTTAAGGCAGGAACAGGCCATTTTCACTTCTTTTGTCATTCTTCAGTTACTTCAGGCCATCTGGATGTGTACTTGCAGGTCACAGGGGATGTGATGGCTTAGCTTGGGCTCAGAGGCCTGACAGCCACTACTAAGAAATGATTGTAATTATATTATTGCCTCCACTGGCTCCACTATTGAAAGTGAAATGATGAAGGAGTTCAACAGCTCACGTATGAGGAAGTATATTTTAGGGGCCTTTTTGTGCTTCCTTTCCTCCCCACCTCTTACTCAGCTAATGATCTAATGGTAGGAAAGCAGGCAAAGGCCATAAGCAGGCAAGTTCAGAATAGAAAAATATACAGATGAATGATTGTCATGAAAATACTTAATCTCACTTATAGTCAAAGAAATGTCAGTTATTACAAAATACATAACTGTGAAATTATTGTATATGTGCATTATACATTTTGGTGGACACTGACAAATTGTCTTCCAAAAGGACAGGACCCATTCACACTCTTCCCCAGTGATTACTATGGCCATTCCTCTACTTCTCTGACAGACGTGAATTTTTTCTGTTATTAATCTAACAGAAACCAGCATTTTATGTTGATTTTCATTTTCTTGATTATAAGTGAGGTTGAATGTCTTTCCATATTCTCAGTGGTGATTTGTACTGTGTGAATTGTTGGTTTATATCTAATGTTCATTTTCTATAGGATTGTTTTCATTTTCCTATTGAGATATACATTTTAAAAAAATTAAGGCTATTAATCTTTATTCATTTATTTTGCAAATATTGCCACCAAATGTTTTATTTATCTCTTAACTTGGCTCACTGTGTTATACAAACGATAATTTCATTGCCATAATTATCAATTCTTTCTCCATTGACTTCCAGGTCTTATGCTTGACTTTGGAATATATTTCCCATAGAGATTTTTTTCCCATTGCAATATTATCAGAATATCCTTCTTTGGCTGGGCGCGGTGGCTCCCGCTTGTAATCCCAGCACTTTGGGAGGCCGAGGCGGGTGGATCACGAGGTCAGGAGATCGAGACCACGGTGAAACCCCATCTCTACTAACAATATAAAAAATTAGCCGGGCGAGGTGGCTGGCGCCTGTAATCCCAGCTACTCGGAGAGGCTGAGGCAGGAGAATGGCGTGAACCCGGGAGGCGGAGCTTGCAGTGAGCTGAGATCGCGCCACTGCACTCCAGCACTCCAGCCTGGGTGACAGAGCGAGACTCTGTCTCAAAAAAAAAAAAAAAAAAAGAATATCCTTCTTTAAATATCCTCCCCGCCTTTTTTTTTTTTTTTTTTTTTTTTTGACAGAGTTTCCTTCTTATTGTCCAGGCTGGAGTGCAATGGTGTGATCTTGGCTCACTGCAACCTCTGCCTCCCAGATTCAAGCGATTCTCCTGCCTCAGCCTCCCAGGAAGATGGGATTTCAGGCGTGCACTACCACCCTCGGCTAATTTTGTATTTTTAGTAGAGACAGAGTTTCACCACGTTGGTGAATTCCATGAAGAACTAATAAAATATGGCTGTGCAATGAAGAAAGTGGGTTTCTGTAGATTGGGTCATTAGGGAAGACTCCGATGAAGAGGTGGTGTTTAAGCTGAAACCTGAATAATGATCAGAAGGTAGGCTTAGAGTCTGGGCAAAAGAGAATCCCAGAGAGTAAAAAGCAAGTACAAAGACCTTAAAGGGAATTCTAGTTTGGCGTATTTGAAGTCAGAAGGAAGGCGGTAGAACTGGGAAGAGGAAAGACATGGACGTGCTCAGAGATGTACACAGGGTCCAATAGTGAGTGGCCTCACAGAGACTGGTAGATAGCTAGGGTTTATTCTAAGTGATAAGGAGACATTGGAGAACTTTAAACAAGGACACCCTGTGGTGTGATTTAGAATTTACATTCGTATGCTTGCCCTCCCTGAGGCTGCCACTAGAGGGAGACAGGAGGCGCTGAGGCAGTCACAACGCAAGCTCCCCAGGTACCGCCCCTGCTCAAGGGAAATCACCGTGCATTCAGGCCATTACCTGCTATAAGGGCAGGGAATGTACAGGAGGGAAACCGGCTGTTCTGACTGGGGAAAGAGGGCCGGAACTTTGTGTCGTTTTTAAAAAGGCGGGTTATCAATGGATCTGCTCATGTCATCTCTTTGATTTTGTTTGTTTTCATTGTTTGATTCTAAATAAGCAATCATACTCCAGATATGAGGGTCGGCGTGCCACTTTCTGTTGTCCATATACTGACCACACCAATCTGTAGGGCCATTGTCCCCTCCCCATTGAGTGATGATCTAGTTCCCAAAGCAGGATTCTCCGGACCAATCTCACAGCCCCCTCCCCAAAACCCACAGCCTGAATCTTGGGAAATTGTTCAATTTCACCATAACCTTAAGCAGAGTCCTATAAATAACTAAAATGTATGGCTCAAATTCTTCTGCAGTAAACACACTGGAAAGAAAAATGTGCAGTCAAACCAAGTTCCAGTAGATGAGGAGCTTATTTTTTAAACTAGGGAAACTAACACATTGAAATTCACATAAAGCAAAATAATTGGGATTGTGCCTTAGAGTTTAGCATAGCAGGGGTTGAAGGAAACAAGCTGGTATGAAGACCTCAGCAGCAAAAGAGAAACGTCTTCAACATTTTAGGCTCAGAAGAATATCTTCCTCACAAGGGAATGTGGTGTAAGATCTGGGTCACTGACCATGTTGACTACTGAAGCTTGACACATTGTGGAATTCTAAGACAACCGTGTTGCCATTTACATGGTGAATAAAAGGGATTCCAAAATTTTTAACTTGTTTGAGGAAACACACTGCTGTAATAAATACTCCAAAGGCAAAATTAATGTCATTCAGCGACTGAGAGAGCGGTGGTAACCCACTTACTCCCTGAACTAGAAAAGTAAATGACAACCGCAAGTTTTATCTTTAAATAAAGCAAATATAAATGAGTATTTTTCTGTTAAACATCACTCGAAATGTTTGTGCCAAACATAAAAAATAAGTGTGTGTATAGGATTTATACACACACTTATCTTTTATGGCACCATGTTGTGTGACTTAGAATTTACATTTGCGTAAATTTTGGACTTAAAGAAAAGTTGCAAAAATAGTACAGAGAGTTGCTGTATGCTCTTCACCAAGCTTCACCTAATGTTAACATCTTACACAGTCATGATACGTGATTTAGTTAATGCTCACCATTTATTCTATACAAGCCTTCAGTGACTGGATAATGCCCACCCACATTGGGAAAGGCCATCTGCGCTACTCAGTCCACTAACTCGAATGCTAATCTCTTCCAGAAACACTCTCACCAACACACCCAGAAATAATGCTTAATCAGATACATGGGCATTCCATGGCCGTCAAGTTGACATAGAATTAACAATCGCAAGTCCACCCCTTGTCAACTTGGCACCCACACACATCCTCTTAAATCATACTTATTCTCCAAATAAACAGAATTAAAAGGTCAAAATTCCACCAAATGTTATACAACTATCATGTGTAAAACCAGAAATGCACTAACCCCTTCCACAGAGGAGGAAATAAAGTCCTTGAGTGATGTTAACTCTTCTGCTTGATATTTTATGACTTATAAATTATGATGTAGTTAATAATATTAAATACTATATTATAAAGTCAACACATCTTATAATATGTGATAAGAAAATAAGAAAGGGAAGAAAACAACGTTTGCTTAATGCACACATACACACACACAGACATACTCGTAACAAAATAAGGAAGAAATACTCATGACAATGACAGCCTTCATTTCTGTAACTGGTCACATGGCTGTAGCCAGTGTTTATAATGACCTTTTTCCACTACCCATTCTGTATTCCTCTTGCCTTCAGCAAACACCTCAGCTGGCTGTGGTTCTTTACCTGTTGGGGTGGCCCAAACTTTCATTTATGAAGGTCCTGAGCTATTTGTAGTCCTTCCTGGATTGGGTCACTCTTCATGGACATTAATCACAGGGCATGGTGACACTAAGAGACATGCTAAGGAATCTCCTACATTCCATACATCCATAGTGGAGTAGCAGTTCAGTTTCCCCTTGGAAGTCAGGATCACTCACTCCAGGCAGTACAAAAACTCCTTTCTTTGCCTGTTGATTGATTTGGAGTCCTGAGGAGCCCTAAATGGCTGGAAGTCTTAACTTCCAGTTCAAAAGAATCATTTTTGTGTCTCCTGATGGAAGAACTTCTCCCTTTGGAACTAAGACCTCTAGGCCAGCAGAGAAGAGGTTGCAGGAACAGGAAGCAAAAATTTTGCTAGTGGGTCCCTAAAGGTAATAGTGAATGGTGACACTCTCATTTCTACCCTTTGATTCCTGGACCCATGAATCCTGGCTATAGGAGGAACAGTACTATATACTGGATGCTGACTGAGAGACTTACATAGTCTTTTAGAAAGCCTTGCCCCAGCCCTGCCTGGTACTGCCACCTAGCTGACATTGTTACTGAGTTTTCAACAGGCCATTTCACTGATCTATCAGTGCAGCTGCTAGAGGATGGTGGGGAACATGGTAAGACCAGTGAATTCCATGAACATGCACCCAGTACCACACTTTCTTCTGAAGTGAGTTCCTTGATCAGAAGAAATACTCTATAGAATGCCATGACGATGGATAAGGCATTCTGTAAGTCCATGGATGGTAATTTTGGCAGCAGCATTGCAGCAGAAAAGACATATTCATCTCCAGAGTAAGCATCTATTCCATTAAGAATGAAACACTGCCCCTTCCATGGTGGAAATTGTCCAATGTAATCAACCTGCCACAAGGTGATAAGCTGATCACCTCAAGGAATGGTGCCATATTGAGGACTCAGTGTTGGTCTCTACTGCTGGCAGATTGGGCTCCCAGCAGAGGCCATAATCAGATTGGCCTTGGTGAGTGGAAGTCCATGTTGCTGAGTCCATGCATAGCCTCCATCCCTGACACCATGGTCACTTTGTACATGAGCCTATTGGGTGAAGATAGGGTTGCCTGGGAAGAGAGGCTGACTGGTACTCACAGACTGGATCACCCTATCTACTTGATTATTAAAACCCTCATCTGCTGGGGTCACCCTTTGATGAGCATTCACGTGGAACTAACATATCTGCATGTTTTATGCCCACTCAAAGAGGTCTATCCACATATCTCTTTCCCAGATTTCCTTGTCACCAGTTTTCCAACCACGATCTCTTTAAGTCCCCGATCATCCAGCCAAACCAATAGATGCAGCCCATGAAGTGTATATAATCGCATATCTGGCTGTTACTTCTTCCTGGCAAAAAAAAAAAACCCAGATGCATTGCTTAAAATTCTGCCCACTGGAAGGATTTCCATCTACCACTGTCCTTCAGGATGCCCCAGGAAAGAGCTGTGGTGCTGCAGCTGTCCACATTCAGTGGTGCCTGCACATGATGCAGAACCATCGGTAAACCTGTTCCAAGCCTTCTCTTTCTCTGTCAACTGATTGTAGGGGACCCCCCATGAGGTCATAAGTCCAAAATGGAAAAGAGAAAGCAGTGTAGCAGAACTGGCGACCATGGCATTTGGGACACTTCATGTAAATTACTTGTGCCTTCACGACCTGCTCAGACCCCATCATGTATACACCATTTCCATTGGATAATGGAGTGTTGCTGTGCACGCCTCCATTTATAGCTTGATAGGCCAGCTAACACTCAATTCCTTGTGGTCAACTCAGGTCCCATGGTGACTTGCTGGCTCATGGTTCAGTCTCTACTAAGGCCTGGTAGCAGGCCAAGGGCTATTTCTCAAAACAAGTGTAGTTAACCACAGTGGATGGCAGGTCTTGCTTCAAAATCCCGAGGGCCTGTGCTGTGATCCACCTAATGGGCCTGCTAAAGCTCCAGACAGCATTCCTTGCCCATCTGCCACGGAGACACCAAGCACTATTGAATCTGCTGGATCGTATGGTCCAAGTGGCAGAGCAGGTTGCACAGCAGCCAAGACCTGCTGCAGAGACTTCTCTTGTTCTGTGCCCCTCAAATTAGCAGCTTTTTGGTTCACCCAGTAAATGAGTTGGACTAATGCACCCAAATGAGAAATATACTGCCTCCAAACTCCATAGAGGCCTATCAGGCATTGTGTCTCCTTTTCACTTGCAGGTGTGGGGCCAGATGCATCAAAGCGTTCTCTGCCTTAGAAGGGAAATCTCCATGTAGCCCCACAACACCAGCCTCCCCTTGAGTGAATTGAAGAGCCATGACTCTCTGATTCTATGATTCAAGTTAGACTTTTGTTCGCTCAACCTAGAATTTGCTTATATACATTAAGTAAGAATTCAGTGGGTTTCCTGTCTATTTCACTTCTAGGAACAGCATGATCAATTAGTCAGCCCCACAGGTCAGTGTGAGTCAGACTGCTCTGAGGGCTGCTTTGACTCTGCTGTGCCAGACAGTGACCACGTTCACCTGGCCTCGGGTGGTTGATGCTGCCGTGTGGACCCTGCCACCCCAGGATCCAATTACACCCATTGCATTTAGGTTTCCCAATTCAGTAACTGAAGTTCCGCTGTAAGGCCTGCGCTGTATAGAAAAACAACTGTGGGATGATTTTCCAAGGATGCTGGGGCTCCTCACATAAGTTTATTTCTCACAGTTGTGGTGGTAGGGTCTTAGGACCCTTCCAGTGTGAGTGAGTCGGTTTTAAATGGTGAATCCACCCTAACATTCCATCTCCCTAAGCTTTGAATCCCTTTTTCTACTTTATTTATTTATTTATTTATTTATTTATTTATTTATTTATTTTTTGAGACAGAGTCTCACTCTGTCACCCACGCTGGAGTGCAGTGGTGCAATCTCGGTTCACTGCAAGCTCTGCCTCCCGGGTTCACGCCATTCTCCTGCCTCAGCCTCCCGAGTAGCTGGGACTACAGGCGCCCGCCACCACGCCCGGCTAATTTTTTTTATATTTTTAGTAGAGACAGGGTTTCACTGTGTTAGCCAGGATGGTCTCGATCTCCTGACATCTTGATCTGCCCGCCTCAGCCTCCCAAAGTGCTGGGATTACAGGCGTGTGCCACCGCACCCAGCCCCTTTTTCTACTTTAAATCAAAATGGCTTTGACATTTCCAGCTCAGTTACCATGGCCCACCCTTTGGTCCATGTTCCAACCAACCAACCAAACGGCCAAACTGCTAGAGCCCTTTCTAACTCCTTGAGCTGCAGCATTAAATGCAGAATCTCTCGGTGAGTCCATACCAATAAATTCAGCCCAATCCAACTTTAAGTTTCTTCCACCATTATTCCATCCCTTACTATGCGTTCCCACACATGTTCTGGATTTCTGTCCTTGTCATTAGAAAACTCAAGTCTTTCTTTTGGAGTGCAGTGCACCTCCTCAGGGGTCACACTGTGTCCCTCAACTGTAGAGCTGCTGGGACTTACTTCTGGTTACAGGTCTAGAAGCAAACAGGAACTATGGGATGGCTCCTAAGGAGACTCAGCATTGTCCTGCACAGCAACTGCCTCAGAGAGGCCATCCAGTTTCCTTGGGAATGCGGGGTGAGGCCCTTCAACCTGCTGACCCAGTCTACCAATTCAAATGGTAGTGTCATCCAGAAACACCTGCACTGCACAGACACATTCAGAATAATGTTTGATCAACCGTCTGGGCACCCAGTGGCCCAGTCAAGTTGACACATAATATTAACCATCACCATTTCCAACACTTGCCTAGCAGATGTGATGCATTGTGGTGACAACAAATGTTTACCCATTTCAAGTGAACATATGGGCCATTGTGTCCATAGAATATTGATTGGTTTTGATATTAATTTGTCACTGATGACATATTTCGCAGCATGTTGCATGTTTTGAAAAGTTTGCTACATATTAGTAAGTGCATCCAGACCTAGTTTGTCAAGATGTGCTAAGTACACGATACTCTGTGGGTGCAAGTTTCCAGGCATAGGGCTCAGAACCTCTTACTCCAGTTAATGAATCAAAGAAAAGGTTGAATTATAGGTTAGGGAGTCAAGGAAAGCATGCTCAAGAAGTGGCATTTATGGGCCGGGTGGGATGGCTCATGCCTGTAATCCCAGCACTTTGAGAGGCCGAGGTGAGCATATCACCTGAGGTCAGGAGTTCGAGACCAGCCCAGGCCAACACAGTGAAACCCGGTCTCTACTAAAAATACAAAAATTAGCTAGGCATGGTTGGCCTATAGTCCAAGCTACTTGGGAATCGCTTGAACCCGGGAGGCGGAGGTTGCAGTGAGCTGAAATAGCGCCATTGCACTCCAGCCTGGGTGACAGAGTGAGATTGTCTCAAAAAAAAAAAAAAAAAAAAAAAAAAGAAGAAGTGGCATTTATGTCCAGTGCTGAAGGATGAATTCCAGGGAATTCTTTGCCCTGTTGTTTATGATTGTGAAAAATTAAAAAACACTCAAAGATTTGTCAGCTACAGTGCTTTGCATCCATACGGTGGGTTTCCTTCCACTAGCTCCCAGTGGAGGCATGGTGGCTGGAGAACTCAGCCCATGCACAAAGAGATGAGCTGCTAGATCCTTCTGTACAGCCTCTACAGTGGAGAAAATCAGAGCAGAAAATCAGGTGCATTTCACATTTTTCTTCACACTTTGAAGTATTGCATGAGTTTTCTTCATGAATGTGTATCATGCTCATCAACATAAAAATGAAATCAAAATTAAAAATTACTGGTGGGACTATATCCACAGAACTCATTTATAGGGCAATTTGGCAATATGTAACAAAAGGTTTACAAAGTACATGCCCCTTGCCTTAAAATGGTTTTACTTTTAGAGTTTTGATGTGGACACATATGGATATACAAAGAGATATAAGGATATTTATCAAGGATTGCTGTATTAGAGAAAAATTGGAAATAATGCAAATATCAACAGCAGGGGACATTGAGATCAGTTAAGGTCCATTCCCAGAAGGAAATCCTCCGTGGCTCTCAGAAATGATGTGTAGAAAACTATGAATGAGAATTCACTTGGGAAACAAAGCAGATAAAAGCAAAAAGTGGACTGATAAAAGCAGTGAGTAAATGCTAAGTCCCTTGCAAACAGGAGCGACAGTAAGTGCAGTTTTCAGGAACACAGTCGTTTCTCCAAGTTACCTCAGCTATTAAATACTTCAAAGGCGATGGCAAATGACAGGGGAAACCTGTTTGGTTCTGGAAAATGTACCATTCTGTACAGTTATTTTCAAAATAAATTGTTTGATCTTGGATTAGGGTAGAGCTTTTATGAAAGAAAAACATACATGTGCTTCAGATGTCAGTCTCAGTAATAAAGGGACTCAAAAGTCAATTCCACGAAGGCGCAGGCTTGGGGATTCCTTTGTCAGAGAACGATTGTCTAGGTCCAAGTCGCGCAGAGGAAGTTTGTCCTTGGCAGGCTGTGTGAGGCTGTGCAGCACACTGTCTTTCTCCAGCCTCCAGGGTGTCCGGAGGCATCCTGGTGTCAGCCGCCAATCCAAAAGTTGTCTCTCAAAGCTCCAGGGGAGGGAAAGAGAGGCAGGAGGCACATGGCTGAAATCAGGATGAGTGACAGCAGTTCTGGCAGATCGGGCAGGAAAATGGCTCAAAGTTAGTTCTGATAAAACAGAGCACGAAGAGAAAATCATACCACAGATAATAATTTTTAGTAAGTTAGAACACAATTTTTAAAAGGCTGCCATTTATTCATTTGTAAATATTTGCCACCCATTCTGGGACAAGCACAGTTTAGTGGTACGGCAGTGTGTGTGTGTGCGTGTGTGTGTGTGGGGGGGGCGGGGAGAGAGAGAAAGAGAGAGAGAGAGAGAGAGAGAGATTTGGAGGGAGGGTTCATATAAAGATTAATATGTACCTAAATAGAAGAAGGAGGACTCTATTCCTGTTTGATAGCTCCCTGTGCTTGGAGGAAAACTTAGCTAACTCAGCAGGGGTGGTGTGAGGATCCAATGATATAATTTTTTGTGAGTTACCAGACCTTACATTTGCATGACAATTAGTAGGCAATCAGTAAATGACATTAGTATTGTTATTGTTATTACCCTTGTTAGTAAAGGAAAAGAAAACAGGTGGGTCTCCTTGCAGTCTCTTCTGTTTTGAGCCAAGTCAGCCTCTTTGTGGTTGGGTAGCAGAGGCTTTGCATGCAGAACCCATATCCATTCTCTATTAGTTTGCTAAGGTTGCTGTAACAAAGTACCACAAACTGAGTGGCTTCAATAATCAGAAATGTATTCGCTTACAGTTCTAGAGGCTAGAGGTCCAAGATCAAGGTCTCGGCAGCCCATGCCCCCTCTGAAGGCTCTAAGGAAGACTTCATTCCTGCCTCTTCCCAGCTTCGGGTGGTTTCTGGCTGTCCTTGGTGTTCCTTGGCTTGTAGCTGCATCGCTCTAGCTTCTGCTTCCCTCTTCATGTGTGTATCTGTGTGTCTGTGTCTCTCCTTGTAAGAACGTTAGTCATCAGATTTATGGCTCGCCCTAATCCAGTATGACTTCATCTTAATTTGATTACATCCACAAAGACCCTATTTACAAATAATCTCACATTCACAGGTACTAAAGGTTAGGACTTGAATGTATATTTTGTGGGTGGCTATACCTATAAATGCACTCACCTTCTGGTAACAGAACCCTGCCATTTTGTTGGGTCCCTGGATTTAGGGGGGCCAACCTGCCCCGGGCTGGGGGAGTGGGCATGTGACCCAGGACTGGCCACTCTCTTGGCTGCAGAGATTGGTTTTTATGTCCGAATCAGGCAATGAGACACAAAACTGGGATTTTTGTTGGAACTCTTGGAAAAGAAACCTCTCTTTCTGCTGGGCTAAAGTGGGAGAATATGAACCCAGCCTTACCCACGGTCACCACATGGGCAGAGTCTACCAGCAAGTGAGGAAAGCCTGCCTACAGGGGCGGCCACAGGTTCCAAGTCCTGGAGATGTAGTTTGGGCCCCTGGATCCTACTGAACCTGAACTCAAATGCTTCTGACTTTTCCAATTAGATAAGCAAATAAATTCACTTTTTTTTCTTTTTTACTTAAGACATTTGGAGTGTTTTTTTTTTCTACAAGCAGAAGAATCTTGAATGATACTCTGTCTTCATTCTCTCATTTATATTTTTCTTATTTCATGAAAAACATGTGTCACCTGCCCTCAAGCAGCTCACAATTGAGTGTGGAGATGAACAGAGACTGTGGACCCTCCGAGAGCATCAACAAGGGGAGCCAGACGCCCCTCATTCCACTCCCATTCCACCAGCTACTATCTGTGAGACCCACAGCAAGTTGCTCAGACTCTCTGAGCATCTGTTTCCTCACCTAGAGAGTGGGAACAAAATAGTCTTTTTCTTATGGGATTGTGTTAAGGATTCAATGAATCAATATTTATAAAATGCTTGGAACAATGCTTGACACTTCGTAACAGCTATTGGCTATTAGGGGCAGAAAATATTCCTCAATTCGCATAACAGCCCTATGAAGTTAGTGCTATTATCTGCATCTTGCAAGTACGGAAACTCAAGCTAACTGCAGTGATATGACTTAACCCAATTGTCACACTGAGAAAGGTTCAAAGCTGGATAGAGAATACAGCGTCCTTGACACTTGGCTGCATGGTCTTCCATAGGTCAGAAGTGGATCACAGAAGTCTCAATAGCAGCTCTGAGGTCTTCTGGATATGAAATAATTAATGATGACAAAGGGCTTTCTAGGGAATTGGTTCCTGGAAAGGGAGCCTCTCAAGTTATCAAATTTGCCCAGTTTGGTTTTCCCAGTACCTGACTTGTAGTAAGTACCCAATTGCATTAATAAATGAACAAAAATAGCCTTTATACATCACTATTATATGAATAGCTCAGCCTGGAATTAAGAGATATAATTTGCCAGGACAGCTCCAGGGATGCATTCAGATATTTCACCTATTTATTTTCAAAAAATATACTGAGTTCCTGCATGTGCCAAACCTTATGTGAAATTCTGAGTGTACAGAATTTTTTATACATTGGTGTATAAAACCAGCACATTGTCAGCCCTTGTGGAATTTATAATCTCAGAGGAAACACAGGCACAGGCAATATACAAGTAAATAACAAATACAGATGTAATTACAGATGGTGATCAGTGTCAGAGACCTAACAAACAGAATTCAGTGAGAGAAAGTAATGGAGCATGGATAAATTATTTATATAACTTGGTCATGGATGGCCTCTTTGAACAGGTAACATCTTGAGCTGAGAAGGAGCTAGCCATGCTAAGGCCAAGAGAGGAGTGTCCTACAATCTAGAAGAAAGAATCTGACATATATTGGGAATGAAGTAGAAGTGTCATGGCAGGTGGTGTTGGCTGGGTGAATACAGGCACAGATGTGGTTGGAAAGGCAGGAGGTCAGAGAGGATCTGATCCCACAGAGTCCAAAAGAGGAGGGCCCAGCACATTGCAGGTACTCAGGGATGACCTGTTTAATAATTAAATGAACATTAAGTGGTCCATGCTATGAGGTTGGATTTCACTGTTGATACTCTTGAAATAAGCTGTTCTCAATGGCTATGGCCTTTCTTAGTCATTATAATTTCTAATTACATTTGGCTTAGTCAAGAAGACATTAGAGCTGGGCGTGGTGGCTCATGCCAGTAATCCCAGCATTTTGTGAGGCCAAGGCAGGCGGATCGCCTGAGGTCAGGAGTTCGAGACCAGCCTGGCCAACATGGTGAAACCCCGTCTCCACTAAAAATACAAAAATTAGCGGGGCATGGTGGTGCACACCTGTAATCCCAGCTACTTGGGAGGCTGAGGCAGGAGAATCGCTTGAACCTAGGAGGCAGAGGTTGCAGTGAGCCAAGAGCGCACCATTGCACTCCAGCCTGGGCAACAGAGTGAGACCCCACCTCAAAAAAAAAAAAAAAAAAAAAAGAAAAGAAAAAGGACATTAGAGAATGACAGCAAACACCTCAATAAAGGAAATCCAAGACAATTCTAAGACTGCAGGGTAGAGACAGATTTCCAAGCTCTTTGATGTACTCAGCAATGCCCTTCTCAACTCTGAATTCAATTTATAAACTTTGAAAGCCTGGACAATGACTACTGGTGCTGTTTAGAAGATGACCTTGAAGTTCCACAAAGTCATAAAAGATCTTAATTCTAGGTGGTAGCCAAGAACAATGAGAGCTTTTTCAATATCTGTTCTGGGTCTTCTGTTTCATGTGCTCTGAGAGAATTTTCTGAACAGATGTATGCTGGGGACTTTGTTGACCAAAATCAACTTCCCAAAGCATAGTTAAGTTCTTGAGTCGCTCTGAATCTAATTTATCCTCCTTGTATTAGCAAGTCATCTTGCTTGAGCAAACCACTTATTGGCTTCCCAGTGCCCAGGCGATAAACTGCAAATTCCTTCAGATGGCACTTTCAGGTCTCCTGGAATTGAACTTCATCATCTTTTTACTATCTCTGCCTTCACCAAGTTGTTTGACTTTGCTTGATGTCAAATATGTTCATTTCCATGGTGTCCGCTTTGCTTGGCGTGAACTTTCTCAAACTTTCATCTTAGTCTTGGGACTGATCCTATGAGGCTAAATACAAATGCCAACTCCTCTGTGAAGCCTTCCTTGATTTCACTAGTTTGAATGAATCCCTCCTTATTTCAAGGCTCTTTGTAAATTAGCATTTTGTTTATTAATATGGAGATGCCTATCATATTATGCCTTAGACCTTTTTTTTTTTTGGCCGCTTCTCTACTGCTCATGCCTCCTCCTTATCCCAGCCTGCCTTCTATACTTCACAGTGTCACTTTACATGTGCTTCTGATATTGGTTAATGCCCGTTGCCTCTTCTAATAATAACTAATAATTATGAGGACTTACTAAATGCCAGGCACTGTTCTAATCAACATATATGCATTAGCTTGTTTTATCCTCATAGGAATCATAGGGTTGCTATTAACTCCACTTTACAGATGAGATGAGAAAACTGAGGCAGAGACAGATGAAATGCCAACGTCATACAGCTAAATGCAGGAGTCACGATTCAAGCCAAGGCGGTGAGGCTCCAAAGCCCATCGCTGACAACATTATTCTAGACCACCTCTCTCCTGGAGTAAGGGATTAGTTCTGTGTTTCCTTCGGTTTGGTTGTTGGAGCAATATTACCAGCACTTGGCATGGTGCTTAGTACATAGTAGGGGCTCAATATATACCTTGTTGAATGAAAGAAGCATAGTTTTGCATGTCTGCTAAGTTGCCTGAAGGCAGACACTAGATGGCAAGGGGCAGGAAGGCAGGTAGCCTGTGTGCCACATCACCTTGGCCTCCCAATGATCCCTAGCACCTAAGCAGATGCTGGGTACCTAATAATCATGTTATTATTTGAGCATTTAGATGTGAGGGTTCTAATGCTGTCAGATGTATTTGCTAATCCTTAGCAACAATCTTATAGACTAGTTTTTATCATTGTCCCCATCTTGCAATGAGATGACTGAGGTGCAGAGAGACTGAGTCATTTGCTCAGGTTCACGTGACAACTAAGTGGTGGCACCAGGGTTGAAATCTGCCACGCCTTCTATGTTTTCATTTATCTGTATTCCTCACCACATCTCAGCTCTACCTTGCCTTTACCTATTAGTGAAATGCTTATTGACTGAAGAAGCAGGTTGTATAGGGCACAGTAATAGGTAAGGAAGGGTTGGGCGAGGTGGCTCACGCCTGTAATCCTAGCTTTTTGGGAGGCCAAGGTGGGTAGATCACCTGAGGTCAGGAGTTCAAGACCAGCCTGGCCAACATGGTGAAACCCTGTCTCTACTAAAAATACAAAAATTAGCCAGGCATGGTCGTGGGCGCCTATAATCCCAGCTACCTGGGAGGCTGAGGCAGGAGAATCGCTTGAACCCAGGAGGTGGAGGTTGCAGTGAGCCAAGATTGCACCACTGTACTCCAGCCTGGGCAACAGAGCAAAAACTCCATAAAAAAAAAAAAAAAAAAAGAAAGAAAGAGGTAAGGAATGGTAGAGAAAGGGAATTGAAGAGTGGTAAGAAAGCTGGCTGTCTGAAGCAAACAGTGCTTGGTTGAAGGATTTGGAAAGGATGCAATTGATAGATTAAGAAAAAGGACAATGTTTCAAATACTTGGAAGAACCAGGCAGGTAAATGGAAATTAGGGACATTGGAGGGGACGGCTGTAGAGTGACAGAGACCATGGTGAACGGGCAAGCACAAAGAGGCTGGCCCCACTGCACACTGCCATGCAGCAGGGATGGGGCCAAGGGTGGTCAGAGCTTATAATTTTTCAGAGAAGATGAAAATCTGGATTGTATGTGAAATTCTTCACTTTTTAAACTGTGGGTAAGTATTTCCACTTAAAGGAACAATAATCATTCTCTGGGTTAAACCTAAGGTGAATGCAGCTAAATTAGGTCCCGAGTGTAAAGGGCAGGCCAGCTTTTAGAGCACCCTGAACGTCTGCATGAGGACTTTGGGAACTCATTCATACTCAATACACAAAATGATGCGTAAACGAGCATGGCTTAATCTTTGGGGGTAATAGAACTGTTGTGTTGGGGGTTAGACTTGTTTATTCTTTGCTAGGGTACAAATACTGCATACTTGCAATTCTCTATGGTTTTCTGAAGGAGTTGATTTACAATCTTAAAATAAGCACTTTGTTTTCTTCACTTCTTAGCTCATCCTTGACCCAGAAGACCAGTCATAGCTGATCCTTCAAGAAGCAAGAAAGAAGACAAACAGATGAACGACAAAGACAACCCGGTAACCTGGCGGTGCAAAGGATTCAACTCCTAGCTTGTGGATTTAGGAATCTATGCTGGGAGATCTGGGACAATAACAAAGATGGGAGTGGTGATTTGCAGGGCAGGGCTTCAGGGACAGGGGTCGGAGCGAGGCAGGGGGCATTGAGTGTCTGAAACTAAGCAAGACAACGAAGAATAAAATCCAAGTGAGGGGAGCCACTTTATCCTTTGCTTCTTCTTCCATTTAGTCAGGTCCATGTGTCTTGAGCATCTACTATGGGCTCAGCACCACGCTGGCCACCGGGGACAAAGAACAGAAATGCCCTTGAGATGAGGATGGACCTGACCTCTGAGCAGCAAAATGCTTAAGTCAAGCAGTCAGGCAAACTGGCTGTGAATTTTGTCTCTGTCACTTATTCATTGCATGACTTCAAAGAACTTTCTTAGCCTCTCATAGCCTCAGTTTCCCATTGGGTAAAATGGGAATAGTAATCAAATCAATTCCATAGATTTATTGCAAGATAAACTAAGAGTGATTGTGTAGACCACTCAGTACAGTGGCTGGCACATAGCAAGTACTGAACAAGTGACAGTATTTGTTCCTTTTATGTATTAATATAAGTCCTCTAATAGAAGAATATAGAAACTACACTACACTGACGACACCAAGGGGGAGGATGAATTTTTTTTTTTTTTTTTGAGATGGAGTCTCACTCTGTTGCCCAGGCTGGAGCACAGTGGTGCGATCTCAGCTCACTGCAACCTCCACCTCCCGGGTTCACATGATTCTTCTGCCTCAGCCTCCTGAGTAGCTGGGATTACAGGCATCTGCCACTACACGTGGTTAATATTTTGTATTTTTAGTAGAGATGGGGTTTCACTATGTTGGCCAGGCTGGTCTCAAACTCCTGACCTCCTGATTCACCTGCCTCGGCCTCCCAAAGTGCTGGGATTACAGGCGTGAGCCACCGCACAGAGCTTGCACTATAGTTTAAAATTATGTTCCCAAATATTTACTAGCTCTTCTACACTGTCTTTCCCTTGCCCTCACTAGATGGCAAGGGGCAGGAAGGCAGGTAGCCTGTGTGCTATGTCACCTTGGCCTCCCAATGATCCCTAGAACCTAAGCAGATATCAGGTACCTAATAATCATGTTATTATTATTATTTTTATTATTATTTGAGACAGGGTCTTGCTCTGTTGCCCGGGATGGTGTGCAGTGGTGAGATCTCGGCTCACTGCAACCTCCACTTCCCAGGTTCAAGCGATTCTCCTGCCTCAGCCTCCTG
Source organism: Homo sapiens (assembly GCF_000001405.40). NCBI lineage: Eukaryota > Metazoa > Chordata > Mammalia > Primates > Hominidae > Homo > Homo sapiens. The sequence goes on along the minus strand of NC_000004.12, from coordinate 16,901,859 downwards.
AGTAGCTGGGATTACACGCACCCACTACCATGTCCAGCTAGTTTTTCTTTTCCTTTTTTTTTTTTTTTTTTTTTTTTGGAGACGGAGTCTCGGTCTGTCACCCAGGCTGGAGTGCAATTGCACGATCTCGGCTCAATGCAACCTCCATCTCCCAGGTTCAAGGAGTTCTCCTGCCTCAGCCACCTGAGTAGCTGGTCAGGCACGTGCCACCACACCCGGCTAATTTTTGTATTTTTAGTAGAGACAGGGTTTCACCATGTTGGTCAGGCTGGTCTCAAACTCCTAACCTCGTGATCCGCCCGCCTCGGCCTCCCAAAGTGCTGGGATTACAGGCGTGAGCCACTGCACCCGGCCTATCATGTTATTATTTGAGCGTTTAGATGACAGGGTTCTAATGCATTTGGATGTATTTGCTAATCCTTAGCAACAATCTTATAGACTAGTTTCTATCATTGTCCTCATCTTGCAATGAGATAACTGAGGTGCAGAGAGACTGAGTCCTTTGCTCAGGTTCACGCGACAACTAGATGGTGGAGCTAGGGTTGAAACGTGCTCTGGCCCTGCTGTTGGCTCTGCCTCTATCCACTGTGAATGGAATATTTGTTGAATAAATAAACAAATGAATGTGTAATTTAAAAAGATTTATGGAGGAGACAATTTAATTTAATAGAAGGATAAGTAGCAGTTTGTAGGTAAACTAGGGCCAGAAGTACAAATGTGGCCATGCATAAGAAAGATTGCAAGTTTAGGAAGATCAAGTATAGCAAATAAATAAATGAATGAACACACAAATGAGTAAATGAATGAGTGTGTGTGAGTGTGTGTGTGTATGTGACAGAGGGAGAAAGAGACAGCACAGAAGTGCGGGTCTTACCGAGCCCTGTATGCCATGTTCCTAAGGAACTTGCACGTTTTCCTTCTGGCAGCAGGGAAACACTGAGGGGGAAAACATGGGACATGATCGCTTTCACTTATCTGAAATCCACATTCTCATTTGAATAAGGACAGACCACAAGTTAGAAGAGGACTGTGAATCTGTGGGCAGGGGGACCAGTTCGGAGACTCCTGAAATAACGGGGATGAGAATCAGGGATATGGATCAGCATTATCAAGTTTCAGATAGTTCTGAAATGAGAGTCTTTCACTATTAATGGCAAGAAATATTTCCAATTATAATTGGCAATGGTCTGCAGAAACAAATGAGAGCAAACCAGAACCTTATTCAGAGAGGGATTCCCTTCCTAAATGGATTTTTGAACTGTTTCATTTTTTTTTGTTACTATTGGCCTGCACAGGCCTGCCTAGGTGTTACTTTCATTCTTGCACTGAAATGGTCACATTAACACAAACTCAGGCAGACACTAAACTTTCAGAATGTCTTTAGTTTGAGAGTTTAAACATAAGGAACCATTAGGTTTTGCAGTGGCTGCCATACCAAAACGTAAATCATGCCAAAATTGTTTGAAATCCTGTCTTTAGAAGGTTGTGTGTTTTGACAAACCTTGCAGCAAATTTGGTCCAGCTTTCGGATTTGTAATGAAACCTGAAACCAAGCATTCTCGCCTGCCTTGGGGTCTCCTAGCGCAAGTTCCAAGCAGCCTTAGTGTAATACCTACCCTAATCTCATCCTGGGAAGCGACATTAGTGTGTTAGGCTGCGCTGCTGGAAGTTTGGGGTGGACTCAGCAAATATTTCATGCAATTATGAAGAAGGACTGATCAAGACAGCAATACACTTTTCTGTGTCTGAGTATTTTTAAGAGTGTAAATTGCAGAATTAGCAATACTCTATCCCCTGTTGGCTAGTGACTTGGAGATACCCAAGCCATGATTGGGGCAGAAAGTTAATTAATCTGCTTATTAAAAAGAAGAAATGTCTCATTTGCATGCATTTGCATTCAGGTCTTGAATTCATTATGCTTTTTGGTGGTCCTTTGCTTTATTTCCTTAATACCACTGACCTACCTAGGTGTTAGCTCAATACATTTAAATTTTGTGTGGCTGGGCTTTGTTTAAGTGTCGTATCTCTGGTTATAGTGGGTTCTAGCAGAATTTGATTATTTTATAGATTGTTTAATTCTCTATAGAGATTTTCCCCTTCCATGGGCTGTTGGGATTTCTTATGGTTATCATATACCACAGTTGGGAAAATATTTGTTTACTTGACCAATCTTGGAAAATACAGACTTTGTCTCCATAAGAGTTGGACATGTTATCTGGGGATGATCCATTCAATTATTTGCAATTTCCTTCTCAACCAAATTTTCCGTGGTCATTTTTGTGGCAGTTTTCTCCTTCTTTGCTTTTCCTGTCTTATTGGGAGGTCTGTTTGGGTTTTTTGTTTGTTTGTTTGTTTGTTTTTCCTTCCTGGGAAAAAAGACCATTGCTCTCCTTAAGTGTATTTTATACCTTCCACATTCAGAACGACTGTTTTTACCTGAAAATGCCCAGGCACCTTAAGGGCCTGAATGAAGTCTTTGGAGAAGAGGGAGGTGGCTGGGAAGAGGGGTGAGTGGGGAGAGATGGGAGTGAGATGGAGTGGAGGGCAAAGAATATAACAGCCCTTGGAACAACAGCAAGTAAAGCAAAACTACATAGGGAGATTAGTGCTGAAATAAATCTCTGCATGTGAGTGAATCACCGGTCCCAATTCGGGGCACCACAGTGCCCGTGTTTCTGTATTTTGTAGTAATCAACATTTCTGATACATTACAACAGTGTGGTTGTCAGGGGTGAGCGGCTCATGTAGCGGTTAGACCACCTCTATGCTAACAAGCTTAGCAATCAGGTTGTGAAGGGTCCTGGCTGGAGGAAAAAAATTAAAACCAAACCTTAGACCTCTTGTCAGACTGTGAGGAGAATTATATTTGTGAACTAGTCTACAATGTGGACAGGAAATGACCTCTCCACAAACTGCTTCTTTAAAAACAAGCAGTGGTGCCTAAAGCTATCCAGCTCCTCTCTCTCTCTCTCTCTCTCTCTCTCTCTCTCTCTCTCTCTCTCTCTCTCTCTCTCTCTCTCTCCCCCTCCCTCCCTCCCTCCTCCCTCCCTCCCTCCCTCCCTTCTTCCCTCCCTTCCTCCATACCAACCTCCCTCCCTCTCTGGAGCTCCTGCTCTCTCCCTCTCCCTCCTCTCCCGTGCTCCCTCCCTCCCTCCCTCTTTCCCTCCCTCCTCTCCTCTCCCTCTCCTCTCCTGCTATAGAGGGCTCCGACAGCAGTTCCCAGCCAGCGTGTTCAGCCTGCCTGCCTGCCTGCCTCTGTGTGTGTGTGAGCGTGTGTGCGTGCGTCTACTTTGTACTGGGAAGAACACAGCCCATGTGCTCTGCATGGACGTTACTGATACTCTGTTTAGCTTGATTTTCGAAAAGCAGGCAAGATGTCCAGCACACCACATGACCCCTTCTATTCTTCTCCTTTCGGCCCATTTTATAGGAGGCATACACCATACATGGTACAGCCAGAGTACCGAATCTATGAGATGAACAAGAGACTGCAGTCTCGCACAGAGGTAAGTACTTCAACCTTGGGGATGTGTTTGTGTATTTTTGTTAAGCTATGCATGAGCTTTTCCTAGGGTTTCTGGCTGAATTCTATGGGAAGTGTCCCACTTGATACTACCACGTACGTGGAAATGAGCGCCAGGATGAATCCACGAGTTTGGACGCTGGGTTTCCAGGCACAGCAACTCTTGTAGCAGAGGACAGTTTCTGCCGGAATCTTGAGACAACCCAGCACTTGATTCACATGCCGGGTTTCCAGAAATGTTGCTCTTCCAGAACTCTGGTGTTTTACAGGCTCTGAGTCAGTCCTGTTGGTGTTTCTTGAGATATAATTCCAAGGAATTTTGTGATTGTTTGCATCTGGCTATATATATATATACATATGTGTATATATATATATATATATATATATATACATATGTGTATATATATATATATATATATATATATATATATATATATATATTTTCTTTTTTACAAATCCTAGAGGAAGTCTGCTTTGACCTGTATTTACTTTTCAGAGTCACCAAAATCGAGGTAAAAAGGGGCAGAAGAGTAAACCTGCCTACTTCTCAGAACTAGCCCTGGAGGGACACATGTTTGTATATTTCAGTGTTAAAATCAGAAACCAGTTGCTTGGGGCAAGGGGACTCTAGACTTTCTCCTATTGCTGTCGGCCGTGCCCCCCTATCACTCTACCTTAGGACAGGAGCTGGTTCAGCTTTCAAGTCAGCTCTAGTTTTTGCATATTTGAGATCTTGTGCCTGAGAGAGGGAGACTCAGCCTCCTAGGCAGCCAGCAACTCTGGGAGCAGAGAGAACAGGACTTTCAGAACTTTTTAAATGCAAAACTCCAGACTCGCCTCCTGCAATTTAAATATTTTATGTCAGTTGACTTTTTCTCTGTGCTAGCTCAGCTGGCAGGTCTTGCTGCTGGATTGTCCATCTGCCTGTAAGTTGGGGCTTTGTGTGGAAGTGTTCGGAAAAGGAGTTTGTTATAGGTGCACCAAAGTCACTTTAGGAAGTGGAAATTGCTAGGAATTTAGTCTTCTCTGCAGAGTATAAATACCACAAGATTTATGCCAAAGAGCTTTTAGGGAATAGCTCTGGTGGAATTTTAGATTGAAGATTGACTTTTAACTCTAGGAAGGGACTCCATTAAGTTTGTGCTATGGGATAAAACACAGTTGGCTTGAATTGTCAACAGAGCCATAGAGAATTCATGACGTTTCGTGTATTTAATACAGCTAACAAGATGTGACCTGCTTTCTGATTGGCTAACTGCTGGACAAGGACTTATATGTATTTTAAAAGCTGGGTTGTCTTTAATGACTGCTGTTTTCTTTATATGTTAATACACCATAGACGCTAAATATGACTGCTGGTACTCTTGCTCTTTCTAGAAGCCAGTAGCTTCTATAGAAGTGCAAACTATGTTTTGCTTAGGATAGTGAACTGTTGGCAGTGACTGATATTTGTGCTTGCTGTTTTGTGTATGTTGCTTTGTGTGTGTAACAGTTTGTATATTTCCTTCAGATCTTTGCAACTGTGTGTTGGAATCTTAAATCTCTGCATAAACCATTGGTTGACACAGGCTGCTTTCATAATTAGGAGGATAGAAAATGTCTTATAGTTCAGGCACACATTAATTGCAATACAAATTTGGAAAAAATAGTCTTTTAAAAGTATGATTAGTTATAAAAAAAGAGGCCAGGGACCATTATGGCTCAATTCTTGAACAGCAACAATATTTAAAAATGACCTGTCCACCTTACATTTTAGAAAGTTTTTGAGGAATTGCAGAGATTCTTCTCCATCCTCCTGCAGTTAGGAACACAGGCAGCTTTCTCTGATATCTGCCTGCCCTCCTGCCCATTACTGAGCACTTGGCCAGGTCTGAGCTAGGAGACTTATCTGCAAGATTTCCCTACTCTTGCCCTCATTAAAAAAAACTGCAGGATTCAATATGGTCCCAGGTTTGTTTCCCATTTGAGACAAGACATTTGAAAAGACCTCCTTTCGCAGTATGCTTTGCAAAGATGGTACATTATTTTTTGTGAGAGCTAAACTCAGGAATTCCTAACTTTTGGATTATGGGGTATTACTTTTAAAGATTTAGCTCTGAGTAGAAAAAGACTACTTCATAGCTCAAGAACCAAGAGAAGAAAGCTTGCTATGACAAATCTTAAAGATTTTTTTAAACCTCCCTGCCTGTAACAGTAAAGTGCTATGAACTGTTTTCTGGTGTGTCCTAGAGCTAACCGTTTACATTTTTCCCTCCTTAATTAGATAATTTTTCAAATAATTATTCAAATAATTGCCTCAATACTTCTTTTTTTCTTTGCTAAGCAGTAAATACTGTCATGAACGCAATGCCATACATTTGTTTTTATTTCATATGAAAAGGGGAGAGAATCAAATAATTGCTCCTAAGATATTTAAATATTTACATCAAATATTAAATTTTGATCATGATGTATGTACCTTGAAAAAAACAATTTTCATGTAAAGTTACACTATACCTTTACCAATAATTGTTATTTATGATAAAGCTGCTCTGAGTTCTGGAGAGGGATTGGTTGGGATAAAATACAATGATACTCAGCAAGAGTTATTAGTTTATTCACATGCAAAATCAAATATGCCTTTGAGTGACTACTTTGAGAATTTAGCCAAAGCATACAACCATTTTGGGCAAGACTGACTCACCCATCCCTCTTCCATCTCTCTCTTCCTCTCTCTCTTCTGGTCCCACTCCTATAGTATATAGTATTATTTCATTAAGTCCTAATATCTCTCTCACACACACACACACACAAACACACCCCACTGGGTAATACTCTCAAGTCTTCACCCCTTTTTGAACATGGACCTGGCTAGAAAAACAATATATAGCAAATCAGTATGTGATGAAGAAATTGTAATCAAGTTTCTGGAAATTTCCTAGAAACCTCCTTTTTTATATGGAAAGAAATTAGTAAAGAACCATGATGTTTACCTACTCTCCTTCCATGGCTGATCCCAGGGCATTTTCTCATGGGGATCCATGCATTTCTTCCAATTAAATTAAATCAAAGTTCTTCAGAAGCCGGGAAGTTTGAGTTTAAAGAGGATGGCATTGGGAGTTAATATTATTTCTAACTCTTACAAACTAGTTAGCATGGGTCTTGGTTCCTCATTTGCAAATTACCAACAGTGTCCCTTTAATTGAAAATTCAGATTTTCTTTTTTTTTTTTTTTTTAGCATGAAAAAGTATTATGAAGTAAAGAGTGCAGACATTATTTCTTTGCTCATGGTATTTAGTTCAAAATCACAAAATCACAAAGAGTTCTTCATGTTGGCACTACGCTAATTAAAAAAAATACCATAAACACCAGAAAAGTGTGAGTTCCGTTATGTATTTTTCCTGTTTTGAGGTTTTTTTTTCTTTTATCAATATTACACATCCAATAATAAAATAATTGGGTAATGGTGAAGAAAACTTGAAGGTCCAGTTTGGTTTTAAAGCTAGCACTTAAAGCAAGTAGTTCCTGGACCAAGTAGGTACTCATTAAACATTTGCTGACTAGCCAATCAGTGAATCAGTAGACAAAAGGAGAGAATTTGAAAACCAATGCATTTAAATTAGCACCTTCCCTGAGAAATACAATTCTGAAGTTTTTTGGGGCCTGGTATCTCCTATTGAGCTGAAGCAGCTTTGCGCCTCTGCTTCTCACTCTCCCTAAAGTGTTCATCTCACATCCCCCACATTTATTTTATGTGAGGTCATTTAGATCCATAATCTTTGTGGCAGAGGAAAGCAAGTGACTAAGTACTAACAGGACCTCACCTCTCTGTAAAGGAATAGGCATGCATTAAAAAGCAAACAGCAACAACAACAAAAGTATATTTTAAATGCTGCTAGCTGTTCTGGGAAATAAATTTTTTTTTCAACATTAGAATCTCAGTGGAATTTAATAAAGAAATGTGTGGGTGCTCTTCCCACCCTTTAAAATGAAATTAAGAAAAATTCTGAGGTTAGCATCACTGTTGTTCACTGTAATTCCCAGGCAGCAGAAAGGAGTTTACATTTTCTGTTGTGTATGCTGTCAAAAATTGACCCAATGTCTTCCAAAATTCATGTATTTGAATGGTTTGGCAGTGCCAAATGTATTTTGGAAGAATACAACCGCACAATTATATAGTTTTAACACTGTACACACAATACAGTCAGATAGGATATAAAAATATGTTCTGAAGACTTCAGAATTTGTTCTGTGAAAAGCTTCAATAAAAGCAAAAACAATGTATTTTTTCATTTTTAGGTCTCAGCCCTGAGATGAAAATATAGGTAAAATATATGAGAAACATTACAGTGGACATCATTGTAAGTGAAGGGATTTAACTAATGTTCGATTATTATAAAATTTAAGAAAGTTTATCAAGTAAAGTTCACAAATCTTTGTTAGAGGAGATAACTTTTCTATACCTTGTTTTCTCATTCAAATGACCAAAAATGTCTGCATTTAAGTGAAGATATTTTTAAGTATACATAGTTCTTCATGTTGGCACCATGCTAATTTAAAAAAAAAAATACCATAAACACCAGAAAAGTGTGAGTTCCGTTATGTATTTTTCCTGTTTTGAGGTTTTTTTCTTTTATCAATATTACACATCCTCTTCCAAAAGAGAAAACTGTGATTACAATCGGAAGCTGTACGCACAAGGATTTTATAGAATTACAGTTTTTAGTTTCACAGGATTTAATATGAAGGTTACAAATGTTCGAAGACCTAGAAATTTAAATCTGCTGGTTTTCACCCCTTCTCAGCTCAACTCTAAAACTCCCTGGGGAGGGGGTGGGGAGGAGGGGGATTCTTAGTCCTCTTTTCTTTCAGCTACATTTTTATATACTTTAGTCACAGGGTTTCACGTTGTAACATCATGTTTATTCATGGAATAGCTTGGTATCATTGATGTTCAGATGGAATCTAGTTAAAATGAGATTAGTTATTTTGGATAGGTGGAGAAAAAGAAAAAATGCTTTGTGGTAACTTGGAGGTTTCTCCCCCCTAGAAATTTAGAAAGAAAAATGTTGCTGCTACTCTGAGATATATGAATGATTTTCAGTGTTAAAAACAGAACTTTGCAAGTTGTTTGAAGAGGGTTGGTGAGGTGGGGGAGGGGGCTGGGTGGTGGAAAGGAAAGCTATTTTGAAAATGTTAAATGAAACCAAAAGTGCAGTTTTAAAAATGAGAACTTCCAAACTCTCTTATTTTTCAGGATCTCTACATGGCCTCAGAAAACCAATTGTAAGACTCTTATACTGATTTTATTTTCTTGAAGTCTTTTTTTTCCCCCATTTTCTTACTATGGGAACTGTTTTTAATTAAAAATTGCTGCAAACTAACTATTCATAGGAGGCCAAGAAGAAAAAAGAAAAAAAAAAGAACTTTCAACTCACATTCAACACAGATTCTTATCAGCCTAAAATCAATGCACATTTAAATTTCTCTCTTTTTGGTGTGTAAATTATGATGTAGGATTTAAACGCTATGCATTTTTTAAACATTTAGCTTTTTGTTTGGGGTCCAGAAAGAAATTAATTTAAAGTATATGGAGAACAGGGCCATAAATCTCTTTTTATTACAATTGTCCACATTAACTCATTTTTCATGAGGAACACAGAGCACCCGCTTTCTGAACAAGCAAACGAAACGTAAAACAACCCCAAACATCCAACTTTATAAATGATCAAGAACAAAATTCATAAACTTACTTATTTGGATTTGGTTGGTGGGCCTCAAAATATAACTGACCTGGGAAAACAATGTCTTTTTGAAGTGTCAGAACATAGCATTTAAAAAAATGTCCAAAGGATGTAGATACTACAAATACCTTCGTCATTTTCTGACAAGGCGTTTTCCTTCTTTTTAAATTTTTAAAAATCAATATGAGCCTAGATTTTTTTTAAAATTTAAATTCTGGCAGCATGCATTTGAACCTAGGCAACTATTAATGCTTAAAACAAAATTCAGGCATTCCTTCAAGAATTTCCATACTTCAGGCAATGACAGTCTCAGGGCCTGGAAATATAAACATGATTAAGATACTTTCTGTCTTCTAGAAGCTTACAATTTGATAAAGAGGGGAGACATACAAACCACACTTACAATAGAGAGCCATGATAGGTTAATACACGGTGTATCGTGGGCATATTCCTGTAGTGAAAGGTATATACACCTTTCTGAAAGGCAGTCATAGAATAGCATATATGGAGTTTTCAGTGTCTGTTGGGCAAGTATGAATACTAGGTGCTTTTTGTATGTCGGCTCAAGTAACCCTCATGATCACATCGTATGATACTAATATCTACTAACATCTGCACTTTTACTAATGAGGAAACTGGAAACTGACAGGTTACATAAATTGTCCAAGGTCAAATAGACGGTAGTTTAGCTTCAGAGGTTGTAACTACTCTGCCATAGCACCTCTCTTGAAATAGGAAACATGAGCTAGGAATCTAGTTTTACCTATAGAAATTTTTAATGTGAATATATTCATTTTTGTTTTCTAAGACAAATTGACTTTGGAGGTGGCTTGGAAATTGATCCCATTCACTAACTTGATTCTGCTAGATGTGTCTCAACTGCCTAACTTAATTTTCAAAGGGACCAAGTGAAATTCCAAGGGATGGATCCAGGGATGGAAAATATACCCTGGGTACTGAACAAAAAAACCCAAATTACACTCCTTATTAAAGAATACTTAAGTTCGGGCACGGTGGCTCAAGCCTGTAATCCCAGCACTTTGGGAAGCTGGGGTGGGCAGATCATGAGGTCAGAAGTTCAAGACCAGCCTGATCAACATGGTGAAACCCTGCCTCTACTAAAAATACAAAAATTAACCAGGCATGGTGGCACACGCCTGTAGTCTCAGCTACACGGGAGGCTGAGGCAGGAGAATTGTTTGAACCTGGGAGACGGAGGCTGCAGTGAGCCGAGATTGTCCCACTGCACTCCACCCTGGGCGACAGAGTGAGACTCCATCTCAAAAAAAAAAAAAAAAAAAAAAAAAAGAATACTTAAGATTCCCACTTTATCTGAAGAGTGATTGAAACTGTTATAGAATATAATGCATAGTCATCTAAAAGGTTTTTTTTTTTTTTACTTAAAAATATTTAAATTTCCATTCAGTGCTTCTTCTTAGTTGTGCCCTGGGAAAGATAGTGTTTTTATTGTTTTAAACAGTAGTGAATGAGTATAAAAGCTATCTCATTTTTTGGTGGAAACAATAACCAAAATAAATGTTAGGAAATTAAATTACAATTCAAATTGGGTATAGTATTGGCTCCCTTTTCAGGTAATCAATTAGGAATCTTAGGGAAAATAAAGACATAAAGGGGAAAGAACTTCCAACAGGTTTGGCTTCTCAGGATCTTAGTTTAATCTACTCCTGAGAGGAAGTCAGTCTCCCCACATCCTGTCTGTCTGCAGAAGTTCTTTGTGGGAGGTGATATTTCCTTCCTACCCTTGCAGACCACTTTAGCTACCTGCAAAGCCATTGTCATGAGAGTAAATGCCTGCCAGTTGTTGAAGATAAGATAGATCTCCTCATTTGATCCACCCCCAAAGCCTGAGATGCACGCATTCTGGTTCTCCTTTACCAGACAAGCAACCGAGGCCTCAGTTCATGCATGGCCATCCTGAGATTTGAGAGCCCAGGGGCTGGATCATCTGACTTTTCACTGTATGGTCTGTCCTGGAGCATATTGGTAAAGGGATGTTGCCTCCCAGCTGCCCACTTCCTCTTGGATGCCCTGGTAGCCACACCCTTCTCTCACATTAGTACCACGTTGGACCAGCCTAATTTGAAGTTTTAGTCTTCCAGTTCAAAATAGGAGGCTTAGCGTTAAGGATTTGGCAGACCTCTCTGAAGAAGAGGAATCTGTCCTGTTCTGGTGACATTGCGAGCCCCCAGCCTCTCTTTTTGGAATCAGGACGGCCTCTTAACAGCACTCCGTGCCCCCCCTTTCCATCTTATAATCTGATCCCCACAAACAGCCAAGGTGATATTTTTAAAGCATAAATCAGATCCTGTGACTCTCCTGCTTCCTCTCAAACCTAGAACAAGCTCTAAACTCCTTGCTCTGGTTTTAAGAATCTATTGATCTCTTCCTTCCTGATGGTCCATTCTTATCTGCTACCAAGTGTTCACTGGACTGGAGCCACGGAGGGCTTCTTTGGGATCCATTAGCTTGCCAAGCTGATTCACACTGCAGGACCTTTGCCCTCGGTCAGGGAACACCGAATATATGGCTTTCTTTGTAATAACTCAGCTAAGTATTAGGAGACCTCAGTTGAGTTGGGATTTGGCATAGTGCTGGCTTTATTTGCAGGTAATCAATTAGAAAAAGAAAAGAAGGACAATAAAGGAAAAGAGTCCCAGCAATTAGGAGGTCCTGTACTGAGCAACTTAAATGTTCTCTTCCTAGAGAGCCCTTCCTCAAACAATTAAAATTAACCCCCAATCACTTTCTATCACATGCCTTCTTCATAGGAATTATTGGAAGCCTGTATTTTCTTGCTTCTTGTTTATTTCTTAAGTATTTGCTTGTCCTTGATAGAATATAAGCCCCATGAGGGCAGGGACCTGATTGTCTTACACATCATTGCATCCCCAGTGCCCTATATAGCACATGGCTGATGTGCAAAATATTACCTATTGAATAAAGAAAATTAAGTTGTTCCAGCACTGGCCATCCTGACGCTAAAATTTTCCCCAAGTCTTACCAACAATTGCCTACAGTTCCAGTAGGAGAAGAATCTGTGAGCCTAATAGCCCAGTGAGCATTCACTGCTAGAACGCACGTCAAGCCCAAAGGAAAAAGAAGCCCTGAGAGAACAAAATTTCTTCTATGAAGGGAGTGTTGACCTGACTATTTTGCCCTCTGGATAGTGCAAATCTGTTGGGAATCTCCTGACTTCTGATTAAAAATATTTATACTTATCCTAGTGTTTCTTTTCTCATTTGATATTTCTGCTACTTCTGTCTCTCTATATCTACCTGGGAGCCCACAGCCGTGAATTACGGTATGAATCATGATAATATGTTACATTTCCTGGAGCACTTTGCATTTTAGGTAAGTGCTTTCGGGGCCATTAATCAGCTTATTTGAAGTGATTTGCACAACAGAAAATATGGGAAGTTCTATCAGTATATGATGCTGTGGTCTGTAATAACTTTGTGTTTGCTAACTGGTGTATGTATGTGTGTGTGTGTGTGTGTGTTTATGTGTGTGAGAGAGAGAGAGAGAGAGACATTTGTCCTAATCAGATTGTGTTTGTGTATGTGTGCAGCTTTTGGTTAGGGAATATGAACATTTTTTTTCACCAATAGTTTTTTCTTCTGGAATGAAAACAGTGACCAGCCTTGAACATAAAGGCTTCAACCTCAGTATGACTTATAGTAAGACAGATTTGGGTCCAAACTCTGAGTTTGTCTTCTACTTGCTGTGTAATATTAAGGAAGTTTCTTAAATTTTCTGAGCCTCAATTTCCTTAGCCTGAAAGTTACATTGCAAAGTAAAGAATAAATGCATGTATAATGCCTGGTATATGATAGGTGCCACATCATTGGGAACTATGATGATGATGACGACGATGACGACGATACACTTATTCTGGATTCTATCAGCAAATTAAATAATGTAAGTAATGCCAAACATTGCTTCATTTCTTAAAAGTATCTTTAAAAATACTTTTTACATGCCTGCACTAGCATATTTCAATTTAATAAACAAAACTTGCAATAACATGATCTAGGACTCTTGAGTTTGGTTGTTCTCGTGTGATAATGCCAAAGGGGCTTTTCACTGTTATATGGCAGGGATGACATAATAATCATATACCTTGTTATGTGAGAGGAATGGCAGAGTAGTCACAATCTCCTGCAAATTCAAGGCTAGAATTATTTCTTAGGCATACCTATGGTTAAGTAGTAAGGGTTGACCAATGTATGAGACCATGTGTACTCCGTTTTGTTGGGAAAAAGCTGTGATTGGTGTTTTCTCCATTTAAGAACTCAGTGGAGACAACAAAACATTAAAAGGTTCCCTTTCACCAGTGTCTTTGCAGGGCTGTCTGAATGGGGGCCCCAGGAGAGGGCTGGAGAGCACACACCCACTGGCCTTGACTGGCCATTTCTTCTAAGGACGCATGCTTCTCAATATGCAGCCCAGCACAGACTTCTCCAAGGGAGCTGGGTCAGCACTGGTCAGAAGCCTGAAGCACCACCTGCGTGTCTGGACTGATAACAGCCCTTCCAATTGATTCACTGTGACACCTTGTGGCTTAATGCACACACTGGTGGAAGTAGTGAAGTGCTGAAGAGTACCATACGGTATCTTTCTGGCCACAGGGATCAGGTGGATGGGTAGTAACGCTACCTGTCTCTTTTTTTTTTACAGATGCAAGTGGGCACTACACTATGCTGATTTGAAGAATTCCTATTGAAGAATTCAATAGGAATTCTTCGGATTACATACATTGTCCTATACTTCATTTCTCTGACCAGGGCACCTATGATTTTTATAGTCTTATATTAATAATAATTTTTATCAACTTTTATAAAGTAAGATCTTGTGTAGCTCAAACGTTAAATTATTTGTAGCCCTTTTTTTTTCTTTTCCTTTTGGTAGGAGTTAGGGTGTGTTAAACTTCTCTTCCCAACGTAGGTCATTTCTTAGGACTCGTGAAGATTTGATCTCAATATTGAAAATCTGTGTAGAGAAGCAAAAGCTAAACCAATACATAAAACTGACCAATTGGAAATACACACAAAAAAACAACCTTTTTTAGACCTTACAAGTTTAACATGATTACCATGTAGTTGGCTGAAATTTATTACTTGAAATTAAACTTAAACAGTCAGTGCATATTACCTGCCCTTTGAAAGGTTCTAATTTGATGGAACCTACTAGTCCCAAATTAGATGAATCCTAGAATTTCAGGGCTGGAATGGTTATGAGATCATCTAGCCCAAGCTCCTGATTATGGAAGTGCAGAAGTCAAACCCAAGCGGGGCTAACTTGGACTAAGCAGTGCTGTCAATTCATAAGCCATCTCAGGTTTCTTTTTATTCTTTTTCTTTTTTTTTTTTTTCAAGTCTTAGCACTCTCCTGTCACTATGTAATTACCAGGAACTGGCTAAATCCAAACACACTTACCAAGCATTAATCTGCACCTCAACACTACAAAAACTTTTGTATTCCAAGCCCATATCTCCTTTTTCAGTTTTCCAATTGTCTTAAAACAGTGTTGATTTTTTTTTTTTTTTTTTTTTTTTTTTTGAGACGGAGTTTCGCTCTGTCGCCCAGGCTGGAGTGCAGTGGCGCGATCTCAGCTCACTGCAAGCTCTGCCTCCTGGGTTCACGCCATTCTCCTGCCTCAGCCTCACGAGTAGCTGGGACTACAGGTGCCCGCCACCACACCCGGCTTATTTTTTTGTATTTTTAGTAGAGACGGGATTTCACCGTGTTAGCCAGGATGGTCTTGATCTCCTGACCTTGTGATCTGCCTGCCTCGGCCTCCCAAAGTGCTGGGATTACAGGTGTGAGCCACCGTGCCCAGCCAAAACAGTGTTGATCTTTAGTGTCATGCTATTGATGTTGAAAAACACATCACTAACCTTCATTGCTTTTGAATTTATGATTTCCTTTGCCAGTTTATTTAGAATAAAGCTGCATGTGCTTTAAAATACATGTCTCCTTTTTTGGTTTTAAAAACAGTACATTATTAATGTAGAGTATTTGTGAAATACAAAAATGTTCAAGGAGGTAAAGAAAATCGTCTTTAATTTTACTGTGCAACAAAATTGCTGTGAACATGTTAGTATATAAATTTAATGCACACATACATATACATAAATCTTTACTTGCTTACAAGCATATTGAGCATCCTTTTGAATCCAGCTCTTTTAAGTAAAATTATGAGTATTTTACCGTGTCCTTAAATCTTCTTAAAATATAATTTTGAGTTGCCTGAATTATTCTTACATCTGTTTATGTTTCAAAAATTAACAACATATAGATATTTTAAAAATTATTTGGCTCCATTGTACCATGATTTGAGATCAGCTTTTGTTTGTTGGTTTGTTTTGTTTTTGAGACAAGGTCTTGCTCTGTTGCCCAGGCTGGAGTGCGGTGGCTCCATCAGAACTCACTGCAGACTTGACCTCCTGAGCTCAAGTGATCCTTGAGCCTCAGCCTCCTGAGTATCTGGGACTACAGGCACATGACACTGCACTAGACTAATTTAAAAAAAAAAAATTGTAGAGATAGAATTTCTCTTTGTTACCCAGGCTGGTCTCAAACTCCTGGCTCATGGTGATCCTCTTGCTTCGGCCTCCCAAAGTGCTGGGATTACAAGTTTAGGCCAGAGTTAAGTATTCTTAACAATCAATTTTATCTCCCATTGCGGTAGAAGATTACTGGTATGAAGGAGTTAACTATGATGACTATTATAATGACCGTTAGCATTTAGTACTAGTCAGAAGTCTTGAATCCAGACCTCTCTCTCACTCCCTATCCCCAACTTGAGGGTGGATCCTTTTTTATTTCTGCTTTTCTTTCTCTTGTATTATTTCTGAGTCAAAAGGCAGCGAGCACGTAATCTTTCACAAGGTCCATAAATCAAAATATTTTAGCACAATTCATACTGGGAAGAGGAAGCTTGAATTAATGTTAAGGGTTAGTGTTGATCTAGAACCAGAGAGTTGGGATATAGCAAGTTAATTTATGACACCTCTGAAGGACACGTCTTTAATTCAAAAAGAAAAGGGATACCTCAAAAAGTGGGTTGTGTCATGACTTGTATGTAATGTTATCCTGTTTTCCTTACTGGATCAAAGAGGTCTTTGGGATTGGGCACTATCTTGCTCATATTTGTATCAGTCATAACAACTGATATTCTCTGTGACCAATATCAATCTTCTTCTAAAGGCACATTTCACTGAAGCAGCCATTTTGTTATCACTTTCTTTTTTTATTTTTTTGAGACAGCGTCTTGCTCCCCAGGCTGGAGTGCAGTGGTGTGATCACAGGCTCACTGCAGCCTCGACCTCCAAGACTCGAATTTCTCACACCTTAGCTTCCTGTGTAGCTGGGACCACAGGCATGCACCACGACATTTGACTAATTAAAAAAGTTTTTTTTTTTTTTTTTTTTTTTAGAAGTGGTATCTCCCTATGTTGCCCAGGCTGGTCTCAAACTCCTGAGCTTGAGTGATCCTCCCGCCTCAGATCACTGTTTTTACATGAGTAATATGCTTTTTAAAAATAAGCCTCATACACGTATGCTTCTAGTACAACATAGGTTGTACAATAAGATTATGTCCTCTCCCATAGCATTGGCATTAAGCGCTTAACTTCTGGAGTCATGCAAATTTTTTTCTTTACTTAGTGGCTGTGTGACCTTGGATAATTTATCCATCTGTACCTGGGATGCCCCTATGGGTAATGTAGGGAATAACAGAATCTATGTGTTTGGGTTCTCATAAGATAGAGTGAGTTAATTCTTGTAAAGTGCTTAGCATAATGCCTGCACCCTATAAGGGTTAACAATTATTATTGTGGCTTATTTGTTTAATGGATATTGAACATCTACTACACATGATATTACTAGTCTAGAGACGAAGAGGGCAGAGTCCTTCTCTTAAAAGAGCTTACTGAGGACACAGTAAGGATTTACAGGGAAGGAAGGTCTTGATGGATAAATGGGAATTTGCCAATTAGAGAAGGGTGGTGGAAAGGGTGTTTAAGGTAGCAAGAACGCAAATGCAAATAAAGTGATATTATATTTTAGGAAGGGTGAAGATTTTGACACTGCTGAGGCTTAAGGTCTGGGGTGTATGTGTTAGTGTGTATATGATTGTGTGTGTAGGCCTGGAGAAGAAGTAGGGGCCGAATTGTGGAGGTATTTAAATACCAAGCCAGGGTTCTTTACCTTTTAGAGACTATACTTTGGACGATAGCATGATTATTTAACTTCTCCGTGCCTTGGTTTTCTCATCTGCAAAATGAGACAACAGTAGTCCCCGCCTCACAGAGTTGTTTTAGGGAATTTAATGAGGTAAGGCATGAAAGCCCTCAGACCAACACCTGGTACATAGTACGGATTCAGTCAGTATTAGCGTCTACTATTGGGCCGAGGGAGCTAATAAAGTGTTTTGTTTTATTTTGTTTTGTGTTGGCTGGGGAGTGAAGCAATCTGCTATGCCTTTGAGCAAGAACACTCTGATCCCTTTGTGGAGGGTGGACTGGTGGTCTGTCTTGGAGCACATCTGTCTGCTGAGAGGAAGAAATCAGTGGATAGGGAGATGCACAAAGGAAAAATTACACACACTTACTGGCTGACTGAGCTATTTTTAGCCTAGTGTGTCTGAAGCAAAGGATGGATTTTCATGGTATTTTTTTTTTTAAAGATGCAAAGTTCCCGTAAGCCAAGGTGATGTAACTTGCCTTGTGACATTTTATTTGCCCATCCTTGAGGTCTACAATGTGGGCCATGAATCGTTTAGCGGCCTGGGGCCTCTAGTCTTGAGTTTTCTTCCTGCCTTGATACAATTGGGACCTGTGTGGGAAACCAGAAGAGATGTGCTGGCCGTCAGCCTGGCAGGAGGACCCCACGGTGATGTGGCAGGGAGGCAAGGGAGAAGGCTGCATGGGGAAGAGAAAAAGGCAAGAAGCGGTGAAACCTGACCTCACCCAGCACATGGGACATGAGTCTCTGACACTCAGTTTCCACACTGATAGAATGGGAAAAATCATCTGTCAACATCAGAGGAACGTCCCAAGCCCTAAGTGGGCGGGTATCTGGTGTGGCTCTTCCCTCTACTGCATGGTAGTTCATGCCCCATTGCAGGCCCATATGCTTTGTGCATTGAATGTGTGTTTTTCTTGAATCTTTCTCGTACCTTCTTCCCTCTGTAAACTTAAGCCTCGGAGAAATATTTTCTTTCCCTGAGTCTGTTTCCTCTTTCGACTTTCTTGGATTAGATGAGCTATGAACACCAAGGTTCTCTCTTCAGCCGCAGTCTACGATCCCAGTTAGATGGACTGCTGATTTCTGTTTTTAACCTGTCACATCCAACACAAAGTCAAGGTAAATAACGTATTTTTGGCCCTCTTCTGAG
Organism: Homo sapiens; assembly: GCF_000001405.40. NCBI lineage: Eukaryota > Metazoa > Chordata > Mammalia > Primates > Hominidae > Homo > Homo sapiens. The sequence goes on along the minus strand of NC_000004.12, from coordinate 16,883,191 downwards.
CCTCCTTCAGCTCTTTTTCTCCCACCTTCTTTGGTGAGGGATCTTGCTGGTCACAGTGTCTTGCCTTTCGGCACAAACTGGCTGGAGAGGACCATGTTTTGCCTCAAAATGCTCTGGGAACCATTGTCTTAAAACCCGCACATAAAGGAAGGCTCGATGGTTGTTTTTTTTCCGTCCTCATAAAATAAGCTCGAAATGCAAATGCAGAATCTACTAAAATTTATGAGTTCAGTGGGTGCCCTGCATCACCAGTTTTTTTTAGAAAGGTTAAAATTCATCTGAACTAAGACTAGAAAATAAGCTTCAGGTGTTAGGTTATTCTGAAAAGACTGTTAATGCCTGTTGGCTAAGTGCATTAAACTGCATGGAAATGATCACTTGTGTGTACTATTTTAAAAACTGCTTGCTGGGATGGTGATTTAAACCTATTTTTTTCTGGACTCAAAACTTCACATTTGTCTGTTGAAAAAAAAATACTGTATTTGAAACAAATAAACATTAAAATATAGTTTATTATATTTCCAGGTGTTTGTCTGAAAGGATACGTCAAGACATTTTTCGTTAGAAGCTGAAATCTCAGCCTTAATTCACTCCATTGTATTTCCAAGGAGCTTAACCCTATATAATATTACCTGGTCTCTGGAGACCTCCTTGAAGGGATACCAGATACCCTTAGGATAACTAAAGAATGGGGGAGGTGGGGAGAGAATGGAGGGGGAATGGTTTCCAGTCCTAATTCTATATTTCCTGTGACTTTTTTTTATGGAGGCAGGGGAAAAGGAGAGAAGAAAGAACTCTGCTGAAAAGGAGAGAAGAAAGAACTCTGCTGTTAGCTTTATTACAGCTTTGATTTTAAAACCATTTAAGAAGTAGCATTCATGGTGGCACCCTGTGTTGTCTAGGATGGAATTGCATTGACTCATTCATTCCTTAATACCTTATTGAGCTTTTTTTTATTATGTGCTCAGTGAGGGAGGACCATATATAAACCCTGCCCTCAGGATGCTCACAGCCTAGTGGGGAAGGTAGCCAGCTGAACCTCCAGTTATAACTGAGGGTGCCAAGAGTGAGCTGTTGAGAGCAGCGAGGACAGAGGTTTTCCCAGCCAGGATTGCGGTACTGAGACATGCACACACGTGCATACACATGCACAGACATGTACACTCACACCCTAAATTGCTTGTGCTATGTGGGAAATTTTGACCCACATATTCCTATGTTTAATTGAAGGCACTGTTAACTTCTTAACAATGCTACATCTCTGATGATTTTAGGAGGAATTAGACTGCGTAAACATCTCAAAACAGGGAGGTGAAGCTAGGAAGCATAAATGCCCCAGTGATGGCTGCAACTAGGTCTCTTAACTTATTGTAATCTAAACCTTGGGTGAGGGAGAAAGAAAAAAAGAGCAGCTTTTTAAAGTCCACTGAAGACTTCAGATGTGGCAAAAATAATCATTTTTTTTCTGGCCATGAGAAATTGTCTGAGTAGAGGGTGGAAAATTTCATCCTTATCAGGAAGTTAATCATAGTAATTTATGTGGAACTTCCAGGTGGTTACTTAGTCAATCTTAAAAAAAAAAAAAAAAAGGCCCAAATTCCCCTCCCCGAATGACAGTATCGAGAGAACTTTAGGAAGAAAGCAAATCATTCAAAGCCTTGAATGGTTAGAAATCCATAAAGATGAAGGCAGGAGCCTGGATGAAAAAAGAAAGAAAATCTCAAAAATCCAGGAGCAGGAGCCATGCTAATCAGGGTGAATATCTGCTGAGTACTTACCAATCGCTAGTCCCACAGCTAAGTGCTTTACATCATGGCCTCAATTAAGCCACACACTACTGTGATACGTAGTGGTATCCACTCCATTTTTCAGATAAGATAAGTGAGGCCGAGAGAGGCTTAGTAATTAGCCCAGGGCTTCAGAGGTAGCAAGAGCTATCTCTGTGACTTAAGCCTGGGTGTTCCCAAGTTCAGAGCTGAACTTCACTTGTCAGCTCCGCTGCCTCTCCAGACAGCGCCCACTTTACAGATGAAGACACTGAGGCCCAGGTAGGTTACAGAAGGTCTTGAGTCTCACTGTGAGACGCATTCAAAGCCTTCTCATTGGCTGATGACTTCGATTTTGGTTCCTCAGTGATCCCCACATTCAACTGTGGGACCAGTATCTGTTTACTGAGAATCCACTGTGAGGGTCACACCACTGTGAGAGTCATAGCACCAAGGATTTCTTGAGGTTGGGAACCTCACCTGGCTCCTCTTTGTGTGTGTGCTTTTTTTTTTTTTTTTTTTGAGATGGAGTCTTGCTGTCTCACCCACGCTGGAGTGCAGTGGTGTGATCTTGACTCACTGCAAGCTCCGCCTCCCGGGTTCACACTATTCTCCTGCCTCAGCCTCCCAAGTAGCTGGGACTACAGGCACCCGCCACCACACTCGGCTAATTTTTTGTATTTTTAGTAGAGACGGATTTCACTGTGTTAGCCAGGATGGTCTCGATCTCCTGACCTCGTGATCCGACGCCTGGCTTATCTTTGTATCAGCAGCAGAGGACACAGGGCCAAGGGCAGAAATGATAATCTAAATAGTGCTTGAATGAATGAGGGATATGAAAGAAGTAGTAGGCTCCGAGGTTTACACAGAGTAGGAGAGGCAACTAACTATAAGCACCATGCAGACAAGCGCTGTTCCTCTCTTTTCAGGCACAGAAGGCTATGGGACATGTCTATGCAAACTAGAAAAACGTGCTCCTTCTGAGTGAGCCTATGGCCCTTTTGTGAAAATGAAAAGCTTCCTGGTCTTCCTGGCAGACATTAGCTCCATGGGGCTTAGCAAAGTGCTCTGGATTTCAGCCGTTCCTTCTCCCCTTGGTCAGCTGCCTTTTTGCAGTGTGGAAACTGCCCAACAGGAAATGGAGGCCTGTTTTGATTTAATTTAGTCACCCAGAACCTGAATTCTAATTGATCTTCACTAAATCTTGACTGGACCCATGAAGAATTTTTAAGATGGTGCTAAATTCTCTTCTGTCATTAAGATACAGTGCATAAAGAAGAATGTTTAGGCCATGTGTCATGGAGGAGGCTGGGATCGGTTTGATAAGGGATTGTAGGATTTGGATTTGTTGGGAAAGAAGAAGGGCATCTGGTTTGGGGAAATAAAGGTCTGAGATGCCATCAAGCAAACACGTCTGGCATAGGAATAGGATGTGGTTGGCTGACTTCTGCACAGGAAAGTTTCTGCAGGTGTAAAGAGAGTTGGACACCAAGAGGAGACATCATTGTCTCTGTGTTCCGTGCTTGGGTACCATGTCCATAGAATGCAGTGTGAATGAGGCTTCATGGAGATGTTAAATTGGCTTCCTGTTTCTAGGGTAGACACCCTTACTTCTCTACTCCCTCTGTGTTAGTTAGAATTCTCCAGAAAAGCAGATATAGGGTATATATCCAGGAAGAGATTCATTGTAAGCTCTAGACTCACATTGTTATGGAAGCTGAGAAGTCCCATGATCTGCTGTTTGCAAGCTGGAGACCCAAGAAAGCTGGTGGTATAGTTTAAAGTCCTGAGGGCCAGAGAGCTGATGATATAAATTCCAGTTCAAGTCTGAAGCTCTGAAACTAGAAGCACTGAAAGTAGGAAAAGATCAATATTCCAGCTCTTAAACAGCCAGGCAGAGTTAAGCCAACTTTCCTCTGCCATTTTGTTCTATTCAAGCCTTCTATAGATTGAATGGTGCCCACCCCCACTGGGGAGGGCTGTGTGCTTTACCCAGACAACAATTCTAACAGCGAGTTCTACCCTAATCTCAGAGTAAACACCTTCACAGACATACCCAGAGATAATGCTTAACCAGGTATCTGGGCATCCTTTGGCTCAGTCAAGTTGACACATAAAATTAACCATCACATCCTCTCCTGCCAAAATGCTGCCTTCTCAGATATAATAGAGGCTGGTGTCAGAGGTCTTTGAATGTTTGTCTGAGGACTTTGGATCTGACTTTATTGCAATAGGGAATATTATATGTTCTTCAGCAGATCCATTAACATCTTATTCATTCCCTCATTTGGTACATCTATATCAAGCAGAGCCAGGTGTTTAGCATACAATACCGCATAAAAACAGACATTGGCATTTCTTGCAGGAAATTTACAATCAAGTAAGGGGGCTGTACAGCAATTAAAAACTCATACTAACTAAAGTATAGTTGTAATGGATAAAATGTGCAGTATTTATCACAATGTAATCAGTGCACTAGAGGAATCAAGCATGTTTCTGTGAAAGCGTAAAATAAATAAGGAAAGCTGACCTATATTGGTGGCAATAGTGGTTAGGGAAGGCTCCTTTGAGGAAGTGAATTTTTAGCTGAGACTTAAAGAACAAATGAGATTTAGCTAGAAAAATTGGACATGCGATGCCAAGATGGCATTTTAAAAGAATAATAGTAAGCACAAAGGCCCTGTAGCAGGAGGGAGCTGATTGTCCATAGTTCAGACAGCAAAGAAGCTGATGATGCAGGTTGGGGTCAGACCGTGTTTGACTACAGATAGGATGTTAAGGGTTTTGGCTTTTTAGGTTTTTGTTTTAATTCTAAAAGTAATGGAAAATGTACTCCTTTTGGTGGTGGTCTGAGAGAAGGTACATCATTAGAATGACATTTTGAAAACAACACTCAGGCTGCTCAGTAGAGAATGGCTTCAAAGGATTTAAAAGCAGAAGCAGAAGGACATATTAGAGAAGGATTGTATAGTTTTCTGGTAAAAGATGACAGTGAATTGTATGGGCGATGGATTAGCCGTGGAAGGTGTTGAGTATAAGTGGTCTCCAGCCAAACTCTATGGTTACTGGAATAAGAGAGTAGGAACCCTTCTCAGGCTTTATCTTTATCTATTCTTGTCAACAGTATGTACATGTGTCCCCCAGCCCCAAATAACTGTACAGTTTAATGATGTTCACTCTATACAGTTCCCAGAATCCATTGGAAATTGCTGTAACAGCATATCCTCAATGCCCATCAATTCTCCACGTCCAACTTCTCCATGGCCTCCTCTGCCTCTGCTGATCTGTGAACTTCCCAAGCCCCTTCCCCTACCTGCTTTTGATTGGCTTTAACTTTTACAATATCTTCATTACTCCAAGTTTGTTCAACATCCTTTTTATTTTTTTAAATCATAGATTGATTTAGTTTATTCTCTTTGCCATTTTTGAATCTCATTATTTCTGTTTCTCCTTGGTTATTAGTGGCTCTGTTTTCCTTCAATTGCCTCTTGTCTTTGAGAAGCTCTTGTGATTCTTTTAGGGCCATTTGCCATTTGATTGGTTTGTCTTCCTTTTCCCTATAAGCTTTAAATATGGCATTATAGTTTTATCCCCTTTCCTCTTCTTTAGGTACAACTGCAGACACTTTGCTCTTCCAAGGTTACTAAGCAGTGTCTGACACAATGTAGAAGCTCAACAAATATTGGTTAAATTTATTTCTTCTATTGATTGTTCAGGCTTTGATGACATCACTTAAAATGTTTCTTGTACACACCCTGTTTTCTACTGATATATGTATGTGTATGGCTACCTGAATCCAGGTTTCTTCTAGGAATATACAGAAAGTAATTGATTTCTCTGTGGATCTCTAACAGTGACAAGAATTTTCACCTATGCCTGTGAGAATACCTTCAAAAGTATTGGGTGCTCATCATAAACACACATCAGTTTAACAAACTCTTATGGATGCATTGACTTTCCCAGTTAGTTGCTAGATGACTTCGGATGATTTGCATAATGGGTCTCAGTTTCCATATCTGTTAAATGGCAATAATCAGAGAATTTTAAAAAATTTAAGGACACCTGGAAAGCTTGAAAGATCCCTAGAAAGCATGTGTTTATTCCACATAGTGGGAACTATGCTAGATTCCAAAGACACAAAGACAACTAAGACAACTTAGAATAAGAAGGAAAAGAGAATGATTCGTTGCAATGATCCCCTTGAAGCTCCAGTTGAAAGTCAGAGTATTGCCCTGGATTGGAAGTAGTCTCCAAACTGACATCATTTTCTTTTTCGAACCATATCTGGCCTGTCTCTCTTGCCAGTTGCATATTAAAGGTAACAGATTTGAAAATGTTTGGAATAAAAGCTCTAGTTAGGTGTGGTGGCACACACCTGCCATCCCAGCTACTGGAGAGTCTGAGACTCGATGATTGTTTCAGCCCAAGAGTTGGAGGTTGTAGTGAGCTATGATGGCACCACTGCACTCCAGTCTGTGTGACAGAGCGAAGACCTTGTCTCTAAGGAAAAAAAAAAAAAGCACTATACAAATTCCACATTGGGAAATTTTCACTGAATCAATGGTTAAAGGTTTATACAATGGATGGAGTATTTGGTTAGTGAGGAGAGATTTTTGAGGATCGATGGCAATACTTATTTCTAGAAATAGCCTTGTTTTTGCTGATTACTGTTGGTAGGGATCAGTTTAATGCTTTTTCCCCTAATGTACCTAGAGATTTGTGGTAGAATTAGCTATGCAAATTGAATCCTTAAAAAAAAAACCCTCCACAAACCTGTATGTTATATTTATAAACTTTACATTGTACTAAAGTCAGCAAATGTCACAGAATTAAAATCAGTAAATGCAAAAGTGAAGGTTTCTATAGCAACAGTAACTCACCCATATTGCACATAAAATGAAATGTACATTAGGATTTACATTTAATCGCCTATTAGTGGAGAAAAGTCCTATGTATAACAGGTGCAATATGAATACATTAGGGTGACCCTAGCAACTCTTTATCTTTTAAACTCCAGGCTCTAGCTGCCGTAACTCTTTTATATCTACCAAGTTTTGACTCCTTTAGGGAAAGTGAGGTAGGAAAATTAGAGGCAGCGTTAGAGCAGAGGTGTGTACCCCTAGATTTAAATGCAGTGGAATATTACCATTGCATAAATTATCAATCAACTCAGTAGGTGTTTCAGAGAAAGAAATAGACCCAGAATAGTAAATGTTTATGAAATTGTTGCACGTAGGGTACTTAAGAAGAATTTCTGTCTAGCATAGTCGGTTTATCCAAACCTTGAGCGCTTCTGAAACATGCTAATGCAAGATGATTTTGTGACTTTGAGTTGGTTGCGGAATGGCCCAATAGGAGGGTGGCAGGATTGGAGCCAGGGACATGGGACATGGCCCCAGCCCATCACTCTGCACATATGGCCTCCCTTGTTGAATTTCAGTTTCTTCCTATAATGCATTCCTACTTCCTATAATGCATTCCTACTTCCTATAATGCCTGCTATCCAGGGTTCTAAGAATCAAATAGGAGTGGAAGGAGAAGGATAGAGGGTATTTTGTGGAAGCTAAAGCTCTCTATATGGACAATGATGTCGCTATTGTGAATGTGACTTTCATAAGGCAAATATCATCCCCAGCAGTTATACCATGCCTTTGGCTGGTGGTCCCTGGAGACGGCCTATCCTTGGCCGTCTGCTTACATAAAGGAATGTCTCTTCGCTCTGCAGCAGCTCTTCTGGTGGAGGGCTCTGAGTCATTGCTGAGAATAACCGTCATGCCTCCTCCAGCTCAGTCTACATCAGATAACTCTAGATAGAGACTCTTCTATTGGTCAAAACTTTCTTTTATAAAATTGGAAGAAATTTTTCTAGTGACTAGACAGATGATTCACTCTAAAATGCAGTTGATTTTTAAAAATAATTTTAAGTAAAATTGATCATAAGTTTTCTTTTTCTTTTTTCTTCTCCATGAGCTTTAATGTTCTTTAGTATTCCTTGGCTTCACTCTGAACTCTTTGATTCAGTTGGTCCGGAGTAGGCCACAGGATCTGCTTTTTATCCAGTAGCATGGTAATCTTTAAAAATTTATTTTTCAATTGATAAATTAATTTTGTATAGCTTAAGACATCAAATGAGGTTATCTGATTACCACCCAGATCAGATTTTGCCAGCCCCAGAAACCCTACCCTGATGATAACCCCTTTCCTTGTATAGTCTTAATTGACTTTTTTGGTATTAATTCTCTTATGTTTCCCCAGACACTATGTTTCCCCAGCTGCTATTGATTCTCAGACTGGCCTGCCTTGCTGTCCAGTGAATACTTGTTGGCTGTTTTTGATTCCCTGATTTTCTGGTCTATCAGATGTTCTCTAGCTTCCTTCCTGCCTAGACCCTGATAACATACATGTCTATGGCTGTAGTGGTTTGTTCCACTGGCTTGTATTTTGGGATGTCAGGTCCCCTTTTCTTTTCAAATATAATTTTTGTTTTATTGAAAAAATTGAAAGAGCTTTTTAAAAACATAATTGGACCAATTTTTGTCAAGTGCCACTCTTGTGCATACATAAACAAGGCTATAAATGAAATACATTGGTTAGGTATTACTAAGACTTACACTCAGGGTCTAATGGTTTAGAATTGTTCTTCAACTCATGGTTGTCCACGATTTTCCACGTAGTATAACCTTTGTGCCACCAAGGATGTTGGTGAGATGGCATTCTTCAAAATAATACTTTTAGAAAACAGACATGATGCAGGTCTCTGAGCAGGCTTTGCATTAGGTAGAGCTTGCCTAATTTTGAATTTGATTTTCAGGAATGTAGCGAATCTTGTTGGATGCGCACTCTCCCTGACTCTTACCCTCAACTATTTGATTGAGAGGAGAAAGAGTGATCTATCTGTCCCTCCTTTTCTTCCAAACCATTCGCACCCATTCTGCAAATTATGATGCTTCTGCTTTGAATATTTGTACATGTACAATGACAATGATGGCTTGACAGAGAGGGTAAATCATAGTCTAATTGTAAAACATGCATTGAGACATCAGATTGATATTGGAAAAAATGTGCATCTTAGAATTAATGAACTTATAGATAAATATAGACACGGGATTTTTCTGTACTTCTTGTCTTGTAACCTTCTTTCTCACTTTAAAATATATTCTATTTATTTATTAAATATAATATAAAACTGAATCTTAAGATCTGCCTATTTTCCAGCCTATGCATTGCCATGATGATCTTATCATCTAATTTTGTTATAAATGTTTTCCACGAGTTTTTGGTTTGGAGTTTGTGTAGGGAGTTGGAGATATTTTTAAATGATGCTATCATTGTTCGTAACAGTCAAAAAGCAGAAGTAACCCCAAATGTCTGTTAAGCGATGACTGGATAAACAAAATGTGATATATCAGTACAATAGGGACCATAAAAGGATGAAATTTGGATCCATTGCTACAGCGTGGACGAGCCTCAAAAACATTATGCTAAATAGAAGAAGCCTTTCACAAAACACCACATATTGTAGATTACGTGGATGGAAACAGTAATTCCTGCAATTGACATGAGAGACCATGTTGGGATCATGAAAACCTGCTGAAACACTGAAACTGGTTGTGGTGATGATTGTTATGACTTGGGCAATTTACTAAAAATTAAAACACATGAATTTTGTGATTTACACATTATACGTCAATAGGATCATGAAAAAAAACTTTGCCACCAATGCTGTTTTCTCAAATACTAAGTTTTAAGACTAAAAATATGCAGAATAATATAAAATATAAAAACAATATTAAGAAATGCCAAAATACTCCTTGTTTTAGAAAACTCTTTAGGAATTGGAATAATTTGGTTTTTCTTTGTTGAATTTTTTAAGGAATAAAGTAGAAGAATAGAAAGCCTAAGGACAAAGAACATTTTTTTTTTTGTCATAAGATCAACTGGTGAATAGAGACCATTAACACCGTCAAGGTTAACCCCAGGCCGAATGCCAGGTTCTCTTTTCCAGGTTCTAGCTCAACCCTGTCCTGTGCTCCAGCACTTTCAGTGATAGGCAGCCCACTCCATTTTGAGGCAATCCATCTTATTGACTTAGGGTTCTAGTTAAAAGAAATGTAAAAAAATTAAAGTCAAGTTTGTCTCTTAGTCACTATCATTCACCAGCCCTTTTCTGAACTTGTACAAAATAAGTTCATTCTCTCTTCTACAGGAGAGACCTCCACTATCCAAATATGAGGAGCTTATCATCCCAAGGCTCCAGGTCTTCTCATTGCTAAATATAGCACCCTGGGCTAAATATTCCCAGGGTGCTCAGCTGTTTCTCAAATGCAGAGGAAATGCCCGATACACCATTCTCCTTCACAGCATCTTTACCACCCTGCCACTTGGCCTTTTTGAACCCCCATTAGATGGTGAGCATTTTCCTTATCTGATTGCTTTCCCCTGTCACTGGGCTGTCAATGGGACTCTTAGAATTGGACTTAGAAGCACGTGGGCTCCCCGACAATGATCTGGACAGCCTTGCTTTGAATATAGTGGATCTTTTGCTTTTCTTGCTTTGCTTGCAGAGCTCAAGGAAACATATTTTCTGATCTTGTCATCTTTTGCTAAAACATACTGAAAGTTAATTAATAGTCATGGCTGTGAAATCTTTTCTCTGGTTTGTTTCTGCCTTATACTGATTTCTAAACTATTTGCAAATATTATTTTTGATTGTAACAGTATGAAAGGGATTGAGAGTCCTGCCTACACTGACTTATAATAAAAGATGCCATGAATTTACCTGAGAATCTGAGAAGGTCTATTGCTCTCATTCTTTAAAAACTTTTTTTTTGTTGTTAAGTATCTGCTTTATGCCAGTCATCCATTCTCAGCACAAGAGAAAAAGAAGCAGTGATAACAACAAAGATTCTTTTAACCAGAATAGAACTTACAATTCAGTTGAAGGAACCATACAATAAACAAGTAAACAAATATATATATGCCATAGCATTAAGTAGTATTTGAAAAGTTTTATTCAATTCTGAGGAGCAGTAACTCATGTTATGGATGAATGATTGAAGTTCAGGTATTCATTTGTGGTGAAGAAAAATAAAGATAAAAAATAAAAAATAAAGATAAAAGAATAAAAATAATATGAAGAAAAATACAGTCACAGGATAGAGACATATGATGGACACTACTTTAGATAACGTGGTCAAAGAAGATGTCCCTGAGTAGAGACCCATGCAAAATACAGAAATGAGAGCTCTATGGATAAATGTTTAACAATTGGGTCTTTAAAAAAAAAGAGCGTGTATATACATACATACGCTTATTATAAGTTTTACTAATAGAAAGATATATAGTTTACAGTTTATGGATAATAATAAAATATACAATATTTTTTATTATAAATTCTGTATAGCCAATTAATTCTCCCAAAATGCTTTCATTGATTTCTGCTGAACTCTTATAGTCATAGCCCAAATGTAATTTTCATTGATGAATAAGAGTAGTTCTGATGTGGGCTGGGCGCGGTAGCTCACACCTGTAATCCCAGCACTTTGGGAGGCCGAGGTGGGCGGATCATCTGCGGTCAGGAATTCAAGACCAGCCTAGCCAACATGGCAAAACCCCTTCTCTACTAAAAAATACAAAAATTAGCTGGGCGTGGTGGTGGGCGCCTGTGATCCCAGGTACTTGGGAGGCTGAGGCAGGGGAAATTGCTTGAACCTGGGAGGCGGAGGTTGCAGTGAGCTGAGATCGTGCCACTGCACTCCAGCCTGGGTGACAGAGCGAGAGTCTGTCTCAAAAAAAAAAAAAAAAGAAAGAGTGGTTTTGACATGAATGTTGGCTGATATTTTCTTTTACATTAATGATTAAGAAGACAATGAAACAACAGAGATGAATATTTGAACTTCATTCATTCATCAGTGACATGAGTCACTGCTCTCCTGAATTGGATAATACTTCTCGAATACTGGAAGAATATTTCCTCAAATTTTCTGCCACTCATTATGTTACAGCTTCAGGCATGCAAACTTTCATACTTAATTCATATTATTAACATTTTTGCATCACTTTCTTAAATCTACACAGTCAACAAAATAAAAACTCAAGCCCTGCATTTTAGCATTTGCCAATTTCTGTAGTAAATACTCCCACTATGGCTCATTTGAAGCTACATATATTCAAAGTGTGGGGTTGAGAAAAGACACACACCATTATACAGTATTTCCATCATGCAACAGACATAAATAACCCCAAGGGCACCAATAATAGTAACATGTAGCAAAATAATTAGGAATTTTGGACTAGTTATTACCTTTGCTTTCAGTATGATTTGTTTAATTGGAAGTTAGAGGCTGTCTCACAAAATTTCTGAAAATTTAGCAATAGGAGAGCTGCAACACACTGCTGAGTGCAACATATGGGTCTCACTCATTTGCCAGAGGAAGCAGTGTATGCAGGTCTAAATCAGAGATAGGCTTTTTGGGTTTAAAGAACGCAAGGAGGCAGGGCATGGTGGCTCATGCCTGTAATCCTAGCACTTTGGGAGGCCGAGGTGGGCGGATCACCTGAGGTCAGGAGTTCGAGACCAGCCTGGCCAACATTGTGAAACCCTGTCTCTACTAAAAACTACAAAAACTAGCCAGGTGTGGTGGCGGACACCTGTAATCCCAGCTACTTGGGAGGCTGAGGCAGGAGAATCGCTTGAACTGGGAGGTGGAGGTTGTAGTGAGCAGAGATTGCACCGCTGCACTCCAGCCTGGGTGACAAGAGCGAGACTCCATCTAAAATAAATAAATAAATAAATAAAGAGAATGCAAGGAAGTGAGTGTTGTGGGTATGGAGTGGACACAAGAAGGGAGGGAGGCTGCAGAGATGGTGAGGCCAGATCAGAGAGGGCTTTTATACCTGGTAAAGAGGGATGTTAAGGGGAGTGGGGGTGACCGCAGGTCCCCATATGCTCTGGGTAAGGCCACACATACACACCCCTTCAGCAGGATTGCAGAGCCCCTAATTAGCTTTGTGATTTTTAAGAGCCACTTCCCCTTCTGGCCACCACTTTTCTTATCTGTAAGATACGGAAGTTGGACTAATATGACATTTAAACTTCCTTCCAATTCTAACCATCTCTGGATCTGGATAAGCCTTCGCTCCTTTTTGTGTAATGAATGCAGCGAGTCCTGTTGCCTACTGAATTCGTCCATGTGGCAGGCTCCTGGGCTTTCTCACTATTCCCTCCTATTGATATGGTTATGGTTAGTCTTCCAAACACTGAATCCACGGCATCTTCTGCATCTCCTTCCTTCACCTCTGAATGTCGTGGATCGCCTCTGCAGCTGCCTTGTACAAAACACAATGGCTGCTTCTTCCAATAAAGCATTTGGGGTTGCTGCTGGCTGGCATCCCACCATGGCCACCCACTCACATAGGCTCATGTCACCATCACGCTGAAAGAACAAGTCCCCAAAGACTGAGATACATGGCTAAGAAAATACTGCAAGTAGGAAAACAGGCTCAAGGAACATCCTGAGTGTTGTTTTTGGATCACCACATTGACTTTCTAGATCACTTCCAAATTTGCAACCTAAAACAGCAGGATGTTCCTCAAATACTTAAGATGGAAGGCGACCAAAAATATCACTGGGTAAAGTGAACATCTACGTATTGGTATGACCAGCTCCAAACTCAAAAAATGAAGCACGTGAACTGTACTTTTGTGACGTAAGAAGCTCGTAACTCAATAATAGTCATAATTTTAGAAACACCCATGGTGCAGTGGTTTTGATTTCAGGCCCAAGTACTGAACTCTCTGCGCTTGGATTTCAGGTCGACCATGCCTCAGCCAAGTCATCTAACTGAAGATGAGTCTGTTGCCTCATTTGTAAATGCACGTTGATAGTAGCAGTAACTGCCTTGTATTGGTGTTACTGGAATTAGATGAATTAATACTGTTCCATAGTGTTCATATAACATAGTTGTTTTAGAAGCACCTTCACACCCATGATTTAATTTTCTCTTCCAAACAACCCTCATTTCTGAAGAAAGTTGTCTGATATTATCACCTCCATGTCTGACGGGTCAGCATAGCACCTTTCCCAAAACTTCGAGCATTTCTGAGTTTTTTTTTTTTTTATGACTTTTGCATTTGTGTACTAGAATTCTGCCCTTAGAACTGGCCTGCCTGAGCTTAATTTCTAATTTAAAACATTTTACTACTGTGTGTCTTTGGGCAGTTACTTAACTTCTCTAGGCCCCAGCTTCCTCACCTGATGAATGGGGATAATTAAAATAATAATAATAACAATAATGATGCCCACCTCATAGCATTGTTGAGAATTAACTGAAGGAAACTTTATGAACCACTGAGGCACTTAGCATGGTGTCTGGCAAATGGTAGCACCATTCATCATCATCAACATCATCTACCAGCATCATCATCACCAATAATGTCATCATCTTCATCATAATCTTCATTAAAATCATTCTCATCACCGGCATCATCATCACCAGTAACGTCTTCCTCTTCATTATCATCTTCATCAACATCATCATCATCACCAAAATCATTGTCAACAGCATCATCATCGTTATCACCAACATCATTACCAACACCATGACCACCATTATCGTCATCATCATCCTATGAGAAGAAACAGATCCTAAAAACAGTTAAAAGACTGGGCTAACGAAAGGCACTGAGATAAAGGTCTTTGGCAATTGGTGTCCTATGTGAATAACAAGTGCTTCTGTGTTATACTCTGCATGGTTGCAATCACTTCAGTCTTCATCCTTTGAAAGGAGAAGTGTGGGTGAAAGAGGAGGAGAGACAAATCCATTCACACAATCTGCAACTTTTCCCATCTGCCTGAGTGAATATTCGTTTTGCTTTGCCTTAAGATTCTGCCACCAGACTTTGATTCCAGTGCTGAGTGACTGTCTGGGGTGGCAGAAGGGGTTGGGTGGGGGTGATGACTCTGACCTCTCTGATATTAAGAGTTTATACAGAGAATAGTATTTGCTGTGCATTTTAATCAGCAAAATACACCCCCGTCAGCAGATGTTAATTTGCATTCTGACAATGCTGCCCCTGGAACCTGAGAATGTGATGTTGGAACAATAAAAAAGTTTTTGAGTAATAATACCTTTGTCCTATCAGGAGTCCCCAAATTTAGAGGTCTGGTCCCTGTTCTTGCCTGAGATATTAAAGCACAGAAACTATGGGTAAGCCTGTTATCATTACTCAGGCTCAACTGACGCAAAAGTAAAATAAAATGGGTGATACCTACTCTCTTGAAGATAAAACTAGAATAGATAATCTATTAAGGTCCACTTAAATCACTAAGATAAACGAGTCTAATGTGATTAAAAGAAAGGTGTGGAAAATGCATATGTAACTACTGTAGGGCTTTATAATGACAATCTTTCTGGGCTTTGGTAATTTGAGAGGTCTGGACTTTATCAGGGATAGCAAATGGATTTCATTTTATGTGACAGCTCCAACAGATGCTAGTGGATTGTTTTTGAAGTGGTCAGGTTAGGTTAGGGATAGAATGTTGTCATGGATTGTTGATATCTTCTATGTGCATAGGAGGATATTCATATCCACTTGGATATGAATGCCCGACATTTTTCACCCTTGGACTTCATTGTCTTGAAGTGTCTTGGAGTGCAGCTATTTGATTATAGATCACTTCTTCACCATTGCTCCCAACTACCACCTTGAAATCTTGGTGCTATTATCATCTTTTGCCGATGAATTACTGGTTCTTATTTCTACATTTTAAAGAGCCCTCTTTACCATCTCAAGTTAATGATTCTTTAAGTAGCTATATCTCCTGGAATCCTTCTTTACCTAGAAAACACTACAAACCTGGGCACTGCTATCCTGTACCTTAGTGGTTCTCTAGTTGTTCCTGTTTTCTATTGGCATGAAAGAACATTTATAATGTTCTATAACCGGTATGGGCTATTTCTTAAGAGTTGATTGCAGTTCCCTTTTCTTGTCTCTGTGACAGATTCCTTTGTATTTCTAGTGCCCTGAGCAGGGCCTTTAATTAATACTCTGGGGGTAATTGACCTACCCATCTTTAGTGTTTACTTTAAATTTTACCTGAGTCTTACACTTACTGTATTGTATTAGATTGTGTATTAATCTGTGATGAGTATTAATCTGTGATCTGGGCAGGGCTCCGCAGGTTAGCTCATCTCTTCTTCCCTCAGTGTTACCTGCGGGTGTTTCCAAGGCTGAGCATTGGAATGCAATGAGGGCTTGCTCATTCCCATGTCTGGCAGTTGATGTTGGCTCCTGACTGTGCCTTGGACTTCCCCACAGCATGGAGGCTGGGTTCCAAGGGCTAAGCCTCTGAGAGACGCTGTGCCAGACAGCAGTCATATTATCTTTCAGCACCTAGTCCCTGAAGGTATCACTTCTTTCAGGTTCTGTTTGGCAAGGTTGTCACAAAAGTCCAGCCAGGTTTAGGGGGAAGAAACAGAGCCTCCTATACCCATTGATATGGGAATATCTACACCACCTTGTAAGAAAAGCGTGTGGGATATTATGTGTATTAATGTGGCCATGTTTGGAAAATACAATTTGCCATACTCTGCAAACAACACAGGCCCATTTTTGGTTCAAGATTTTAAGATCTGATTAATACAGGGAATGAGATAATAGTCTTGGTGCTGTTACCAAGACAGGACGTTTTTGTATGTTTTATCAGTTAACATGTCAGTGGAATATGTCAGATTTTTTTCCCTATGTCCAGCTCCCTTTATGACTCCTTTCTTTGACTGAATATGGAACATAATGCATTGGGAAAAGCACCGGCCTGGAGTCCAACTTCTTTTCACCCTGTCTTTTCATTGACTAACCTAGAGTATAATGTTGGGCCACTCACTTCCCTTTGAGGCTCAATTTCTTCATCTGGCAATTGAGGGTATTAGACCACACATTCTCTTTTCTTTCCAGATTGTTACAAAATTCTTTGATTTATTTATTTGATTTGGTTGGCTTATAAATTATGTATTTATTTTCTTAAATGCATTCTTAAAATTAATAAAGTAACATAAAGTAGCATTTTATATTTTGAAAAGTAAAAACTATTACTTATTTTTCCATTATTTAAATTCGATATTCCTCTACTTCTTCCCAGTCCTTTCCAATGTAGTTTATAAGTGAGGTGTGCTACTTTGTAACTCACATCTTTATTAACTTAGTATCATGTGTATTTTCCATATTGATGCCTTTTTGTGTACTGATTGTTTTTAAATGGCACTTCGCGGAAAGAAAATCTGCACAATCACATTCCTATTCTCCAGGTCCCAGCTCTTATCACAAAGTCCTCTGTAGATATCCTGTTAGGCAGGAACAACAATTATTAGACTTCCATGCGGAGATAAGGCCTTTGAAGAAAAATAAAATGGGACAAGGGGTTAGAGAGTGCCTGAATGGGGGTAGCTGATTTAGAGAGGAAGTTTCTCCAGGGGAACACTGGAGCAGGGGCGTGCAGGAAGCTGAGGCAGGAACCCTGTGAAGGTTTGGGGAAGAATATTCTAGATGGAGAAAGTGGCAAGCACAAAGGTGGGAATGTGTTTGGAGTGTCCATGGGGCAGCAAGGCCAGTGTGGCTGGAAAGGTGAATGAGAGATTCTATTCCTGAGCTCTCTCAGATGAATGCCCCTTCTCTTTGTTTCTCCAAAGTCAAATTGGATTATCCCCAGAGTGACTGTAGACAGCCACGTGCAAAGAGCTGAACCCTAGAGTCGGTTGTCAACTGCTCTCTGCTGGTGTGAAGCTGATTTAGCTTACAGAGAAAGAAGAGAGTTGGAGATGCTTTTTTCTCCACAGAAAGGGACATGGACACATTTACCAGACGGAAAATGGCCCTTCTCTTGGAGGCTGGGGCATCCTCATGATCACAGGAGCTGGTGTGAGGAGGTGCCCTTAGTGCCATCTCCAGCAGGGCTTGTGGAGCTGAGACTGCTGCCAGCGCAGCCCGAGCCCCTGTGCATCAAGCTGGTCGCAGGGAACGTTCCCATGCTTATTTTTCCTTCCTGTGAAGAATGCAGAGGCTTCCTGCAATAGGGCTGAGGGCAGTGATTTCTGAATACTGGTCACTGGAGCCCAGGGAGGTGTGAAGATGACCATGTAAACTCTAGGTATGGGCTCTTTGTTTCTTTCTTTTTTTGAGATAGAGCCTAGCTCTGTCACCCAGGGTAGAGTGCAGTGGCGCTGTCTCTGCTTACTGCAACCTCCACCCCCAAGCTTCAAGTGATTCTCTTGCCTCAGCCTCCCTAGGAGCTGGGACTACAGGCTCACACCACCAAGCCCAGTTAATTTTTTGTATTTTTAGACGAGACGGGGTTTCACCATGTTGGCCAGGTGGGTAGGTCTCTTAACTCCTGACCTCAAGTGATCTGCCCACTTCGGCCTCCCGAAGTGCTGGGATTATAGGTGTGAGCCACACCGCGCCTGGCCGGTATATGGTATGGACTATTTTTGTTCTTTTCTTTTTAGATGGATTTTTCTCTCTTTTGCCCAGGCTGGAGTGAAGTGGCATGATCTCTGCTCACTGCAACCTCTGCCCCCTGGGTTCAAGTGATTCTCCTGCCTCAGCCTCCCAAGTAGCTGGGATTACAGGCGCCCGCCACCACGCCCAGCTAATTTTTGTATTTTTAGTAGAGACAGGGTTTCACCATATTGGCCAGGCTGGTCTCGAACTCCTGACCTCAGGTGATCCATCCACCTCGGCCTCCCAAAGTGCTAAGATTACAGGGGTGAGCTACTGCGCCCAACCGGTATGGGCTATTTCTTAAGAGTTGGTTGCAGTTCCCTTTTCTTGTCTCTGTGACAGATTCCTTTGTATTTCTAGTGGCCTGAGAAGGGCCTTTAATTAATACTCTGGGGGTAATTGACCTACCCATCTTTAGTGTTTACTTTACATTTTACCCGAGTCTTACACTTACTGTATTGTATTAGTTTGGCACCAAGGCATGCAGAGATCTATGGTGTCATCTTTCTGTGCGAAGAAAGTCCAAGAGACCTATTCTATTTTAAGGTGTTTTTATTACCATATCTGAAAGCAGGGTTGGATTTTGATGTGATGAATCACTCTTTGATTTTTCCCTGTGTTTGTTTCCTAGTTTTGCCCTTAAAACATTTACCCTGGATCTTTAGAATGAAGATCTAATAAAATTGTAGAATAGAAAAGAGTAATGTATATTTGCCAGGTTAGACTAGCAACTGAAAAAAAATCTGTTGAATCTCAGTGCCTTAATAAAATAAAGGGTTTTTGCTGCAGGTGTGGCGGTGGTGGTTTTTCTCTCTCTCCCTCTCTCTCATGTGAATGACAGTAGAGTACAGGTAGGTGGGAGTAGGATGAGATTCTGCATCACTGAATCATTCAGGGACCTCCTCATCAGCAGCTGGGCTTCCTTTGAAGCCTCTTCATCCAACCAGGCAACAAGCAAGAAGAGAATGTGCCAGGCGCGGTGGCTCACGCCTGTAATCCCAGCACTTCGGGAAGCCGAGGCGGGCGGATCACGAGGTTAGGAGATTGAGACCATCCTGGCTAACACGGAAAAACCCCGTCTCTACTAAAAATACAAAAAATTAGCCGGGCGTGGTGGCGGGTGCCTGTAATCGCAGCTACTCGGAAGGCTGAGGCAGGAGAATGGCGTGAACCCGGGAGGCAGAGCTTGCAGTGAGCCGAGATCGCGCCACTGCGCTCTAGCCTGGGTAACAGAGTGAGACTCCATCTCAAAAAAAAAAAAAAAAAAAAAAGAGAATGTGAGTCTGGTGGAGGAGGTCTTAGAGTCAGGCCTGGAAGTGTTGCACATCCGACCCACCTCTGTTGTATAAAACTCAGTCACCTGGCTCCAGCTCCTTGCAGAGGGGTTGGGAAATGTAGCAGGGTGTAACTGTCAAGTGGGAGAAAACAGATATCAGCTCTTACAAATAGTGTTTCTCAAAATGGTTTGCTCCCCACTTGCACCACAATCCCTTGGTGCTGGAGGTGATAAGTAAAGAAATACAAATTCCCTGGCTCAAACCATCACCTAATACAAATACCTGAATGTGGGGCCCAGGAATCTGCACTTAAATAAGCTGGTGTTTATGATTATTCACTAGCTAAGAGAGGAGAAGGGGGAGGTGATATTGCAGAAAACATGGTAAACTCTCCTCTCTTTCTGCTTTCTCTATCTTTGGCACCTTTTCAAAGAGGAATTAAATTAATAAGTTGTTGATTTGTAACTCTTGCCCTTTAAACATGCGAGCACTCAGCAGGCTGGATGTTGGAATCATTAGTCAATACATCAATACTCTTAAGGACTCGTTCACTTAACTAATAAAGCAAAGCCCAGGTTGTTTTTTTCCTCTGACCTTGGCTGGCTGGAGCCCGTGCCCTCTGTGACTCCAACGATGCGGGCTGCCCAGGAAGCACTGGTGATGGATGGCGCCCTTACTCAGCTGACTCTGACTCGCTGGACGCTCTTTCCTTTCCTCGTCCTCTTCCTTTTCCTGATTGCCAATCTCTGAGGGGCTTGGCATCTTTATAACAGTTGCACAAAGAAGTTCAAATTTGCTGGACTTCGGGGGCGGAGGACTGTGGCTTTCTTCCCATCTCTCTTATCGTTTGGTTTAATAATTCCAATTTCCTTATATTCCCGTGGGAAACTGGACACCTTCTAAAAACTACTGATGGTTGCAAACATTGTGGTCACAGATAGAGCTATTTAGAGAGAATTCACCAAGGGCCAGAGCCAGAGGGCTCCTTTTTTTTTTTTTTTTTTTTTTTTTTTTTTTGAGATGGAATTTCACTCTTGTTGCCCAGGCTGGAGTGCAATGGCATGATCTCGGCTCACTGCAACCTCCACTTCCGGGGTTCAAGCAATTCTCCTGTCTCAGCCTCCCAAGTAGCTAGGATTACAGGTATCCACTATCACGCCTAGCTAATATTGTATTTTTAGTAGAGACAGGGTTTCTCCATGTTGGTCAGGCTGGTCTTGAACTCCCGACCACAGGTGATCCACCTGCCTTGGCCTCCCAAAGTGCTGGGATTACAGGTGTAAGCCAGCACGCCCGGCCAGGGCTCTTTGATTCATGTAAGATTAGAACGGCTTCCATCCTTACACTGGTATCAAACTTGGGCTTCTCCTTCCAAATATTTAGGAGAAAAATAAAAAAAAAAAATTGAAAAAAATGATGTATTACTCAGGATTCAAAAGAAAGAGACTTAAAGGATTTTAGTTCTATTTCTGTATACTAAGCATGTGAAGATATAGCCCAGAGATTGTGCCCATTCTTGTAAAATAATCTCCTTGGAACAGGAAGATAAAATAACTTTTGGATGAGAATTCACTGTGTGGCAGCCTCGATGTCCTTTATTTCTCACAACCTTGTATGGGAGGAATCATTGCACCCATCTTCCTGAGGAAGAAACTGAGGTCTGAGGGGGTTGGGTAACTTGACTGAGGTCAAGGGCTGGGGCATCTGAGCAAAGAGTCAATTTAGTTCCACTAATAGCTCTTGAGCACCTAGGGAGTATCCCCGCAGGTGTATAGGTTCGGGAGGATGAATCTGCCCAGTTTCTATTTGAGAAGACAGGAATGGCATTGCAGGCAGGGGGAACAGCATGTGCAAGGGAGGACTGGCAAGGCGTAGTTTGTCTGCGGCTGTCTGTTGCTACCATATGGCTAGGGCAGCAGGACCTAGCTGACTCGTGGCTGGAGGCCACAAAAAGCCATATTTGAGATTCTGCAGCCCATGAGGGCAAGCCTTGAGAGTTTGAAAGCACGGACTGGCGTGATAATCCCTGTGATTAGAAGGAGGCCTGGGACTGGCGAGAAGGTTAGATGGAATGGAGTCAGCTGTGGGGAAGGGAGAAAGTCTAAGCCAGGCTTTGGTCTTCAGGGAAGCTGAAGAATTGTTACTTCTGCTGTGTTCTTTGAGCAACTATAGCAGTATAGTGATGGTCCCGTAGGGAACACTTGTCAAAGTCTGGAGACATTTTTGGCTGTCACAACTTGGGGTGGGGGACACTATTGGCATCTAATAGGTAGAAGACAGAGATACTGCCAAGCAGCAGACAATTCATGGGACAGTCCCCTACAGCATGAACCATCCAGCACCAAGGTCAATGTTGCCAAGGTGGGGAAACCCTGACCTGCAGTGATTCAGGGCTATAACTGGCTGGTTCTGACTGAAAATCACATTCTTTTTCATCTCTTTTGATCAGTTTGGTAAGCCTGTGCTTGACTTTCCTCATCTGTACAGCATATATAAGAAGACAAGAATCCAGTGGTAGGATAAGCATTTTTATGAACGTTCCAATGATCATATTTGATATATATGTTCTTCATAGACTCAGAGTCCAGCAGAGAAGTCCTCCATACCCTAATGAAGCCTGCTGCTTTTGGGGAGGTCTTTTGAGTTATCATGCCTAGTATATTTAAGCTACAGAATCCTTGTGTCAAGACGAATGCTGCTTTTTTGGCAAATTATTTTAGATTGATTTTTTTTTTATAGCTGTAGGAATGCCCCTGGGGTATTCAGTTTTTTCACTAAGCAGATTTGGACCCATGTGGTAAAGAATTACAGTGTAGCCAAGGTCACAGTATTGCTGGATATAAAATACATTCACCAGCCATGACTTAGTCCACAAATGTGGATCACTGCCAATATTGCTTCAGCATTATAGAGTCTCTCATTGAATAGTCTGGTCATGAAGCAAGTGTTCATTGAATGAGATCATCTTAGAATGCTTTGTCAAGAAATCCTAGAGCATTTGGCTGTGAGAAACCACCTATTTTGTTCAGTCCACCTCTATTCTGACAGATGAACAAACCTGGACCAGAGATATTGAATGACTTACGTGAGGTCACAGAGATGATGGGTGGTAGCCTTAGGTGGCACTCATTTATAAAAGTATAGGCAGATGGCTGGTGTCATTTTCTTCAAGTTTGATCAGAGGTGAATCAGCGAGATAGAGACCTGTGGGTTTAACACAGAGATAACCTGAGAAGATTGCACATCTGCTCTGATACAGGACCACTTTGTGGGTGTGTGTGTATGTGTGTGTGTCTGTGTGACAGTGGTGCTCCTTTTACCTGAAAGATCAAAGTTTCTGAATTATTAGGCTGAAAATGCATTTATGGTGCATTTCTTAAAGGTCTCATTAGTATTTAAATGGTACAGGAAAGTGCAGATAAATTGCGCATTATGAAAAGAGCCAGTGGGACTGGCAGGTAACATTATTTCCCTGGCTACCCAAATCCATCCGTCTTCTTCCATGTTTGTCTCAGCAGAAATCCATAGTTAGGAAGATACTCTTTTGGCCAGGTTAGGGCTGCACTTTGAGTGCATTTTCCCATGTTTGAAATAAAGCCAGGGCCATGTTGCTGGGTAGTTTTGGGTCTTTGAATTCTATCTCCATGACTGGCATGGTTTTCTGAGAGGTTTTCTCATCTGTCCAACAGGAGTAATAATAGTACTTGTCTCTAAATTGGAGAAGATTAACGACTTGAAAAAATTCACATTAAGCGTTTTGCATAGTGCCTGACAAATTTTAAACGTTCAATATATGTCACTTTTTATAATTATCTGTATCACTGCTGTTATTTCATTACGAAATGTGTCTGGCACATAGCAGATTGTCAATGAACATTGCTTCTTTTTCTTTTCAGTAACCCCTCTGGTACTGTGATTGTGTGGCCCTTGAAAAGTCATCTTCCTCTTTGGGCATCCTATTTACAATAAAACAAAGATGGCCCCTCCCAGCTTTACAAGTTCTCTGTACTGAGTCTCTGAGTCAATGATTCTGGTCACACCACAGTTAAAGAATCCGAAAGCATAGTTGTAGGGAAAAGTAATGCACACCTAATGAGGATGCAAAGAGCAGGTCTCAAGATGCTGATTTGGTTGTGAAGGTTTGCTCCTATAATCCAATAGATGTAATTAGGAGGGGAAAACAGAAATGGGGTATTGTAGCAGCTTCAGTATTGCCATACTGTTATGGCTTTCAAAATGCGGTTTAATAGCTAGTCAAATGGCTCTTATTAAGGTGCACGTGATTGAAACACCAGGGCATACCACCAGCCTTGATGGTGATGGGGGCCTAGCTCTGTATATTCACTACTTACAGAATTCAGCTGAACACAAGTTAAAGCAGCAAAATGATTCAAGGACAAGTCATTTTTCTTTTTCTTTTTTTGGAACGTAGTCAGAGATCTGGAGTAGGACTCCCAGGGATCAGAGTAAGCATTCATGACTTATTGGTAGTGTGATTATACCACGTTTCTTAGCTCAGTTTCCTTATCTGTAAAATGGGAATATTAACTGTTGTGGAGTGGTGGTAGTGCTTTAACAAAATGAAGCATAGTATAGTGCCTGGCACTTAGTAATCTCAAGAAATGTCATTTTGTTGTCATTTGTTTTTTAAAAATGTAGCAGTTGAGCAAAGTTCTATCTGAAGACTCTTTATTTTAAAAAAGTCTTAATTTGAAGCATGGAGAGTTGGCTGATCATGTGTCAATTAGCAAAATATTTTAATGGATATTAATTTTTTAAAAGATATCGTAAAGAACTTGGGCAACGATACGGAAAGAATTGTGTATTGACGCAGTTTGTATAGTTCAATAAATATTGTATCAGGTCCAGGATGGAAAAAGGATGTTGCCGAAATAATTGTGATGTGATAGTTTAAAAAAATAAATCCAACAATAGGCCAGTGTACTGGCCAGCAGGAAGCTCCAACAATACCCCCACCTTTTTCCTGTACCTTACCCGGAGTTCCTTCAGGCGACACAGATAACCGATGGGTGATAAAGTCGAGGACCGGGTCTGGTGCCAGCTGAAAATAGAAGAATTAGTGTCAAACTGTTATCTGATCAGAAAATGGACTTAGCAAACACCCTTCCCAAGCAGCGTTTAAGAAAAGTTTGTTGTGGGGGAAAAGTCTTCTTTTCACCTGAACGGTCCCTCTTAGTCACAGTGACTCACTGAGACCCAGTTCTCTGGAAGCCCAACCACTGGCTCGTCTAGTTGCAGGGGGAATTCTTGCATCATGCATGAAGCCCTCCTTGGAGCAATAATGTAAACAGGAATTCCTTGCATTTATAAAGCGCTCTATGCTTTCACCATGCCTGCCCATTCTTTATTCTACTTAGCTCTAGGAGCAACTCCTTGCTTTGAGTATTATTGGCACAGCTGTGAACCTGGGAAGTGACTCATCCTTTCTATGCCTCAGTTTCCTCATCTGTAAAGTGGGGAATAATGATCTTATCTATCTCACTGGGTTGTTACTAGAATTGTGTGAGATAACGCAGGCAAAGAATTTAGCAATATAGCAGGCATTACTTGCTGTATTTTAATAATCAAATAATCAGTAATTATTATTAATATCAATCTTGTGAGGGACAGTATTATTGCCATTTTAGAAGTGAGGAAACTGAGGCTCATTCAGTCAATATATTTATTGAACAACCAAGTCCCAGGCATTATTTTAGGTTGGGCTGAGGGGAGGGAGGGAGGGACGGTAAACAAATAAACATGAACACAAGATGTACTGCGTTCTGGTATGTGATATGAAGAGCCTAACACTGAGTAAGGGAAAAGAGAGTAAAGAAGTTGGGTCGGGAGGTTTGCTTGTTTAGACAGGGTAGTCAGAGAAAGCCTCACTGCTGAGGGTACCTTTGAGCAGAGACCTTCATAAAGTGAGAGAATGAGGCTTGCCAACATTTCGAGGAAGAGCATCCAGGCAAAGGGAAGAGCCACTGCCAAGGCCATGCAGCAGGAGGGTCTCAGCGTGTCATGGGAAATGGCAAAGACCTCTTTGTGCTCGGAGCAGAGTGAGCCAGGGCAGTCCGGGGACAGGAGGTTGGATTAAAGGAAGCCAGGCTTTGAAGGCTGTGGTGAACACTTGTGATTTTGTCCAGTGGGAAGCCACAGGAGGCTTCTGAGTTGAGCTTTTGATCTGAATTAAACTTTGTGTAATGCTCACCCTGGATGCTATGAAGATCATGTATGGTAGGTAGGCAAGAATGGAAGCAGGGCTATCCGTCTGGAGACTTTTTCAGTTCAGACTAGCAAGGATGGTGGCTTGGATGTGAGTAGTAGAAGTGGAGGTGGTAGAGATGGCCACAGACAGTGAGGAATAAAAAGGGCACGTAAGATTCCATTCATTCCCAATCCTTGAGGAACTATTGGTCTACCAAGGGACAGAGACATGTCAAAGAAACAAAGGGCTTCCCTCGACCTGCCCCTGCTGCCACCTGACAACATATTATCATTGAGGACATAAACTCCATGGGTATTCCATAAGCTCCAGAGAGAATGTTCTATGAGAATTAGTAACGGGGTCATGATGGGCTTGCATGGTCAACAAAAGCTCTAAGAAGAAAGTGGGACTTCAAGTCTACTTCAGAAAATTTGAATAGCAAGAAATAAAGGCAGGAAACTACTTAATTTTGAGGAATCTGTATAAGGAAAGACACAAACCAGATCAAATATAATATTTAATGTCTCTGAACATTTAGGTTACTTCTATAATTTTGCTGTACAAAATAATGCTACAATGACATGCATTAGCTGTATAACTTTGGACAAGTGACTTAACCACGCTGGACTCAATTTCTTCCTCTATAAAATAAAGAAACCAATAGTATTTATCTCATAGGGCTGTTGTGAGGATTAAATTGGTAGTAATGATTAGAACGGTGCCCAAAGTCTATTAAACATTATATAGGTGTGAGCATTTCTTTAGAGTAAGTACTTAAGGGTAGAATTACAGAGTTACAGAACATACACATTTTAAATATAAATAAAGTTTTATTGTAACACAGCTATGCCCATCCATTTACATACCCTCTATGGATGCTATTGTGTTGCAGTGGCAGAGTTGAGTAGTTAAAACTTTGACCTGCAAAATCAAAGATATTGATATTTACCGCGTGGTTTTTGTTGAAAAAGTTGGCTAACCTCTGTAATGGACACAGCTTGATTGTACTTAAAAGTGACTTTACCGATTTACATTCCCTTTAGGATTCAGAGTATGAGAATATCCACTTCTGTCTACTCTTGCTAACACTTGATATTATTAATTTTGAAAATTTTAGTCAAGCTGATGAATATAAAATGTTATCTAAATTTAACTTCCATTTCCCTGACCAGGAATATCAAAGATTTTGATCTCAAGCTCATCTGACACTCTTTAAAAATTTTGAGCACTCCAAAGTTTTGTTTCGGCATTGTTTCAAAGGTTTGCAAGTCTCTTTAATATTTGTTTAATAAAGGGTGGATGGATTTTCATATTAGTTTCTGCATTCACTCCGCTGATTTGTTTCGTTTGAAGAAAATTGGCCTCACATAGATTTGGGATTGGAAAAGAAAGGAATACTCTGGAAATCTCTTGAGATAAATATAAATATTCTTTGTTGCTACATCCAAACTCTGTAAGTGGTATTTTCTTAAGTGTTAGCTTTAGTGTGGAATCTGAAACCATAGCAGTGGACTTTTCATGCTCTGTAATATTAAAATCCATTAGTCCATCTTGCACTTTGAATGGATATTTTACCCACTCATGAATTTATAATAACATGCATTGGTTATTTGGAAAATATTAGTTCACTTAGTTTTGCGTATCTTCCAAATTTGACACATTTCATTATGCAACAACAATAAAAAAATCACACTCATTAATATCATCATCAGTCTCATCAGAAAAGGCTTTAAGTGTTAAGAAGCTGTCACACTCACATAGGCAGATATAACTTTCCTAACCTTTATTTTTTTCAAGAAAGCTCAAAGTTTGTCATTGACAATAAATACTGTGAATTGTCTTCCTCGATGTGATTGGCTCACTTTGTTCATTTTTGAGAAAATATCTGCCAAATATACATCTGAATAACTATAATTTGTGAGTTGCTTTTCAACTAAAATGGTATTGCACAAAATAAGCCATTAGTTGAGCTTGCAACAATCATACAAGTGTTTTTCCTAGTATGGTCTTTATTCTTCTCATTCTGTCTGTCCCTCAGAAAATTAAAAACTCACGTACTCGATGGTAGAGATATAATTTATAATTTGTACTTCTTCATCAGGGAATTTTGTAAAACTCTGAGTGCATGGTGGTGACAAATATGATTGCTTCTTTATAGCTTGGTACCATTGTTAAGGATTTGTGATTTGTGCTAAGGAACCCCAGTTTTTCTCACTATTGCTGTGCACTCTCAGTGCAGTGTCAACACAAAGCAAAAGGCAAATAGTGAGTGTAGAAATTTGATGAAAATAGTTTTAATCATGCGTATCCCTGGAAATGATCTCGGAGAGTACTTGAGAACAGTTACTTTAGATAATACTGAGGTTGAGCATTATTTTGTAGGCATTTCCTTCTGTATACTGGCTGTCCATATTTTTTGCCCATTTTTTCTATTGGGTTGTTTGTCTTTTTCTTACTGATTTTTAGAAGTGAAATTATATTTATATATAAATGATCTTTGATAAATCTTGCTTCCTACCCTTTTTCTGAATCTTGCAACTGTATCTCCACCAATAGGGCAAAGCTTAAATAATCGTGTGCATCCATACGTAGTAAAATGCCACAGTGTATGAAATGTGCTAACATAGAAAGGCTTAAAATGTGTTGTTCATTAATATAGCGTATATCACTCTTTAATTCTCCTCCTCTACATGAAATAGTTATATATATATATACACACATAATATACACATATATATTATAATGTTATATGTAATAGTTATATATAACATATATATAGACGTAAAGTATATTACTTATAAATTCTTCTCCATAGTTCCTCCCCTAGGGAAAGGGAATTGGTAAGTAATATACTCTACATTATTGCTTTTTTTAACAATAAACAATACATAGTATATATTTCACCTGTGTGTGTGTGTGTGTGTGTGTGTGTGTGTGTATTTATATTTAAATGCACAGGAAAATAAAAAATATCTGGAAGGACACATAGCAAAATAACCACTGTTATTTTGGATTGAGGGGAAGAAAGCAAAATAACCACTGTTATTTTGGATTGAGGGGAAGAACCCACAACAGAATTATATAACTGTGACTTCAAGTTTATTTGGTATTTTTATTGTTTACAAATAGAATATATTTATGAAATAATTTTTAAAAGTAAACTTTATTGTGTATATTTAAGGTATACAATATGATATTATTGAATACATATAGATAGTATAAAGGCTACTATAGTAAAGCAAATAACAGTCCATAATCTCACATACTTATCAATTTGTTTTGTTTTGTTTTTTTCTGGCAAGAGCAGCTAAAATCTACTCATTTAGTAAGAATCAACTATACCATACAGTTATATTACCTATAGTCCTCATGTACAAACATTTAATCTCTAGACTGATTCATCCTACATCTGTTATTTTACATTCTTCAATCTACCTCTTCCCATTTCCTCCCCGCTCACCCCCTGCTATCCCTGGTAACTACTGTTTTATTATGTATCTCTGTATATTTAAATTTTTTAAAAAAGATTTCACATCTAGGTGAGATTGTGTAATATCTTTATTTCTGTATCTGGCTTATTTCACATTGCATAGTGTTCTCCAGGCTCATCCATGCTGTAGCAGATGGCAAGATCTCATTCTTTTGGTGGTGCCAAATAATATTCCATTGCATATATGTACCACAGTTTCTTTTCCCTGTCATCCACTGACGGATGCTTGTTGTGCCCACATCTTGACTATTGTGGAAAATGCTGCAATGAACATGGGAGTGCAAATATTTTTATTAGGTAGTGATTTTATTTCCTTTGGGTATATGTCCAGAAGAGGGATTACTAAGCCACATGTTAGTTCTATGTTTAATGTCTTTGGAAACCTCCATCCTGTTTTCCGTAATGGCTGTACCAATCTATATTTCCACTAACAGTGTACAAGAATTCATTTTTCTCCACATCCTCACCATTTATCTTTTGACTTTTTGGTAACAGCCACCCTAACAGATGTGAGGTGGTATCTCATAATGGTTTGGATCTGCATTTCTCTGCTATTAATAATGTTGAACACCTTTCCATACACATATTGACCATTTTTGTGTCTCTTTTAGAAAAATGTCTATTCAGGTCTTCTGCCCATTTTCTAACTGGATTATTTGTTTTTTCACTATTGAGTTGTATGAGCTATTTGCAAATTTGGGATATTAACCCTTTATGAGATACATGCTTTGCAAATATTTTTTCTCAATCCATAGGCTGCTGTTTCATTTTGTTGATTTAGTAATTAAAATAGAAAATTTAAAAATTAAAAAACATGCCTTCTTAATTCTTGTAGCATAATAGCACATGAAGAGACATTTGTATTGCTTATTCAATAGGAAGAATTATAGTACATGCATATTTGAAAACGTGATGGTATTTTCTGGAAGAGAGGGCTTTCTTTTGGTTGCTTTCTAATGAGAAGTGATGCCTACCTAAACTGTTACAGAGATTTGGGCCAAAGATTTTTCTAAACTTAAAGTGATCTTTCTTTTTTTATCTTCAAATTCTGGCCAACTAATATAAATAAACTTACTTCAATATTTATATGAGATCCAGGGTACAGTAACCACTATTACTTAAAATATGTGGATCAGTTTGTTTAATTTACATATTAGTGACTGACTTTTACATGCCTGTAACTGCCTTTCTTATATTTACCATAGGAAAATAAAGTTTTTAGTCCCAAAAGAATAATTTAAGGGATTTAAAACAAATGTTACTCTTGTATTTAATTCATACAAAAAACAAACTGATAAAATCCTAAAAATAGCTAAGGTCAAATTAGGAAAAGCTGAAGCAAGTTAATTTCCTAGATATTATCTTCTGAACTTATTCATGCTATATATTCTGATGATTCATACCAATGGAATATGTAATTGGTAATGATCACAGGTATTCATATAACATCTTTTGTCCAGATGATCCTCCAAGTACTTTATGAATGGATTTTCCTTCATGTGGCAGCTCCTAGTTCATCCCATGTGTGTGGAAGTTCACCACTTCATTGCATTGCAGATGTGTATGAAGGGAAAAGAAAGATCCATCCTGTTTGTCTTTTCGTGTATCTGACGCTGTGTGATTTACACAGCAGAAGGAACATTTCCTTCCTCCCTAGTCATGGGTAGGACACAGGATACCTTGGTAATTTTAGTTTTAATGCTCTAATGTTCTGGGTAAGAGATGGAGACTAAAATGTATCTAGGACCTACTATATGCCAGGTACTCTGAGAGGTGCTTTGCATGTTTTAGATAATTGCATCTTCATAAAAACCCCAAAAGATGTGGTTATTATTGTCTCCATTTTACAGTTGAGGAAATGAGTCTTGTCTGAGATCACAAAGCTGGAACATGAGAGGATCAGGATTTCTCCCAACTGCCTGTGATTTCAGAAATCAAGCTGGGTCACTACTGTTTCTTTTATGGTAAAAGTAATACTAACAGAGTAGGCAGAAGAACACTGGGCAGCCATTAATCTCCACCATGTTTTGGCTGCTACGCACTTGTCCACCTTGTGGCTCATGTTTCTCAGATTGTGCTCAAACTCTACCTTACTTTGATCCTCTCTCTCACTGGAGACATTGCTTGATTTCTCTCCTGCCTTCCTAAACCATTGTTTGGAAAAGACTGTCTCTGTATGTCTTCGCTTCCTTCTCATTTGTTTGCTCTTAAGACAGTTTGACTAGCTTCTTACCCTTTCTCTGAATCTGTCTCTGAGGCCTCACTCATCTACACATTGGCAAATCCTAATGACATCTTTTGTGTTTACCTGTTCACCTACTGGAATTTTCTTTTTTTTCTTATTATTTTTTTTTTTTGGAGACAAGAGTCTCGCTGTTTCACCCAGACTGGAGTGCAGTGGTGCGAGCTTGGCTCACTGCAACCTCCACCTCCTGGTTTCAAGTGATTCTCTCACCTCAGCCTCCCAAGTAGCTGGGATTACAGGTGCCCACCACCATGCCCGGCTAATTTTTATACTTTTAGTAGAGACTTTCTATTGTGATTGCCACAATCCCTACTAAGAAACTCAAGTGCCTTGGTTTTCATAACACTATTGTCCTTGGTTCCTTTTTTCCATTTACTCCCCATACTATTTGGTTGGTTTTGCCTAATCCTTTGCATTCTCTCCTTCCTGCCACCCTCCTGACTCGTACCTGCTTGTGAGAGCATATGTTAATTTTTCACAACTTTTGTAAGCCTGTTGATATCCTGTTGGTAGCTTGAAGTTGGTTATGGTGGAGTATTTACACCATAGAAATTGGCAGTGGTTTAAAATCAGCTTCTCCTCACTCCAAGAGCAGGCTGTTTACTATTCACTAGCACCCCACTGCTTCCACTGACCCTCATAATTGTGGATATTTTCTAGATAGCCCTTCTGAACAAGTTTTCCCCTCACTTAACACATTCTCCCTGGGTGTCATCTCCCACTCCCCAATACACACACACACACACACACACACACACACTTATGGTTTTAACTATTACCTATATCATTTCTCCTAAGTATCTATCTCCATCTTGAACTCATTTCAGAGTTTCAGACCTGTATGTCCAAACACTTCCTGGAAATTCCCATTTGGATGTTGAGCAGGTACTATAGATTCATCAACTCCCAAACCAAACTCACCATCTTGTTCTTTTCCTATGTCTCATGTTTCAGTGAATGACCCCACCATCCACTTTCTACCCAATCCAGAATTTGATCTGCCCTCTCTCTCCTTAGCTATGCTAGGATCAAGAAGATATTGTTAAAAGGGATTATCATTCTAGGGGTTAGTTCTTGGGGTAATGATATGAGGGAAACGGTTACTTTGGATCACCGTATGGTTACTTTTTAATTCTTAGACTGTTCAAATTTCTACAATGTGGGAAACCTGACATCCTTGTGTTCTCCTCTGTTCTCAGGAAAGGGAGGAAATAAGCTTATGTAAATTAAATATCTATCTACTGGGTGCCAAGGCTTTCAGGAGCTTTTCCATGCATAAATTTACTTAATCTTCTCAATATTTCTATAATGTAGATATAACCATCAAATTTTTTTTTTGCATGCAAGGGAAATTGAACCTCAGCTAAGCTCAATGGCTTGTTCAAGGAGGTTCAGCTAATAGGTGGTGGGGCTAGAATTTGTCCAGGCCCTATCCAAAGCCTGGGATATTTCCCTTATTCCAGGCTTTCTCTGGCTAGATGTGTCCATGTGGAGGGAAACTGGCAGTTCTTTGGCGGCTCCCATAACAGACTCACAGAAAGCGCCGCCGACTTTCTCCTTACACAAGAGCTCCAGAGGCCCTCTTTCTAATGCTACCTTCATAGTCTCCCAAAGCCAGCATTCACCTCCCCTCCAAAGATGTTTATAGCATATCACCTCTTTGACATACCTGAATGCATAGATGCAAAGTTTATTAATATATGTTGGAGTTTTGAAGATGAAAGCGCTTCACCTTCCTGGGGATTGTTAAAAGTATGCCTACTTTTCACAGTTTTGTTTTTAAATCACTCACCAGTATGCAAAAGGCTACCAGATGACTAGCATGTGTGCTGGAAGAGATGAAATGTAAGAGGGACCAGGTGTAAGGCTAAGAGCTGGTGTCTGCCTTCAAGGTGCTGACCCTCCAGAAGTGGGCAGAACCCTCCACCCAGGGAATGGCCAGAGAGTGATAAGAGGGAATTAAGAGCAAATGCCCATGTGTTCTTGATAGCTATTTTTTCAATGGCTACACTTAAAAGAATGTGTTATTTTTTGACAAACAGGAAACAGTCATGCCATGAAGTGTCACTGTATTAAATGGCTCCCAAAGAGTTAATACATCAATTGGACCAGAGGGATTTGAAGGAGGCAGCACAACTCTCTAAGAAGGCTCCTCAGTGAGCCACCAGGCCCTTTAGACATTGCCTTTGGGTTCTTGCTGCATGGAATGTGGTCATGATAAAGTGTAACTGACATTCATTCTATCGGTATTAATTAAACAATTGCTTGATGCCAGGCATTTTGAATGAAACAATGGACACGATGAATAAGATCCTTTTCTCCTTGATCTTGCATTAGAAGAAATCAATTTTTAAAAGAAAAAGAAATATGATAGCAAGAAGCAAAAGAGGAAGATGAAAGACAGTACGTTTGGGGCTACTTTAGTTGGGGTGGTCACAGAAGTCCTCCCAGGGGAAGTGATATTTAAACAAAGACATTTTTGAGAAGAAGCCAGCCCTGTGAGCATCTTGGGAGAGAACTAACAGGCAGGAGCCAATGGCAAGTACAGCAAAAGAAAGACAGAGGGAAAAAAATGAATATGGATGAAGCAAATGGCCTGGGATTAAATTGAAGGCATAGTGGGGGCCAGATTTTTTGGTCTTTGTAGATCGGGGAAAGGAATTTCAATTTTCAATTTGGGATTTCATTTTAGTGCTTTGAGAAATCTTTGAAGAACTACCAGTAAGGGAGTGGTGTGATTTGATTTAGGCTTTAATCAGATATATCAGTAGATGTAGCTTTCAGGCGGCCATGCAGAGAGTGCATTACTGGAAAGAGTGTGGATGATTGAGGAGGCTCTTTCAGTGGTCAACAGGAGACATGATTCTGACTTGGGCCAGGATGGTGGCCGTGGGGATGGGGAAAAGTGGATGGATTTGCGATGTTGTTTGCTGATATATCAGATATGGCTGACAAAGGAAACAGAAGATTAAAATATTTGTCTTCAGCAAGTATGTGGATATTGCTATTATTTACTGAGATGGGGGTTACCTAGATGGAGTTAAAAGAAAGTATGGGGAGAAGGTTATTTCTTTTGTTTTAGTGTATGACGCTGCAGCTTCTGCTAAAATCCTGTTCAAGCTGAGGAGGGTTAATATGTCCTTAGGCTGCCCACTCCATTGTTGGATGTCTCTGAAGGCCAAATATTCTTCCACATGCTAACTAGACTCTGCCTTCCTGCAGCTTCTATTCATGTGTACATTCATGTTTCTCTGGAAACCCATGGAATACATCTGCTGTCTTCTTAGAAATGTGTGCCAAATATGTGAATACTCAAGATTTTTGACATTGTTTTAAAACATTAAAATTTCAAATTAGTTTGGGTACAAATGCCATTAATTAGATTATAGTGTATATACATGGACTTCTCCAAATTGAGCTTTTCATCTGTGTACAGAACCATGTTACATAGCCTTAATTTAGAATGAACAGTAAGCCTTTATTAATGACTTGTTGCCAAGACCCTTTACATAGTTCTTTTTTGCTTTTTAAAATTCACTTTGTCCCTACTTTCAATATAATATATACTTACTGTAGAGTGTAAGAAAAACAGAGACAAGTAGCTGGATTTCAAAAATAAATACCTTTCAGCATTCATCAAAGACCCTGACAGTTAAGTATTTGGCTTATTTTTCTCAGTACTTATTTTTATTTTATTTTTTTCACAAGACTCTATGTATTTTACATTTATATTTGGCTTTTTCATTTGCATTATAGCAGAGATTTAAAAATATTACTTTAAAAAATGTGTTAGGCTGGGCGCGGTGGCTCACGCCTGTAATCCCAGCACTCTGGGAGGCCAAGGCGGGTGGATCACGAGGTCAGGAAATTGAGACCATCCTGGTTAACATGGTAAAACCCCGTCTCTACAAAAAATACAAAAAATTAGCTGGGCACTGTGGCGGGCGCCTGTAGCCCCAGCTACTCGGGAGGCTGAGGCAGGAGAATGGTGTGAACCCTGGAGGCGGAGCTTGCAATGAGCCGAGATCCGCCACTGCAGTCCAGCCTGGGCGACAGAGCGAGACTCCGTCTCAAAAAACAAACAAACAAACAAACAAACAAACAAACAAACATGTGTTAAAGAACCTTTACCAATGATTGCCAAGTATTTCTTTCATTTAATAAGATGATAAGTTATTGCAAGAGGTTTAGGTGTTTCTAACGATTGTTATTTTTTACCACTATGGTAAACATCTTTGATGTAAGAATTTTTTCAAAATTTGGGTAACATCCTTAAGGAGGAGGTGTCACAAAATAAGAGTTTGGACATTTCCTAAAATCTTCCTCTAGAATGTTAACACTGAGTTTCCAACAGTATTGAGTAATTGACCTTTCCATTAGTATGGATATAAGTGACCCTCTGACCACATTCTGGTCCCTGTTAAATGGTATCATGAAAAAAAATATTATGCTGATTTGAGAGTCAAAAATTATTTGGTGTTGATAGTCTCATTTGTATTTTGTGGCTTACTAGTGAGCATAAATATTTTTCTACATGTTATTACAACATATAGAAATGTTTTTATCTTGCCATAAAAACAATTACGGGGGATTTTTCATTAATTGGGGTCCAACTAACTAGAACCTCAACTATTCAAATTTTGGGGTGAGAGTCAAATTGAAAAGAGAATGAAATGACACATACTGAAAAAGGAGAGAAATTAAAATAGAGTGGAGTCTTCTCCAGCTCTCAGTATAAAACTCATCAAGGCAAAACTGTTTTATTTAGACATCTGGGAAATGTACTTTGACAAACATCCGCTTGATGACTGTCAGTGTCATAAAGAGACTTTGATATCAAAAATCCACAGAAATTGTTGAAATAAATTATATATTTTTGTGACAAAGCACTCTTTGCCTGCTCTTTTGCATTGTCCATGTGATTTGGCTTTGGCATCTTAATACAAAGGAGAGCCCCATTTTCATGTAAATGACATGACAGAATTAATGGAGAGCTCTAGGGAGTCTACAGACTGCAAATGTGGCATCTCCCCTACCTGCTTTTAGCAATGCTTACCCGTAGTTGCTTTTCAGTATTTTTAACATATAAATGTTTCCAAAATTTACATATTCAGTGTTTTTATAGCTCTAGAAATACTCTCTCAAACTACTACAGAAGGTAACAAAACATCCTTCAAAAGTCTGATTTCCATGCATTCAGGCCATAAAAAATATATAGATAGAATTTTTAGACTCACTTCCAATAAGTTAAAATGCAACTTGTTCTGCTAAAGAGTTTGATCTTTTGCTTACCAACAGCACCAGGGGTAGACAAGATAGAATGTACTTTGCTTTCTATTTTTAAAACCTGGATTCACTGGGCTATTTGGTATTTGAAATTATTAAAGCTTTGTTAGCCATCTTGATAGGTTTACATGTTACAGCTGAGGCTTCTTATCTGTTAAACCAAGTGTATTAGACAATGTAAAAACATGTTAAGAATGGGCGGAGGTCTTAGGGAGTGCATTGCATAGAAAAAGTCTGAGAGTTGAGATCAGATGAACCAGACCTTATAATCCAGCCTTGCTACTTATTAACTTTTTTTTTTTTTTTTTGAGACAGAGTCTTGCTCTGTCGCCCAGGCTGGAGTGCAGTGGCGTGATCTCAGCTCACTGCAAGCTCTGCCTCCCGGGTTCACCCCATCCCATCCTCCTGCCTCAGCCTCCTGAGTAGCTGGGACTACAGGCGCATGCTGCCACGCCTGGCTAATTTTTTGTATTTTTGGTAGAGATGGGGTTTCTCCATGTTGGCCAGGCTGGTCTTGAACTCCTGACCTCAGGTGATCCACCCACCTCGGCCTCCCAAACTGCTGGGATTACAGGCAGGAGCCACCGCGCCCAGGCTTATTAGCTCATTTCTTTTGGGCAAACTATTTGACTTCTCTTGCACCATTTCCTAATTAATATCCCCATAAATTAGGACTAGTAGTACTTGAAAATTAAGGGGTTGAATGAGATAGTACACATAAACCAGCTAGTAGAGGACCTACCCATGGTAGGTATTTCATAAGTCCTATGCGATTAGTATTGCTTCTGGTCTTATTCCTGTCACTGTTGCTGTCATAGGATGTTGCTGCAAGAAACAGTAGATGTTGGGATAATAGGGAATCATGTATTTTGTAGTAGCCCATATGATAAATAGTATTAGCAACCATAACAAACATTTATGGAACACTTAACATGTGTCAGGTCTTTGTGCCTGCCGTAGGAAGGCAAGAGAGAAAAGTAAGCTTTGCCTATTGCCATCTGGGTTTCTTTGATAGAAAAAGCTGTTACTGAGAGAGCTAAAACACCCACCAGTGCTCAAAGGAAACAGGGGCGGCCATGGGATAGTCACAGAAAGAGCTGAGAGGAGATCTCGATGACATGCATTGCAGTTGTGATTGCAGTTACCAAAACGGCTCTTTAATAAGGAGGCTTAATGTATAAATTTGGGAGCAGGGGATCTGCTTACACTCTTGCATTCCACTTCTCCCCTGGAAAGCCCTCTAGAGCTTCAGGGACCACAGAACAAAGGCCACTGACCTTGTGCAGCCTCCACCTGCTAGCTTTAATACAGTGAAATTGAGACCCCACATCTCTAATCTGGGACTGGGCTGAAACATGCACTGCATGAGTCTAAGCTGTTGACTCTTAAAGAGCCAGAGTGAACTTTCCCCCAGTGGGCAGTAGATTCCGCTGCATCTGCTTATGGATGTTTACTCTTGACCTACCATTAGCAGAGACGTGACATGATGTAGTTTTCCCTCTTGTACCTTTTAACCACAGACCACAATCCATTTGCTCTGAATGTTTAATACAGTATCAAGCCTGAAATCAAATGAGTGCAGGTGGAAGAAAACATTAGGTGGGTTAGGTCAGGGAAAAGCAATGTTTTCAGGGCTTCTGCAAAATGTGCTAATGTTGTGAGGAAAATCAACAATAAGATCAGGGAAGTAGCACTCGAAACCAATGTCTTAAAAAGTCATGGACAAAAAAACAAAAACAAAACAAACGAAACAAGATGAGAGAAGACATGGGGATTGTTCTTGTAAATGCAGAGTCAATCAATTTGATTTCTTAACATTAAAACACTTTGTGCTTTAAGGATGTATCCCAGTTACCCCATCAAAAAGCAGAATTAGAAAAAAAAGTCTTAAGAGAAAAATAACAGACAAATCCTTAATATCTTTACCATAAAAAGGGATATGAGAGAGCCCCAAGTGTTCTTGTGAAATAAAGTTTAGAAGTTCCTTTTCCAGATGTGCAACTGCAGAAATGTAAATAAAGCTTTAGTAAAGGGAGGTCATTGGCCAAGGAATTTGAAATGAGGCACCCAGGGAAGTGGGAGGAGAAGTGAGGTATTTAGTTTTTACTTCTACAGCTGTTGCTTGGTGACTCACCATTGATAGATCCTTTTTTTTTTTTTTTTTTTTTTTTTTGGAGACAGGGTGTGTCTCTGTCTCCCAGGCTAGAGTGCAGTGGCTGGGCCTCAGGCCTTCACCTTCTAGGCTTACGCGATTCTCTCACCTTAGACTCCCAAGTAGCTGAGACTATAGGAGTGTGCCACCACGCCCAGCTAATTTTTTTTTTTTTTTTTTTTAGAGATGGGGTCTTGCTATGTTGCCCAGACTGGTCTCAAACTGCTGGGCTCAACCCGTCCTCCCATTTTAGGCTCCCAAACTGTTGGGATTACCAGTGTCAGCTACCACACTTGGCTGATTGATCTTAATAGGGAAAGCAAACTCCTTAGTTTTTAAAGAAATACAAATTTGCTGGGCGTGGCAGCTCACACCTGTAATCCCAGCACTTTGGGAGGCTGAGGCAGGTGGATTACCTGAGGTCAGGAGTTCGAGGCTGGCCAACATGGTGAAACCCTGTCTCTACTAAACATACAAAAAATTAGCTGGGCGTGGTGGCACATGTCTGTAATCCCAGCTACTTGGGAGGCTGAGGCAGGAGAATAGCTTGAACCTGGGAGGTGGAGGTTGCAGTGAGCCAAGGTCGTGCCATTGCACCCCAGCCTGGGGAACAGAGCGAGACTCTGTCTCAGAAAACAAAAACAAAAAAAAGAAATACAAATTTATAAAATAGCATTTTTTTTAAAATGGCACCCTGTTTTTATGCTGTTTGATAATGCCATTAATAATGTATAGGTTTAAAATATCTCATATTTTAGAACTTGGTGATGAACTATGTATACACTTGCATTCAATATTTAACATTTAAGAATCTGTTGAAGTGGTTCATTCATTCATTCACTCATTCACTCA
Source organism: Homo sapiens (assembly GCF_000001405.40). Classification (NCBI taxonomy): domain Eukaryota; kingdom Metazoa; phylum Chordata; class Mammalia; order Primates; family Hominidae; genus Homo; species Homo sapiens. Next base: position 16,843,417 of record NC_000004.12, on the reverse strand, counting down.
TTTACAACTGTTTGTTGTCAGACCTGGCTCTAGTCTTTGGAGACTGAACAGTGAAGAAAACGACATGCTTCTTCCCCTTAAGAAGCATACACAGAGAAAATGCCTTCTTAGGAAATAATCCAGTATGCGGAAAACGCTAACTTTCCAAAGACATGTATTATAACGTTATTTTTAACACTAAAATTGAAAATAATCTTACTGTTTAAAAACTAAGGAAATGATTACTTATAATAAATTCACTGGATATAGACATTGAACAAGGTGTTTGTAAGAAAAGTGTTTATGCTGTATTAAGTAAACACCACAGAGTACAGATTTGTATATACTGAATGATTGCAATTAGGCTGACAATAAGGAAAGGAAAAAGTACAAAAAAAATGGCTGCGTGGTAAGACTGTCTTTTTTCTGTTGGCAATATTGCTCTTTGCAATATTTTCTTTTTGTTTAAGTAAAATAATAACAGTGTCCTCTTTCATAAACTTACTTTGTGTTAGGCTTTATGAGCTTAATATACATTTACTCATTTAATCCTCACAGTAGCCCTATATCACAAGTCAGGAAAATGGGGCAATGAGGGTTGTAGAATTGGATTCAAACCCAGAAATACCAGTTCCAGAACCTGACCTCTTAACTACTACGCAAATCGCTCCTTTAGAGAGAAAAATTGTTCCAGGTTTAAAAATGTGAATCCAAACGCTGGTCTCCAGAGCTCAAGCTCTTATGCCTTGTTGGTAAGATAGAGATCTTAACAATATCCACTACTCAAAGGCTGCTATGGAATGAAGCACATATGATGATGCTTGTGAAAGTGTTTTGTAAATTTTAAATTTCCATTCAAAGATCACTCATGGGGTGTATTCAAAATATCTGAGTGCCTTAATAAATGTGTATATTAAATAATTTAAAGCACATTTTTGTTGAAGTATTCACAGGTAAATTAGCTAGTTTATATATTTTAAATAACTGTTTAGAGCATGGATTTTTTTTTTAATTTACAGAAAATGTACTGAATAAGGTTTATTTTGTAAATTAGTTTCTTCTGCTAGGTTGACTTCCTTTTGCTCTTTCTCCGTTTCTCTCTCTGACATTCTCAGTCCCACCATTGTATGATTTTTCTTGACTTTCTCCTTTCATTGAACAAGCCTCTTCAAGGTCAGGAAACCACTGTAATTTGCACTTCGGAGGTATTTAGCAGCCAAAGGTTTAAATTCCCAGCCAGCAATTGGGAGTCCGGGCTTGGGTTGCTTTATTATGCTTTATATCTGTTGACTCTGAGTAAAAAATAATGTGTGGAGTAGAATTACAAAGGTGACTCTTAAAAGCATGTTTAAGGATGATAACTTTAAAATGTGCTCACCAAAGCCATGAAAATAGATGAGTTCCCCAAGAGGTACCCAGCAATACACCTTTATAGACTTCTAGAATGAATGTATAAATTCCATGAGGGTCTTGATGGCCTCTTGAAGAAACTGGGGAGGATCTTTGTGTTCTAAGAGTTTACGGTGTGTTAGGTTGCATCATATGCATTTGACATTTAATTTGAAAGTGGTCTGTTTAAAATGTCATCTGTTTTTCATTTGTAGGGGCCTACTTGAAAATGGTAGGTTGGACCCTATGACCTCCTGGTTTCCTCCCAACTCTAAAGTATTGTAGTTGTTCAGTTCCAAGGTAAATGTAAAATTTATTTTCCAGCACAACAACTGATATTTGTGTACGGCTTATAGTTTACAAAACATTTTGCACATACTGCATCCTATCTCAAAGAAGGAGAAAAGGGGGAAGAAGCCCTTGATAAATCTAGATTAGAAAAAAATGCACAACGTGTCTGCTATTTTTCTATGTGTTGGTTGCCTTCGAGATGAAAAGTAATGTTCTCATTTGAAGGCAACTGTGAGAATTAGAATCTTATTCACATGTGATGTCTTCTAAAGGATTATCAAACACCTGTTTACTAAGTGCACATATAATATATAATGCCATTCAAAAAGTAGTTTTACCAGGTGGGAAATGTTGAATAAACCATGTCATCATAATCTAATTTAAATATTTGGTTCATCTGTTTCAGATATGCAAGAGAAAATATTGATTGTTCTGGGATATTGTGAATCCACTCACATTTTCTATGTGCTAAAATAGACCTTAGTATACTGGCTATGTTACCTATGCTTTTCCTGGAAATTCAGGTCTGTTCAGAAATGTCAAAGCTAGCTATGGTTATGCCTGCCCTGAATTTTAAAAAATGTAATAACTGAATCTTTTTTTACAGGGGTAAGAAAAAAAAATGGTATTCTATAATTTTCCTTAGGGACTTGGTTAGATAAGTCCGGGCATATGTGGTGTACCCAATCAAAACACAATTTCACAGGTTATGAGTTTGCATGAGATGCGGTTTGAATGTGCATGCAGAGACGGGGGAAACACTGCTGCAACCAAGCAAATCCTCTTTGATGTTCCTAATCAAGTCTATGTTACTGGCGGCAATTCTTTCCTTGCAGGGTCTCCTCTAGGTTGGACCAGGCAGCCATGAGCCAGGAATGAGGCATCACCCCTGTTACTGCAGGCAGAGAAAGAGATGTCTCTGATCATTCTTGGACAAAAGACTGAGCAATATATCATATTGAGAGCTATAGTTTTCTGGACACTTGGTGTGTTATGCATACTGCATCAAGTGCTATAATACATTTGACAGTCTTTGTGAGTTGAGCATCTTTGCTTGAGACTGAGAGATGCAAAATAAGTCGTCCAAGGTCACAACTTGTTGACAAGGGACTGAGCCAGAATTTAAACCCAAGTCTATTGGACCTTAGAGTTCACAGCTAACCACTGAGCTGTCCTGTCACTCAAGTGATCCCAAACGACTTCTGTACTGTAGATAAGCTATTAAAGCCGCACAGTGGATATGGCCTTCCCTCTTTCACCTTTTCCTCTTCCCACTGCTGACTTTCTGTGAGTTTTCCTCTATCATGGCTTCTTGAATAAATGGCCAGTGGCTGGAAAAGAGGACATGGAAATTATTGATGTGTATTTGTGATTAGGTTCATTGATAAAAGATTGTAAGATATATATATGTATCTTTTTACATAGTTGTGATAGTAGCACATGCATACATTTATATTACTATTTGTCACTCAAAGTCATTTTCATCTGAACTTCTCTAAACATGAGTGTCAAGTATATCACTGGTGCTGACTGCTGGGCTCAGTGCCTGAGTTTGCCATTTTTGTCTGATAAATCTATCAGAGTTGATAGTTGAGCAAGTTACTCAACTTCTTAGGTCCTTAGCTCTTTGTCTGTGAAGTGATTATATTTCCTTCCTGATAGGATTGTTGGGAAAGTTAAAACAGGTGATTATAAAGTGAGGAGGGCTATAGACATAGTATGTATTTACTACTAGCATGCAAAGGATTTAGAAGACCTTTAGGCTGTTTTCAGCCAAAAAGACTTAGTGCACTTCATGAAAATGTTGGCCACTTTAGGTAGGCCCAAAATGTGCATGTGTGTGTATGTGTGTGTGTACATATTATTCATAGACCTGTTTATAAAGACTTGGATTCAGACTCAGAGCAGTTTCCTCATCTACAAATCAAAGGCTATAATTTCCTCATAGCTTATATAAGAAAATGGATATATTGAAGCTCATGGCACAGTGCCTGACATGTTGGTATCTCTAAATAATAGTATCTTTTTTAGTTTAAGACTTCCTACATGGAACACAGGCTGGGGTAGCTTCATATCACTGTTCTACCATTAATTAGCTGCCCATCCTCTTGGGCAAATTCCTTAACTCTTGACAGATTACTTAACTTGGGAAAATTACTTAACTTTTTGAGCCTCAGTTTGCTCACGTAGAATGAGGATCATCACCACCAAACTGGGTGTTATAGTCTGGGTTTGTATCCTCCAAATCTCAAGTTGAAATTTGCTCCCCAGTGTTGGAGGTGAGGCCTAATGGAAGGTGTTTGAGCCATGGAGGTGGATCCCTCATGAACAGATTAATGGGGAGTTTGTGAATTGTCAATCTGTTAGTTCCCACAAGAGCTGGTTGTTGAAAAAGCCTGGCATGTCCTACTCCTTGCTCTTGCTTCCTCTCTTACCAAGTGATCTCTGCACACATCGGCTCCCCTTGCCTTCTGCCATGAATGGAAGCAGCCTGAGGTTTTCGCCAGATGTCCAATCTTCTAGCCAGCAGAATTATGAGCCAAGTAAACCTTCTTTATAAATAACTCAGTCTCAGGTATTCTTTTATAGCAGCACTAAATGAACTACTATGCTTGCTCATGGTTTTGCTTAAATATAAGCTTGTATATTAAGTGTCTAGAATACAAAGAATAAAAAATAGTTTCATTCCCCTCTCCTTTCTTTGTCTTTCATTGTTGGTGCAGCATTATCACAGTCCTGCTTCTGCAGAATATGCTTGGGGAAGCTGGTCTGCTCTTTTGTGAGGCTTTCTCACTAACATAGAGCAACATTTTAATTTCTCATTCATCCTAGGGAAGGAAGCTTAAAAAACAAAGGCAAATGAAGTCTCTTGAAGTTAAGTCACTGATATGACTATGCCTATTGTGCATTTTAGAGTAAGTTCTTCCAAAATGCATGGAACTAAGCTTTTTGCTTTTTATTCTTTGCTCAGTGCATGGAAGGCTGAATCATTTATTAGTATTAATGGATAACAGATTAATGTCCTTTTCCTCACACTGGAAGTTGCCTACTCTGCCAGGCAGAGAAATGGTTGAGCCAAGTTTGGTGACCTCAGTGTGTGTTGGGAGCTCCAAAGCAAGACACTTCTTCCACTGTGTTCTCCAGAGAGTGACAGTACACTCTGGGTGTCCTTTTTTAAGTACATGACAAGAAGAAGCATGCTAACATCCCAATAGCACTTCCTAAATCTTGGCCCAAAACTCTCAGCTGTAGGTTTCACAGACATGTATTTGTGTCTTTAAAGGCCAAGAGGGAGCCACAAGTGAGCTTGTGAATAAAGTTTAAAAGTCGCCTTTCCAGATGTGGAGCCACAGAAATGTCAACACAACTATGGTGAAAGGTGCCCTCATAGTCACATGCCGAGGGATTTGAGGTAGCAAGCCTGGAAGAATGAAAGGCAGATTAGTTTGAGTCTCTGCATCTGTTGCTTGCTGATCTCCGTTTTTAATTTCTCCTAATTAGGGAGAAGGTCACCCTCTCCTAGCGTAGGACCTGGAATGTGCCTTTCGATGAAAAGTTTAGCTCATATATTTCCATGTCAGAAAAACTCCATGTTGTGGAAAAACTCATGGCTCAAGAAGATGCCTAAATAGCTTTGCTGTTCATACAAACAGGGCTCTGATTTTCTTTAAATGCAAATCAAGTCAAGCTTTCACGACTGCCAAAAGCCTTATTTTGCACCTTCTCTGTATTCAAACTGTGTGAGATGCCATGAAAATATAAACCCTAGTCCCTGCCTTCAGCAATACCACAGTCTCATGTACAAGTTTTATACTTTTTACAGAATTCAGTGCATGTGCACCAAGCGCCTTCCCTGTGTGAGCTAGCATGCTAAGTGCTGTAAAGTTCAAACCTAAATGATACTTTCCTGCCTAACATATCATACCAAAGTTTAGTGCTTGAAACAACCACCATTTTATTTGTTTGTAGTACTGTGCGTTAGTAAATTTGACTGCACTGAGGTGAGTAGCCCTTCTGTCAGTCTCAGTCTCAGTCTCACCTGGGATCACTCATACAACTTGGCAACGTGGGCTGGGTGATTGAACGTGGCCTTATGCACATGTTTGGCAGTTAGTGTTGGGTGTTGGTTGGGCTATGTGTCTCTGACAGGTTAGCCCAGGCTTTTTCATGCAGAGCCAGAAAGCAATCCTAGTGTGCAAGTGACTTCTAAGTCTCTATTTTCATCCTGTTTTCTAACATTCAATAGACTCTGAACATTCAATAGAGCAAGTTATGTAGCTAGGTCCAGAGTCAACGTGGGAAGAGACTATGCCAAGGTATGAATATAGGAGGCAGGATTCTTTGGTGACCATCACTGTAACAACCACTGACCCTGACCTAAATAATAAGTTATTATTTTATTTATTTAGTCTCTAATATGTGTCTGGTATGGAAGTTGATGCTTCACATATGCTATTTCATTAAATATATATGGTAGTTCTCCAAGGTAGATGTTATTATTCCAGATATTCTGAAGTTAGTTAAGTTGCCTAAGGTCATACAGAGAGTAAACAGTCATGTCAGAATATGTCCATGTCAGAAAAATTCTGTGTTGTGAGAAAACTCATGGCTCAAGATCAAAATGTCTAAATATCTTAGCTGCTCATATTAACACTGAACTGAATAATTCCATGAACTGTTTTTCTCTCTACTTTGCATTCAGGGTCTACACAGACCTGGACTAGCAACCATTTTGGGAACAGAAGATGAAGTATGAAATTGTGTCAGGCAGATAATGGTTATGTAGCAGTTCAGTGTGTGTAATATGAATGACCATTTAAAATCTCCAGAATTAAATTCTAGAGATTTTAATTAGACCTTCCTACAAAGTGGAAAGCATCTGGGCTTTGGTTATAAAAAGTGCTAAAGTTCAAAATCTGGCAATGCCACTTTTAGTGTGTGATTATTTAAATTTTATGAGCCTCAGTGACCTCATTTTTAAAGCAGAAATACTTTTTTAAGGATTCAATAATTCCATGTGTGTAAAACTCTGTGCACAGCATTGGTAACTAGACGAAATCAATAAATGGTGGGCATGAATGATTTGGAAGGAAAAAATAGCAGAGGTAAAAGGGAGGGTATCTTAGACAAGGGGAGCAATGCTGGAAGGAGGGAAGGCTCTGATAGTAGAGAAGACGTTGGCCTCTGTCTGAGCAGTGAGAGCTGCCAGTTTGCAGCAGAGATCAATAGAAAATAGCAACAGTTAGGCAAGATAAAGCCCAAATTTGGAGAGCTTTGACATCTGGGCATCTAGGTAGAGGAGGTAAATTTGCCCAGCTGGAAAATGGAAACCTATGGACTTCCTGAGCACCTGGGAGTAACTAAGATGTTCATATGATTTCAAATCCAGCCATCCTCAGAACCCAGTTTGTTCTCCCATTATCCATGTTTATCCTCCCAGCCAAACTTTTAATCAGTGCAGATGAAGTTCTAGATTTTAGTCCCACAAGCTCAATAATTTGAGATTCTTCAAATGTTGAGGATGAGGCCAATAGTGGAATGGAAAGCCACCTCTCTCTTCTTTGTGAATGACCAACCTTTGGTTCACACCATGGATACACTTATACATACAGTCATTATCTTTGGAAAATGAATGTTCTTTTCTATTGATTGAATCTTACAGTGAAGTAATGGACAGACAGTGATGTGTTAAAGCCAACCAGTTTGTGCATTTCTATTGTGTTGCTAGCTTAAAATCATCCTTACTGGCAGTATTTACACCAAAGAAATTAGCAAATACTACAAGTCAGGACCTTGTACCCCACCATTCCTGAATGTTCTGTTAAACATTTACCAGCACATCACTAGAGCTCAGATAATATAAATGTGAAGTTGAGCTCTATCTGGTAGAGCAGGAAGGAGAGTTCCCACCTCGGAAAAATGAGTGTTTCTTTTGAGTTACCTCAAAACAAAACATCACACCTATCAAATGGCTAAAATTGTAGAGACTGACAACAGCAAATATTGCTGAGGCTATAGAGCAATTAGGACTCTCATTAATTGGTGATGAGAAGATAAAATAGTAAAACCACTTTTAAAACTCTTTGCCTGTTCCTTGTAAAGTAAAACTTACACCTATCCCAATGACCTAGCAATTCGAATTTAATTACCTAGGGGAAATTAAAACTTATATCTACAGGGACACTTATACAAAAATATTTATAACAGCCTTAAAAAATAGTCAGAAACCATGGCAGGGAAATGGATGAACAATTTGGATCTGTACATACAATGACACACCACTCAGCAATAAAAAGGAATGAATGACTGATGCATGAAACACCATAGAAGACTTGCAAAAATATTGTTACACAAAAGAGGCTCAAAAAGTAAATAGTGATGGTTCCATTTACATGATTTCAAGAACAGGCAAGTCCATCTAATGGTAATTGACCGCAACATTGGGCTACCTCTGTCTGGGGTGTGGGGATGGCATTGACTGGCAAGGAGCCTGAGAGAATGTTCTAGGAAATATTCACATTTCTGTAAGATTAGTGGTTATACGGGCAAACACATACTTCAAAACTCAAATTGTAAACTTGAGATTTATGCATTTTATGCCACATAAATATTACCTTGATTTATGAAATTAAGGCCTCTATTCTTGAATGTAAGATATGTCTGTAATTAGCAATTCCTTCATTGTCTATGCGGCATAATAACCAAGCCACTGGGATCAAGCAGTCTGCACCATGTACAGCTCTGTGATTTGGGACAAGGTATTTCCTCTATGAATTTCAGTTTCCTCATCTGGAATGTAGGAATAATATATTCATCTGTTGTTCAACCAATAATTCCATGTGCCAATTACTATGTAAATGGATGCTGGGAGTACAATAGTGAACACGACAGAGCCTTCCTTTCCTTCTTGACTCCTGCCTTTTTTTTTTTTTGAGATGGAATCTTGCTCTGTCACCCAGGCTGGAGTGCAGTGGCACAATCTCGGCTTACTGCAAACTCCGACTCCGGGGTTCAAGCCATTCTTCTGCCTCAGCCTCCCCAGTAGAGGGGATTACACGCACACACCACCATGCCCAGCTAATTTTTGTCTTTTTAGTAGAGACAGGGTTTCAGCATGTTGGCCAGGCTGGTCTCGAACTCCTGAACTCGTGATCCGCCCGCCTCGACCTCCCAAAGTGCTGGGATTACAGGCTTGAGCCACCGTGCCTGGCCTTGACTCCTACCTTCTAAAGCTTGCACCTATAGGAGTCACGTGCTCGTAGGGGTGAAGACTATCACTGATGGAATTCTGTCCCAAACTGCAGAACATATGCCCTATGTAAAGGGGACAACCCCTATTCTACTTTCACTCAATCACGCCACATAGGTGTGATGGCACAGTGATGTCAGATCTGATTTTTCAAGAGAATCTGGAAATACTGATTGTGAAAGTTTGGCAGTTCATTCATTTTTCCCAAAGCATATTGCAGACCAAATGCTTAAGCTTGTGACCCCTTGCAAAGTTTATTCATTTATACACAATTCATTAATAAGTCCCTAAGGTGGATCAAGCATTGAGGCAAGCCCTGGACATTAGTGAACAAAACAGACAATAAGCCCTCCCTTGTAGAGGAGGCAGAACATTAGTAAATAAACAAGCAACACATAATAGAGTATCAAGAAGAACTAAGTGCCATGGTGAAAAATATATTAAGTTAAGGGGCTACTACTGTAGAGAGAATGGCCAGAAATGATTTCTCTGGAAAGATGGCATTTGAGCAGAGACTTGAATGAAGTAAGAGAGTGAACCATGGACATTGGGTAAGAGACTTACAGGCTGTTAAGAGAGCAAGTACAAAGATCTAGGGGTGGAGGTGTGCCCAGGGGAGCAGCAAAGGGCTGCGGAGCTGGAATAGACTGAGTAATAGAAAATGAGGAGGGCGGGGTGTGGTGGCTCATGCCTGTAATCCCAGCACTTTGGGGAGCTAAAGCGGGTGGATCACAAGGTCAAGAGATCGAGACCATCCTGGACAACATGCTGAAACCCCATCTCTACTAAAAATACAAAAATTAGCTGGGCGTGGTGGCATGCGCCGGTAGTCCCAGCTACTCGGGAGGCTGAGGCAGGAGAATCATTTGGACCCAGGAGGCAGAGGTTGCAGTGAGCAGAGATCGCGCCACTGCACTCCAGACTGGTGACAGAGAGAGACTCCGTCTCAAAAAAAAAAAAAAAAAGAGGAAAAGATTGGTGGAAAGTGAAGCTGTTGGGACCGGATCATATTGTTAGTGTGAAAGGAGATACCGCAAGAAAAGACAACTGACACTCAATAAGTATACAAAGAATGAAGGAATAAAAGGCAAAGGAAAATTAATTGTTTCTTCTGTTTTGTGCCATAATATCACATTTGTACATACTTCTCAAGGACACCAATATTAAGAAATGTCTATTGAAAATAAGTTATAAGAAAGGTCTCATCTTAAAGTCCTTTATTGATTAATTAGACATATATCTCATCTTAAAGTCCTTTATTGACTAATCAGACATATTCCCTTTTATGAATTTCAGTGAATTTTCTAGAATATCTTATTGGCCTGAACATTAGACAGACCTAGCTTTTCTAGTTATAATTGAGTAAGCATATTTGATTTCTTTTCTTTCAGATTTTATTATGCCCCAAGATTAAGATAAAAGTGTGTTTTTTAAGTGAATAAATATTTATTTTTGTCCAACAGTGGAGCATTGGAAGGAGCAAGGATTTCATCGCTGTTTGTTTCCTTATGAGTAAAATAGGAATATTCAAATGAACTTGTGTGACTGTGTGTTAAGCACTCAGTAAATATTAAGTTATTCTGAGTCCCTCAATTTATAGGATTTTTCAAAATTGTTCAGATGGTCTTGCAGTTTTGCTTTCTAGGAATGTGAGAGGTTTCTAATTTCAACCCCAGCTAACTCCTGTGTCCAGTGTCCTATTTCCCCAGGTATCAGTAGTACTGGTGGTACTTAGTACTTACAGAGGTCCCTTAAGTCTGATGATCCTAATCTGGGCAGTAGTCTTTCTCAGAGCCTTGTGGGTAGATTGTTAACACGCAGCTCAAAAAATTCTAAGCCAGTTACTTATCTCTCTTCTAATCAACTTCAAGACTTGGGCTGTGCAATTTTGTTTCATTATGAAATTTGAAGTTACACTGTCGAAGTAGAGTTAGTGTCAATGTGCTTAGAATATACCAAATTCATAAACATTTTCTCTAAAAAAGTATTAAGCTTAAAAAGTTAATTCAGTTTAAGGAATATAAACCAAATTATTTTATATTTGAATCTCAACATAAGAAGTCAAAATGTAATGCTGCCAGATAACAATATCAAAGGTATTTTTCTTTCTCTATAATTTCATCAGTATGTCCTCTCCCTTTTCTCCTATTTGTCAAATTTTAGCAACCCTAACTCTGCTAATTATAAGCTAGGCAAGTAATCTTGGACAAGTTATTTGACCTCTCACTGCACCAGCTTTGTTATCTGTAAAATGATGATAATACCAACACCTTCTTCTTGGGGTACTGAAGATGAGAGAACATGATATGTGTAAAGTGCCTTCCACAATACCCAGAACATAGCAAACATGTAATGAATGTAGTAATAGTAATTATTTTATTTTCTTTTGATTCAGTTGGGACTATGTTCAGCTGTAACAGAATACCCAAAATAACAGTTTTAAACAAATTAAAGTTTTGTTGTGAAGTTTTGTTACGAATTCAGACAATCCAGGGCTTTTATAGATGCACCAGGATCAGCAGGTACAAAGGCATCTTTCCTGATTTCTGCCAGTCTCAATGCATGGGTTGCAATCCAGAGTCCAGGATGGCAGTTCCAGCCCTGGTTACGCCCATATTAGCACACAGAAAGAAAGAGAAAGGGATGTGCCTCTTCACTTTAATCATAGCTCCCACTAGATGCACCCACTACTTCTGCTGATACTCCATTAGCTAATGCTTGCTTACATGGTCACACTTAGTTTCCAGAGAGACATGTCTGGACAGTCATGTGCTCAATTAATATCCAAGTGTCCAATTACTGAGAAAAAAAGAAACTAGCACCTTTGCTTGGTTGCATTCTTCTTAGCATAAGCCACATTCTTTTTATGAAGTTGTCCTCAGTTACTTGGATGCCTCAGTTGTCCTTTCATTTAGAAATGCTCCTTGGACATCCTGAATCTGACTTCTTTTGTCATCAGCACCATCACTACCACTGCCTTCTTCAAAGCCACCACGTTCTGTCCCAGGATGGTTGCAACAACCACCATAGGGACTTTTTGCTTCTACTTCCACACAATAGCCAGAGTAAGCTTTTGAAAATGTAGGTCAGATCATGTCTCTCTCTTCTCTTCAAAACCCTCCGATGGCTTTTCATATTACTCAAAAGAAAACCTAAAACTTTGCTGTGAGATCTATGTGACCCGGCTTATTCTTCCTCTTACTTTATCTCTGTATTGCTCTTCCTCACTCTACTCCAGCCATCCCACCTCCTTGCTGCTTGTCCTATACTCCTAAAAGAAGTTCAGTCTTCCCTTATGATATTTGCACTTAAAATAGAAAAAAAAAAAAAAAAAAGCTCAGAGAGGCTGAGTTGTCCAAGGTCATGCAGGTTAGAAGTCATGGAGCTGGGATCTAAATCCATGTCAGTCTGACTATGAGTTCTGCACCGTTCTATTCAACCCCATTGCCTAGAGGTGCTTGATTGCTCAATAATAGATTCCATGGACACAGTCAGCTCTTTCTGAGAAAAGGCAGCTCAGCATTTCCATGAGATCCGCACATCCTTTTGCAGAAGAAAACAATGTCTTCTAGGTTCTCTCTCTGCTGGAACCATCAGGAGCCCTTATTCTCAACCCTGCAGCCTTAGAAAATTAAAAGCATCATCAGGTCTGAGGTCGGCACAGGCTAATTGGATCAGCCATCTTCCTTTCATGAACCAAATGAAATGACACTCCTTGGACCTCCTCGGGTCCAATAACTTCTGCTGTTATTCATGCAGAATCACCTCCATTTGGCACAGGCAGAATTAGATAGAGTTCTTACTCCATTCACTGAGTTGCCTTTTTTGCTGATCATTGCAGTTGATTTAAAAGAAACAAAAAGGAATATGCTTGCTCTTAATGACTCCTTCATGTAGATCAATTATTTTACCTGGACAAGTTTCACTTGGCTTCAGAGAGTCTGACATGCCTTGGGAATTATGTGAGATCTCTCCTCCACACATATGTGGATTAGTCTGTTCTTACACTGCTATAAAGATACTACCTGAGACTGGGTAATTTATAAACAAAGGAGGTTTAATTGACTCACAGTTCTGCATGGCTGGGGAGGCCTTGGGGGACTTACAATCACCACAGAAGGAATAATAGGCACCTTCTTCACAAGGCAGAAGGAGAGGGTGTGGGTGAGTGAAGGGGGAAGAGCCCTTTACAAAAACCATCCGATTTCCTGAGAACTCACTCACTGTCATGAGAACAGCGTGGGGGAAACCACCCGCATGATCCAATCACCTCCCACCAGGTCTCTCCCTCAACACCTGGGGATTACAATTGGAGATGAGGTTTGGATGGGGAGACAGAGCCAAACCATATCAATATGTGTATGTGTTTTTCTTCTCTTTTTCTTCTTTTTTTTCTTTTTGAGATGGAGTCTTGCTCTGTCACCAGGCTGAAGTGCAGTGGTGAGATCTCGATCTCAGCCCATTGCAACCTCCACCTCCCAGGTTCAAGGGATTCTGCTGCCTCAGCCTCCCGAGTAGCTGAGATTACAGGCACACGGCACCACGCCCAGCTAATTTTTGCATTTTTAGTAGAGACAGGGTTTCACCATGTCGGCCAGGATGGTCTCAATCTCTTGACCTCGTGATCTGCTTGCCTTGGCCTCCCAAAGTGCTGGGATTACAGGCGTGAGCCACCGCACCCGGCCTGTGTGTGTTTTTCGAGTGAGAGGATACACAGCCTTCATCTAGTTCTCCTAGGCATCTGCCACTCCAAAAAAATGATGAGAAGTACTGGTCATAAAAAATTCCTAAGTCATTTATTTAGCACAGAACATACAGACTAAGTGACATCACCTCCTTTTACTTATGAAAACAACCCCATGAGTTAGTATATTACTACGGTAATTTCATAGATGTGAAATCTGAGGTCAGGGAGATTCAATTACTTTTATATAACACACACAGGATTTAACCAGGGGAATCATGCTTCAAACCCAGATCTATTATACTCTTAAAAATGTGCCCTCTTTTTATATTAATATATATTTTATCAAAGCAGCATATAGACACACGGTTTTAAAAAATAAATTGTGTTTTCAAATAAAAGTTTTCTTCTGCTTTCTGCATTGTCTCTTTCTTTTGTTCGTTATTTTCTCCCTGTTTATTTGTGTCAGTTTCTCTGTTTTGTATTGGGAACTTTGCCTAATTCTGGGGATTCCTGGTGGTCCCCTTAAACATATGGTGCTAACAGCTACTTACAAGCTCTGAGTGTGATGAAGCTTTTGCTTAGTGGTTCTCACCACCGATTGACTGGGTAGCCAGTGAGCATGTTCACTGGAATCACCCCTGTGACAGTTCCTAGAGTTCTTTTTTCCTGGATCCTTTTCATTTCTCCAGAGAAGAACTTACTAACACTCTGCTTAGCATGAGTAAGGAAGCAATGAGGAGTTCCAGTGAGGGAGGAGGGGAGTGGGTAGGGCATGTAAGTGCTCTCACCTGAGAATGTAAGTGTTCTTAGCAGAACCCCAATTACCAATCCCGTGCTTCACCCATCTTCTTCAGCCACGCATTCAAGTTCTGAGCCTTTTGGGGGTTCTGTAGTATACACTGGCTCACTTTTCTTTGGTATTCTTTGCTGCAGGGTGCCGTGTTGCAGGTGTCTCCACTTTTAATAAAGATAGGAGTATTTCTCTATTCAATTACCATCTTCCAAGAATTCATTGAATGATCTCACTCATCTTACCTCTTCCATTCCCTTTGGCTCCTTAAGTCACACTTTTTCTGTTACTTCTCTATCATTTCAGATAGGATTTTTTTAAGTGCACGTGGTCTTGCTGTAATTCTAAAATGGAAGTTTCTAGGCTTGCTCTTTCCTTTATCACTATACTATCTCCCAATATCTATCACATGATAGGTGTCCAAACTCTGAGAGAGATACAACAAAAACTTACAGGGGATTCTGCTGTTAAATATTTTGTAATCTAGCACTGATGAAACTGTGCTCATGGACTGTGTACCTCCAACACAGACACACAATCACACATCCAAGAGGAGGGGTTACAGATTATGGGCTAAAAGGAGGTAACTCTCCTAACTAGAGGTATCCAGAAAAGCACACTGGAGGAGGTGGAAGGAAATGTATTTAAGACTAGGGAAACAGCGTAAGCAAAATCCTAAAGGCAGAGAAGTGTAGGGGCCAGAGAAAAAACAGAGTCCATCCGCTTGACTTGAGTAAAGGAATGCAGGAATGTATTGATACATGAATCTGGCTGGGCACCAGGTGGAGGCGAGCCTTGAAAGTTTGATTAGAAGTTTGAGTATTATTTTATCCTAAGACGATGGTTTGCCACTTACATCCTGCTAACAGATGGCATAAAGAGCGTCTGTAAGAACTGAGGTGGAGCTTCTAGAACGAGAGGATTGGAGAGCGAGGAGAGCAGATGGAAGCATCCTGGGGAAAGGGAGGAAATGCAGCTTTGGGACTGGAAGGGAAGGAAATGGTTTGGTGGAAGTGGGAGGTGGAATGAGAGAAAGATTCCAGAAAGAGACAGGAAGTACAAAAGTGGCAACAACCAAGAGTCAAAGAGGAGAAAACCAGCTGCTCCTTTCTGCCTGATGGCCGTTAGGAGATAAGAGGATACGAAATCCTGAAAGGGTCGGGAGGTCTGGCCCAACCAGTGTGTCATCTGGCCAGGGCCCAGGTACTGGCCACTCTGAGGCTTTTCCGTGAATCTTTGTGATCCTCCTTGTTTCTTTTCAACCCTCCAGTTGTCAAAGCATAGACATATGTGCAAAATTTTGAAATAAGAAAAGCAAGATCATGTTGATCTTGCAGTTCTGGCAAAATGTGAATATTGAACTGCGTGTAGACAAGAGAATTTTCTTGATCTATTCACATTCCACATTACACACACACGTATGTATATTTCTGTTTTTCCAAAATAAGGCCTTTTTGACACTAATTTGCCTAGCAAATCTTATGAACTAAATTGAAAGCCTTGCAAAGCCTATTGCCAAGCATCTCAGAATTGTAGTCTTTGCTTAACCAGTTATCCTTGTTCTCATCCTGTTTTGTTTTGGTTTGGTTTTTTAGCTTTTCCAAGTATGGTAGGAAAATTCTGAATACGTTTAAGAGCAAAAAAAGAGTAGCATCTTTTCAGATGCATCTTAGCACTTATTTCTTTCATCTTGCATAGCTCTACACTCCTTTTTAAAATCTCAACCTGTATCCAGCCCTTCTGAATTGCCTCTTATTCTGACACTGTCCTCCTGCTGTCTCTGCAATGCTGCCCCGAGTGGAGCTGCCTTCTCTGCTGATGAGAGAGACGGGTAGTGCCTTCAAGGAGATATCCATGAAGCGCAACTTGTGATCTGGATTCTTGTTTCTTGGTGATGGGGTTGTTTTTGTATTTTACCAGCACTCCTTTAAGTGTGGCAGGATGTAATGATGAATAGCAAATAAGAATTTTCTGTGCAACTGGTTTGCACTTTCTTCAGACTTCAGGTTCTCACGAGGGAATCTTCCTTTACGTTCCTGTCTCTGAATCATGATTATGATTGAGCTTCTACACCAATCAAGCCTAGTTTAGTATTTAATCAATCTCAAATTACCCGCCGAGTTGTTGCAGTTCAAATGTCAGTCTTGATGCCTCACTAAGCTCCTTCCATTTGCATTTAATATACCTTTTCAATTCTTTTTCTCCTTTATTTTCCTTTTTTTTTTGTTCTGCCCTTTCCCAAATGTTTAAGCTTGTTGAAAAGAGCAGATTTTCTCAAGCATTTGCAGTCAAATGAATAAGCTAATAAATCATAAATGGGCTTAGAAAGAGGATTTTCCCTTTTCACGGTGTACATTAGAGCTAAGGTTTAGCAGTTGTTGGAAACGCTTGTTGAAGAACTCTGTCTATCTTATAAAACCTTTTGCGGGAGGAGCCTGGCTCACCAGAGTGAGGCAGAAAGAATTTCAATGCACTAGAAAGACAATGTCTTTTGCATAACAATTTAATCCATCCATTCATTTACTGGTGAATATTCATATTCTGGAGGTAGAAATTTCAGGATTTACACATTGGTGGAAATAGGAAATGTAGATGAGCCCCAGGTAAGGTAATATTTATGTTTTTGTTTTAAATGGCCAGAATCTCTTCAACTGAATTTCATTTTTGTCCTTTTGCTTTTGTTTACACTGAAATAAATATGACTTGGAAGGTTATAGATGCTGAACTATTGGGACTAGAAGTTCTCTGAAGACTTTCATTCTGTGACAATTATGTGATTTAAAATCAACCTGTCCAATTATGATTCGAATATTGTTTTAGTCTCAGTGTTATAGCTATCTCATCTATCTAATCTATCTATCTCTGGATCTATGTATCTATCTATATCTATCATCTTTATCTCCTATCTACATATTAGATAGATTAATATTTCTCTATCTAGTCTATAATCCATTAGTAGATTAGATAGATATATATAACATTAGGGCTAAACTAAATCAATATTAGTGATATTAATTTATACATAAATAATAGAATATATAATGATAATATATAATGAATATACATGACGTATTATACATACATAGGCACATATATATAAAATTAGTTTCATAGGTGATTTATAAATAAACTATATTTTGGTGCTTTAATTGTATTAAGGCTTCCTAGAGAAAATGAAAATTGCTGTTTATTAACCATTATGGGAAAGAATTTGCCTGTGTATTGTATCTCATATATCATTTAATTCCTATGTTCAGTAACAACCTCATGAAGCAGAGAGTGAAGCCCATTGCCCAGAATTCCCAGGCCGTGCTCTGGATGTTTTTCTGTTTCACTAGAGAGGCCAAATGATGTCATTTCATGAAGTCCCACCTATTGACTGGTTTGGCTATTGGAAACATTGTAAACCTGGGCTCAGTTTAAAAAAAAAAGAGTGGCCTCACTTACATGCAATGATTGTGGTTCCCTCCATCTCCCTATATGAATAGAATTAGAGTCTAGAATTAGAAGAAAAGGAGCACTTTTCTTCTTTACCCGCATTATGTGGCCTTGCAAAGACCCACATGAATTACAGACTGGATGTGGCCAATAGATATTCAAGGTACCCTGCTTGCCTTGGGGATTCAATGCACTCAGAAAGGTTAGGGTCTTCAAGTATTCCTCATTCTCTGGGTCATTAACCTGGAAAACCCTAGCTTCTGTCTTAGAATTGCCATTTTGGCTATAATTTGTTATTTCTGGTTAATCTCTTCACTCAGTAAATGGCCTATAGATTTAGACACACTGAGGATTCATATTAGGAATAATTGGAGCTGTTTATTCCAAGTTGTTAACAGGTCTCATTATACTATGAAACAGGTCGCTTCCTTTTGCCTGTGGTGTCCTTCCCACATTATATCTGCTAGGTGAGCTACTCATCATTCAGGGTCTCTCTTTCCAGCCACCCCCTCCAGGAAGGCTGCCTCCCTCAGATTTCCTAGGCAGTATCTCAGCTACCACTGCATTGCAAATACTTCCCTGTTATCCCACATGTATTTACTCTGCATCTACCATATACCAGGTACTATTTAGGTACCATTAACATGTATGACATCACAGTGTAATGCTTTCCTTGTTTTATCTCTCCCTCATGTGGCTCTAAGCAGGCTGAGATGCTCACTGTCTTATTCACTTTCCTATCCCCAGCAACCAGGCTCATGCCAGGACATGGCTGGCACTCAATAACCATGTGTTGAGTTAAGGAAATCCCTGTTCAGTCTTAAAAGCATGGGTGAACACCCGTGTTGTGGGTAAATTCTTCAGAAATTGGATGGATTAAAGATGCCTAAACTTTGCCAGTGAGGAGAGTGTGTAGAACCAGGGAGTTTAACAGTTATGAACATGGACTTTGGAACTCAAACAAAGTTTTGACCACATAGGTGTAGGTTCAAATTCCACTTTGCCTCTTGGACAAAGACACTTAAGTGAAAAGCAAAATGAGGATGATAAAACCTACTACATAAGATTGTTATGTGGATTAGATGAGACAATGTTTGGACAGGTCTCAGCACATAGTACTACTGAATATGTGGCATTCATTATTTACAGCTTTACTGGGTTGTACAAGCATTCGTGCCCTGACTTTCATTTGCAGTATCTCATGTACTCATCCCAACAGCTCGTCAAGCAACTTGGCCAAGGCGTGTGGGTGGCATGTGGTATGATTAATTTTCTAACTCAAGACTTCTAAGTCTAAAAGCTAGTGATATTTAACTTGTACTATTCTGCTTTGTATGAAAGCACATTTGTGTGCATACACACACACACACACATACACACACACAATCTCTCCCCTAATAACTCTTATTAATTTTTCATTTGTGTCTAAAAACCAAAGGACGGTGGTCTGCCCTCCCTCAAATGGACATCCCAAAGTGGCGAATGGTAGTGTCTTACATTCTACGTGTTGAGCAGTACTTTTATTCCTAAATTTGCCTGCCTCTGTGGAATTTGAGTATAGTATCACTTTGCAGTGCCGCACAGTAACTTGTGTTGTGATGTGGTGTTTATAAATAGATGTAAATAGTTAACACTTCTTTGAAAACGAATCAAATCCTCACTTATAGCCTTTATCAACCAGCTGGTTCTTGTAAGCATCTTCCCGGTCTGTGTGCAAACATTACTTTTAAGTGATCAGCTGGCATAATTAGGTAAGATTGTACACTAGAAGCACAATTCAGTTTTCTCTTCATCTTGGCTGGAAGAAGAAACAAACATCAGGGGTGATGATATGATGGTAAGTTAGATGTGGGAGATTTTTCCTGCAGCTGCAGTACCTTGCTAATCATCAGAGCTAGTTATTTATTTATTTCTTTTTCTGTTTCAGTTCAAAGGTATGGCTTTGTGGAACCTCAGGCAGAGAGGTAATTACGAAGCCTGGTACTATGGGTGCAGGCATCATCACTGGCACAGAAAGCAGCTTGGCTGTGGTTAAGCTTTGTGTTTTATTTTCTATCTGGATGTTTTCGCATTTAGTGCTTTCTCCTTTTAAAAAAAAATGTACTTAAAACTCTCATTGAAGACTTAAATCAGGTTCAGGGAAATTGAATTTAAGACCTGGCCAGGGATGGGATTGGATGCTGTGACTTCAGAGACAAGATGTTGTTAAATGGGTAAGAAGATGTTGAGCAAGAAAACCAACAAAACAAACTTGATGAAGTCAAAAGAAAGTGACTTCTTATCTCGGGATAAGAAGACCAACATTCAAACGTTGGCTTTGGCCATTGGGCAGGTCACTAAACCTCCTCACTTGACTTCATACTCTGATCTGTAAAATGAGGCTTTGTAAATCATCCCCAGATGTATTGACTGCCTGTTGTGAATCAAATTCTATGGTGACAGTACTGATGTGATTCTTACCTCGTGGAGCTCAGCTGCCCAGGAAGACAGACAAATTGTGCTTATATCAAGTGTGCTGTGAATCCTGGCAGGAGGAGTGCCGGACATGATGAGTTAGCAGGGCTATGTAGTTATTCTCTTCACTGACTCTGCAGCTAGGCTATCTAGGGTCACAGCCCTCACTGATTTGATCAGCTGTGTGAACTTGAGGAAAACACCAACACCTGCTTAATTGGGGT